>NC_000009.12:74470552-75095552 GCF_000001405.40 Homo sapiens | reverse complement strand
ATTTCTGCCTGAATCAAATGACTTTTCCCCCTTTGCTGCCCAGCAAACTCTTACTCAGCATTGGGAACTCTGCTTAGATTACTCCTCTTCCGTAACATCTTCTCAGCTGCCTCAAGCTCCTTGCCCCATGCTTCCCAGCCCTCTGATCACACTTTGATAACATCTCCTATCACAAGCACTGAGATTTTTCTGTTTAAGACATGCTCATACATTTTTGGTAGGGAAGTAAACTGGTATGACCTCTTTGAAAAGCGATTTGGAAATTTCTATGAAAACAGCAGTGCACTTACCCTCTGAAACAACAAATCCCACTGCCAGGACTTTATCCTATGGATTTACGTGTGTAAGCAACAACAATACTATTGGGAGACTATTTGTTATAACAAAAGATTGAAAACAATCCAGAAGTACGTTAATTAGGGTCTGGTTAAATGAGCTCAGCAGAATACTATGTAGTTATTTAAAAGAACCAGGAAGTTCTCCTGGTTCTAATATTTGTGTTGTATTGTTTGTTTGTTTATTTGAGACAGGGTCTCGCTCTGTCACCCAGGCTGGAGTGCAGTGGCACGATCTTGGCCTCCCAGGCTCAAGTGATCCTCCCACCTCAGTCTCCTAAGTAGCAGGGACTACAAACACGCACCACCAAGCCCAGCTAATTTTTTCATATTTGTTGTACAGAAAAGGTTTCACCATGTTGCCCAGGCTGGTCTCAAACTCCTAGGCTCAAGCAATCTGCCTGCCTGGGCCTCCCAAAGTGCCAGGATTACAGGTGTGAACCACTGTGCCTGGCCTGTACATTTTTCTGAAACTCCTTTAATTTGATAAGAGAATCTTGACACCTCACTCATATCAGCCCACTGAAAGGTGTCCCTGTATCATTTTTTTTTTAATGTAGTCTTTCCCTGTCCATTAAGCAAGTGAGGACAACTTTGGCAATGGGTTCTGTTATGCCCTGAGGTATAAGGTGTGTATTAGAAAATCTCACTGCACTAGTCACGTAAGTCAAATTGTGGGAATGCTGAAACGCCAAGGGAGGGGACCCCAGTATTTCCAGAAGGGAGGAATGCTTATCAGAAGCACATAACCTCCAGCCTTTGCTACTTTGTAGTAAAGCTACAAGAAAAGCCCAATCACAGTCTCTGAGTCCACCCCCACCTTCTTTCAGGGAAAAAAAAAAAAACCCACCTTTTTTTTGTATCAAAGCGTTTTACATTATCTGTCATTCATAACGATTTAGTGGCTGTGCAGTTACAAAGAAATAAAAGACTGTTCCACTCTCAAAAAGTGCATAGTTTAATGCTCTAATACGGATCCATTGAAAGAGGGCAGTTACACAAACCAAATACCAATAATACAACTGCATAAGCTAATAAAATGACTGTCCAACAAAAGCAGGTCCAACCCAATAACATCTCTGGCAGGTTTCTCTGCTCATATGCATGGACTCAATTAAAGCTTCTGTTCCACTTCCAGGTCACACCAACCACTCACTAGCTTTGAGATCTTAGATAGTTTACTTGACCTCATTAAGTACTACTTCATCCATAAAACAGGGATATGAGGACCCACCCACCTGATAGGAAAGTCAGAATAATTAAAGGAGACAGAGCATACACAGTGCTGGGTGCAGTGCCTGACATATGGGGCCAAATATATGTTAACCATTCCCATCATCATCATCATTGTGAAATTTTCAAGATGTTTCTCAGGCTTTATTCTGCCAACAGGTATAAAAAGTATCAAGTTTATAAAAGAAGACTATTCACGTGCATATTTCACCTCACTTTTGATTAATTCCTTTGTTGGGGTAAAAAATACATAAAAATTAAGTTCATTTTAGATAAAAACCTTTTTTTCTCAAAAATGTTATTTAAGCAGCATGCGTGTGATGTCTTTTAAGTTTTATGATGTTTTTACTCTGAATAACAAAAAAACCTGAAACACTGACATTTGCTTCTTCAAAGTTCCATGAATTTATTTTCACAAGGCACATGAAATATTTATGCTTTACTTTCACCACCAAAATCAATAAGCCATTTGGAAAAAATGGCCAAGGTCAGACACCAGGTTTCCAACTACAATAGATAGTTACCAAACCTGCTTAGAATGAGATGATTCTACAGCCCAAATCTCATTCAGTATCCTTTGGCCCATTCTTACTCTCAGAATAAAATATTTTTAAAAAGATTTTACAAGAACAAAAGTTCTGTTTTCTACACTTCTACACTCTAACAAGCCAGACAGATTCACGCTAATTGAACTGCAAGGCTTCTGAGAGTGGCTGAAAACAACATAAATGCTATATGTGTAAAACTAAGAGGTTGTACTCATTCAGAAAAAGGAAAGGAGGGTCTCAGCCAGGTTTGGTGGTGAGCATCTATAATTCCAGATACTCTGGAAGCTCAGGAAGGAAGAAGACTGCTTGAGCACAGGAGAGCAAGACCAGCCTGGTCAACATAGCAAAATCCCATCTCCAAAAAAAAAAAAAGAAAGAAAGAAAGAGAGAGAGAGAAAGAAAGAAAGAAAGAGGGTATCATAAAGAATGAGCTGAAGACCACGAAATTGCAACACATCTTAGTAGAGTACCATGGTGGCACAGATAACAGTTAAGGGAGAAAGTTTCAATGACAGACCTTGTGTGGCCAAAAGTGATTCTACAGAAACAAAATCAGTAAGCAAGGAAAGGTCAAACTGCGACAGAATTGATTTTTCAAGCAGAATGCAGGCAATACCGTATAGCCTTTTGGAAACATATGCCAACCAACAGCAAGACTTTTCAAACGGAAGCTGAGACGCTGTTCTGAGGGTAATTGTTTTTATTTTCTTTTTTGAAATGAAATGGATGTGAAGAAGAAAGAAACCTGAAAGAATATTCAACCAAATGTAAATAGTGATTATCAGTAGATGACAGGGATGATTCCTATATTTTAGTTATATATTTATTGTTTACCTTTTTCTAAATTTTCTAAAAATAAAAAAATTATATTTTTACTTACAAGCTTTTTTAAAAAAAACAAAATGAATGAGATCAGCCATCCACTTGTAAATATGGGATACTCTAGGTAATATCTGTAGATACATACGTCTTCCCCATTAGACTCAGGACCCTCGTGAATGACACCATAGATTATTGTTCCTGGGAACCCCAGTGTCTAGCACAGGGCCTAATATATGAGCTACATTTATTAAGAAACATTTGTTTAGCAAATGAATTCTGGATATGGCCAAAAACCCAAACAAGGTAACCCTGATCTATCCTCCAGATGGTACAAAAATGGCCAGGGTCTCCCACTAGCATCTGCCCGGGACTTCCCTGGGCAGCCTCCTTCCACAAATCGGCCCCCTGTTGGGGATGTGCTGATCAGCCAGAAAGATGCTATTAGCCTGCATTATAGCTTAATGTCCCTTGTTTTTAATATCTTCCAGCAAGTCCTTTGTCCTTACTCACCTAGCTCCTTTCCTTTTAGTATTGTCTACTGAATTGAGCCATGCTGTTTTGCCCAAATCTTGCTCTGAAAGAAGCTGTAAGAAACATGGCTAGGATGTTCTGTCTTGTATTTCTGCTAGAGATATCCAGGCCACTCCAATACTTTAAGAGAACCCACAGGAAAATCTGTCTCAGATCTCAATGCCATTAAAATAACTACTTTTCAGAGTAAGTGACACATTTTAATTTTATGAGCACTATGAATCTTGAGATTTTTCTCTCTGCTTGCAGCTGAGAGCCAAATCTACAGTGACCTTACTACACATGCAGGTCTGTCTGTAAGCTAGCTTTTCCTCTTGTTTCATCTTACTATTCTTCCCTTCCTCTAGATGACCATGCTTTATCTTTACTTTTTCCTCTCTCTCAGATCATGTGTATTTTTAGAAGTCCTTTTGGAATGAGGCAAGGTTTAAACAAACCAAAAAATTAAATACAACCCCAAAGCCCCCAATCCCATGCTGTCTTTGGAGATTTTTATCCATGCAGCTTGCCTGCAGGACAAGAAAGTAAAGCTCCACACCACTCTCCTTGCTGTCAACCAGGGGCTGACCTTTATGTGCATTTGTGACAAGAAAGTCTGTAGACCAGAGGCCCCTCCCTTTCGACTTCCTGACCACCAGCTCTAAAATACACATTTGACCGCCAGTGTGAATGGAGCACTATGACTTAAGGCAGAATAGCAAATGGTTAAGAGTGCAGACTTTGGCCAGGCACAGTGATCCCACACTTTGGGAAGCGAAGGAGGGTGGATCACAAGGTCAGGAGTTCAAGACCAGCCTGGATCCTGTCTCTACTAAAAATACAAAAAAAAAATTAGCCGGGCATGGTGGCGGGCTGCCTGTAATCCCAGCTGCTCGGGAGGCTGAGGCAGAGAATTGCTTGATCCCGAGAGGCGGAGGTTGCAGTGAGCCGAGATCGCGCCACTGCACTCCAGCCTGGGCAACAGAGCGAGAGTCTGTCTCAAAAAAAAAAAAAAAAAAAAAAGTGCAGACTTCAAAGCCAGACTACCTGGGTTTTAATACTGCCTGCTACATCCCCCACTCTAACTGTTGACTTTAGACAAGTTAAATAACATTTCTGCGCATCTTTATTTCCCCATCTGTGCAACAGGAACAATATAATGGTACTGATCTCATAAGATTGTTGAGAGCAGCAAATGTGTTAACACGTGTAAAGTGACTATACCATTGCCTAACACACAGTAAATGTGGGACAGTACTACGATAGGACATTTCTGTTTTTGTTTTTTGTACTCTGTTGAGACGGGGTCTTGCTATGTTGCCCAGGCTAGTCTCAAACTCCTAGCCTCAAGCAATCCTCCCACCTCAGCCTCATAAAGTGCTAGGATTACAGGCATGGCCCACTGCTCCTGGCCATCGCTTTTTTTTTTTCTTCAACTAAGCTAGCCCACACAAAGTTTCAACTCTGATTGGCAGTAATGTTTCTCACTGTAAATTACTAAACTGGCAAACCCATTTCTATGGTAACTTTGTGTCTGGATCTCATTTGTAAATTAATGTTGATTCAAAATTCCCTTTATCCTGAATCAAGGACCAGATAAAACAAATTAAAATAAAATAAAATGCAAAGTTCCCTCTAAACACCTGTCATGTTTAACCATAAGCTTTCTGATGTGAAGGAGAAAGGAGGTTCCTGGGAATGTATCCACAATTAGTAACAGGATGACCCTTAAACCCCCAAGTGTGAATGAACCCACATGTATACATTACTGTGTACACACACACACACACACACACACACACACACACACCTGTCAATGTCCCTCCATTTGCAATATAGACAGCATTTAATACGCATGAAGAGATTTTTAAAAAGGGCATTCTTTAACGTATTTCAACTGGCAGCAGGTGATCAGAAAAAAATAAGATAAATAAAATATTGTTTAGCTATCAAAGAACAACTCTGCACTGTTAGATACTTAAGGTCCTGATTTGCACCTGAGTTTAGAAAGCTACCTCATACATATGCACTTAAAATGGAAATTTCTCATCAGATTCCACATCTAATGCAATGCAGAACCCAACTCTAGCTGTGCCCCATCTTTGCCCAGGGCAGAGCCAGTCTCAGCAACTTCCTTCACACTCAGCCCACCAAGATGTCAGTCCTCAGTGAAGCACTATTCCACATACGTACGTACATGATTATCAAATAAAGGGACTTCATACTCCAACTGCAGGAACGCAAAGAAACAAAACTAGATAAGTATGAAAGCTATAGAGTTTAGGAAAATCAAGGAAAAAAGTAATCACTGAAACTCATCTCTTGCAAAGAAAGTTACTTCAAAATTTGACGTAAATGGATTAAATTTCAGCATTTCGCTATACCGAAATTACACTATGGGAAGAAAAAACCCAAGAATACATCGGAGCCATTTATCTTCCATTTCCTGTATTTCCCTTAATTACCTACCCAAATGAATGCACGTAAGAGTTGTTAAAGTATTGAAATACGTCAGTCCTTTCTAATTACCTACCCAAATGAATGAGCGGAACAGTATGTTACAACTTTTAATTAAAATACGTCAGTTTCTTTTACAATTATCTTATTTCTGCATATCACAGAAAATATTCTAAGAACAGAGCAAAAATGAACAAGGACAATCCGCCCAGAAAACTGCTTTGAGGAATTTAGTAATCTCAGCCCTCTCAGGTTTAGCACGCCAACGTCTTTGGGAGAGCAAAGGCAAAGGAGATGATAAAATGACACTTCCAAATAGCAACAGCTGAGATCACTGCCGCATCCTAGATTCTTTCCACCAGGAGCGCGAGTATAGGGTTTTTTTCTAAACGCTCTTCCCAAGATCCCGAGGTCAATTTCAAACGCTGCTCCACGCTTAAGTCCCGAGGGAGGCTCGCTCGCCCACCCCACCCTGCAGGGATTGCACTTCCCGTTCGCTCTGGCCGGTCAGGAACCCTAACTTGACAGTGACAAACACTGAGAAAAGAGGAAGTGGCTAAAGATCATTTCATGACATTTTTTAAAGGGAGATCAATGGCCCTGTCTTTCCGGAAAACTTCCATGGGACGTTGCCATCACACCCTCTGAAAGTTTCAGCGAATGACAACGTAGCAAAAGTGAGGGCTACTCCCCTTTAAATATATATATATATATTAATCCTCGAAATCCTCTTGCTATCAAAATCGATCCCTCCTCCGTAACAGCGAACGCAAAACTAAGAGCGCCCATCCCGGTGGGGCCGATCTCGGAAGCCAGGCTCGGGGCCGGGTGCGCGCCGGGTCCTCCCTGCCAAGCTGCAGAGGAGGCGCCGGCACCGCGGCGGTCGCAGGACCTGGCAAGCGCCTACCTTACCTCCCTCACCTGGTTTGACTGGTTTGGGTGGCGGCTTCGACATCTCGCTTCCTGGAGCTGCAAATCCTAAAGACCCCGCCGAAAAGCCCACCGCTTGCCCGCCACCTGGCACTCCGGGCACCCCAGTTCTTTTTGTCTGGCTTACAACCGTGCGCCTCCTAGGACCGGCGCCCACCCTTGGCTGCGGGAAGAGCGGACGCAGGCAGAGCGGCTCCGCCGAGTGCTCCGCCCCGCCCCGCGGCCGCCGGAGCAGTCCAGAGCGCGCGCCGGGCCGACGAGGAAGTGGACCCCGCCTAGCCGAGCGCTAATTGGCTCCCGGGCTGGCAGCTTCGCCGCAGCAGGAGCGCGGGCGGCGCGCACGGCGGCGGAACCAGCCGGAGCCGAGCGAGGGCGAAGCGGGCGTGCGCCAGTGCAGTGCCGCGGGCCGCGCGCGCTCCCGATAGGGAAGGGCCGGAGCTGCGCAGGGGCGCGCGGAAGAGGCCAAGCTAGCCGGAGCCCCGCCCCGCCCCGCCCCGCCCCAACGGGGGCTGGAACCCGGCGCCGAGAGTAGAGAAAAGGGGCCTCTGGTGACCGCCCCTACCTGGCATCCCTCTAACCCAGGAGGAGCGTGGGGAAAGGGGCTGTGGGCCTCTCGGGGAGCGAGCTGCGGGTAGCGGCGCACTGGGTACAGGCGCGCGCTTGGCTGTCGCCTCTGCCGCTGTGTTTGGGAGGACTCGAACTGGCGCCAGGTGAGTGCGTACCTGCTCGCCCCTGCCGCGCCGCGCCGCCTTGCTGGGGCCTGGAGGTGTTTCCAGAGGGTTTCTGTGCTGGAGCCCGGGACTTGGTTGCGCCCTGAAAGCCTTGCCTGGACTCTTGCCACCCTCACAGAGCTGATAGGTGGCCTGCCGAGGAGGACGTGTACTCATGGTGGCGTGGTGCTCTAGCGCCCCGGAATAATCCTGAAAATGGGAACGCTGCCTCCAAGAGACCGCGCAGCCTGGAGAAGTCGCCAGGGACAGGATCAGGACTTGATCCTCGCGGATCGATATGGTCTCATTCCTCTAGCGTTGGGGTGATGACCTACTGCCCGCCTGCTGCCTGTTACTGTAAGGCCTGCTAAGAATTTTTTTTTTTTTTACTTTTTTTAATGACTGAAAAGAAATAAAAAGAAATATAATACTTTGTGACACGTGAAAATTACATGAAATTACGATTTCAGTGTCCGTAAAATTTTACTGGAACACGGTCACGCTCATTTGCATCTGTGTTTTCTGTGGCCGCTTTCGCATTACCCAGCAGGGTTGAGTAGCAGCTGGCAAAGCCCAAAGCATTTCCTGTCTGGCACTTTACAGAAAAAGTTTTCCTACCCCTGATCTATCGGATTGAATCTTCGGTGGGAGGAAAGAACTGGAGCACACAAGGAAGCCAATGGCATAAGTTCAAAATAACAGTCAATATTGTAAATTAATTGTATATTTGGGGAAAGAAAAAACTGTTTACCTAAGAACCTACATAAATGAAACCAATGGGGGAGGGGCATGAATTGCGTTTTCAAAAACCCCAGCCCTTCACGTCTGTAATCCCAGCACTTTGGGAGGGCAAGGCGGGTGGATCACGAGGTCAAGAGATCAAGACCATCTTGGCCAACCTGGTGAAACCCGATCTCTACTAAAACTGCAAAAAATTAGCCGGGCGTGGTGGCAGACGCCTGTAGTCCCAGCTACTCGGGAGGCTGGGGCAGGAGAATCACTTGAACCCAGAAGGCGGAGGTTGCAGTAAGCCGAGATTGCGCCACTGCACTCCAGCCTGGCAACAGAGCGAGACTCTGTCTTAAAAAAAAAAAAAAAACCCAGCCTTGAGGGATTTGTTTACCAAAAGGGAGCAAAGTTTAAACAATAGTAGGAAAAGACTGCCCTATCTCCTGGAAGAAGAGAATCAAAATAGCTGTTGGATAGAATACAGAGTAAGAAGTCCTGGAAACATTTTTCTCTTTTTAAAATATCAGACTGTCCTGTAGATACATTTGAAGAGCACATTTAGCTTTGTCAGCTGTCTTTCAGATCATTTGCGTTAGAGAGCTGCGTTAGAGAGTTCGTACAATCTGCTGATTCTGCACATGCCACTTCTGACCATTCTGCAGTTTAGAATCCAAAAGGCAAGTGTTTAGTAGTGAAATGAATTAAGCATAATAAACACACCTGAATTATTTTAAAAAACCCAACATTTTACTTAGGGTTAAAAAAAAGTGTAAAAAATAAAATTAGTCATTTCAGGTTTGCTCTTGGCTATCCTAGTTTGTTCTCCTGCTATGCAAAAGCTCTCCGCTGTTGAGGAAAGCCTTGCACGCACTGGGAAAATAAACTACACAGATATTCCATGAGATTGAAGGTGGTGTGGATTCTAGTGATAGACGTGCCCTGAAATGATGACTCTTTGGACACATCACATGATTTACAGTTTGTACGAAGCTTGCATTTGCTTCATGAAGCCTGGCAACTCAATTGCGAGCTTTTTAAATTTGATTTTTTGTTTTGTTTTTGGTTTTATGGGAGGCAGTTTTTGGGTTGTTTTTTGCCTGTTTGTTTTGGTTTTTTTCAAGATAGGGTCTCGCTGTGTCACCAAGGCTGCAATGCAGTGGCACAGTCATGGCTCACTGCAGCCTTGGTGATTTTTTTTATAGGGGCAACAGGCAATGAAATAGTAGAATGTGATGTGGAGGTGGACAGTGCCAGGCCTGAACTTGGAGCTCCCCTAAAGCTGCCCTGTGCATCCACACTGTTTTTGAAATAAATGCCTTCAGGGATTGCTAGGCCCACCCCCCACCCCGCCCTAGTCACTTAGCCCAGTTGCCTCTCTTGTCTCTGCATGTTCCAGTTACCCACCCTTCCCATCACATTGTCACTTGCTCATAGCTGATAGGGTATGCCCAGCATTTACCCAAACACTGGCTTGGACAGGCCCAGACTGCTAACTAATGTAGAACTGGGAGTTCCTGTTTTGGTTAAAAAAAAAAAAAAAAAAAAAAAAAAACTTACATTTGACTGTATCTGAGAGATTTTATAAGTAGGTTTTTTATGCCATCTTACTCCTGGTTCCTGAATGCAAGTAACCCCCTCAAGCCTATTTCCCATGCCACAACCATGCTCACTTGTTATTTACATGCCATGTAATTGATGCAATGGTCACACGTGTAACCACAGATGTGGCAGTTTAGGACGGGGACCAGTAGTCCTTTCCATTCTGTGTGCACAGCAAATAGATGCCCCATCAATAATACATCAGTAAGAATGACATCAATTATACATCAGAGCCTGACAATTAAGCTAGCACATACCTAACACCCTTTCTTTGCTGTTAGTAATAAAGTGCTTTTTAGCAGCTTGGAGTGATAGAAAGAAGTCAGCTCAATTGGTTTAGTTTAATATCTGGCTTTTCCACTTACTGTCTGTGTGACCTTAGGCAAATTGCTCTATTGTCTGAGCCAGTTTCCACTTATGCAAAATGAAGGGGTAGACCAAGTAATCGCTAAAGCTATACTTCTCCAAGTTTGAGAATTTATGCTTCAGCGAGCTATCCAAAAATAATGGGGGCAAGGAATGACAAGGTTTTATGAATTTTTATTTTATTTGGTAAAGTGAGGATATCACTCTACTAACATCTTCTGACAACATAGTTTTGTAAGAGAAAGAACATTTATCACCACAAAAGTGAGATAAAGAGCAGCCTCTCCCTTCCCAAAAAAAGGCTAATTGGCAGCATTGAACCGACATACCAAAAAAATAAGAATAGGGTAAAATAAAATTCAAAAGCAGAAAAATTACAACATAAAAATGTATTTTACAATATTCATTGTATGCAGTCATTCCCTCGATACATCTTGTAAATTTGGATGGAGATGTGTATTCAACAACATAACTCTGGATGAAACTTAAATATGCAACTTGTCTGCTATTTTATTTTATTTTTTAAGACAGGGCCTCACTCTGCCACCCAGGCTGGAGTGCAGCGGCTCAATCTCCACTCACTGCTACCCCCACCTTGTAGGCTCAAGCAATCCTCCCACCTCAGCCTCCGAAGTAGCTGGGACTACAGGAGCATGCCACCATGCCTGGATAATCTTTTGTATTTTTGGTAGAGGTAGCGTTTTGCCATGTTGCCCAGGCTGGTCTCAACCTCCTGAGCTCAAGCAATCCGCCTGCCTTGGCCTCCCAAAGTGCTGGGATTATAGGCATGAGCCACAGTGCCCTGCTGCTATTTTATCACAGTCATTATTGATTCTTGTCTCACATAGACTTGTTAATGGAAGTGGACCCCAGTCTTAAGCAATTGTACTCAATGTGGGATATTTAGATAAGCCAAGAAGTCAGACAACAATAGCCCTCTTCCCACCAGGCTTTTTTCTGCATAACCCCTCCCCAGGGAGAGTGTGGACACAGATCATAGAAACTGGAGCATTGCTGGGAGCCTCCAGCTTGGCAGGCAGCCGCTTGCCCCTGGCTACACGGCCTAGGTCCCTGGCAACCCCCCTGAGCAGATAGGAAGGAAGAAGAGTGGCCTTCAGGGATGACCTTCAGGAGCCACTATTCTAAGATTCCCTCCAGCTGTGCTTCACCTTTTCACTTAGTGAGAAAAATGGCCCATTGTAATAACCAAGGACTACTTTAGTGAACGTTAGGGAGGCATGTATGAAACTGCCCTCCATCCCCTAAACCAAAAATCCACAAAACAGTGGCCGGTGGCTTAACTTGGCCCTCTGCCTGAACATTTGCAGTTTCATGTAGAAAGCACAACAGAAATCCAATTAAGAGAAATGATAGCCCAATAAAAGGGAATTTCATTCTTGTCATTAGTAGACCTGTTAAAAAAATTATGATTATATGTTGAATTTCATCAAAAAAAATTGTGAAAATGTTTTTTCTCTTGTTATATAAGTCCATACATAACAACCTAGATTTTGCCTCTTGGCCCACATAGTGTCAAATATTTACTGTCTGGCCTGTTTCCAAAAAAAATGTACCTAGCCAGGCCCAAGACCTAGGCTTTTGGGTGAAGAAATAGTGTCTTTAAACGGCATTAGCTTCATTTTGCCTCTGGCCAGCAGTAACTTTCTTCTTGTCTCATAAGGGCAGTATCTTTAAACGGCATTAGCTTCTTTTTGCCTCTGGTCAGCAGTGACTTTTTCCTTGTCTCATGAGGGGAGAAAGAGGCCAGCCCACAGGGGTCCCTCCCTCACTGATAATGAGTCATACCCAGGCGACTGAATCGTGAAGGTGGAAGGCAACCTGGCTAAGGAGAGGATGAAACTTCATATACCACGCTGTGGCCTAGCAGTTCTTCCACGCCCAGAAAACAGACGTTCAAGGGGGAGTGCTCCGGCAGGTCACCTGACGTTGAACTGTTTGACAGTCCTGAGCACACCCCAGTGGTTGGCACTCAGTGGTAGCAGGGGAAGCCAGTGCGGCGGGAATGTGGATAATGCGGGGCTGGGCTGAAAGGTCACTGTCATCCTCCCCTCTCAGCTGGTGCTCCTAATTTAGGATTCTTTTATCTCCCTAGACATCTAAATGAAATGCATTTGATTTGTTTGTTTGTTTTTTTACTTTTAGGAAATATTAGGAAGCTGTGATTTTCAAAGCTAATTATGAAAACATTTATCATTGGAATCAGTGGGTGAGTAATTTTGCTACAAACAGCTCTTTAAGATACTGAGGATGTCCAAATGGTGTTTCTGTGTGGATGGAGTGGGGGACGGAGAAGCAGTGAGGATTCCAGAGTCCTGGGGAAGAGCAGACCACTGTGGAATATCAGTGGAGCACTGGCTTCATAAATGCCAACAAGAGATGGAAGAGTTTTCTATAAACAGAGAAACAGAAGAGTCAGTCAACCACATTTACCCACTTTCCCATTTATTTTGTGGAGCTAACACCAGAGACAAGGTCTGATTGGGCACTGCTTTCATTCAGGATGATTTATCATTCCCCATATCATTCTCCTTCATCACGATGGAGGAGAAAACTTAGTTTCTTTCCAGCTGTGCCCAGCTTCAGACATTTGGTATACAGAACACCTTCACCTCCATTCCTTTCCCCCATGTTTTGGGTGGCCTTATGTCCCATGTTGCCCAAGCTAATCCTTGTGGCCCTGGATGCACCTCTCTTTCTCTCAAACATGTTCTAAATTATATGGTCATCCTACCTGTGGTGCCATAGGCAGGCATGCAAATAAAACATCAACATCAACTGAAAATGACATTATTTGTTTTGCTACCATATTATGTTCACCTTTACTCTAAGTATATTCACATTGTTTGTGACCCAATTAATAAAATATCTGAGACTACTTTGTTTGTAATTTTGGGGAAATCATTGTGTTATGGTATTACATTACCATAGTAAGTCATCAATCAGAAGTAAAATTGAGTGAACTAAATGTTAGAACTCTGCTTTGCCTCCCATCTAACCAGAAGAAAAGTTCAGTTTTTCTCTGCAGTACTTCTCTTGTGTTTCTCTTCCTTCTCACCCTCACTGCCACCATCCTGATACAGGCTGTCATTCCCTAGTCCCCATCTTTCCCTTCTAATCTTTCCTACACACCTCTATCAGTTTAATCTTCATACAGAACATTTTGATTATCTGCCTGATGAATGATATTCAGTGGTTCCGAGTTATTGAGAATTAAATCTGAATATCATGATGTATGAAGGCCATCTGTAAGTAATAAAGGAAATGTATTAGCCTCAGGGGTAGCAGGCTGCGGGAAAAATTTGATACAGGAGCTCAGTGGTATCACCAAAGGCAGTTTTTCTCTCTTTTATGTGTCTTTCATTTGGGTTCATCTTAGAATTGGCTTATCCTTTTGGTCACAAAGATCTACTAGGAGCCCTGTGACTTGTTTCTTCATAGCCTGTCACTGGGCAGAAGGGGAAATGCTTCTCTTCCCCTAGGTCATAGGTCTCCCTTTGCTGGATAAGCCTGGTCCACATACACTCAGCCACCATGGTAAAAGAGGTGGGATTACACTGATTGGTTTAGGTCAGTGGGTTCTGTTCTGGAATTGAGAGTGGGAGCAGTCCCAACCGGACCTAGAAAACAGACATGGAACCTGGAGAGGCAACTACAAAGTCCACTACAGGATCCAATCCAGCCTTCATCTGGCATCTCTGTAAATAAGATTTCCCTCTTCTCAATGTCCCAATACAGGGCCGTATACCTAGAAACCTACCTTCTGTCTTGTCCTGTGTACTAGGTACTATCCATAACTCCCTAAGAAAGCCTTCTTTCCACTATCTTTTATTTAGCAAGTGCCATGATTTCTAATTTTTTTCTTTTAAGAAACAGGGTCTCACTATGTTATCCAGGTTGGTCTTGAACTCCTGACCTCAAACAATCTTCCCATCTGGGCCTCCCAAAGTGCTGGGATTACAAGGATGAGCCACTGCTCCTGGCCAAGTGCCTCAGTTTCATTTTAGTGCTGCTGCACCTGTGAAGCCCATGCCGGATTCAGTTAAGGCGACTTTTGTTCCTGCCTTGCATCTTATGAACTTAGCCACTTGCTTCCCTAGGAAGTAATTGTCCAATAAGCCTCAATCGAATAATTACTTCATAGGGAAGTAATAACTTAGTAATTATTCAATTGCAAATAACAGGGGTTCTGAAGGAATTCAGGGGGCATCCATGAACTTCCTGGAAATTTAACACAAATGTAAAGACAGTCATTTTTCTGGGTGTGTTAGTCCATTTGTCTTGCTATAAAGGAATGCCTGAAGCTTAGTAATTTATAAAGAAAAGGAGGTTTATTTGGCTCACTGTTCTGCAGGCTCTACAAGAAACATGGTGGTGATATGTGCTTCTGATGAGGGCCTCAGGAAGCTTACAGTCATGGTGGAAGATGAAGGGGATCCAGCATGTCACATGGCGGAAGAAGGAGCAAGAGAGAGTGAGAGGGAGGTTTCAGACTTTTTAAACAACCAGCTCTCACGTGAACCAACAGAGCAAAAACTCACTCATTACCATGGGGATGGCACCAAACCCTTCATGAGCGATCTGCCCTCATGAGCCAAACACCTGCCAGCAGGCCCCACCTCCAGCTTGGGGATCACATTTCTTTTTTGAGACAGAGTCTTGCTCGCCCAGGCTGGAGTGCAGTGGTGCAATCTCGGCTCACTGCAGCCTCCGCCTCCTGGGTTCAAGCGATTCTCCTGCCTCAGCCTCCCAAGTTGCTGGGACTACAGGCATGCACCACCACGCCCAGCTAATTTTTGTATTTTTAATAGAGGTGGGGTTTCACCATGTTGACCAGGCTGGTCTTGAACTCCTGACCTCAGGTGATCCACCCACCTCGACCTCCCAAAGTACTGGGATTACAGGTGTGAGTCACCGTACCCGGCCAGGGATCACATTTCAATATGAGATCTGGAGGGGACAAACATCCAAACTCAGTCACTGGGGAAAGAGATGATAACCTTCATGGGATTCTCTCAGAGTCCCACAACATAAAAAAGTTTAAATCCATCCTGGCATTAGACTTTCCCATCTCCATTACTTAACATGGACTAGTTTTATTAGTATACAACTTCTCAATCCTTAGTTTCCTCAACTGGAAAATTGGAATATTAACATCTACCTGTTGCAGAATGTATTCTCCACGTGTTTGAGTAATTACAGACAGCCTTTTAACTTCTCCCCAGCCCACTGTTATGTCCAAATACAATGAGCCCTCTTGTTACCTGGCACATAAAAAATAAATGGGCCAGGAGTTGTGCATTTATTTGGGTGTTGTGAGCAAAGAAGGGAGTGGCACCAAGTAGTCACCCTTTTTCCTTCCTCAGATCCTAGGACAGAATGCATGCTGGGCACGCTTCTCCTCAGGTTGGGTAGCACACGCAAGCTACACGTGGTGGTTGTGGGCGTGCCATAGGAAAATGTTCCTATTCCTTTCCCACATGTTTTGGGTGGCCTTCCTATTCCTTTACCCCATCCTATTCCCCCATTCCTATCCCTTTCCCCCATCCTATTCCCTTCCCCAAGGAAGGTTCCTATTCCTTTCCGCCATGTTTTGGGTGGCCTGAGCTGTCACCTGACCAGGATGTCTGCAGTCTGAGTGTGGATCTTAGGTGCAGGCTTGTTTAAATACTTTTTCTCCCCTCTCCTCTCCATATCTCAGACTGTCTTCTAGCCGATCTGTCTCCTCCAAGGCTTGTGCAAAAATGGGGTGTGTATTTCTCATTAGCTTTAGCTAAGTCAGTGAGAAAGGATCTAATTACTACTGTTGGTTTGACTGCGTGATCTTAACAGAGATAAGTCTAAAAAATGACAGATTTTTCTAGCCAGATTGTTCATATTGTAATAAAGTCACCCCTGTTCACTATCTCATTTAAACCAAAACTTAATACCTAAACTATGGACATTTGGTATGGTTTACAGACATTTTTGTTAAAGAAGGGGAAAAGTCATAATATGTTCTTGATACATAGGGTAGCACCCACTCACTTTTCATCGTTTTCAAAGAGATGGCCCATATCCTACCCAATTGTATATCGTAAGGTTACATGAGAAATCTTGTGAATCAGGTTCCTTCTACCTTGAGGTATAAGGTAGTAATTGAGTTATATACAAGCCATTTTGATGAATGGATATTAGTTCATTTTCCCTTTTCTAGATTATAAGTATTTGTGGATTGATCTCATCTGGGATTAAGCAAAGTTTCTTACAAATAGATGTGTAGTCAGGAGGTTTTTGTGCTGTGAACATTTTGGTGGTATGGTGAAATCTTGACCTCAGAGTAATAGTTTTAAGTGTACAAAATAAAATGCAGGAATACAAAAGAAATTGGTTATATTGAAATATAGTTATAAAAATATTTTTAAAAACAAATTTGTGATATTGTGATATATACTCTTCTATGTTAATATATTAAATAACAATAGCCAGAAGTGGGTCTAAACAATGCCATAAATCAGAAACAATAATGAACATCGATGATACTTCAAGATATCCACCCCAACTGCAACATAATATGAAAACATCTGTGATTTCTCTTGGTGAATGTCAGAGGTACTTATATCACTTACATTTATAATTAAAGGAGATGCTAAATTTCTGTCAGAATTCAATGAAAATAAAGGTATAATTTTTTTCTCATTCAAGTTCACAGATGCCCTGACTTATGTTCACAGACATGAGCCCCAGGTTAAAACACGCTTTCAATAAATGACTGAATCGAGAAGTGCCTCCCTCCCGTGTGATCTCCTCGATGCTGCAAAACTAGATCTAAAGAGGAGTAACTCAGTGCCCCTTCTCCTGGACTTCACAGTCCGGTCAGAAGAGACAAATAACTGGCCTGTTGTGATAAGCTACAGCAGACCTCCCAGCTGGCCCCCAGGTGGAGAGAGATGGGGAAAAGGAGGCATCGCAGAGGAAATGTGATTTCATGGTAGGTGGGCTTGTAATAAGCCACTCCTCTGTTTTTTCCACTGTGCCTTGAGGCAAAATCACAGTGACCATATGCAGTTTTATACACTTGCACTAAAATGTGCTACTCATATTCTCTGTGTTGCATATGAACCATGTGAATATTTTGACATAGGCAAAAAAAATTTTGCTTCCAACACAGTGTCTGTATTTTTAAGTGTTAGTGTTACTCAGTTCCCTTACTTGGTAGTTACCTTTCTCCTTCATCTTTCCCAGCTTATTTCTTATTATTAAGTACATCAGATCTACCAGTGCCTGTGGTTTAAGGCACTATCTATGAAAGAAATCATTTTTTTCTTAAATAGTAAATATTGCTTTAAATACCCTCTTAAAAAATTATTTTAAAGTGTTTAATTTTGGGCCAGGCCTGGTGGCTCACGTCCAAGCACTTTGGGAGGCCAAGGCAGGTGGATCATCTGAGGTCAGGAGTTTCAGACCAGCCTGTCTAACATGGCGAAACCCCATCTCTACTAAAAATACAGAAATTAGCCGGGCATGGTGGCGGGCACCTGTAATCCCAGCTCCTCGGGAGGCTGAGGCAGGAGAATCACTTGAACCCATGAATCGGAGGTTGCAGTGAGCCAAGATTGCACCACTGCACTCCAGCCTTGGTGACACAGCGAGACCCTGTCTCTCAAAAAAAAAAAAGTGTTTAATGATTTTTAATGCATTTTCCTTCTTGGTACTTTCTTTTTTCTTTGCTTCAGTGTGACAAACAGTGGCAAAACAACACTGGCTAAGAATTTGCAGAAACACCTCCCAAATTGCAGTGTCATATCTCAGGATGATTTCTTCAAGGTATCTATAAAACTTCTTAAATTATTTATTTAATACAAAAATGTTTAACCACCACGTTAATTGAATTACATCCAAGAAGTCTTTGGCTAGAGATTTACGTTTTGTATTGAAATTAGGCTCAGTGCAATGGTGTTACTTATCCACTAGATGGCACTGTCTATCAGTGCTGATCTTTCTTTGATCATCCAAAGCATTTATTAAAGACTTCTCTCCTTTTTAGTCTATAATTGTATTATTTCTTTCCTACACACTGTTTTGATGGGTACTTTATTATTTTTCCAGCCAGAGTCTGAGATAGAGACAGATAAAAATGGATTTTTGCAGTACGATGGTAAGTAGATTTACTTGTCAAATATTATATGCTTATGTTCATTTTCTTTTTCAAACCCAAAGAACTTCACTATGTTGAAGTTGATGGTTCTGTGGAACAAAAATTTAAAAAAAGAACTTCACTATATCTGTGAAGGCAGTCTTAAAATGTGTTTAAATATATTGTTGTACTTTAAGCCTGCATTTGTAGGTTTCTGATTTATGTTGAACTATTTAAATAAGTTAAAACCTTTTTCCAGTTTTATATTTAAAACTGAAAACACTGGGGCCAGGCTTGGAGGCTTACACCTGTAATGCCAGCACTTTTGGAAGGCCGAGGCAGGCAGATCACTTAAGCTCAGGAGTTTCAGACCAGCCTGAGCAACATAGGGAGATTCCATCTCTACCCAAAAAAATACAAAAATTAGCCAGGTGTGGTGGTGCATGCCTGTAGTCACAGCTCCTTTGGAGGCTAAGGTGGGAGGATCACTTTGCCCAGGACACTGAGTCTGCAGTGAACCGAGATCGCACCACTGTACTCCACCCTGGGTGACAGAGTGAGACCCTGTCTCAAAAATATATATTTTTTAAAATGAAATAATAAAACTGAAAACACTGAAATGATAGATTTTTCTTCTTTTTCATTGAGGTAAAATATGCCTATATAATTTACTATCTTTACCAATCTTAAGTGTACAGTTCATTTGTAATAAATACTTTTTTTTCTCCCTTCATTCCCCCCCACCTGCCTCCCCTTCCGGGTCTCTGGTAACCACCAGTCTACTCTCTATCTTCATGAAATCCACTTGTTTTAGCTCCCACATATGCATGAGGACATGGGATATTTGTCTTTCTATGCCTGACTTATTTCATTTAACATAATGGCCTCCCGTTCCATCCATGTTGCTGCAAATGACAGGACTTCATTCTTTTTAAGGCTGCATGATATTCCATTACATATACACACCATACTTTCTTTGTTCATTTATTCATCGATGGGTATTTAGGTTCATTTCATATTCTGGCTATTTGTGAATAGTGCTGCAATAAACATGGGAGTGCAGCTATTTCTTGGATATATTGATTTCTTTTATTTTGGATATATACCTGGTAATAGAATTGCTGGATCATGAGGTAGTTCTATTTTTAATTTTTTGAGGAATCTCTGTACTTCTCCATAGTGGCTGTACTAATTTACATTCCTTCCAATAGTATATGATGGTTCCCCTTTCTCCACATGGAATCACAGGGTTTTCTTCTGAAGCAAGTTAGGCTTGCTGTCCCTCTGCCCATTCCTGTTCTGAAGATGTATAAGTAGCTACATTGGCCACCCTCAACCACCCATGAGAGAATTTTGCCTGGAGCAAACTATATTCTCTCATTCTTTCAGCTTTCCTTCTTGGTGGCCAAAGTACTAGGCCACTGTGGTTTGGTTTTGTTTTTTTCTCTGTTCAGAAAGGTTTGTGAATATATTTTAGATGGATTCTCCTCATTCCTTACTCCAAGCTCACAGTTTTGAAGCCAAAGGATTACAGCCTATCATAAAACATTTTTTGTAGAGAATATCATGCTAATAGGCAGTTTAATATTTGATTATCTTATTAACTTTTATAATTAAAAAGATGATCATTGAATACTTACACAAACTAGTGACAGAGGGAGCTCTCTTTAAAAAGTCATAATGTTCTCTATTTTTAACTGATAACCTTTTAGGAAAAGTGTTATCAATCAGTTCTTACAGACACATAATAGTTTTATGAGAGGCAAAATTCTTGACTCACTCTCTGTTCTTGCATCTTGAGTTGCAGCCAGGATCATTTTTTTTTTCTTCTCTTCCTCTCGTCCAGAGGTTAGTGAGAAAAATCATTACAAAGTAAGGGTGAAAAACAAGGAAAAACAGTTTTCAACAATTGGAAAAGAATTACTATTTCTAATTTTTAATGAATTCTTACAAACTGATAAGAAAAACTAATATCCCAGTAGGAAAAGGGCCTAAGGATGTGAATAAGCTCTTCATAGAAGCAGTCAGTTATTGGATTAATAAATGTACAATAAAAGTCAACCTTAAAGAACTGCAAGTTACTTTTTTTCCCACTTACCAAGTAAACGAAGATGTTTAAAGCAATGATAATTAGCCAGTGATAGCATGGGCTCAGTAAAACAAAGGCCCTAATATACTTTAGATGGAAGTATATAGATAAATTGGTACAGTCTTTCTGGAAAGGAGGTTGAGCATGTGTCCCAAACTTAGCATGTTCATGCCATGACTTCAAGCATCTCACATCAGGAATCTATCTTAAGGAAAAACTTGAACATTTTAGGTAAATGTACAAATTTAAGGTAAATCAAAGTACTAGTCAAGGCTTTCTGAGCACAAACAGGATAGTTTTAAAATGTGGAACTACCAAGTTTGTAGAGGAAATAATTCATTTTCAATGGAATATAGTTGATTAATATGAAAGAAGTCAAAACAAAAATTAAAAATCAAGGGATGGCCGGGTGTGGTGGCTCACACCTGTAAGCCCAGCTCTTTGGGAGGCCAAGGTGGGTAGATTACTTGAGTCCAAGGGGTTCAAGACCAGCCTGAGCAACATGGCAAAACCCTGTCTCTACAAAAAATACAAAAATTAGCCAGGTGTGGTGGTGCGCACCTGTGGTCCCAGCTACCAAGGAGACTGAGGCGAGAGGCTCACTTGAGCCCGGGAGGCAAAGGCTATAGTGAGCCGAGATATGCCACTGCACTCCAGCTTAGGTGACAGAGTGAGACTGTCTCAAAAAAATAAATAAATAAATCAAAAGATGGTGGAAAAATAGAAAATAATAGTAAGATGATAGATTTAAGCCCAAATATACCAGTAGCCACATTAAGTGAAAGGAACTAAAATACTCCAAAAATTGTCAGACTGGTATTTTTTTTTTTAAGCCAACAATAAGCTCCTTAAAAGAGAAAGACTTAATGGCCAGGTGCGGTAACTCACGCCTATAGTCCCAGCTACTCAGGAAGCCGAAGCGGGAGAATCACTTGAACCTGGGAGGCTGAGGTTGCAGTGAGCCAAGGTTGTGCCACTGCACTCCAGTCTGGGCAACAGAGCGAGACTCTGTCTCAAAAAAGAAAAAAAAGAAAAAGGATATGTATAAGGACATAGAAATATAGGCCGTAAAAGGCTAGAAAAAGATCCATGATGGAAACACCTACTGAAAGAACTGTTATAACTCTAGCAACTATACTAATACCAAACGAAGTAAACTTTAAGGCTGAGTATTACTGAGAGAGAGAGAAATGAGTTACTTCGACAGGAAGATAAAACAACCTAAAATTTTTATCTACCTAATACCATAACATTAAAATGCATTAAGTAAACACTGACAGAGCTAAGAGGAGAGAAAGACACAAATCCACAATCGGTGTGGGAGTTTTTTGTTTGTTTGTTTATTTTTTATTGAGATGGAGTCTCACTCTGTCACCCAGGCTGCAGTGCAGTGGTGTGATCTTGGCTCACTGCAACCTCTGCTGCCCAGGTTCAAACAATTCTCATGCCTCAGCCTCCTGAGTAGCTGGGACTACAGCCACACACCACCACGCCTGACTAATTTTTTTTTTTAAAGTAGATTTGGGGTTTTGCCATGTTGGCCAGGCTGGTCTCCAACTCCTGACCTTAGGTGATCTGCCCACCTCAGCCTCCCAAAGTACTGGGATACAGGTGTGAGCCACCACGCCTAGCTGATGAGGGGGATTTTAACACAACTTCCTTTGTGTATTAGTTTGCTAGGGCAACATAACAAAGTACCACAGAATGCCTTAAACAACAGAAAATTATTGTCTCACAATTCAAGAGGCCAGAAGTCTGAGATCCAGGTGTCAGCAGGGTGGGTTCCCTCTGAGGCTGTGAGGGAGACTCTTTTCGGTGCCCCTCTCCTGGCTTCTGGTGTTTGCTGAAATCTCCGGCAGCCTTGGTTTCGGCTGCATCACCCCAGTCCCTGACTACATCTCCACATGGTGCTCTCCCTGTGTGTGTCTGAATTTTCTCCTTCTGTAACCAGTCATATTGCATCAGGTACCCACCCTACTCCAGTGTGACCTCACCTTAACTGATTGTATCTGTAATGACCATATTTCCAAACAGTCACATTCTGGAGAACTGGGCATTAGGACTTTAACATAGGGGGACGCATTCAACTCATAACAGCCACTAATGAGACTCACAGACAAAAATTGCTAATGATATAACAGATTTGAACAATACAATTAACTAACTTGACCAAAAACTGACATGTACAGAACATGCACCTAATAACAGCAGAATACATATTTTTTTTTCTTGAGTACATGGAATATATTACCCCAAACAGTCCATATATGCAAGGGCATGGAGTAAGTCCTAATACATTTTATGGATTGAAGAAATGTAAAGATACTCTATAATCACCATGAAGTAAATTAAAAATCAATAACCAAATGTTTGAAAAGTAAGCATTACCCTTTTTTCTGATTTTCAAAAACTTTTTCTAATGGAAAATTTCAAAGATATGCAGAAGTCAGCAGAAAAGTATAATGAACTCTCTCTTGAGTTCGCCATCCAGTTTTAATAATGATGAAATTTTGACCAATTATATTTCATCTATACCCTCACCCACTCTATTCACCTATATTGTTTTGAAGCAAATCCCAAACATCATTGTAGTTTATCTGAAGCAAAACACTTATCTATTCCTTGGGTCAAAAGCTAAATCACAATGAAAATTAGAAAATATTTTTAACTGAATGATACAAAAATATATCAAAAGTAGTAAGACTGCTGGTTCCAGCCAAGATGGATTAGTCCCATTGCTCACTGTTCCTCCCCACTGCAATGAAAAACCCTAGACGTAATGCAACAAACAGACAAAGGAAGACTGAAAGGAAAAAAGAAAGCATGCTGGCTAAAGATTCCAGGACGGGAGGAATGACATGGCTATGGGATCCATGGGTTTTCTTTTTGCCTCCTACATATACAGGAGAAGTATACAACATGGAACCATCCATAGGCACAGGCTAAAAAAGGGACAAGGAAAAGGGTGGCCTACCAGAATAGAAAAACTTTTTGATAATATCCACCCTACTCTAGCCAGACACAAAAGGCAAAACTGTCCTCCCTTCATTTTGTTAGCTTGGTGCGGAGCTAGACTTCCAGAAGATCCATTCAGCATTAGCAAGGCAGGGTGAGTCACCCCTCCACGTCACCCATGGGGGTTGGATCAGTGGAACCAAACAGGAAGCTGCACTTTCGCCTCCACCTGGCAGTACTCAGGTGGAAAGAGGCAGTGTGCAGTGGAGCAGGTTGGCACTTCACCTTCCTTACTCAGGGCGTGTCAGCTCCTGTCAGCAGAACCCAGTGGAAAGCTGAACTTCTACCCACAACTAGCAGCAATGAAACTTAACCAGCACTCTCCTTGACGCCCTCTTCTCACAATGGACCAACTTCCCCCACAACACAGCATCAGCAGGGCCTAGCAGGAAGCAGAGCATCCACCCCCACCTGAACCTGCAAGCTATACCAGAACAGAGTGACTGCCTGCAAAAGAAGATTAAATAGGATCTACAGCCTCATAACACAGGATCTAAAATGTCCTGGACACAGCTGAGAATCACTTATTATACCAAGAACCAGAAAAGTCTCAACTTGACTAAGAAAAACCAATCAACAGACACCAATACCATGATCACACAGATGTTGAAATTATCTGACAAAGAATTGAAAGCAGCATTATTAAAAGGCTGTAAACATAATATTGCAAACAGGCTTGAAACAAGTGAAAAACTAGACTGCCTCAGTAAAGAAATAGAAGATTTGAAAAAAGAACCAGATGGAAATTTTAGAGTGGAAAAAATACATTAACCAAAATTTGAAAAATCACTGGATTGGCTCATTAGCAGAGTAACTATGACAGAGAAAATAATTAGTGAACTTAAAGACAGAACAATACAAATTACTCAATCTGAACAACAGAGAATAGACTGAAAAGAAATGAATAAAAATGTGGAACAATAATGAAAGATCTAATATTCATATCATTGGAGTCTCAGGAGAAAGTGTGGGACTAAAAAAGTATTCAAAGAAGTAATGGTTTAAAAAAAAAACTTCTCAAATTTGGTTTAAGACATAAAACTTCAAGAATCTGAGCAATCCCCAGATTAAATAAGTCTGATTAAAAAAAAAATAGAGAAGGAACAGATTACAAATACCAAAAGCAAAAAAGGTAATATCACTGTAGATCCTACAGACATTAAAGAGATAAAAGGATATTATGAACACTCTTGCTATACAAATAAATTTGAAAAGTTAGGTGAAATTGACAATTTCCTAGAAAGACATCGCTTACCAAAACTAACACCAGAACAAAGAAAAAAATCTTAATAGTCCTATGTCTATTAAATAAATTAATCCATCATTTAAAAACCTTCCACTAAAAAACACTCTTAAGTGCTGTTGGCTCAATTCAGTAGTTCTGGAGTGGAGCTGAGAATTTGCATTTCTGACAAGTTCCCAGGTGATGCTAATACTACTGGTTTAAGTACCATACTTTTAAAAGCTATAGGCTACTTTTCTAAAATCACAATTAACTCGAGAAGTATGTACATTTTTAGAGTGTGACAATGACATATTTGTGTTCTTTACAAATAGTCTGACTTTTAGTTATTTATCTAGAAGAGCTCTTTGGTATATTAAATATCTTAACTCTTTGCCAAAGACATTACAGATATTTCCCTCCATGTGTCATGTATCTTTCAAACTTATCTGTAGATATTTCATCTTCTAAAAATTTTAAATTTTTGTGTAGTCAGGAGAGAATCGAAGTTATAAGTAAAGCAAGGTTAGCCATGGGTTTCTGATTATCAGAGCTGGTAATAGGGACCTAGGAGTTCACTGTACTTTACTTTTTTGTATGTTCGAAATTTTCCATAATAAAAATGTTTCACTGTGGTTTGTCAGCATTAGAGTTTCCACATGTTATCTAAATTATTTGTTATTAGGAGTTTTGAAGGGAAATAAAATGGTGGTGTATATATTTACAGAATCCTGGATATACTCATCACAAAAAGTCACATCACAAAATTTTGTGCTATATTGATTGCATATTTTTGTGTGTTTGTTTGAAGTGCTTGAAGCACTTAACATGGAAAAAATGATGTCAGCCATTTCCTGCTGGATGGAAAGCGCAAGACACTCTGTGGTATCAACAGACCAGGAAAGTGCTGAGGAAATTCCCATTTTAATCATCGAAGGTTTTCTTCTTTTTAATTATAAGTAAGCATCTCCACCCTAATATTGTCTCTGAGTGAATGGGGGGATAAAAACCCTTGTGAACTAAGTATGCTGTTATTTTAGGCCCCTTGACACTATATGGAATAGAAGCTATTTCCTGACTATTCCATATGAAGAATGTAAAAGGAGGAGGAGGTAAGTTTTGAAGCCATCTTTGTGAGTTGTAATTCAAAACAAAAAATGTAGAAGAAAAATGAGGACAGCAACATTATTGAGCAATGCGTATACGTCATTTTTCAGAGACAGGAAGCCTTAACTCTTTTACAAAAGGAGCAAAACTCTTTTCCATAAATGGTCATCCGCATGGAGTAATGCAAATTACTTTCTAAGAAAAGGGCCTTATATCAAGCTTTCGGCTCATTTCTCCTAAATCCTCAAACAAAGCAAGCCCATGGTGATTAGGATTTTAATGTAAGTGAGCCTGTTCTGCCACAGCTACAAAGAACACCAATTAGTTCAAAGCTTAATCCAACATAGTGGTCTCTCCATTGTTATTTACACTATTTGTCTCTTAGTTCTCTTATAAAGCACTAGAAGGAAAAAGAATAATTAAGAATGATAGTCAGTGGATTACAAAGTTAATTTTAATATCAAAGAACTAAATCCATGTTACTGTCGTTCTAACTGCCATTGAGTTAAAACATGTAGTACATGTAGTCCTAATCCTGTTTAGATTCAGCCTCTGAGTGATTTCCCCATTATCCTGACCATTCATATTTTACTTTATCAATTGTGTGTTTCTGTCAACATAAAGTTTCCTACGTGTTTTGATAGTACAAGGGTCTATCAGCCTCCAGACTCTCCGGGATACTTTGATGGCCATGTGTGGCCCATGTATCTAAAGTACAGACAAGAAATGCAGGACATCACATGGGAAGTTGGTAAGTGCCTTTTCTCCTTCTGTTCAAGGCCTTTTACTTGTCATTTGCCTCAAAGTATAGAAAAGAAAGGACTCATAGAAAAGTATAAAGGGATGCTTAAGCAAGAACACTCTGGGCTTCTCCTTTTCCATAGCTGGTTCTCCTGGTTTCTGTTTCTCTCTGTGGCTCTTGTCAGCTTCTGGATGGTTATTCATTCAACCAGTATTGAATGAATGCCTTCCAGTGCTGCCCTGGAGATGGTGAGGGGAATGAGGCAGACCCAGCCCCTGCTCTTATGCAGGTAACATTCTATCATGGAAACAGGTGCTAGAGATACCAGCGGCCCAAGCCTGTCCTTTCCAGCTGCTGTAAGTTCTGCGACACCAAGTTCTAGGGGACTGCCGAGATCCCGGTAGTCAGGAAAGGCTTCCTTGAGGAAGTCACATTTAACCAAACTTCAATGAGTTTAACTGAACAAAGGAGATGGGTTGGGGAGATAGAAGATTACCCCAGAAAGTGGGTGTGGCACACGAAAGGGCCAGGGGACAGGAAGGAATGAGAAACCCCTGAAAGAAAGCTGGTGTTGAGAAAGCTTTCTAGTAAAGAAAACCAGGGGAGTGGATTGATGCTAGTGATACAGGCAGGGTCCAGACCCTATAAGGCCAATAATCTAGGTAAGGACTTTGATCATTGTTCTCAGAGAAGTAAGAAGCTCTCTAGAGAGAAGTTTTAAACAAGGGCATGATTGATAAAAATTCTTGTTTTAGTTAAGACCCCTCTGGCTGTGTGGAGAATGGAGGAGGATAGATTTATAGGGTGTGATGTTGGACGCCCGCACTCAGTAGAACTGGGTGATAGAACAGCTATGGAGGGGGCGGGAAGATGACAGATGCCTCAGCAACTGACAGATGTTAGAAAAAAGTGAAGGCATTGCAGACCTGTAAGGGAGGAATGCATGTCTCTTTTGCACATAATGAGGTTGAGGTGCCTGGGAGACATATGTAGCAATTTGGAGGTAAGCATCCGGATCTGTGGGCTTGAGCTAAGAACAGATCACTGGAATAGGGCACTCAATGCAGGGAAGATGGCAGAAGGCTGTTGGATAAGGCAAAGGAGTTAGAACTGATGTATGCTTTTCACAATAAAGGGGACTTGTCTGTGTTGTGAGAAGCCTGTTGGCCTCCAGGATAGGCAGCTATGTCAGAGCCATGTGGAATGCACACAGAGTGTACCCCCAGGGCCAATGCTGAGATTCTGGCTGCACCACGTCCAACTTGGACCATTGGTTGCAAGAACATCCTCTTGCTTCCCTTCTCTCCCTTTTACCTAAAATGCAAATCTAATCAGGCTCCTGCTCTGCTGAATACCTTGAGTCATCTCCAGATCTTTGAGATACAATCCAAACAGCCAGACATCAAGGCCTCTAACGACTGAGGTACTGAGGTACACCCTTGCTCTAAAATCTCATCTCACGCTGTTCCTGGAGCTTCCCCATATTCTAGCCATTCCAAAGGGTGCATCAGTGCTCTTGCCTCTCCCTACTCATGCTGTTTTCTGACCAGAAGGCCCTTTCCTTCCTTTAACCTAGACAACTTCTACTTTTTCTCCAAAGCTGCTTATGCCAGTTTTATTAAAAATACGTCTTTTCTCTGATAGCAGAAAACACACACACACACACACAAACATACACACACACACAATACATATTTTCTGAGCCTGGTGAATTCTGAGTTTGTACATATGTTGCAGATCCCAGACCACTGCATTGTTTAAGAAGCTTCCCAGGTGATCCTGATGTATAAGTATGTTGAAGAATTACTCCTTAAGTGACCCTTTTGGGTGAACACCTTCAGTGCACCTAAAGTGCCGTATGCACAACACCACTTTCTTTCTTCTGTTTCTTTCCTCCTTTCTTCTTTCTTTCTCTTCTCTTTTAATTAAATAATTTTCACATAAGCCAGTGTGGATTTATCTGTAACAATCCAATATTTTTGACCTATTATAGCTGGCTAGCATCTATTTCTTTCTTTAATCACTATTAATTTCCTTTTAAGTTATGGTCCTGGGTGCCTTGGTTAAACCTATTGGCATTTACAAGAGATGTTGGGTGTCAAAGTAAACATTGTATATTAATAAGCCTGTTAGCATTTGAACTGCTCTCTTTTCCCCTTCGTAGTGTACCTGGATGGAACAAAATCTGAAGAGGACCTCTTTTTGCAAGTATATGAAGATCTAATACAAGAACTAGCAAAGCAAAAGTGTAAGTATTGTGCTAACAAAGTGGATGGTAGAGGAGAAACAGCCAGGAAAATCATTCATTACATATGAAAGAATGGAATACCAGAATGCTAGTGTAGGAGTGATTGTGCTCATCCATTCTTTGCTTTGAGGATAATTCAGAATCAGAAATTCTGGGGGGGGGTTTGGAGACTCAATTATTTTGTCTGTTTTTAGGGGTAAAACCATGTACCCTTTGTTACATCTCTTAATGCTATTTATGTGATTTACTTTAAAACTTTTAGTAGATGGCTGTACCAAATGGGACTGGAAGTATCCTTTGGGCACAGTATAATTAAAATGCTGATGATTTTTTTTAGTATGTCCAGAGCTCCCCTTTTCTTTTATTCCCTTAAAGACTTTCTGTAAAATTTCTACTTTCCAAATACCTCAAAGATAAACAAAAGATTTTAAAAAGTATTATGAAGTGTTTGTTTAAGGTTTTCATATTGGACGGCACTGTTTGCAAGTGACAGGGATCTGCCTAAATATGGCTACAGCAGAAAGACAGTACAGGGGTAATGGTGGCTTCAGGCTCAGCTGGATTAACTCATTTATGCCTAGTGTTCCATTGTTGGAACTCTAAGCTTGTAGGAGTTATTTATATCCTACTGCTGAAGGTCATCACCAAGGTCTCGTTTTTCACAAAAATAATTTGCAACCTCCAACATTAATGGGTTAAGGAACTCAAATAAGGTCCTCAGGACTCTGCTTCTATTCTACTTTCTATTTAGGGTTTATTTTGAAGTCAGGCTCTCCACTGACCTGATGTCTGTTGACAACAACATCCTCCTAGGTCCATCAGTCCCAGGGTAAAAAGATATCTTTTTCAAGATTTGACAACGAGTTGATAAATGTTGGAGCTGGATATTGAGTACAAGGAGGTTCATATTTATTCTCACTTCTTTTGCATAAATTTGAAATTCTTTATTTTAAATAGTTTTCTAAAAAGCAATGTTCTGTTGTAGCCCAGATGATTGGTCCTGCTGGATCACATGACTTGCCAAACCAATCACTATGGCCAGGGAGATGGCATACTCTGATTGGCCAGGCCTACATCACATAACCCATCTTGTAATTGAATACCCCACCTAACACCTTCTGATTTTAAAAATTTCTCTGGCCAGTTGCAATGGCTCACGTTTATAATCCCAGCACTTTGGGAGGCTAAATTGGGAGGATTGCTTGGGGCCAGGAGTTCAAGACCAGCCTGAGCAACATAGTGAGAGGGACTCCATTTCTACAAAAATTAAAATTTTTTAAAAATTAGCTACCAAGCACAGTGGCTCACATCTGTAATCCCAGCACTTTGGGAGGCCGAGGCAGACAGATCATGATGGTCAGGAGATCCAGACCATCCTGGCCAACATGGTGAAACCCCGTCTCTACTAAAATACAAAAAATTAGCCAGGTGTGGTGGTGCGCGCCTGCAGTCCCAGCTACCCGGGAGGCTGAGGCAGGGGAATCTCTTGAACTCCGGGGGCAGACATTGCAGTGAGCTAAGATTGCACGCCACTGCACTCCAGTCTGGTGACAGAGTGAGACTCTGTCTCAAAAAAATAAAAATAAAAAATTAGCTGGGCATAGTGGCACGTGCCTATAATCTCAGCTACTCAGGGTATTGAGGTGGGAGGATGGCTTTAGCCCAGGAAGTCAAGGCTGCAGTGAGCCATGAATGTGCCATTGCACTCCACCCTGGGAGACAGACAGCCCTATTTCTAAAAATTAAAAAATCAAAAATTTCCCAAAGAGAAAGCAGGGCAGGAGGTAGAAACCAGAAGAAGAAAGTCGAAAAAACATGCTTAAGGGACAAAACTGTAGATGTAGCTGTTGTTATATTTGAACTATTTGAATTAAAAGAACTTCCATGGCTAACACCAGCAAAATGCAATCATCAGCTGGCTCAGAGAAGACAGTATGACTCACTCCAGCAGTGAAGAATATTATATGTTTTTTTTGGTGAGAAGCAATTGCCCTAGTCCAAATGTTGTCCTTCCTCAGTAAGAATTAGATTTCCTACCTACATCCTCAATAAATTCCTCTTTGACTAGGAGACTGAGCCCAACTAGGCAGCTCATTGATCCTAAACATTGTTGATTTCAGGATCAGCCCATCATATAGGCATGAACCCATTTGAAGGAATTTCAGGACCATTTTAAATTTTCTTCTTGCAAGTAGAATTTAGAATCCTTGCCAGATATGCCCGCCCACTCCTGCCATCTGTTACTTTGATGAAAGTCAGGCCTTCCATAATGAATCTCAGAGCACCAACATGAGTGGATATAGAGGGTGTGGGGTGAAGGGAGGGGCTCAGCCTTCATAAATGATAGCACATGAGCCAGAGCCACTTCTCTGAGAGTTATTGGCTCCCCTTTCTGTCCCTAATGAGGCACTTCCAGGAGTGTTTCAGCTGTTGGACACCTATAGCTCTTTGTCTTCTCAGCAATGGCCAGTGCTTGGGTCCAGCTTTCCTTTATGACTAAGTGATACACTGGAGTTTGGCCTTATGATCTACCTACTGATAAAGATGAAAGTAGCCTTTGTCATGTAGCTCAGGTAAATTGCAACCAGCTCCATTCCAAATTCAGTCTTCACCATCTGTTCCAAAGCCCAAGAACAGCTGACATGTTTTGACAGGTGCTGCTAGCTCACAAGAAAGTGCATTTCCCTGTGTTGTGACGCCCCTCCTTCCTTCCCTACATCCTAGAGGCAGGCAGGAAAGTATTTAGCTATGCCATTTGAGGCTTCTAGATATTAGTTAAAGTTTAAAAAAAAAACTTAAAAGAGGGATAAAAACAGAAATACATCAGCTTTTCTTACCTCCAACATTTATGCTGGTTTTTCTCAGTTACATAAATAAGTTACTGTTTTATTTCTAGTAACCTATCACCTTTCCTATTTCTTCCATCCACAGTATCCTGGCAAAGCTTTCCTGAAGGTACCCTCAGCATAGCCTGGTTTAACCCTGAGTATGACACACACTGAGCTAGCTGGGGAGGCCTTTCAGTGTTTCTAGTGACTAATCTTCAGGGTTTTTTTTCTCACATCTCATAAACTTGTTTAGCTAATTTTTCAGTCTTAAGTACATAAAATCATAATTATGATAAGGTAATAATAATGAAGGGGAAACAAGAAAGACTGAATTTAATTGTTAATGAAACAATAAATTATCCAACAGAGTAAGAGAATGGAGTTACACATTTAATTTAATCCTTATTTAAATCCAAAGTATGAGGCAAAATTTAATTATTTCCTTATTCTTACTAAAACAAAGTAGTCTAGCCACCAGGAACATTCAAACTCCCTTTAAAAACATTTATTTTCACCTCATTATAAAAACATTATTTTTAAGGTTTTTTATTTTTTGTTTTATTTATTTTTATTTTTTATTTTTCTCATATGGAGTCTTTTTTTCTTTCTTTTTTTTTTTTTTTGAGATGGAGTCTCGCTCTGTCGCCCAGGCTGGAGTGCAGTGGCACAATTTCGGCTCACTGCAAGCTCCGCCTCCTGGGTTCACACCATTCTCCTGCCTCAGCCTCCCGAGTAACTGAGACCACAGGTGCCAGCCATCACACCTGGCTAATTTTTTATATTTTTTTAGTAGAGACGGGGTTTCACCATGTTAGCCAGGGTGATCTCAATCTCCTGACCTCCGCCCGCCTCGGCCTCCCAAAATGCTGGGATTACAGGTGTGAACCACTGTGCCCAGCCAATATGGAGTTGTTCTGTCGCCCAGGATGGAGTGCAGTGGCACGATCTCAGCTCACTGCAACCTCCACCTTCTGGGTTCAGGTGATCTCCTACCTCAGCCTCCCAAGTAGCTGGGATTACAGGTACGCACTACCACGCCCTGCTAATTTTTGTATTTTTAGTTAAGACGGGGTTTTGCTATGTTGATCAGGCTGGTCTCAAACTCCTGACCTCAGGTAATCCGTCTGCCTTGGCCTCCCATAGTGCTGGGATTACAGGCATCAGCCACCATGCTCAGCCTTTTTAAATGTTTAATAGAAAGCAAAAGGGAGGAAGTAATTACCTGTGTTCCCTCCAATCATTAGTGTTAACATTTTAATGAGTACACATCCAGTCTTTTTGCTGTTCACATCAATCTGTCTTTTACAAGACTGCAAGGACAGTGTAGTTAATCAGCCATGCTTATCTCTGTTTTTAAATTAGTATTTAATATTTATGCAGCTTTATAGATTTCATTATATAATGAAACTAAGTAGCTCTTCCAGTTAAAAAAAAAATCAAGGCTGAGTTCTGTTTTGTACACTGAAGAGAAATGTAAGACTTGACATTGACCCTTTAGTACAGAAGAAACATGTCACATGTCTAGTTCCAAATCAAAAGAATAAGAAGTTGCAAAATAAAATTTAATTATCAGATGTTTGTATTTTTCTCATTAAATATAAAATATAATCTCATTATAAAATTATAGTATAATTATCTGGTACAGTAGTCCAAATTAACATAAGATCACTTAACCATTTCCCAATTGTTGGATATTTACTGTTGTTACAAGTGTTTCACATGGATATATCACATGCCATAAAAAATATCTACACCTACTCTTTGTTGGTTGTCTTCTTTTTGAATTATATCCCTGGAGTAAATTCCCAGAAGTGTCACTTATGTAGTCAAAGGATGTAATCATTTTTACATTTTACATATTTCAAAAATGAAATACTACCCAAAAAATGTGTGCTTTGCAACATCAGCTGTGTAATAAGAATGTGGTAGGTTTATCATTGAATTTCTATGCCAAATCAAGTATTCCACTGGGCTTCCTTCGTTTAAGAAAAGGGATTAAAGTAACAATACTTTCCCCACATCAAGGATAACACTCCAAAACAAGGATTATACTGCAGACAACTACCCTTTGTGGTTTTATTCTAGTCTTCAAACTATATCATTCTCTGAAGTCAAGGATTACTATACGAACTACAAGTGATATTGGATATCTATCTGATATTTTAAGGTATGCTTCAAATTTAATGCAGGGATTAAAAGAATGGGACTTGGACTCAATTTAGTTCTTTACAGGAAACCAGCATTTTTGGCTCCAGAATCCCTCTAATTTAAACATCCTTAGATTTACTGTTGTTGATGTAAAGATTTAATAAAATGAGAATTGGAATTCTCCATTAATTTCTTTTTATGTTTATTCCCAAGGTTTGCAAGTGACAGCATAAAGACGGAACACAACAAATCCTTCCTGAAGTGAATTAGGAAACTCCAAGGAGTAATTTAAGAACCTTCACCAAGATACAATGTATACTGTGGTACAATGACAGCCATTGTTTCATATGTTTGATTTTTATTGCACATGGTTTTCCCAACATGTGGAACAATAAATATCCATGCCAATGGACAGGACTGTACCTTAGCAAGTTGCTCCCTCTCCAGGGAGCGCATAGATACAGCAGAGCTCACAGTGAGTCAGAAAGTCTCCACTTTCTGAACATAGCTCTATAACAATGATTGTCAAACTTTTCTAACTGGAGCTCAGAGTAAGAAATAAAGATTACATCACAATCCAATATCTGTGGAATTCATTGTGTATGTTTATGTATTTGTGTGTAGGTGTGTATGTGTGTGTGTGATACATACATACATCAAGTATCACAAGACATTGACCTTATATATTATGCACTGTGATGTTTTTCCGTCTTTAATTATAAAAAACATATTGATCACAACCACAATTTGGAAAATGTTGCTCCATACCATCCCATACCAACACTCACCACCTGCAAATAATAGCATTACTAGGAGCTGCAGTCACAATGAATAAATCAACAATTCGCTACAAGATCTAGGATTATTTGTGTATTTTGTTGAGTGTGTGTGTGTGTGTGTGTGTGTGTGTGTGTGTGTGTTGGCGTGTATCTAATACCATTGTATCTCATTGTTGAGACTTTGTTACAAATAGGGTTTCTGGTTTCTTTCTCCCCCCTCGTGGTTCATTTTGTTTTTGTCAAACCAGTGGTCTAAAATCACAGAAATAAGCAATTACTTCAATCATGTGGAATCCAGGGGACCTATCTTTGGAAAGCACAGAAGGAGATCTGAATTGTGTGATCTCTTGAGGCTGCTTTCAATGCTGGAATTTAAATTATGTACTGAACAATCTTTTGCTTATTAATAAAAAGATTACACACAACCATCTCAATCTTTTTTTTATATATACTTTAAGTTCTAGGGTACATGTGTACCATGTGCAGGTTTGATACATAGTTATGCATGTGCCATGTTGGTTTGCTGCACCCATCAACTCATCATTTGCATTAGGTATTTCTCCTAATGCTATCCCTCCCCCAGCCCCCCACCCCCGACAGACCCTGGTGTGTGATGTTCCCAGCCCTGTATCCAAGTGATCTCATTGTTCAATTCCCACCTATGAGTGAGAACATTCAATGTTTGGTTTTCTATCTTTGTGATAGTTTGCTGAGAATGATGGCTTCCAGCTTCATCCATGTCCCTGTAAACGACATGAACTCATCCTTTTTTATGGCTGCATAGTATTCCATTGTGTATATGTGCCACATTTTCTTAATCCAGTCTATCATTGATGGACATTTGGGTTGGTTCCAAGTCTTTACTATTGTGAATAGTGCCGCAATAAGCATAAATGTGCATGTGTCTTTATAGTAGCATGATTTATAATCCTTTGGGTATATACCCAGTAATGGGATCACTGGGTCAAATGGTATTTCTAGTTCTAGATCCTTGAGGAATCACCACACTGTCTTCCACAATGGTTGAACTAGTTTACAGTCCCACCAACAGTGTAAAAGTGTTCCTATTTCTCCATATCCTATCCAGCATCTATTGTTTCCTGACTTTTTAATGATCACCATTCTAACTGGTGTGAGATGGTATCTCATTGTGGTTTTGATTTGCATTTCTCTGATGACCAGTGATAATGAGCATTTTTTCATGTGTCTGTTGGCTACATAGAAGTCTTCTTTTGAGAAGTGTCTGTTCATATCCTTTGCCCACTTTTTGATGGGGTTGTTTGTTTTTCTCTTGTAAATTTGTTTGAGTTCTTTGTAGATTCTGGATATTAGCCCTTTGTCAGATGAGTAGATCGCAAAAATTTTCTCCCATTCTGTAGGTTGCCTGTTCACTCTGATGGTAGTTTCTTTTGCCATGCAGAAGCTCTTTAGTTTAATTAGATCCCATTTGTCTATTTTGGCTTTTGTTGCCATTGCTTTTGATGTTTTAGTCATGAAGTCCTTGCCCATGCTTATGTCCTGAATGGTATTGCCTAGGTTTTCTTCTAGGATTTTTGTGGTTTTAGGTCTAACATTTAAGTCTTTAATCCATCTTGAATTAATTTTTGTATAAGGTGTAAGGAAGAGGTCTAGTTTCAGCATTCTACATATGGCTAGCCACTTTTCCTGGCACCATTTATAAATGGGGAATCCTTTCCCCATTGCTTGTTTTTGTCAGGTTTGTCAAAGATCAGATGGTTGTAGATGTGTGGTGTTATTTCTGAGGCCTCTGTTTTGTTCCATTGGTCTATATATCTGTTTTGGTACCAGTACCATGCTGTTTTGGTTACTGTAGCTTTGTAGAATAGTTTGAAGTCAGGTGGCGTGCTGCCTCCAGCTTTTTTCCTTTTGCTTAGGATTGTCTTGGCGATGCGGGCTCTTTTTTGGTTCCATATGAACTTTAAAGTAGTTTTTTCCAATTCTGTGAAGAAAGTCATTGGTAGCTTAATGGGGATAGCATTGAATCTATAAATTATCTTGGGCAGTATGGCCATTTTCACTATATTGATTCTTCCTATCAATGAGCATGGAATGTTCTTCCATTTGTTTGTGTCCTCTTTTATTTTGTTAAGCAGTGGTTTGTAGTTCTCCTTGAAGAGGTCCTTCACATCCCTTGTAAGTTGGATTCCTAGGTATTTTATTCTCTTTGAAGCAAGTGTGAATGGGAGTTCACACATGATTTGGCTCTCTGTTTGTCATTGGTGTATAGGAATGCTTGTGATTTTTGCACATTGATTTTATATCCTGAGACTTTGCTGAAGTTTCTTAACAGCTTAAGGAGATTTTGGGCTGAGACAATGGGGTTTTCTAAGTATACAGTCATGTCATCTGCAAACAGGGACAATTTGACTTCCTCGTTTTCTAATCGAATATCCTTTATTTCTTTCTCTTGCCTGATTGCCCTGGCCAGAACTTCCAACACTATGTTGAATAGGAGTGGTGAGAGAGGGCATCCTTGTCTTGTGCAGGTATTCAAAGGGAATGCTTCCAGTTTTTGCCCATTCAGTATGATATTGGCTGTGGGTTTGTCATAAATAGCTCTTATTATGTTGAGATACATTCCATCAATACCTAGTTTATTGAGAGTTTTTAGCATGAAGGGCTGTTGAATTTTGTCGAAGGCCTTTTCTGCATCTATTGAGATAATCATGTGGTTTTTGTCATTGGTTGTGTTTATGTGATGGATTACGTTCATTGATTTGCATATGTTGAACCAGCCTTGCATCCCAGGGATGTAGCCAACTTTGAGACAGTCTCACTCTGTTGCCAGGCTGGAGTGCAGTGGTGCGATCTCGGTCACCGCAGTCTCGGCCTCCCGGGTTCAAGCGATTCTCCCACCTCAGCCTCCTGAGTAGCTGGAACTACAGGCGCATGCTACCATGCCCAGTTAGTCTTTGCATTTTTGGTAGAGACAGGGTTTCAGGATAGTCTTGATCTCCTGACCTAGTGATCCGCCAGCCTTGGCCTCCCAAAGTGCTGGAATTAGAGGCGTGAGCCACCATGCCCAGCCAACTTTCTCAATCTTTAAAATATATTGTTACATTAACCATTCTCTACAGACTCAGTCAACTCTCATTATTTCTTTATTTCTAACTAGCTTGCACTCACTTGGTGATGACCAGACAGTTCTTTGGATCCCACACACTACAAAAAATACAAACAAAAACAAAACCCAGGCTCAAATTATAGTTCATCCACTCAGTAGCTATGAGTTCAATCAAGCTATTTAAAGTTTTGGTTTTCTCTTTTTAAGATAAGGGATATCAACAGTATTTAGAATGGGTGTAGGGTAGAATAAGGATAAAGTTCAAATATTTTAATGTGGCATCCAAGGCTTTCTCTGATCTGGCTTCTGTGTACCTCTCTATCCTCATTTCCCATCAGAATTGGGTCATATAGTCACTTCTCCCTGCAAGGGAGGCTGGGAAGATGTCATGATAGTTTCAGACCAATTGTGACTCTGCCTTGGGATGTTGCCACTGATCAACATCAAGGATCTTTTAGTGAGGAAATAGGAAAGCCACTGAAGATGCCTACCACGGCCTTTTTCTGCATAACTTCCCTGGCCATGATTTTATCAAGTTTGGGTTGCTGTAATTTGTGTTATTAATACATTAGGAGAATTTTGTTTTATTTTATTAGGATAAAAATAGAGTATAGATATGATTATTAAACTTCACTTCTAAGAATTTCTGAGATGCCCTCTTCTCCCCCTTCCCACTGCAGAGGCACGGCCCTGCTAATTGAGAATCATCAGTTTTCTCCCCATTTCAGCATATGAAGGTCAGAGAAAATATATCTTGCGAGAAAAAAATGCATCAAAAAGGAAAACATTCCAGTAATTTTGGGAAGAAATAAGTATATTTTTGCTCACTAGTATCAGTGAGAAATAAATAGGAATTTGAAATAAGAATACCAGTGCTTCATTTCTGTATGCACTGATTCACATTACAGTTACTCTTTATTACAGGAGTTAATGGTGGTACTGTTATCTATTTAGAAAGATACAATACATATTTGACAAGGAGCACATGTGCTGAAGTCTTCACTTTCTGTGCATAAATAACCCCAGTCCCTTTAAGATGAGTTTGCTGTAGGAAGGCTTCATTGTGTTTAGTATTAAATTAAACATGAGTTCGATTTCAAAGGTTTGAAAGATGCACAGACCATTACACTAAAGGATGAGATTCAAGCCAAATGGTTTATCTTTTAAGTATATGCTTGTGATATATGACAGTCACAAAATGTTGAGGTATTAGTCCAACACTATATCTTAGTATTGAAATTGAAACTAAAGCTGTCCAACACCATGCAACTACCTGGTGACAGGACAAGTCCACAATCCTGACATCATACAAGCATGCACACATACATTTTTCATTTTAGACAAAGTGCCGAGACCAGCTCGGTCAGGGAGACCCTAACCCAGCGGTGCTAGAGGAATTAAAGACACACATATAGAAATATAGAGGTGTGCAGTGGGAAATCAGAGGTCTCACAGCCTTCAGAGCTGAGAGCCACGAACAGGAATTTACCCACGTATTTATTAACAGCAAGCCAGTCATCAGCATTGTTCATATAGATATTAAATTAACTAAAAGTATCCCTTATGGGAAACAAAGGGATGGGCCGAATTAAAGGAATAGGTTGGGCTAGTTAACTGCAGCAGGAGCATGTCCTTAAGGCACAGATCGCTCATGCTATTGTTTGTGGCTTAAGAATGCCTTTAAGCGGTTTTCTGCCCTGGGTGGGCCAGGTGTTCCTTGTCCTCATTCCAGTAAACCCACAACCTTCCAGTGTGCGCTTTATGGCCATCGTGAACATGTCACGGTGCTGCAGAGATTTTGTTTATGGCCAGTTTTGGGGCCAGTTTATGGCCAGATTTCAGGGGACTTGTTCCCAACACAAAGAATGGCAGAAAAATAGCCTGCTAGAATACATCATCTCTCTTTCCCTATTTTAAGGGAGCAAATCAAGGAGCCTGGAAAGGCAAGAGCTCTGTCAGGGCAAAATGAAGCTTTCTGTTCCACACTTTTGGAGCCTAGTCAAGGATGCAAGCCATTTCATCAGGTTATCCATGGGGTAAGAAACAGTGGTGAGGTCCTGGAGCTCCATGCCACCATCTGGCTGTGTTGACCTGTGGTTTGTGGCTCTAGCTGTTCTTTCAATATGCCATCAATGGTGGGGAGTTCAGAAAAAGGCTGGCTGCAGTGGCTCTTGCCTGTAATCCCAGCACTTGGGAGGCTGAGGTAGGTGGATCACCTGAGGTCAGGAGTTCAAGACCAGCCTGCCCAATATGGTGAAACTCCATCTCTACTAAATATACAAAAATTAGCCAGGCTTGACAGCATGTACCTGTAGTCCCAGCTACTCAGGAGGCTGAGACAGGAGAATCTCAGAACCTGGGAGGCAGAGGTTGCAGTGAGCAGAGATCGTGCCACTGCACTCCAGCCTGGGCAACAGAGTGAGATACCGTCTCAAAAAAAAAAAAAAAAAAACAGCTATGGTAGAAGTGAGCTATGTGACTTCTTAGGCCAGGTCATAAAAGGTGATATAGCTGAAAATATATGGACAAGGCAAAAAAGGCATTACTCTCCAGTGCCCACACAGAAATAGATGAAAATTGCAATGCAGCTTTTGGGTCCTAATCAGGGTAGCATGACATGCAGATAAGAGAACATCAAAAGCAAAACTTCTTACCACAGTGAGCATATCTGATGCATTCATGCTCCTGAGTCCAGAAATGCAAAAGTAGAGACAAAGTAATACGTTCCACTTCCAGATCCTAGAAAAGTTAGGTTGTCTTCTTCAAGATTAGAAATAAAGACAAGGCTGGGTGTGCAGGAAGCTGAGATGAGAGAATTGCTTGAACCCAGGAGGTCAAGGCTGCAGTGAGCTGTGCTTGTGCCACTGCACTCCAGCCTGGGTGACAGAGCAAGACCTTGTCTCAAAAATGAAAAAAAAGAAGAAAAATAGAGACTAGGCTGCTGGTGGTGGCTCATGCCTGTAATTCCAGGATTTGGGAGGTGGTGGTGGGAGGATCACTTGAGGCTAGGAGTTTGAGACTAGCCTGGCAATATAGTGAGACCCCGTCTCTACAAAAAAAATAAAAATTAGCTACACATGGTGCCTTGTGTCTATAGTCCTAGCTACATGGGAGGCTGAGGCAGGAGGATCACTGGAGCCCAGGAATTTGAGGCTGCAGTGAGCTACAACTGTGCCATTGCACTCCAGCCTTGGTGACAGTGACCTTGTCTCTGGAAAAAAAAAAAAAAAAAAGAAAGAGAGAAACTAAAACTCATACAAAGAAATCCTATTGACTCTTCCTGTCAAGCTTGCACAAGCAGATTCCTGGAACTTCCCGCATATGGCAGTGGTTTCCAAACCTTAGCATGTGTCAGAATCACTTGGAGAGCTTATTAAAACATAGATTGCTAGTCCCCAACGCCAGAGTTTCTGATTCAGTAGGTTTGGGATAGGGCCCTAAAATTTGCATTTCTAGCATGTTTCTAGCTAGATGCTGATATTCATTACCCACGGACCACATTTTCAGAATTCCGGCTCTATAGTGGACAAATAGCAGCTTCCAGGCTCTGAAGGGGCCACACTGAATTGTTATTTGGATACTAAAAGCCTGAAATTATCAGTATTATCAGCCCCTAAAATATTGCAGAATCGCTCTTATACCAGTTATTGATTTTACTGACATTTAGTTCCAAATTCTCCCTTTTTGCCTCATCTGTGAAAATGAATCTGGGCCCTTTAAATATTTTTTCTTTTGCCAAGTGGCATAATGTTGAGCATTGTCAGTAGAAGGCTCTGGAGACACACTGCAGGAGGAAAAGGTTTTGCCTTTTGGTTCCTGTGTGCTTGCTTGCCAGGTGACTGCAGCAAGCATGACTTCCCCAGCTTTCAGTTCCTGCAGTGCAGGGCAGAGAGCAGCACCCCACAGCCAGCCGCTGCAGTGGAGTACCTATAGAGAAACACCTCCCCATGAGCAGCTTTTCCATGGCACCCCAGAGGGCAGATTTCCCCAAAATTCCAGAGAATAGATTTCCAGCAAATTATGCCAACATGGCACCAGAGCTACTTTCTTTAGTGCCCTCTCCAACAAGGTCTGGCTCTCCTTCCTACCAAGGCTCTTCCTTCGGTGGCTGTTACGTTTTTTTTGGAGACAGAGTCATCACTCTGTCACCCCAGCTGGAGTGCAATAGCACAATCTTGGCTCACTGCAATCTCCGCCTCCCAGGTTCAAGCGATTCTCCTGCCTCAGCCTCCCAAGTAGCTGGGATTACAGGTGTGTGCCACCACGCATGGCTAATTTTTGTATTTTGAGTAGAGACAGGGTTTTGCCATGTTGGCCAGGCTGGTCTCAGACTCCTGACCTCAAGTGATCCACCCACCTCGGCCTCCCAAAGTGCTGGGATTACAGCTGTGAGCCACCTTGCCCGGCCTATATAATTCTGTATATTAAACCTCCTGTTCACATTATTATTGAGTGACTTTTCTCTCCTGATTGGACCCAGACTAAGACAACTACTGGGTGTACTATCCAACTGATTTATCGAAGATGGACTTGGGCAACTGTGTGGCTGTCCTTTCCTTTTAAAAAAAGAAACTTTTGCCACCTCTTATTTCTCAGATTCAATGCACATACCATTTGCCCATAGAATAAAAACATTTTGGCCAATCACAAGTGCCACAGACGGCAGTCCTGAAATTTTACCTTACCATACTTGTTCTACATCAGACAGTCAATGGGTTTCCTAAGGATACGTTGGATACCCTCAATTTGAGGGTACAGTTTCTCAGGCAGAAAGAGGGGCTTGGTTTTTTTGAGTCCAGGATTTCAAGATAATTTTAAAATATGGCTTGCTTTTTAGACATGATCTACCATCTGTTAGTCTGAAGGTTATACTGAAGGACTTTCTTAAAACCTCAAAGTAACTATGATGGAATAATCTAACAAAAATAATTTCCGACAGTGCTATGGCCACTGTAGTGCTCTTCACAGACTCCAGTCTAATAATGTGCTTATTTTATTGAATGGAAATTTGACCTTCTACCTAGTGGCCTGTAAATTTACAGTAATAACTAACATTTACTCAGCACCTATCATGGACTAGGTACTGTGTCAAGTGCTGTTAAGAACATTTTCTAAAACTTGGGGTCTGGCGTGGTGGCTCACGCCTGTAATCCCAGCACTTTGGGAGGCCAAGGCAGGCAGATCACTTGAGGTGAGGAGTTCAAGACCAGCCTGGCCAACAGGAGAAACCCCATCTCTACTAAAAATACAGAAAAAATTAGCTGGGTGTGGTAGCAGGTGCCTATAATCTCAGGTACTCAGAAGGCTGAGGCAGCAGAATGTCTTGAACCTACGAGGCAGAGGTTGCAGTGAGCTGAGATGGTGCCACTGTACTTCAGCCTGGGTGACAGAGCAAGACTCCATCTCAAAAAAAAAAAAAAAGAAAAAAGAAAACTTTCTAAAACTTGGAAATAAGCAAAAGAGGTCCTTTCAGGGTTATCTGAGCATTGTCTAACCAACTTGCCCAATGGTTATCAAATTCTTCATGAGTGTGTACCTTTCACTTGGTGTTTTCTCTTAATTAGCATATTTTAAATCTCATAAAGGTAGATATTAACTTGCAGAAGCTGACAGCCTGGGTTTCTCAACCTCAGCACTGTTGGCATTTGGGGCTGGATAGTTCTTTTGTGGGAGGCTGTCCTGTGCATCAAAGGATGTTTAGTATCATCCTTGTTCTCTACCCACTAGATGCTAGTAGCACCCGCCTCCCCTACCTCCAACAGAGTTGTGACAATCAAAAATAACTTCAAACATTGCCAACTGTCCCCTGGAGGGCAAAATCGTCCCCACTTGAGAACTGTTGATTGTGATACAAATTAAATTTGTCCAGTAGAGATGCAAATGATTTTTTTGGTAGAAAAGATCATCCTAAAAGTTACTGTTATAGTGCTCTACACATTAACCAGTTTTATATCAAATTGATGATCTTATTCAAACACTCTTCTTTCAGCCACCACGAATACTTTGCTGCCTCCAATTCTCTTTGAACAAGATTTACCATCTTACCAGGCTAAGTGAATAAATCTTTGAGTCATGTTCTCTTTATATTGGTATGAGAGTCATATTTTCAACTTTTGGAAAGTATATTTTGACAATACTTTACATACATTATTTAATCATTATAACAACTATATAAACATGAAGCTTTGAGTAGTAAAGTAACTACCCAAAATGTCATGGCTTACAAGTTTCAGAGCCAGATTTGGAACCCAAGTTTGCATGGCCCAAATAGTGAGTTCTTAACCACCATGCTATACTGTATTATGAAGCTAGCCCCAAAACTCTATGACCTAGCTTGCCACTATCATGCATGTAGCTTGCAATTACACCTCTGTTATCTTGGCTACCCACACTACATTCTAGGAAGAGGCTTCACAGTTCAGAATCCAAGAACCAATCAAAGAAGCCCTTTAACTTTGGAACATGCTGTGCTCACTTAATTGTATTATCACAGGAGGCTGATTGAGGAGTACCTGGAATCTGTAGCTACTCAATTCAAGACACTCCTTGAACTTATCTCCATGAGTGAGTTGGTGCTTTCTCCAGGCAAAAGAGAGACCCAGCAGGAACTCTGCAGAGACTCACTTATCCTGATACTCACATTTTTGTCCCTCTTCCTATTTTACAAATGGTGGATGGATATGGTAGAATAAAGCACAAAGGCATCAAAGATTGATGATATCAGTACTTAATGCTATTTGGTTTAGGTCTATGCTGATCTTCATGTCTTCTCCATCTATGCTGCTTTTTTTTTTTTTTTTTTTTTTTTTTTTTTTGAGACGGTGTCGCTCTGTTGCCCAGGCTGGAGTGCAATGGCCCAGTCTCAGCTCACTGCAACCTCTGCCTCCTGGGTTCAAGCAATTCTTGTGCCTCAGCCTCCCAAGTAGCTGGGACTACAGGTTTATGCCACCACACCCGGCTAACTTTTGTATTTTTAGTAGAGATGGGGTTTCGCCATGTTGGCCAGGCTGGTCTCGAACTCCTGGCCTCGAGTGATCTACTCACCTCGGCGTCCCAAAGTTCTGGGATTACAGGCGTGAGCCACCACACCCGGCCTGTGAATGCTTATTAGACTTTCTACTTAAACAGCCATTTACCTAAGTCTTGAAGTTCTGAGGAGGTAACTCAGATTATACTTCAAGTAGCTATATCTCAAGTTATACCTCAAATAGCTATAACTTGTAGAGTGCTTATCATATACCAGCCACCATTCTAAGCTCCCTACATAGATCTCATTTAATACTCATAAAATTCTATTAGGATCGTGCCACTGCACTCCAGCCTGTGCGACAGAGTGAGACTCCCTCTCAAAAACAAAACAAAACAAAACAAAAAACAAACAAAAACAAAACAAACAAAAAAAAACCTCTAATAGGAGATATTTTTACTTTTCAGATGAGGAAAATGAGGCACAAAGATGTTAAGTAACTTGACCGAGGCCACACAAGTATTGGCAGAGCCAAATTCAAATTTGACTTCAGAGTCCGTGCTCTTAACCACTGGACTCTATTGGCAGAAGTGACTGTCTATCAGATTGGCAGGAGTAAAATGATAGTGTCAGAAGAATAAGATTTTGTTGTGAGTGAAAGCCAACTATGGGGTTGGTGGTGTGGGTGGTAAAGAAGAATTTACCAAGACAGTTATAAATAAAGAAAGCTAGATTTATTAGAGAAAGTATGAAAATATGTTGCAAGGAAGTAATGGGCAAGTCAGCAAGAGAGGAGCTGACTGCAAGGAGACAAAGGCTTGCTGGGGATTTTATAGGATAGTACTTGTGCTGGAGAGAGTTACATGCAGTACCGATAATGCCAAGGCTGCAGTGAGCTAACTTGCATTTTTCTATCAGCCAAGGGTCTGGGCACAGGAAGATTGTGAGTTATTTGCGCAGGAGGGTTATGTGTCCTGGACTGTGAAGAAAGGCAGACTTAGAGATTATCTGCTTTTTCTTTTTGCCTTCCTCTGCTCCCGCTAGCTTGACTCCTTTTCCCTAATTAGGGCTCCACAGACTTCACTAAGGACATGACTAGCTGAGTGTTTGGGAGTCCTAGATAGGTGGAGCATGTAAGATGAGAGCTCCTCAAGACCTCTATTTTTATGTGGTCCTTACTGTCCTGCAGAGGTGTTGCAAGGCTCAGAAAAGAAGGTCCCTTGTTCTCGCCTATGATCACCCTGATAATACTGGATTTAGGACGTGTTGTTCAGCTGGTCTACAGCTGCTAGAAATAGCAGATTCATTTGGTGGGAAAGTTGAAAGTTGACATCTATATTGGATAATCTCAGGTATTATTATTATTACTTTTTTTTTCTTTTTGAGTTGAAGTTTCACTCTGTTGCCCAGGCTGGAATGCAGTGGTGCGATCTCAGCTCACTGCAACCTCCACCTCCCGGGCTCAAGAGATTCTTGTGCCTCAGCCTCCCAAGTAGCTGGGACTACAGGCACCCCCTGCCACCCCCAGCTAATTTTGTATTTTTAGTAGGAATGGGGTTTCACCATGTTGGCCAGGCTGGTCTCAAACTCCTAACCTCAAGTGATTCACCCACCTTGACCTCCCAAAATGCTGGCATTACAGGCGTGAGCCACCATGCCCAGCTATTACTATTATTGCTTTTAGTAAGCCACAAACCATGTGAAGAAGTAATGTTTACTTCTTGCAGTTGGAAACTTTGACTCAAATCACATTTAAGCATATTTGTAAGGTAAAAGAGTGATTAAAAAGCTTGAGACATTAGTAATAGAGATAATATAAACTGCCTGAAAATGATTTATTTCACCCAAATACCTACAGGAACACAAAGCGCTTTCCACCATTCATGCCACCTATTCTACTATATCCATGAAAGGTAGGGCAACCCTAAGAAGTGTTACTACACTTGACAACAAAGGAAAATGAGGAACCAAGATGTTATTTGAGGCCACTCAAGTAGTCAGTGTTAGAGCCAGACTTGTTTGGTTTATTTCAGTATAAATTGTGAACTACTTATCCTTTCCAATCCAATATACTTCCTTCTCTCTCTCTGTCTCTTTTTTTCTTTCCAATAGGCTTGCAATAAAGCAGTTACCAAAACAAAAGGAAAAAAACTTTTTAGGGCATAATAAGTCTGGACCTGTGTGGAGGCCAAAGCAATTCCATCTTCAATGTCTAATCCACCATGTTGGCTTCTGATTAACCCCAGGTCCAAGAAGGGCTCTAAGATTTTCAGTTTATCTACTGTCCCTATGTAAGAGCAGGTACATACCATAGATCCTGCCCTTAGATCAAACAATCTTGGTGTTGTCATACTTCGATTGTCCTACACATCCCTTCTGAACCACTCTTTCCCTAGGGAATATGAGCTCTGGGTCTGGGGGGTAATTGCACAGGGATCCACCATCTTGTTTTGCCTCTGCCCAAGACACAGACATGCCTTCTGTTCCTAAGTCCTTAATACATACATTTTTTTCTTTTTTTTTTTTTTTTGAGACGGAATTTTGCTCATGTTGCCCAGGCTGGAGTGCAATGGCGCGATCTCGGTTCACTGCAACCTCTGCCTCCGGGTTCAAGCGATTCTACTGCCTCAGCCTCCTGAGTAGCTGGGATTACAGGCCCCCGCCATCACACCCAGCTAATTTTCTGTATTTTTAGTTGAAAGGAGGTTTCACCATGTTGGTCAGGCTGGTCTTGAACCCCTGACCTCAGGTGATCCACCCACCTCAGCCTCCCAAAGTGTTGGGATTACAGGCGTGAGCCACCGCGCCCGGCCTAGATGTTTTTTTTCTAAGAAACGGAATTCGTCAGCCTATTCCTTTGGCCTCCCAACTTCCTTGGACTTTGGCAGCAAACTTGCATAGACGTGCCCACCATGGAACAGTCTACATTTGTAGGGTCCTCTGTCTTTTGGGGAGTCCTTTGCTGCCAGAAGAGGAAGAGGAAGTCAGGGATGGAGCATAAGGGAAGTGACAGCAATGGCTGGTCATGCTGAAAAATGAAGCAGCTGAGTTGAAAAGCACATGGGACTGGGAAAGCTGGGTTCTCAGCCTGACTCCGATGCTTGGCCATGAGCATGTCATTTAACCTCCCTAAGCCTAAGGAAGCTGAGCTTCCCTCAAAATTAAAATTATTCGTTTCTGCTTCATGGTATTTTATTTAAAGAGTTCATGAATATAGAGCATCTAGCCAAGTGCCTGGCACCTGGTGGGTGTTCACTATTATTAGCTCCATCTTTCAATCCCAACTCTCCTCATTCCATCCTACAAACCTAAGATTTGTTCTTAAATTCAAATAACAAGTTATGAAATCACCTGAGAAACTCTAAAGGGTTCTGCAAATATTAAAGATGTTAAAGGTTAAAAGACAGAGCTAAGTCTATCACTGTGGCTAAAGGAGGTCATCCATAACCTTGGAGTTTTAAAAAGTATTATTCTTTCCTCTTCAAGGCTTCCCTTGATATTCATTTTAATTATTTAATTATTTTCACCTTATTAAAAAACAAATGGGTACAGTGGAACATGTGGTATATTTTCTCTTAGTACCTAAAACTCCATATAAGGGTGGCCCTCAGCCTTTGCGGCATTAGATCATCCAACCTATGCATACCACCCACCTTCTCCTACTCGAGGACCCCTGAATCCCAGCTGTAAAATTGTATTGAGCTGCTTTGCCTTGCTCTCTTGGATTGCTTGCTCTGGGAAAAACCAGCCAACCCATTGTGAGAATACTCAAGCTATTCTGCGCAAAAACCCATATGGCAAAACAGCAGGACCACCTGCCAAGAGCCAGCACCAGCTTGCCAGCCATGTGACAGGCACCATCTCAAAAGTAGGTCCTCCAACTCCAGTCAAGCCTTCAGATGACTGAAGCTCAGCTGACACCTTGATTTCAACTTTGTGAGAGACTCAGAGGTAGAATCACCAGCTAAGTCACTCCCAAACTCCTGACCAAAGAAACAGTACAAGGTGACTGTGTTATAAGCTGCTAAGCTTTGGGTAACCTGTCAGGCAGCATTAGATAACTAATACACAACTCCCTTCCAATTGTTGGCTGAGGCTGATTTGAATTGCTCTCTGCCACTCCTAACCAAAGAAATTCTGAATAACACACCTACTGTATCAGAATTGCTTGGGATGGGTCCTGGGCACCTGTATGGTTTAAAAGCTCTGCAGATGATTCTGATATGCAGCCCCACGTTAAAAACCTCTTTTATTTGGGGATGTAGATATTTAACATATAATGATAACCCACTGCTTTCAAATGCTAAATTTCCTTCTTACTTTCATGATACATTGTTAGCCTTAGGTCCAGTTTTTAGGTCAATGGGAGCTCAGGTAGGCTTCTCCAAAATTAGGGAAATTTAAGAGTTTTATTTCCCCTCTATTTCTAACAGAGCAATGAGCAAAAAAGATTAATTTTCATTACTTTACTCTTGAATATCCATCTTGGCTTCAGTGTTCCAGGGGAACACCAGAGGTAATTTATGTGTAAGACTCCTTGGCTGTGGAACAATTTACAACTGCTCCCATGACATTCTGTTGCCAGCCCCTGACTCAGATGTACTAATTCTTTCATACAACATTCAACTTATATATATATATATATATATATATATATATATATATATATATATATTTTTTTTTTTTTTTTTTTTTTTTTTTTTTTTTTTTGAGATGGAGTCTCGCTCTGTCGCCCAGGCTGGAGTACAGTGGCACGATCTCGGCTCACTGCAATCTCCGCCTCCCGGGTTCACGCCATTCTCCTGCCTCAGCCTCCCGAGCAGCTGGGACTACAGGCGCTCAACAAATATTTTTAAAGTACATGTCAAGTTATCTTTTACCCAGAGAAAATGAGGGCAATGATGAGATGCTGGTACTTGTGCCTGGTCCTCACTCATAGATATAAACCAAAGATACTTAATTTCCAAACCTGGAACTTGAAAACAGAATCAATAAATTGTTCAGCATCTCTGCCCCATCCCCTCTCTTTATCACAAACATGGAGGCAGTCACACATTAGCAAATTATTTTAAAATCTTACTAAGGAATCTAAATTACAAAGATCTTGGCCACCAATTGACAATGGAGTCAACCATCTACCTAATATCCTAGTAATTACCCTCACTTCCTCTCTCTCTTCACTCCACTTATGGAAACAGCCCCCAGATCCTATTATTTTTACTTCAGAAATCTCATATTCAGACTTTCATTTGTCTCTGCAACTACAGCCTTTGTTCAGAGCACCTTTGCTCATTCCCTGTCTAGTTTATTACAACAGCCTCTTAACTGGTGGCTTTGACAGTAATCTTCCTCTCTCCAGCCTACCCTGCACATAGCTGCCTGAGTTGTCTTTTTATTTTAAATTGTGAATTGTATCGTGCCACTCATTTGACTAAAAATATGCCATTTCTGTCATGTACCCCCTAATGTGTACGCTGGGAAGGGTACGCTACTTTTATAGTATTGTTGCTGAAAATGTGTACCCTTGATCTAATTATGAGAAAACAGCACATAAACCCAAATTAAGAAACATTCTATGAAACAAATGACCAGCACTCTTCCAAAGTGTCAAGGTCATGAAAGAAAAAGACTGAAGAACTGTCACAGACTGGAGAAGACTAAGTAGGCACAACAACTAAAGGCAATGCCAGATCCTGGACTGGATTCTGGAACAGTAAATGAACCTTAGTGAGAAAACTGGTGAAGTGCAAATAAATTCTGTAGTAGTGCTATGGTACCAATGTTTTAGTTTTGATCATTGTATATCATCAAGCAAAATGTTGACAGAGGAAGCTGGGTGAAAATGATATGAAGACCCTCTGTACTGCTCTTAGAAAATCCTAAAGTCCGAAATTATTTCACAAGGTGATGGAAAAGAAAGCAGGAAAAAAAAGTGTATCCCATTGCATCAAATTCTAATCAACTATATAGGCTTAGAGGAAAGAGAGAGAGAGAGAGTGAGAAAGAGAGACAGATAGAGGGGTGGGGAGCGTTGGAGAGAATATGAACGCATGTCTAGCAGGTACATGAGATGAGATGTGAATTTACAAGACAAACCATCAGCTCCCCCAAATGCACATATAGTATGAACATCCCACTGTGCTAAATGTGGTTTAACTCTTGAGAGAATGTGATGCCTAATTGCAAGTCAGTTACTTTATCTGGCACTCAACTGAAGAAACAGTGGTCTGTTCCAGCACTACAGGAAAAAATGATTGTGCTAATTTATTGGATGTGGCAGAGAAGCCCTCCCAATTTCCATCTGCCCCTTCTTCTTTAGCAATAAAAATCCTGGTTTTCAGATTAGAACATTGTCTCCCTGAGAAAAGAAATTTCAGTATTTCTCTGTGTATTTGGAAAAGGGTATAATGTAATAATAAAATGCAGAACTTTGGTGTCCATCATTTAGAACAGAATCAAATCTGGCTGTGTGATTTCAAGAAGCTAAGTCTTGAGACTTAGTCACCTTGTCTATAAAACAGAGATAATGACAAACTTGCTTTATAAAGTTGCTTTGAAGATTAAATTTTTTATCCTACACTTTACATTTATCACAGTAATCTGGCATAGGACACATGGCCTTTACATATTAGTTATTATTATTTAAAGATGTAAACAAAAGTCTAAAATTTGTAGCAGTGGAAGGCTAAGGGTAAGACATTCAAGTACAGCTGTTGGCTTATAGTTCTTTGGATATTGCGCTAATGTGTGTTCCAGTAATCCAGTAATCAACGGTTTTGAAATTGTGAGCTGGCACTCAGCTTTCCTTTTTCATTGTAGACTTTACTTCTTTGCTCACTCTTACATTCTCTACATTCTATCCACCAAATCATCTAATCACTCTAGTTTCCTAAAATGAAGAATCTATCCTTCTGATCTAGTGCCCAGAGAAGGGAAACTAGGAAGGAAAGATGAATATATTTGTCCGAGTGCCAATGCCAGCCCTCTCCCAGTCTGAAGACTTCTTTACCTGATGCACTTTTCATCTTTCATTTTCTCTCTCTTCTCTTCCTTCTGCCTCTATATAATTGATATCCCTATCAAATAGTTTAATTACTAAAATTAGGTAGATATATGTGTGTGGGGGGCAGGCAGGCTGTCACTCTGTCATCCAGGCTGGAGTACAGTGGTGTGATCTTGGCTCCCTGCCACCTCTGCCTTCCAGGTTCAAGTGATTCTCCTGCCTCAGCCTCCTTAGTAGCTGGGATTACAGACGAGCACCACCATGCCTGGCTAATTTTTGTATTTTTAGTAGAGATGGGATTTCACTAAGTTGGTCAAGCTGGTCTCGATCTCCCAACCTCAAGTGATCTACTCACCTCAGCCTCCCAAAGTGCTGGGATTACAGGCATGAGCCACTGCACTCGACCTAGATAGATACACCTTTTTTTTTTTTTTTTTTTTTTTTTTTTTCTGAGACAGAGTCTTGCTCTGTCGCCAGGCTGGAGTGCAGTAGCACAATCTCAGCGCACTGCAACCTCCGCCTCCCAGGTTCAAGCGATTCTCTTGCCTCAGCCTCCTGAGTAGCTGGGACTACAGGTGTGCACCACCACGCCCAGCTAATTTTTGTATTTTTAGTAGAGACAGGGTTTCACCCTGTTGGCCAGGTTGGTCTCAATCTCTTGACCTCAGGTGATCTGCCTGCCTCAGCCTCCCAAAGTGCTGGGATTACAGGTGTTAGCCACCACGCCCAGCCTAGATACACTTTTTTAACAGCCAGAAGTTATAAATAATTTCAGCCATAGGCTGGACGTGGTGGCTCATGCCTGTAATCCCAGCAGTTTGGGAGGCTAAGGCAGGTGGATGGCTTGAGCCCAGGAGTTCAAGACTAAAAACATTAAAAATTAGCTAGGTGTGGTGGTGAGTGCCTGTAGTACACTGGGAGGCTACTCAGGAGGCTGAGGTGGGAGGATCACCTGAACTTGGGAAGTCGAGGCTGGAGTGAGCCATGATTGCACCACTGCACTCCAGCCTGGGTGATGGGAGTGTGACCCTGTCTCAAAAAAAAAAAAAATTCTGTAGTATTCAAGCACCATTTTAAAAGTTGCCTTAAAACACACACACACACACACACACACACACACACACACACAGAGAACATCTATAGTCCAAAAACATGTTTCCAACCTGTGAGCGAAAAATTATTACAATAAAAGTAGTGATGAGGCCGGGCACGGTGGCTCACGGCTGTAATTTCATCACTTTGGGAGGCCAAGGCAGGTGGATCACCTGAGGTCAGAAGTTTGAGACCAGCCTGGCCAACGTTGTGAAAACCTGTTTCTACTAAAAATACAAAAATTAGCCAGGTATGGTGGCACCCACCTGTAGTCCCAGCTACTCGGGAGGCTGAGGCAGGAGAATCACTTGAACCTGGGAGGTGGAGGTTGCACTGAGCCGAGATCACACTACTGCACTCCAGCCTGGGCAACAGAGTGAGACTGTGTCTCAAAAAAATAAATAAATAAATAAAGTAATGGCCAGGCACGGTGGCTCACGCCTGTAATCCCAGCACTTTGGGAGGCTGAGGCGGGCGGATCACCTGAGATCGAGAGTTCAAGACCAGCCTGACCAACATGGAGAAACCCCATCTCTACTAAAAATACAAAATTAGCCAGGCATGGTGGCACATGCCTGTAATCCCAGCTACTCGGGAGGCCGAAGCAGGAGAATCGCTTGAACCCAGGAGGCGGAGGTTGCGGTGAACCAAGATCGTGCCATTGCACTCAGCCTGGGCAACAAGAGTGAAACTCTGTCTCAAAAAAAAAAAAAAAAAGTAGTGATGGATTACCTAAATTAGGGTATCAGCAGCAAGTCAATTTCTAGTTAGAAAAAAATCGTAAAATGTCATATATGCAACTGTAAGCAAAGCATCATGGTAGCATCATGTGAGAAATCAGGCCTGTTGGACTTCCTTGACCATTTAGTTGTTGTTGTTGTTGTTGTTGTTGTTTTTAGAGGCAGAATCTCACTCTGTCACCCAGGCTGGAGTACAGGGATGCCATCGGAACTCACTGCAACCTCAAACTCCTGGGCTTAAGGGATGCTCAGTCTCCCAAGTAGCTGGGATTACAGATGCATGTCACAGTGCCTGGCTAATTTTTTAAACTTTTTGTGGAGATGAGATCTTGTTATGTTGTTCAGGCTGGTCTTGAACTTCTCAGTTCAAGCGATCCTCTCACTTCAGACTCCCAAAGGTTTGGGAATACAGCCATGAGGCACCACGCCGGGCCTGACAATTAGTATTTTTATTTGGAATCACATACAGTGATGGAGGTGGGAGGCCATAATCTTTCAGTCATTAGATCCCCTAGCAGTCTTAATTCAGTCTGCTAGATTTGATAGAAATCAGAGGATAAGAGAGCAGGCCTGTGGGGCAGGAGGCATCAGAAGAAGGGGAAACCTACTTCCCTTATAAATTTCTAATAGTAATGCCTTTGTAACTCTAGCTATATCCTCTGGCATCTCTTTTGATTTTTCCCCTTATTCATCCCCTATATTCAACTCTGTCTTTTCTTTGAAAATATTATCTGGATTTTTGCTTTAATCCCTTCCCTTTGCTATTATTGTGTAGCCTAAACTTTTATCATGCCATTTCAGGATTCTTTAAACAATTTTCTCATCTGGTCTTCTTGATGACAGTTAATCCCCTGGCTCTTGTCTAATGAATCATTCTATACTACTACTTTCATCATATGACTCTAGTGCTTTAGAATCTAAAAAACGATCTCCATTGCTTAGTGATTTATCCAAACTTTTGGTTTGACTTGTAAAGTTCCTAATAGTTTTATACCACCTGAATTATTGAATGTGGTCTCTCCTGCTTCTTAACATGGTTTATAATCAGACAGGTCTTTACTTTCCTTTACTCCTTGCTCATGTCATTGTTCTTCCACTACACCAAAGGTTGTTGTATTTTGCTGTCCAGAATCAGTTTTACCTTTTGGTAATATTTCTCAGAATTTTTTGGGGAACCATCAGACCCTTACTTAGAGTCCATAAATTTGGATATGGCTGACTCCACAGCCAGCTCTAGGGTAGCATGTGACCCAAACCTGGCCAATCAGAGCACCTCAGTCCCTTGGTTACAGCACTTGAGTGAAGGGCACAAGATGCAACTTGGTCCAATCCAGCCCTGCCTAGAGCTTCTGTTAGAATTTTTAGAAAAGAATAGTGTTTGGGAAAGCCAAGAAATAGCAAGGGAGAAGTTCCTGATGATGATATAATTTGAGCCTCTAGATCTATCTATGCCTGATCTTTTTAGTTACAAACAATAAATCCTTCTGCCTTTTGGCTTAAACCTACTTGAATTGGCTTGCAAGGAGTACTCCTACCTCTTTGCTTCTTTGAGTTAAATTCACTCTTTGAGATCTAGCTGTCATGCCCCTTTCAAACTGTTCTTTCCTTTCCTTAATTCCCACTACACCCTCCTTAATCCATACTGTTTTAACACTAAATTGTCTCAACTGTCTAACATTTTCTAGTTTTGCTTTCCCAATGGGCCATAAGTTTACTGAGGGCTTGGACCATGAATTACATTTCTCTTAGTTCTCAAAGCTTAAGAATGTCTCATACTTAAGATGCAGATTGATAAATTCTTAAGATAAGTTACTTTTCTTTAAGAAATCAGTAGTAAGAATCTCAAAAACAAATGAAAACTGGGCAAATTATTGCTAATCAGGACCTAGATATTTAGGTAATTCTGTTCCATCTTCCTGATTTCAAAAGAAACACATCAGGAACGAAGGGAAAAATGATATTTGTTGGGCCTTTGGAGGGGCCCAGTAACAACTGTTTGTTTTAAAATGTAGATGTTATTATTTAGGTATGGTGAGGCCAGCAGATGATGAGATGACTGCCAATGAAGAGACAGCTTGTGACTCACAGTTCCCAAGAGGGAAGGGGCACAACAAGCCACACAGGGCCACACGGGGAAGCACCAGTGTCGGTCAGGAGGCAGAAGAAGCAAGAGGAAACCATGGGCATGAGCCTTTATCATCATTTCTACAGGAAAGAGAAGGGGAGGGGAGGGCAAGGGAGGAGAGGGAAGGGAAGGGGAAGAGAGGGAAGAGGAAGGGAAGGGAAGGGAGGGAAGGAGAGGGGAGGGGCAAGGCAAGGAAGGAGCAAGGCAAGAAAAAAGGCAAGGCAAGGAAGATGTAGGATTGCTTAGTTTTAATAATTTCAGCTGTCTCTGGGGTGTAGGGACTGTCCTGAGTTGCGTGGTACCTGACCCTAGGTTGATTAGGGCAGGGGAAAGTTGGCTTGTGTATAAGAGTTCGATAAAGGAGGTGGTTGGGGGATATGAGTTCTGGACTGTTCAATTTGCCAATGAAAGGCAGAGAGGAGTTGTTGACTATCTCTAGGAACTAGCTAGTCTGGGAAGAGTCAATCTCTCCCTGGCCAGTGAGGCTGCAGATGCCAGGGAATCAAGAATACTGAATATAAGAAGATATCTTTATACACTCCCCTCTTTCCCACTGGGCTCAGAAGAGATTAAACAATAAGACGAAGAAGAAACTGATGGTGGCCAAAATGTCTGCTCAATCACAGGCAATAAAGCTACACTGGAAGAAATATGTTAATGTGAGAGTAAAATGAGCCTCCTAACTCTATCCAGAAATAGTCAGGCTTACTCACATCATGATAGGCAGTACTAAATGAGGACAACTAGGAAGAATTTTATGGAATGAGTAACAGAGAAGAAATTGTGCTTGATATAAGCAAATGTAATCCTAGGAGGAAAAAATAAGGTCAGGGGCTGAGCCAAGCAAGCCTAGTTTATTCTTTCCAGATGTACCAATCAGACGAGTTGCTCTACCTTTCCCAAACAGGATGAGTAAAGAATAGAGGAAGCCAAGGACTGTCGCTTGACTGAACTCCCTTTCTGTGGAAGCCTCAAACATGAGAAAGAAATATCACTGCCCACCCCCCTCCACCAACACCAAGAAACACTGACTTTTCTAGAGATTTTCGGAAGATAAAATCCTGACACATTCCTAGTTATGGTTCCAGCTTCAAGGTTTTACATTTTAAATCCAGAGTTTTAACTAATTGACGTTCAGAAGAAGAGAAATTATTCAACCCACATAGGGGTCCATAGGTGGGTTCCTACACTATAAAATTTAGGGTGAACTTTCAGACTCTCTGGTATGTGGGAAATATCCTGCTATGGCTCTTGGTTGCATACTCTCCTACTTAGACTTTTTTTTGAAAGAGCGAGGGGAAGGGCCAATAGGCCCAGACACTGGGGAACTATCATCTGGCAGATATGTTAGTAATGAATGACCTAGACATGAAATTTGAGGCCTAGAAAGGCCTCAAGGTGGTATGGGAAAACAGGAGAAAGTCATTTACAGTAGCATTCATGTTTACTGTCAACATTTATTCATCTATGTTAGGGTCAGCAAATTATGTCCTATTGGCCAAATTCAATCAGTCACCTGTTTTGTTTTGTGTTTTAAGTTTTATTGGCCGGGCACTATGGCTCATGCCTGTAATTCCAGCACTTTGGGAGGCAGAGGCAAGCAGATCACTTGAGTCTAGGAGTTCAAGACCAACCTTGGCAACCTGGCAAAACCTCATCTTTATAAAAAATACGCAAAATTAGCTGGGCATGGTGGTGCATGCCTGTGGTCCCTGCTACTCAGGAGGCTGAGTAAGAGGATTGCCGGGGCCTGGGAGGTTGAGGCTCCAGTAAGCCAGTGTCACGCCATTGTACTCCAGCCTGGGTAACACAGTGAGACCCTATCTAAAAAAAAAAAAAACTTTTGTTGAAACGCAGTCACATCACTCCTTTTTGTGTTCTTTGTGATTGTTTGCATGCTATAACAGCAGATTTGAGTAGTTGTAAGGGTCTCATGGCCTGCAAAGCTGAAAATATTTGTGCACTGATTCTCTGTAGAACAGTGGTTACCAAGTTTTTGGCATCAGGGACTTGTTTCGTGAAAGACAATTTTTCCACGGACCCCGGGTTGCAGAGGGATGGTTTTGGGATGATTCAAGTGCATTACATTTATTGTGCACTTCCTTTCTATTATTATTACATTGTAATATATAATGAAATAATTATACAGCTCACCATAATGTGGAATCAATGGGAGCCCTGAGCTTGTTTTCCTGCAACTAGACAGTCCCATCTGGGGGTGATGGGAGACAATGGCAGATCATCAGGCATTAGATTCTCATAAGGAGCACACAACCTAGATCCCTCACATGCGCAGTACACAATAGGGTCCATGCTCCTATGAGAATGTAATGCCAAAGCTGATCTGAGAGGAGGTGGAGCTCAGGAGGCAATGTGAACGATGAGAAGTGGCTGTAAATTCAGATGAAGCTTCACTTGCTTGCCTGCCACTTACCTCCTGTGTGGCCTATTTCCTAACAGGCCACCGAATGATATTGGTCCATAGCCTGGGGGTTAGGGATCCCTGTTATAGAAGTTTGTCAATGCCTGCTCTATATATGTTCATTGTAGGTTTACAGATTGCCCTCACTGTGCAAGGGACAGTGCTATGAACAGGGACAACCTATGCCTTAAATGAGTTCACATTCTACTGGGAAACCAGATATTTTAGCAGTGTGAGAAACTTAGTAACTGAGGAAGGAGTGACTCTTTCGGGGATGATAAGGTAAGGGGTTGAGAGGGAAGTCATGGGATTGACTGGAAAGATGGCCCGTGGCCCACATGGGAAGGACATTGTATGTTATGTGAGGGAACGTAAGACTCTGTCCAATAAATAGTGGAACACCATTGAGGGATTTGAATCAGAAGAGTAACATAATCAATTCCCATTGGACAAAAAAAAGTTATTTATTGAAAAAAGAATAATCTGAAGTCACTCTATATCTAGTGGCACTGGAGGAAAGTCTGGAGGCTGGCAGATTAGTTAAAAAGTGTTGGCCCAATGACTGTACTATGCCAAGCCCTGCCCCAAATAATTTTTATGTAAGCGTATTGATTAGCAAGTAAAGCACACACTAGCATTTCGTTTGGCATACAGCATAGAACACAATAAAGTAAACTGAAGCCAAACATTAATTAAATACACGTATTTAGTTAGTTATGTTTATAGTGTGGGTATATATTAAATCAGAGAGAATGCATTCCTTGAAGAAGATTTAGTTGGGTTTTTTTCTGTTTAAACATGAAGATAAAGTTATTTTCACTTGTCTTCTTAGAAGCAAACTCTCCCATCTCTACCCCACTGTTCGCCTTTCTTCTTTCATTTTTAAATTTTTTATTAAAGACAGGGTCTCTCTCTGTTGCCTAGGTTGGAGTGCAGCAGTACAATCATAGCTCACTGCACCCTTGAACTCTTGGGCTCAGGTAATCCTCCTGCCTCAAGCCTCCAGAGTAGTTAGGGCTAATTTTTTAATTTCTTGCATGTTGCCCAGGCTGGTCTCAAACTGCTGACCCCGAGCAATCCTCCCACCTCAGACTTCCAAAGTGCTAGGATTACAGGTGTGAGACACTGTGCCCAGCCCACCTTTTTTTTTTTTTTTTTTTTTTTTTGAGACGGAGTCTCGGTCTGTCACCCAGGCTGGAGTGCAGTGGCGCGATCTCGGCTCACTGCAAGCTCCGCCTCCCGGGCTCACGCCATTCTTCTGCCTTAGCCTCCTGAGTAGCTGGGACTATGGGTACCTGCCACCATGCCTGGCTAATTTTTTTTTCTATTTTTAGTAGAGACGGGGTTTCACTGTGTTAGCCAGGATGGTCTCCATCTGACCTCGTGATCCGCCCACCTCGGCCTCCCAAAGTTCTGGGATTACAGTCGTGAGCCACCGCGCCTGGCCCATATGAGGGTTTAATCTATCAGTAAAAGGATTGAGATGTATATGTTCTGTTTTGTTTCTGGAGCAGTGCTTTTCAAAACTTTAACATGCCTGTGAATCACTTGGGGATCTTGTTTAAATGCAGATTCAGATTCAGTAGGTGAGGTCTGAGATACTGCATTCCTAACAGTATCCCAGGAGATATAAATGAGCTGGTCCATACTTTTGAGTAGCAAATGTGGACTGCAGGTATCACCCATTAAGCGTTGGGTAGAGGGGAACCTTCCAGAGACTGAAAGGATTTTAAATGGAGAGACAGGAGTCACGATAGGGTGTTAGAGTGATTCTGCTAATTCAAATACGATAGCCCAATCTTACCCTTTATTAATAATTTCAGAAAACATCAGGGCCAGATGATAAAAACAGGCCAAGATCTTGGAGACTGGCTTTGCAGTGAAGGTGGAAGTAGAAAGTATCTTTCTTACTTGTGTGAGGGTCTCAGACAAAACACAAATCTTTTGCTCTGAACATCCTGTGGTACTCCCATCTTTGCCACTAAAAGTAACTTAAAATAACAAAAATAATCTGTAAGATAAATATGAGGAAGTCCAACCAAATTCTGATATTTCCCCCCATGATTACTATTTTGATGCTTCTTGGGGAAGTAATAAATACATAATTCAGCCAAGCACAGTGGCTCACACCTTTAATCTCAGCATTTTGGGAGGCTAAGATGGGAGGATCACTTGAGTCCAGGAATTGGAGACCAGCCTGGGCAACATAGTGAGACCTTGCCTCTACAAAAAATAAATACAATTAGCAGGGCATCATGTTGCATGCCTGTGGTCCCAGCTACTTGGGAGGCTGAGGCTGGAGGATGGCTTGAACCCAGGAGGTAAAGGCTGCAATGAGCCATATTCATGCCACTGCACTCCAGGCTGGGCAACAGAGCAAGACCTGGTCTCAAATACATACATAAATACATATATACATATATACATACATACATACATATCTTCCCAAAATGTTTTATTTGGGTGCAGTTGTTTGGCTAATACCCTAAGCATGCATGAGAAAGCATTGAATAACGTCAGTTCAGTGTATTCTTTTAACTTGAAATGTTCCCCAACAGCAACAAAAAGATTTAAAGGTTATGGGATGGGAAGATATCTTTGTAGGGACCATTATAGGATCCCTAGAAAGAGAGACTTATTCCTAGCAGTACATACCCTGTGATGTTTTTCTGTAAACTAACTTAGCACTAATCAGTTACACAAAATCCATTTCACTTCACTTTTTAACCACCCCCTCAAAAATTAACAACAATAATAGAATTTTCATTCCAAGTTTGAGAATAACCATTGAGAGCATTAAAACTATGTGCATACAAACACTGCAACTGGGTTCTGGTTCCTGTGATTAAGAAAGAATATAAAAATTCACTAAAGGTGTTCTGTGAGTTACCAGGAGTAATAAGACAAAAAACAATTTAATTATCGTACAAAATATTTAAATAAAAAAACTCACCAAAGGCACAAAGTGACCATTTACAGGAATCATATCCCTAGCTCCATAGTGGAGAGCATTCTTATTATTTTAAGAGCAAATTATAATATCCTTCATGTGGATCCAGGGACTAGAACAAAGAATACAAAGACAAAACTAGCTAGATCTAAGTCAAAGACTTAGAACTCTATGCAAAGGTTTTGCATAAAGAACAGAATTAATAGAGGAATCCCAAGAGTAAAAATAATAAATCCTAGAATGACGATGAGAATTATAAGGGAGCCCTTGTATTAAGTGAAAAAAGCCCCTACTTGCCTTTGCCTTTTTCCTTGAGGTTTTAGCTCAACAGTAGTTTGAGTCATTGTTGATATATAAACCAGATTTTTAACATAAAGCATAAGAAATTGTTTATTTTCTCTATAAACATACTCTGTGGGCAATCTAGTCTTTCAGTTTTGGTCAGCAAAATATATATTTTCTTACCCAACTAAAATGCTAAATCACTGCAAACAATTATTTACAAATTAATAAGATTTCCAAAAGTAAAACAACTTCATGAAACTTATTTAAAGATAGACAAGACAAACTTCAGCAGAGGCAGTAGATCCAGTGGTTAATCATTTCCTGGGCTTGCTTTCAAATTGAGGCTTTACTTATTAACAGCTGTATGACTTTGAGCAAGGTACTTAATTATAGTGTGCTCACTGGTTTTTTAAAAAGTGTGTGTCGGGGGGGTCCCAGCTATTCCAACCTGGGCAACACAGCAAGTCCTTGTTTAAAAACAAACAAAAAACAAAAAAGATGATACTATTGTATTAAGTTATATGTAATGATATATTACAGGGTTTAGTGCAGTGTCTGGCACTTGTAAATTCATTTATTCATTTCAAAAAGTGGTTATAGAAAAATCTCACTTTGTTAGATGCTGGGGATACAGGCATGAACAAAACAGATATGCCTTCTGCCCTCAGACATACAGTCTACTAGGCAAGGCAGTTAAAAGGTCAGTTAAAACCAACATAATATATATTACAAACTTTCAATGAGGCATTTAGCTGGGAAATGTGAGGCTAATAAAAATATATTTAGTAGCTGCTAAACGTTAATGTTTAAAAATATGTATATATACTTAGGATTAATAGATGAGAAGACTTGCACATTTCAAAGCCCTTATTTACAAACATTTATTGATTATGAAACATCCTTGAAAATAATGAGGGAGTAACTTCGTTGGTATGACTGGGAAAACAAGTTGAGTCTTCCTGGTTCAGACAATAGAGCATGGAGTTTGGTGAGTTAACATTGATATAATTAATGGACCTTATCTGAAATTCACCAGATGGATGAATTTGTGAGTGGTATTCATTTGCGTGTGGGTTGGTGTGTATATTAATTTTTAAATTTTATTTTATATTTTGTGGGGCGGTCTCCTGAGCCAAAGTAGGCTGAGAGAAACGCCCTAATTTTTATGCAATTGTATCTCGTGTGTAGATTTGTGTGACCACTGCTATAGTCAACATACAGGACAGTTCTACTACAAGTTTCCCTTGAGCTACCCTTTCATAAACATAGACACCGCCCTTACTCCCCACCACCGCCAACCCCAAGCGACTAATCATCTGTTCTCCATCCCTATAATTTTGTCATTTTGAAAATGCTACATAAATGTAATCGTATTACTTGAAGCCAGGAGTTCAAAACAAGCCTGGGCAACCAAGCAAGGGCCCGTCTCACAAAAGAAAAAAAAAATCAGCCAGGTGTGGTGGTGCACATCTGTAGTCCCAGCTACTCACAGAGGCTGAGGCAGGAACATCGCTTGAACCAGGAGCTCAAGACTGCACTGGGCCACTGTCACACCACTGCATTTCAGCCTGGGTGAAACAGTGAGACCCTGTCTCTAAAAAAAAAAAAAATAAAGTAAAATAAATACAATCATACAGTATGTAACCCTTTGAGATTGCCCTTTTTTCCATTCAGCATAATCCCTTTGAGATTCTTCCAAATTATTACATATATCAAGAGTTCATTACTTTGTATTGCTGAGTAGCTACAGTTTGTTTAACCATTCATCTGCTGAAGGACATTTGGGTTGTTTTCAATTTCTGGCTTTTACAAATAAAGCTGCTATGAACTTTTATGTACAGGTTTTTGTGTGTACATGTTTTCATTTATCTGAGATAAATGTCTAAGAGCGTAATTGCTGGGTTGTATGGTAAGTGCACGTTCAGTTTTGTAAAAAAAAATCACTATACTCTTTGCATGACAGTTCCCAGTGGCCTTGGACTGATCAACTTCTCCCCAGTTTCTCACTTGTATTAATAGTTCTCAAGAATAACTGTAGAATGTGCTAGGAATGCAATATCCTGAGATAAGGAGGGACTGGCTGAAACAGCCCAGGCTCTGTTCCAGTCCCTCCTAGAAACAGGATGTCCTTCATCATTTTAGCCCAACATGTCATGTTGCCTCCAGAATATAAAACCCAAGATGGTCTGCTTTCCAGGGTCACTCAGCTGTGGTACAAATGGGGTACACACAAATGAGACTCCATCCTTCCGGGGCAACTTTCCTGAGTCTCGGGAGATTGGCTCACAGTGAATCCTATGCTTCGGTTTTCCCTTGTTGCCTAGCTGTAAATAATAAATTCACTTCATGTAACTTGTACACATGGGTGTTCTGTCTCACCAGACTCAGTTGGTAACCAGTGCACAGCAAACCTGCTTTGCACTCTTTTCCAGAGTGGCTGCACCGTGTTACATTTCCAGCAGCAGTGTGCAAATGTATGTAAGCAGTTTAAGTGCTTAACCAACAGTTCTTCAGAATAACTAACAAAAGCACGATGGTGCTTTTTACTTATTAATTCCTGGAGATTAATTGGTCTCCTTCTGATAAAAACATTCCAAATCTTTCAGCTCAAATCACTCTATGGTTTGGGAAGATATCAGTGGAAGAAACTCACTGCAAAGAAGTTAAGTCAAAGAAGTCCTAAGAAAAGTGTTTTAAAACAAGGCTAAAACTTTATTCTAAAGACAACTGAGAGTAGGGAAGGTAACTAAGATTTATTGAGCCTATATACCAGGCATTTTTCAGTCTTTATCTCATGTATTCCTCCCAATGACCCTGTAAAAAGGGTAATATGTCTATTTCATAAATATTACAATTGCCGAGCTTGGTGGCCCATGCCTGTAATCCTAGTACTTTGGAGGCCAAGGCAGAAATATCGCTTGAGCTCAGGAGTTCAAGATCAGCCTGGGCAAAATAATGAGACCTCATCTCTATTAAAAATTTAAAAAAACATTAGCTAGGAGTGGTGGCGCATGCCTGTTGTCCCAGCTACTCAGGAGGCTGAGGTGGGAGGATCACGTAAGGCCAGGAGGTCAAGGCTTCAGTAAGCCATGATCACATCACTGCCCTCCAGCCTGGGTGACAGAGCCAGACTCTGTACCCCACCCCACTCAAAAAAAAGTAAGAAAGAAAAGAAAAAGAAATATAAGAAATATTGCAATTGAAGCTTTACATAATGTTTCATACAGGTTATGGAATTACTAGGTGGTGAAGTGAGAGTGAGAGGCCCATACTTGTAGCTTCTGCTGCCTTCAGCTCAGGGCAAAGAAACATAGAAGGCAATCAACATGTTTGTTGAAAAAAAAAAAGAATAAATGAATGAGTGACTTAACTTCAGCTCTGCTATTTATGTGTCCCTGGGCAGGAAAATTAATTTCTTTGAGTCTATTTCTTCATTTCTTATAGCAAGATAATAATGACATCTAGTTCACAGAGCTAAGGGACAAATAAGGTGATAAACTGGGAAAACAATTTGAAAAATATTAATTAAACAAATGTTAGCTAGCATAATATTTAAAAAGTACAGTCACAGTCATAAACAAATATTGATAAATATAGGTATGAGAGGAGGGTGGGTGTATGAAGATCACTTAATATCTCTGATTCCCTGGTTTCCTCACCTGTAAGATCACAACTGAGTTTAAAGCTGAGCACCTTCATGACACAGACTCTAAGACTCACCAAGTTAGGAGACAGAGTCAAGGAAGCCTCTGCACATAACTTTAATTTGAAAATGTTTATTCTACCTCCGAGGATATTTCAAAGTATGGAGCTGATTATCTTTATCCATGACATTCTGGCCTTTATCAATTAGGTCATTCAGACCTATATCAATACATTTAATGAATTACAACATGTAAAACTTCTGTGCATGTGTACATGAGAACAGTATTAGAAACAGCTACTACTATGAGTGTTTATACATAACTTCCGAACAATTAGTGTTTGGAAAAATAGACATTAGATAGAAAATCTGGAAGAATGGGCAAGGAATTGGTATATTGTGTCTGGAGAGGAACATAGCTGGCTAGGGACAGGTAAAACAATTATTCACACTTGGCCGAGCGTGGCGGCTCACGCCTGTAATCCCAGCACTTTGGGAGGCCCAGGCAGGTGGATTGCCTGAGTTCAGGGAGACTAACCTGCGCAACATGGTGAAATCCCGTCTCTACTTTAGTATTTTCAAATACAAAAAATTAGCCAGGTGTGGTGGCGCATGCCTGTAATCCCAGCTACTCGGGATGCTGAGGCAGGAGAATCGCTTGAGCCTGGAAGGCCGGGAGGTTGCAGTGAGCTGAGATCGTGCCACTGCACTCCAGCCTGGGCAGCAGAGCGAGACTGTCTCCAATTCATATTTGTAATCCTTTGCACTTTCTTTTTGAATTTTGAAACATGTATTACTGCATTACTATTAATAGACTCACGTTTTAGAAAACTTTTATATAAAAATGTTGTCATTTTAAGCATTACCTTTATTTCAACTATTAATTTAAATTATGAAAATATGAAGCCACTTCACTTTCAATATGGTTGTAACTTTTTAACAGACTTTGTGGTCACTGGGCATATTTAACCCCTCGAATAAAGCAATCTTTCCCTTTTATCATTACTTTGTAAGACTCATTTGCTGGGTGGTGGATTAAATTGAACAGAATAAGTTATTTCTTTTTCTTTTCTTTTTTTTTTTTTTTTGAGACGCTGTCTCGCTCTGTCGCCCAGGCTGGATGGCACGATCTCGGCTCACTGCAAGCTCCGCCTCCCGGGTTCACGCCATTCTCCTGCCTCAGTCTCCAGAGCAGCTGCGACTACAGGCGCCAGCCACCAAGCCCGGCTAATTTTTTGTGTTTTTAGTAGAGACGGGGTTTCACCATGTAAGCCAGGATGGTCTTGATCTCCTGACCTCGTCATCCGCCCACCTAGGCCTTCCAAAGTGCTGGGATTACAAGCGTGATTCACCGCGCCCGGCCCCAGAATAAGTTATTTCCCAAGAGCCACCCTTAGATGCTGGTAGGTGTAATGGTCTTCCCAAGACCAGGTGCTGGATAGAAGGTCCTTGCATTTTCCTCATCTGTTGCCATCCTCAGTAAAGGAGGAATTAGGACTGCCGCAAGCCCCTAAAGACTGGAAAGATGGGACGGGCGCGATGGCTCACGCCTGTAATCCCAGCAATTTGGGAGGCCGAGGAGGGTGGATCGCCTGAGGCCAGGAATTCCAGACCAGCCTGGCCAACATGGTGAAACCCCATCTCTACTAAAAATACTAAAATTAGCCGGGCGTGGTGGCGCGCGCCTGTAATCCCAGCCACTCGGGAGGCAGAAGCAGGAGAATCGCTTGAACCCAGGAAGCAGAGGTTGCAATGAGCCGAGATCGCACCACTGCACTCCAGCCTGGGCGACAGAGTGGGGAAAAAAAAAAAAGTGAAAAGATGATGGCGCCCACTTCCGACCCCCTTAAGTAATTAAAAATAGGAATTCATTTAGGAAGTGAATTAAAACTTAAATTAGGGTGGATACAAGACGTTCCTTCTAGACTTTCTGAAATAAAAATTCCGAATAAAATCATCAAAGCCGAACTTTTCCTTTTTGCCTTTCCCTTCTTTGCTAGTGCCTGGGACCGCGTTCAGCCTCCAGCTCAACAATCCGGCACTCGCCGGCTTTTAAGTCCCACCCACGCGGCCGCGCACAGGTAACGGCAGTGCCAGTCCCACCCCACCTACGAGCTCCTCCTCCGCCTCCCACCAAGGGGCCTTGGCCCCGCCCTTGGAAGCGTGGTTGTGACGTCAGCGCGCTGTCTCCGAAGCCCGGCAGCAAATGAGCGCAGACCGCACGGGCCCTCCGCGTACCAAGGCACACGCATGCGCATTGGTTCTGGGAGCCCTGAAGACCTGGCGGAGCCCAGCGCGGATGGAGGCCTGAGGGTGGCGGGGGCGGAGCGCGCCGCGAGCTGGGGGCATGTCCGCGGCGGGCGCCGTCTAGAGGAAGGCCAAGCAGCCGCCACCACGCTGTCGGTCGCGGAGAGACGCAAGCGAGCCAGGCCGAGGGCCGCGGCGGCGATGCAGCGACGGCGTCGCCCTCCGCCGCCCACCTCCCGGCTGCCCGAGGGCTGCGGGGGAGGAGGCGGTGGCAGCGAGGAGGTGGAAGTGCAGTTTTCCGCCGGGCGTTGGGGCTCGGCCGCGGCGGTTTCGGCGGCAGCGGCGGCGGCCACGCGCAGCACCGAGGAGGAGGAGGAGAGGCTTGAGCGTGAGCACTTCTGGAAGATCATTAATGCCTTCCGCTACTACGGGTAAGGAGCCCGTGGCGGACCCCGGCCCAGACCGTCGGGGCGCCCACTGGTGGCGGCGGACCCGCCGGAACGGGGGCGCTCGCCGTCCCGCCGCCACGCCTCCGAGGCGTCGGGACCCGGCTGCTGCAGCTGACCTCCGGGCCCCGAGTCACCTCGCACCACCCCAGCCCCTCCCGGCCCTGCACACCCGCGTGTCCGCCGCGCCGTCTGCTGCACAGCCTCGTGTCTTCTGACCTCAGGATCAGATTAGCTCTCCTGCCTCCGTCCTCGTAAAGGTTTGGCTTTGAGGCCGATGGGGGTGACCAGAGAAGCGCTGTAACAATTTCAGATAGAAGACGATGGTGGTACAATCGTCCACTGCTGGGCTGATTGGTGTGTGTGGTCGATGTCCTCCAAACTGAACACACGGAGAGCCCAAGTTCACCTACGCGTGGGATGCTGTAGGACGTATTTTCCCAAACTGTTACCAGTGCTTGTAAGAGCAGTTTAAGATTTCCACCCACCCCTCTTTGGCGCTGTGAACGCACTTGCACTTTTGTGTGAGCGATTGAATGATGCTGCTCAGTGTCTTTAACTGGTGGGTGATTAAGGGCGGAAGTGGTCCGGATATTCTAAAATTTGCTAATTATTAGGAGAGATGAGAGAAGTCACAATAAGAGCTGCCTTTACGTTCTTTTTTTCTGCAAATCTGTATCTAATTCTCCCTGGTGTGCTAGGCACTGTGGTAGGACCTTTATGCTCCTCATTCATAAAAACAGCTCCCTAACTTCCACGTTTCTTCTAGATAGATGTTAAAGTAGCTTAATCACAAAATTATAATTCCAAGAGCTGAAAGGGACTTAAATCAACTGGATTTTCAGGTGAAGATAACACTTTTATTCACGTAAGAGATATGAGTCCACCGGTGACTATGTTCTGAGGCTGCAGTTGGAATCAGACAGACATGACCTCCTACGCAGGTAAACCTGTTCCCATAGGTGGGTTCCTGCTGTGCTTTATGCAAAGTTTTTTTATATTGTTCATCTTATGTATTATAGTTGTTTTTATAAATCTCTTGCTTTGCTGTGACCTCCTCAAGGGCAGGGGCTGAGTCTTTTTTATTTTTATGTCACTAGTGCTTGGCATATGTTGTTTAAGCTCTATTTTTAACAAAACAAATAGTAGCAAAGAAATACATTTCTCATTCCCAAATAGTCTGTCAAGTTTTTGACTGATAGTTAAATTAGTTTACTAGTCTGAATTTAGAAGCTTGCTTAGTGAAAGCTTAAAGTTATTTGGAATCTGATTGTATATGTGATAGGAACTTTTGAACTTCGAAGATCTTGATGAAATAATTTACTGATTAAACCCAGAAATAGGGACCAGGGACAGCATTACTTTACGGAGCCCAAAAGAGAAGTTTGGATATTTTATTTCTCCAGGTTTAGTAGTAACAGAGGGAGCAAGGCGTCAGACCATCAGAGAATTGAATTTGATGCAGGAATTGTGACGGAAAGAACCATAAAGTTAGGAAAGGCAGCTAACATCAGATAGCTAAGAGTGGGAGATACAGAAAAGTCTGGTACATTTTGCTCTTGAAAAATCTAGAAAGAATATTGGGAAATGTCTTGGGAATATGGTGGACCCATTTAGTTAAGTGCGTAGTTGTACTTACTTTTAATATATTAGGACCAATTTAAAATTGATATTTATGGGTAAGTATGGGATGGGACTTTGTTGGGGTAGGGGTTGATCAGGAACTGAAGTGTGGCAATATAGAGAAGAGATCTTGTGTGAATATTCTAGTGGTTGTGATACTATTTCCTATACTCTCTTCTTTACCAGCGTAATGTTGGATTCAGGACATTTCATTTTTTAAAAAAAACAGTTTTTATTTGTATATACTCTCTTGAAACACTTCAAATACTTGGGCTGAAAATAGTATAACATCAAAAATATGCTTTTTAAAATGTCACTTAAAGCCTAGGGGTACAGAAAGTTTATGTAGCAGAGAACAGTGGATTGTTACATTCTAATATTTTGTGATCTTCTAGACTTAAACTGTAGCCACTAATCATATCTGGATAAATTTAAGCTAAAATTAATTAGTATTTAATAAGCTTTAAAATTTAGTTGCTCAGTTTCACTACCCATATTTCAGGTGCTCAATAGCTACATGTGGCTAGAGTCTGCTGTACTGGACAGTGCAAATAAAAGCTTTTCCATTATCGAAGTAGGTTGTGATGGACAATCCGGTTCTACACATTTAGCAAGTACAGTTGACCCTTAAACAATATGGATCTGAACTGCACGGGTCCACTTATACACAAATTTTTTGAAATAAACATATTGGAAAATTGTTTTGACATTTGCAACAATTTGAAAAACTTAGCAAACTTGCATAGCCTAGAAATAGTGAAAAAATTAAGAAAAAATTATGCCATGAATGCATATGTGTAGATACTAGTTTATCATTTACTACCATAAAATATACACAAATCTATTATAAAAAGTTAAAATTTATCAAAACTTACACAAACACAGATCTTACATGGAGCTATTTGCAATTGAGATAAATGTAAACAAGCAAAGATGTAGCATTAAATCTTAGTTGCATAAAATTATCTGTAGTAGATACTGTACTACTGTAATAATTTTGTAGCCACTTCCTGTTGCTTTTGCAGTAAGCTCAGATGTTACCAGTATCTTCTTAAAATAATCACTCTGCTTTTGTCTGTCAAGTAAATTGCATATAGCAGTAAACAGATTTCATCAAATTTAATGCAATACCATAAACCTTAAATAACACCATGGGTCCCATATGACGTGCCACTGGTGATGCTGCAGGTGCTCCCAAGAAGCAGAGAAAAAAGACATTACAAGAAAAAGTTGATTTGTTTGATATGTACTGTAGATAGAGGTCTGCAGTTGGAGGTTGCCCCCCAACCCCATTTCAGACAGAGGATTCATCTTGTAATCAAATTATGTAAACTTATAGTATTGATAAATGCAGTGCAGTAGTGTAAATGTATTTTCCCTTTCCTACGACTTTCTTAATATTTTCTTAGCTTTATTGTAAGAATATAGTACGTAATATATTAACATACAACATATCTGTCAGTTGTTTATGTTATTGGTACGGCTTTCGGTCAGTAGTAGGCTATTAGTAGTTAAGTTTTTGGTGAATCAAAGTTAGGTGTGGGTTTTCGACTGCACAGGGGGTTGGTGCCCCAACCCAAGTATTGTTCAAGGGTCAGCTGTACGTCCAGATTTTGCAGGGTTCAATTTTACTGCAAAATGTCTTTTAGTTAATACGTAGGAGATTTAGATAAAAGGTCATAAAGCAAGGAATGTCTTTTGATTAATATTTTCTCTTTCTAATGGGTTTCAATTTTGTGATTCCCACAGATTTTGCTTAGATGACATTCTCATTAAGGTAAAAATGGATATAGCTCATTTGTATTGAATAGCAAAAATGTTAGTTTTATAACCCAGTCTTGTTACGAATGAAGCACCTCAGCACATAGAAAACACTAGAGTTGAAAAGCTGAAAGTCTTTTCAGAAACTTCTTACTTTTAGAAATAACGGGGTGAGATTTTTTAATATTGAGATTTAGAACTGATTTTTACAGGTGAGGATGTGGATAGACACAAAGCGGTAAGCAACTTGCTCAGGGTTACACAATCCAGTTGTGGTAGAATCTGACCTAAAATCCAAAATCGTTACCTAAAATTTTACTGTGCATTAATGAGGAGTTATACTAGTAACACAAATTTAATGTTAGGTATTTAATAAAGATTTAAAATGAATCAAGACAGGCCAGGCTTTGTTTCTGACAAGTTATGTTTTTTCTATTTGGATTTCCTAGAGTAGTTCAACTAGGTGCAGAGGAATGGGCCTGTGACCATGGCCTTTAGATCAGACCTGGTGTGGGCTCACCCTGATGACAGGTGACTAAATCAGAGTTGAGGTCACTGCTGACACCAGGTTTCTAGAGAGAGTTAGAGGTAGAGATACCACCATTGGGGAAAAATGGCTACTAAGTTTACTTTCTCCTCTTATCAGCAAGAGGATGTCACCTCCTGATGCTGACTTAGTTCAGAACCAAGGAGAGTCTGATTTTTGTAAAATACTCCTTCAAAGCAGGTTTGGCAGAGTTTCTTAAAAGGGCCAGGCAGTAAATATTTTAAGCTCTGAAGGCCAAGTGGTCTCTTGTTACAACTCATCAACTCTGCCCTTGAATGGAAGGAGCCTTAGGCTTTGTGTAATCAAATAGTGTGGCTTTGTACCAATAAGACTGTACAAAAACCAGGTAGCCAATGGGCCCCTGCCTTAAAGCAATTCTGATAGCGTAAGCATGTGCAGGATAGTGAAGTTAGCCCCAGTTATAAGGGTATAATAAGGATTGGACTATATTCTCAACTTTAGTAAGATCCCACCTATTTTAAGAGTCACTGGTGGATGTATGTTATGGCAGCTTTGCACACCATTAAGTAACCAGGGGTTTAAGGATCTCATCCTGCTCTGTGTAGTTACTTCTGTATCAAAAATTGACAGCTCTTGTAACCAATCTATAACTTATCTCAACTCACCCTTGCAACCTTGATATTACTTGGTGATAAGTAGTCTCCATGGAAAACCAAAAGTGGCACCCGTGGGAATATAACTGAACATTTATTGCTTTTTACATATGCTGAAATACGGAGATATTGAATAATGACCAAGATGACACTTGTGTTTTAGAATAATTCTTCTGATTAGAGGTGGGGCAGGAAGGGCAGGGGAGGAGTTAGGAAGTAGAATTGAAAAGTATCCTGGGTTTATTGATTGTGGGACTAGGAGAAGAGGCATTTAGGATGACTCCTTAATTTCTTTTTCTTTTTTTTTTTTTTTTTTGAGTCTTGCTCTGTCACCCAGGCTGGAGTGCAGTGGCACAATCTCAACTCACTGCAACCTCTGCCTCCCAGGTTCAAGCGATTCTCCTGCCTCAGCCTCCCAAGTAGCTGGGATTACAGGCGCATGCCACCATGCCTGGCTAATTTTTTGTATTTTTAGTAGAGACAGGGTTTCACTGTGTTAGCCAGGATGTTCTTGATCTCGAACTCCTGACCTGAAGTGATCTGCCCACCTCAGCCTCTCAAAGTGCTGGGATTACAGGCGTGAGCCACCATGCCCGGCTGATGACTCCTTTAATTTCTAACTTGGGTGCATTTGTTAATCTTAGCCATGAAGGAAGGAGGGCAGGTTTTTGTGGGGCATGTGCTAAGTTCACTTTGGATATGAGTTTTGAGTATGGTGAGAGGGAAGTTGTGGGGCATCCAGAGCCCGGGAGTAAACACTAGGAAGAAAGCTCTGTGAGGCTGTTCAACTGTTGAAGCTCTGCTGTTTGCCTAACTTGATGTGGCCATTTTAGTTCCTTTAATGTCATACTCTGCTGTTAGGAATGTAAATTTATGGAGTCTTTTTGCACATCATTTTATATCAAGAGCCTTAAAAATACTAACTCCTGGCCAGGTGTAGGGGCTCACGCCTATAATCCCAATATTTTTGGAGACCAAGGTTGGCAGATCACTTCAGGTCAGGAGTTCAAGATCAGCCTGACCAACATGGTGAAACCCCATCTCTACTAAAAATATAAAAATTAGCCGGGCATGGTGGTGTGCACCTGTAGTCCCAGCTACTTGGGAGACTGAACCAGAAGAAGCGCTTGAAGCTGGGAGGCAGAGCTGGCAGTGAGCTGAGATCATGCCACTGTACTCCAGCCTAGGTGACAGAGTGAGACTCCATCTCCAAAAAAAAAAAAAAAAAAAAAAAAAAAGTATTCCTTCTCACCTGGTAATTCTGGTTTTGAGAGTTTATGCTAATTTTTTTCCTAAATTATAGACAGATTTTGAACACAAAATGTTCATCACAAAAACAAGTGAGTGTCTAAATGCCCAGTAGTTGGGAAATAGCTAAGTCACTGATGGTTACCTAAGATGGAATGATGAACATCCACTTTGTACCCCACAAATATAGACAATTATAATTTGTCAGTATTCAGCTTAAAAAAAGTAAGATGCTAGATGACTTTTTTTTTTCTTCTCTTTTTTGGAGACAGGGTTTTTGCTCTGTTACGCAGCCTGTAGTGCAGTGACACAATCATAGCTCGCTGCCCCCTTGACTTTCTGGGCTAAAGCAATTCTCCTACCTCAGCCTCCCAAGTAGGTGAGACTACAGGCATGCACCACCACGCCTGGCTCATTTTGTTTTTTTATTTTTTTGTAGAGAGGATGGTCTTGCTATATTGCCCAGGCCGGTTTTGAACACCTGGCCTCAAACAGGCTTCCCACCTTGGCCTCCCAAAATACTGGGATTACTGGCATGAGCCACTGCAACTTTGTGTTAAGCAAAACGGAAATGTGCCAAAAGGTTAGAAGTGGTTCCCTCTAGAAGAGGAATTATTAGGCCTTCTTTCCTGAGTACTTCTAATTTCTACATTGTTCATGCTTTGAACATTTTAGTAATATAAATGAGATATACCTACTCCTTTTTTGAACAGTAGATATATATATATAGTATATATATTTATCCTATATATACTATTTATATTATATATACTATTTATACTATATATAGTATGTATATAGTATATATACTGTATATAGTAGATATATACTATGTATATAATATATATGGTATGTATAGTAGTATATATACTATATATAATATATATGGTATGTATATAGTAGTATATATACTATGTATATACTATGTATATATACATATATACTATGTATATACTATGTATATATACTCTATATAGTATATTGAACAGTAGGTATATATATAGTATATATATTTTGAGCGCTTGCTGTGTTTTCAGCTGTTGGGCTAAATCTTTTGAGTACGTTATTTTTCCAATGAAACCCTGTCTGCTAGGCAGAGGAAGGTAATGCTACCTACCTAATTATGAAGATCTTTCAGAATAATCCGTATTAACTGACTTGGTTTAGTCCCTGGTATTTATTAAATCTCAAATGGCAGCTTCCATGATCATCATCATTGTTCATTCTTATCTTGCTTCTGTATATGAGAGAGTTGGACAAAGGAAGGCGGTAATTTGCCTGGTGTCATGTGGCAAATAGGTGTCATAACCTGGATTTCATCCCTGATCTTTCTGACTTCAAAGCTCATTATTATACTCTCCCCAGAGGGGCATGTCAGTGGAGCTTCTGACAACTTGATCTCTTCACCTTATCCCTAAGGGCCCCCCACACCAAGCCACCAAACACAAGCTTGTAAAAACGCGACCAGCCAGGTTTTTGGTTGTTTGTCAGGAGCTTCTTCTGAAGTTCATTACTGTTTGGCAGTTGGAATAATTTGGCAGAGGGTAAAAATAAGAAAATTGTTTGGATGAATGAAGATTTAAGAAACCAAATGACAAAGATATTGAAAATGAAAGTGAAATTGAAAATGAAAATGAAGGCTGGGTGCGGTGGCTCACGCCTATAATCCCAGCACTTTGGAAGGCGGAGGCAGGCAGATCACGAGGTCAAGAGATCGAGACCATCCTGGACAGTATGGTGAAACCCCGTCTCTACTAAAAATACAAAAATCAGCTGGGCATGGTGGCGCGCACCTGTAGTCCCAGCTACTCGGGAGGCTGAGGCAGGAGAGTCGCTTGAACCTGGGAGGGGGAGGTTGCAGTGAGCTGAGATCGTGCTACTGCATTCCAGCCTGGGCAACAGAGCAAGACTCCATCTCAAAAAAAAAAAAAAAAAAGAAGAAAAATGAAATAGAAAATGAAAAATACTTCCATTTTCATTTAATATTGAATTAATACCAAAGAACATTTAAACATATACACATACATATATAGATATAAAATGTAAGGAATATTACAGTGAACACTTATAAATCACCTAGTTTTTAAAACACATTATCCTGTCTCTTTCACCCTCAGAATCATTAACCTGAATTTTTACTTCTTTGCTTTCTGTGTAGTTTTTCCACATATGCTCAGTCCCTAAATAATATTTAGTTTTCTATGAAATGCAATTGTACATTATGTATTTTACTGCAATTGTTTTCAACAAATGTATATGTTCTTGAGGTTATCCAGATGGTGATGGGAGTAACCAATTTCTGCCAAAATATATTTAGAGGTTTGTTCTGGGCCAATATGATAGTGACTGCAGCCTGTGGTTACACGATCTCAAACAACCCTGACAAAGTGCACCCCAGGTGGTCAGGTTACAGCTTGGTTTTATACATTTTAGATACAGGAATTACATGCAAGGTATACATTGATCTCACTCAAAAGGTAGGACATCTTAAAGAGGGGGTTACAAGTCATAGGTGGGTTTTAAGGATTCTTCAGCTGGTAGTTGGTTGATAGAGGTAAGCTATGGTAAGTAGAAAGGAATGCTTGAGTTAAGGGGCTTGTGAAGGCCAAGGTTCTTGTTAAGTTAATTGAAGCCTCCTAGGTAGCAGCCCTCAGAGGGAAGAGATACTAAATGTCACTTTTTAGACTTTAATGTTATCAGGCTCTCAGTTAATCTCTCCTGGATCCAGGAAAGGCCTAGAAAGGAAGGCCTGGTTGCATTAATGGAGATTCTTGACAGATGCATATTTCCCCTAGGAAACATGGCTTTGTGGGGCCATTGAAATCCGTTGGCCATGTGGCAGCCATTTCAAAATGTCAAATATATTTTGGGGTAAAATATTCTGATTTCCTTCTGAGTCTGCTATTTGTCATAAGATGCCATACCAGAGTCAGGTTGGAAAGTAAGTCGTATTATATAGGGTTAATAAAAACCTGTCCAGTGAGATTTCGTAATTAGTAAGGCATGACTCCCCAGGCCTCTTAGTGAAGAACTTGGAGAAGAGAGAAAATATAAAAAAGATCAGCGTTTAGTCTTCACATATTATTGTATGAGCTGTAATTTACTCATTTCGCTGCATTCCACTGTATAACTATACTGTAATTTCTTCATTCTATAGTAACTATATGATAATTTCTGATAGTAGACCTTTGGGTTGTTTCCAGATATTTTATTCCTTTTTTTTTTTTTTTTTTTTATGAGATGGAGTCTCACTCTGTCGCCCAGGCTGGAACGCAGTGGTGCAATCTCGGCTCACTGCAGCCTCTGCCTCCCGCGTTCAAGCGATTCTCCTGCCTCAGCCTTCCAAGTAGCTGGGATTACTGGTGGGCGCCACCATGCCCAGCCAATTTTTATATTTTAGTAGAGATGGGGTTTCACCGTGTTGGCCAGGCTGGTCTTGAACTTCTGACCTCAAGTGATCCGCCCACATTGGCCTCCCAAAGTGCCAAGGGATTACAGGGATGAGCCACTGCGCCCACCTGTTTCTTATCTCTAACAGTGCTATGACAAAGATTGTTCATGTTTCATGGGGCCCATTTGCAAGAGTTTCTAGGATATAATTGCTAGGTCATAAGGCAAGTACCATGCTAAGTTGTACTAGGTAATGCTCTAAATTTAATTTTCCAAAGTGGTTGCGCTGATGTATGCACTTACCATTAGTGTGTAAATGTCCTAATTACACCATATTTTCACCAATCACCAAAATTTGATATAGTCAGGATTTTAAATTTTGGCCATCTTGTCAATATAAAAATGATATACTGTGAGTATATATTTAACTTTAAAAAATGATGTTCTTATGGCCAGGCATGGTGGCTCATGTCTGTAATCCCAGTACTTTGGGCGACCAGGGCAGGCAGATTGCTTGAGCCCCGGAGTTTGAGACCAGCCTGGGCAACATGATGAAACCCATCTCTACAAAAAAATACAAAAATATTAGCCAAGTGTGGTGGCACATGACTGTAGTCCCAGTTACTTGGGAGGCTGAGGTGGGAGGATGGCTTGAACCTGGGAGACAGAGGTTGCAGTGAGCCGAGACTGTGCCACTGCATTCCAGCCTGGGCGACAAGAGCGAAAATCCCTCTCAAAAATAATAATAATAAGTAAATATAAGTAAAAATTATGTTCTATTTTCTGGTTTTATGAATAAGTAGTCCCCAAAGTGACCTTTGGGTTCGTTTTTGGAATGCAAATTGTGGGTATTGTTAAGTAAAACACTATAGAATTTTAATTTTTTATTTGCTTAGTAATTTGTAGTATATAAGATCTTCTATGATATTTAAAAAAAATCAACCTGGTTAGCTTTTAGTTAATTTCAGGACATATTTTGTGTGTATTATAATTTCATAGCAGTATTTATTTTGCTACTTAAAGATGGAAAAATCTAAAGCTGGTTTTGCTGAAAATTTTAAGTTTAAAACACAAAAATAAATTAATTGTACATTAATCTTCTTTTTCCTCTTCTAATTGGTGCATATGTTTACTTTTACTAGTGATAAACCATTTGTATTTTGGTTGCTTAGAGAAGGACTTGTAATAAAGTAAAAACATTTACAACTTTATAAGTTAATGCCTTTTTAAAGCCAAGAGATTGTAAATGATAGGACAGTATCCAGCATAATAAGGAAATAATTGTACAGAAAGACAACCTTAAAGTAAGATTGGCCTCTGGTGAGAATTCTTTTGTGAATTTAAAAAACACCTTTTATGTTTTAGCACCAGTATGCATGAGCGGGTGAACCGAACAGAAAGACAGTTTCGATCACTTCCAGCTAACCAACAGAAACTACTTCCTCAGTTTCTTCTTCACTTGGACAAGATCCGGAAATGCATTGATCATAATCAAGAAATACTACTGACCATTGTGAATGATTGCATACATATGTTTGAAAATAAAGAATATGGAGAAGATGTATGTGAAAGTTTGTTCTATTTCTGTTTATTTTAGGGTCAACCTCTGTATTTTGAGGTCTTTTATTTTCTGGATTTCATTTTTATAATCTGGCACAGGCTATTTGCTCTACTCAGAAAGTTTTAACTTAAATGTTCAGTCATTTGATTAGGCTTAATAGCCAGAGACTGGATCTGTTCACTTGTTTTCCTTTTTTAAGTACTAATATAACTGTTGAGATTTTGATGCATTTTGACATAATGTTCTGTTTTGGAATACAGGGTTAGTGACTTAAATTTTTAAAAGCAACTTTACTAGCTAGAAATTAATTTCCCTTGCTTAACTCATATTTTTTCAGTGTCTTGTATCTATTGCTGTTCATCTTTTATTGTAAGAAATTGTTTTCACTTATAAATCTCAAGGGACTGGCAGTACATAGAAACTGAAGTCCTCTTTTTGTATCCACAGGATGGATACAGTTGGGCCACTCCAGTGTGAGCCTCTCCATGCTGCCCCATCAATGACCTGGAGGGACTTTCTTCCCTCTCTTAGAGAGGATGTTCGGTCTCCATAGCAGCTCAGTTTGGTCCTCTCCTGAGTAAAGACTGCTTAATTATATGGTGGTTTTATGATTAATGGACCTTAATCTTTTGAGGGTAGCAGTGAGACCACCAAACTCTTTTCATTTAGGATCTCAAGCTGCACTTGAACCCCAGTTGAGGTGAGAGGCTAGTGATTTATCCACTAAACCACCTATATAGCCCCTTAGTAGCATGTCTATTTAACCATAATATAAGTGGATTACTCTCTCAGAAGCTAATTGATGTCTGTTTTTTAAACAGGGGAATGGAAAGATTATGCCAGCATCTACATTTGACATGGATAAGTTAAAATCCACGCTGAAACAGTTTGTGAGAGACTGGAGTGAAACTGGGAAAGCAGAAAGGGATGCCTGTTACCAGCCAATCATTAAAGAAATTTTAAAAAATTTTCCAAAAGAGAGATGGTAAATAGTACCTCATTTTTAACCAAGTTTTTAAAGTGTATGAACACTTGAGTTTCTTGATAAAATGTTTCACAGTCTCGCTTCATTGTTATAGTTGCTGTGTGCCTGTATGTTTTACATGTGTAAGTGTTAACATTTGTTATTGGATGCTCTGTGTGAGATTACAGTTGTTATTTTGAATAATTTTTATGCTGGTGCTTAGGGGAAATTACTTAGAAATTAAATAATAAGGTTAGGTCGAAAATTATCAATGATGTGTATCTTTTTATAATTTGCTTTATGGCAAAGCAAAAAAACTAAACTTTTAATTCCCCTCATTATGACATAGTTGTAAACAAGTGAGGGATCTGTACCTCTGAGCAAGCAGAGATTCTTAACTTTTTTATGCCTTGGAACCATTGTTCAGTCTGAAGCCCATGGTCTGCTTTTCAGAATAATTTTTTTTTTATTTTATTTATTTATTTATTTATTTATTTATTTTTTTGAGACAGTCTCACTCTCTTGACCAGGCTGGAGTGCAGTGGTGTGGTCTTGGTTCACTGCGACCTCTGCCTCCTGGGTTCAAGTGATTCTCATGCCTCAGACTCCGAAGTAGCTGGGACTGCAGGCTTACACCACCACGCCTGGCTAATTTTTGTGTTTTTGGTAGAGACATGGGCTCACCATGTTGGCCAGGCTGGTCTCGAACTCCTGACCTCAAGTGATCCGCCTGTGTCTTCCTCCCAAAGTGCTGGGATTACAGGTGTGAGCTACCTCACCTGGCCCAGAATAACAATTTTAAGTGAATAAATTTAAGTGCATATGATTACAAAGAAAACTGATTTTGAAATACAGTTATCAAAATATTTAAAAAGTAAATTTGTGATGCATGTTTTTTTAAATCATATATCACTTTAAATACAATTTAGCTGCAAGTATAATTATGAAATGTATTATGAAAATGCTGAATGGGATATACACTGTTTTGAGAACTTCAGCTAATGTGAAGTGAAAATATGTGTGATTTCTCTTCGTGATAAAGTCATAGGTATTGCTAAAACTATTGTTTGTTGCCTGCATCCGTAATTGAGGGGAAAAAATCAGTTTCTGAAATTAAAATGTAATTTTTTCCCATTCCCTTCAGAGACTCAGTGAATTCTATCCACAGACCTCTTGATGGATAGAATTTAATCCACCTAACCTCTGTCCCAGGTTAGGAACCCCTGATTTAGGGGTATATATTTAACGAAAGCTATTGGATGGAATTCAGTCTTATTTAAAGATCTTTTAGAGAGGCTCCTTTTCCTCCTCTCCTTTGCCTCCGTATTGATTGACAACTTTACGTTTGAGTATTTGCTTTCAGAAATTTCAATACATATGTGTCTCTTCTCTCTCTTTATTTTTTGTTAGGACATTTTATTTTATTGATTATTATTTATTTATTTATTATTTTTATTTTTCACTCTGTTGCCCAGGCTGGGGTGCAGTGGCGCTGCTTACTGCAACCTCCGCCTCCTGGGCTCAAGTGATTCTTGTTCCTCAGCCTCCCGAGTAGCTGGGATTACAGACACCTACCACTATGCCTGGCTATTTTAACTATTTTGAAATAACTTTAAAATTACAGATAAATTGCATGAATTATATGGAGACCTCCTGAATTCACTTATACTTTTTACTTGAATTCACCAGTTTTTAACATTTTGCCACATTTGCTTTTATTGTTTCCTCTTCCGTCTTCCCTCCCTCCCTCTTTCCCTTGCATTATGTATGTGTGTGTCTGAAACCATTGAGAAAATTTAACCCTGAATACTGTTAGGTAATTTACAGTCTATATTCAAGTTTCATAATTTACTGTGGTTCATACTGATAACTCTTAATTCCAGTCCCAACTCTATAGGGTTATCCTTGGTTTTCCCTCTTTTCTGTATCTGTTTACCTCACTTCCAACAACATCAATACGTTTACTTATTCGCCCAGTTGTCTACAGTACACACAGAATGGTTTCAGAATTGCTTCATCCATACCTCTGTGAAAAAGAAACCTACTAAAAGGAGTTCGGGATTTGCTAATAGTTATTTTTCCCTTAGACTAAGGTTGTATAGTGAATTTATTCTTTGCAGTTTACCCAAATTAGCTCTCCCTTTAATCTTCAGCCTCCTGGTGTTTTATTCCCTCCCTTTATTCTATACCCCATTTGGATAATCAGTATCATTGGCATCTTGTTTATTCATCCTTTTATTCTTGGGGTTTTTTTTTTTTTTTTTTTTTAAGTAAGTGGATGTGGTTTTTTTTTTTTTCTCTCTCTCTCTCTTTTTTTTGACACAAAGTGTTGCTCTGTCATCCAGGCTGTAGTGCAGTGGTGTTATCGTAGCTCACTGTAGCCTTAAACTCCTGGGCTCAAGTACTCCTCCCACCTCAGCCTCCCAGCTAATTTTTTAGTATTTTTTGTAGAGGCAGGGGTCTTGCTATGTTGAACAGGCTGGTCTTGAACTCCCGGCCTCAAGTGATCCTCCTGCCTCTGCCTCCCAAAATATTGGGATTACAGGCATAAACCACTGTGCCTGGCCTTTTTGTTTTTCTTTATAATTACCCTCTTTGGTCATCCACAAAAGATAATATAGCATACATGTATTCTGTACCTTGCTTTTTTCACTTAGTGTATCCTGGAAATAGCTATGCTGTCATTTCACAGAGATCTTCAGTCATTTTTTTTTTTCCCAGCTGAAGATTACTCTGTTATTTGGATGTATCATAGTTTATTCAACCAACTTTCTCCTACGTTAGGTTATTTAGGTAGTTGGCAGTATCTAGCAATTATACATAATGCTAAAATTAATAACTTTATGCATATGTATTTTTATATTATTGGAGGTATAACTTTAATTTTTATTTAAAAATAACTTTATTTGATAATCTTTTAAAAAATCCATAATATAATTTCAGAAGAAATTTCTCCTGATTTCCCCTTACCACATTTTAGAATATAAATAATGCAGAAGGATCTGTTTATTTTTCTTTGCAGCAGTTCCTGACCAGTCCATGGTGAGAAATATCAGTTGGCACTTAATTGCACCATAATAAATTATACCCAGTAAGGATGATTTTTCAGGTCTCCGTGCATGGGTTATGGAGATTTTCCATCATGCATCTTTTTCTGCTGCAATTATAGGGCCTGTATATACTTATGAGAATTGGAGCTAATATCAAAGACAAAAAATTGTGGGGCCCTTTCCCCGACAGTCCACCAAGTTTTGAGGAAAAGAAGTATCAGTTGAAATAGCTCTGAAGAATTTATCTTCCTGGTTCTGATAAGTAGATCTCATGGTCTCTGATTTAACAGTACATATAGATAAGATTTTTTTTTTTTTTTTGAGACGGAGTCTTGCTCAGTCGCCCAGGCTGGAGTGCAGTGGCACGATCTCGGCTCACTGCAACCTCCGCCTCCCGGGTTCACGCCATTCTGCTGCCTCAGCCTCCCGAGTAGCTAGGACTACAGACGCCCGCCACGACGCCTGGCTAATTTTTTTTTTTATATTTTTAGTAGAGACGGGGTAGATAAGATTTTTTAAAAACACAGTGTAACAACTTGAACTTTGCCGTGCAAACTCTGTAACCCACTGTCAACATAGTTCTGTATTTGGGCATGGATCATTCTGAAGAAAAATGGAGCTCAAATTTTTAAAAAATTCTTAAAACTTGAAGACCTGTCCAGGTGTGGTGGCTCACGCCTGTAATCCCAGCACTTAGGCTGAGCCGGATGGATCACTTGAGGTCAAGAGTTCGAGATCAGCCTGGCTAACATGGCGAAACCCCGTCTCTACTAAAAATACAAAAATTAGCTGGGCATGGTGGTGCACACCTGTAATTCTAGCTACTCAGGAGTCTGAGGCAGGAGAATTGTTTGAACCTGGGAGGCAGAGGTTGCAGTGAGTCAAGATCATGCCACTGAACTCCAGCCTGGCCAGTAGAGCAAGGCTATCTCAAAGAAAAAAAAAAAAAAAAAACCAAAAACTTGAAGACCCTCAGTACCTGGGCTCTTAACTGACCCAACATATTAATGTACATTCAGAGCTCAGATATAAGTGATATTCAGTCACATCTCAAATGGTCAAGGATATATAGTGTTTGGCATCAAGACCTTGAAGCTCACATTTGCTAGCAGAAAAATCTCAGTTCCTTTCATCGGGTATGTGTGCAGGAGAGTATCTTTAATTTAAATTCTTAGAAGTGGGATTGCTGCATAACACATTGATTTCAGTTGCTATGGGTCAGGAGTCTGGGCTTGGCTTAACTGGTTCTTCTGTGTAGGAGCTTACAAGGCAGCAATCCACGTGTCTGCCGGGCTGTGTTTTCACCTGGAGACTTGACTGGGGAAGAATCTGTCACTCATATTTCATTTTGTTTAATTGCAGTTGTAGTAGTGAGGCAGAATTGTTTTCACTGTGGCTGTAGGACTGAGGGTCTTAGCTGCTCTCTGTTTGTCAGTTGGAAGCCTGCCTCATCTCCTAGAGGCAACCCACAGTTCCTTGTCTTTCCCAAAAGGACCACTTCATCAAGCCAGCAAGGAGGGTGTCTAGATCAAGCAAGCTGTCAACCGTCTTACAGTGTTGAACAGTCACAGAGCTGGGTGTCAAGGCTCATGTCTATAATCCCAGTACTTTGAGAGACTGAGATGGGAGAATCACTTGAGGCCAGGAATTCAAGACCAACTTGGGCAATGTAGTGAGACCTCATCTCTACTAAAAATTTGAATATTAGGTGAGGTGGCATGCACTTGTATAGTCCTGGCTACTCTGGAGGTGGATGCCTGGCAAGGGGATCATTTGAGCCCAGGAATTCAAAGTTGCAGTGATAAGATTACTGCATTCCAGCCTGGGCAACAGAGCAAGACCCTGTCTCAATAATAATAATAATAATGACAATCACAGGAGGGACATCTCATCACCTTTGCCATATTCTGTTGGGTAGAAACAAGACATGGGGACCAGGAGGTAGGGAGCGTGGGAGCACCACTACAGGGTCTGTCTGCCACAGTCATTACTATGTTCTTCTATAAGGGTTGCACTGTTTTGTCTGTCTACTGGCAGTGTATCAAAGTGCCTGTTTATGCACAGCCCTGACAAATACTGTAGTTTTAAGCCTTTGACCTTTTGCCAACCTGATGGGTGGGAAATTATATGTTGGCATAGTCTTAATTTGCATTTCTCTTATGATGAGTGAAACTGAACATCTTCATATGTTAAAGGGTCATGTTACATGTTTTTTTTTTTGAGAATTATATATTTATGTCTTTTGCCCTCAGTTTTTTATTGAGGTGAATTGCATATAACAAAAGTAATCATTTTAAATAATTCAGGGACATTCAGTACTTCACAGTATTGTACATCTGTCACCACTGTGTAGATCCAAAACATTTCATCAACCCAGAATAAAACCTCATACCCATTAAGCAGTTACTCCCCATTCTCCCCACCATTCTCCCCACCCTGCCTCTACCTTTATTATTTAGCAGTTTGACTGTGAGGTGTCTTAAATGTGGTTTCCTTTGTATTTATCTTGGTTAAGATTTGCTAATGTCTTGGGGTTTAGGTAGATCTATATCATCAATTCAGAAATTCTTTGCTATGTCTCTTCACATTATTTCTCTATCATTTCCTCTACTTCTTTCTCTTCTGGTATTCCAGTTACATGTATGTTAAGTATCAAACCATTTCATGTCGTCTCTTAGGTTTCACATGACTCTACCCACTCCTTCTCCTCCCAGCCCTTTATAGTATAGTTTGGATAATTTCTGTTAACCTAACTTCAACTTCACTGATTATTTACTATGCTAATCTGCTGATAAGTCCTTTGAAAGAGTTCTTGGCCTGGGGTGATAGCTCACACCTATAAACCCAGCACTTTGGGAGGCTGAGGTGAGTGGATCACTTGAGGTCAGGAGTTCAAGACCAGCCTGGCCAACATGGTGAAACCCTGTCTCTACTAAAAATACAAAAAATTAGCTGGGTGTGGTGGTGGGCACCTATAATCCCAGCTACTTGGAAGGCTGAGGCAGGAGAATCCCTTGAACTCAAGAGGCAGAGGTTGCAGTGAGCTGAGATCATGCCATTCTAGCCTGGGCAGCAAGAGCGAAACTCCGTCTCAGAAAAAAAAAAAAAAAAAAAAAAAAGAATTTCTTCCTTTTTTTATAAGAGAGAAAGAGTTTTTTTTATCTCTTATACTCATTTTTTGATTTTTTAAAAAATTTCTAGCACTTACATATACATGCACACCCCTACACATATACTCTGTCTGTACCCAAATTCCCTATCTCTTTGTATACATGATCTACCTTTTGCACTACGTGCTTTAACGTACTTTTCATGGTTATTTTAAAATCCCTACCTAATGATTCTTACATTCTGTTTGTGCGACTGTTTTCTTGAAGGCTTCCTTATAACAATAAGTTCCACATTTTCTTGCTTCTTTGCATGTTTCTTAATTTTTTTTATTGAATGCCAGGCATTGTATGTAAAGGAATAGTAGACAATAAAGTAATATTAATGACCAGAAAAAAATCATTTCTCCTTAGTCTTATTAGGCCACTAGTGGGCTGGGGGGTGGGGAGAAGGGTGGTGCTGACTGAATCATTTAAGTGATTTTAATTTGTAATATATTTGCATGTATTAGCTGCTTCTACTAATCACTTATTTGTCCATAAGCCTTGCATCTAGAAATATGGCAATATAGGAATATTACTGCTTTCTGAAGTTTCATATGCTTCTCACCTTTTATTTTATGTTTGATGATTTTAATATTTTTCCTGCATCAGAGTAGTAGGAATATCTTTGCAACATTAAGAAATACTTGGTATGGGTTACTTACTTACACCGAAAAGAAAAAAAAAATACTTGGGTTGGGCATGGTGGCAAACACCAGTAGTCCCTGAGTCAGGAGGACTGCTTGAGCCCAGGAGTTCAGGGGTGTAGTGTGCTGTGTGCTGTGATTGCACCTCTAGTAATAGCCACTGCACCCCAGCCTGGGCAACATTGCAAAGACTTACCTCTAAAGTTAAAAAGAAAAAACTTTTTAAAATAAGGTTTTTATAGTTTTAATTCCTAAGTTTAGGTCTTTGATCCATTTTGAGTTAATTTTTATATGTGGGTAAGGTAATAATCCAACTTTATTCTTTTGCATATGGATATCCAGTTTTCCCAATACATTTGTTAAAAAAAAAAAAAAAAAAAAAGACTGTCCTTTCCCGATTGAATGGTCTTGGTAGACTCGTTGAAAATTAGTGGACCATGTATGTGGGTTTTTTCTGGACTCTATATTCTGTTTCATTGGTCTGTGTGTTTGTCCTTATGCCATAACATACTATTTTAATTGCCATAGTTTTATAAATTTCAAAGTCAGGAAGTGTGAGTCCTCGTTTGTTGTTTTTCAAGATTATTTTGGGGGCCTCTTGTAATTCTTGTGAATTTCAGGTTTTTTCATTTCTGCGAAAAAGTTTGTTGGAATTTTCATTAAGGATTGTGCTGAATATATAGATTGCTTTGGGTAGTACTGAGGTCTTGACAATGTTAAATCTTACACATTATCACAGTATGTCTTTCCATCTATTTAGAGCTTTAATTTCTCTCAGCAGTGTTTTGTAGTTTTCAGTGTATAGGTCTTTCACTTTGGTTAGATTTATTCATATGTGGCCAGGCGTGGTGGCTCATGCCTGTAATCCCAGCACTTTGGGGGGCCGAGGCAGGTGGATCACGAGATCAGGAGTTCAAGACCAGCCTGGCCAACAAATACAAAATGTAGCTGGGCGTGGTGGAGTGCACCTGTGATTCCAGCTACTTGGAAGGCTGAGGCAGGAGAATTGCTTGAACTCAGGAGGCAGAGGTTGCAGTGAGCTGAGATTGTGCCATTGCACTCCAGCCTGGGCAATAGAGTGAGACTCCGTCTCAAGAAAAAAAAATTTATAAAGATTTATTTGTATGTATTTAATTCTTTTAAATCAAACTTGTCCAACCCGTGGCCAGTGGGCTGCATGCGGCCCAGGACAGCTTTGAATGTGGCCCAGCACAAATTCATAAACTTTCTTAAAACATTATGAGGGTTTTTTTTTTTTTTTTTTTTTTTTTTTTAGCTCATCAGCTGTTTTTAGTGTTATTTTATGTGTGGCCCAAGACAATTCTTCCAGTGTGGCCCAGGGAAGCCAAAAGATTTGACATCCCTGTGTTAGATGCTATTATAAATAGAATTGCTGTCTTAATTTACTTTTCAGAATTTTTGTTGCTAATGTAATAGAAGCACAACTGAATTTTGTGTGTTGATCTTGTACCCTGCAATCTTGCTTTATTAGCTCTGTTAGCTTTCTTAGGGATACTTTGTGGATCACATTATGCAAAAAGAGAGTTTTTACCTTTTCTTTTCCAATTTGAATGCCTTTTGTTTCCTTGTTTCTGTTCTTAGGGAGAAAGCTTTCAGTCTTTCACCATTGAGTAGCTGTGGGACTTTCGTAAATACCCTTTATCGTGTTGAAGAATTTTCTTAGTTTTTTTTTTTTTATTATTTTTATTTTTTTGAGACAGGGTCTCGCTCTGTCACCCAGGCTGGAGTGCAGTGGCATGATCTTGGCTCTCTGCAACCTCTGCCTCCTCGGTTCAAGTGATTCTCCTGCCTCAGCCTCCCGAGTAGCTGGGATTACAGGCGCCCAACACCACACCTGGCTAATTTTTGTATTTTCAGTAGAGACGGGGTTTCACCATGTTGGTCAGGCTGATCTCAAACTCTTGACCTCAATTGATCCACCCACCTTGGCCTCTCCAAGTGCTGGGATTACAGGTGTGAGCCACCACGCCCAGCCAAATTTTCTTAAAGTTTTCTAAAGGTTTTTCTGATAGAGTGCTGAATTTTGTCAAATATATTTTTTGCATCAGTTGAGATGATATATATGTTTTTTCTTCCATTAATGTGATATATTTCATCAATTGATTTTCTTGTGTTGAACCACCCTTGCATTCCTGGGATAAATACCACTTGGTCATGGTAAATAATTGTTTAAATAAACATTGTTGTTTCCAAAAAGATGTTATATTCTTAAAGTTTCTAGCTGGTATTCTCTCTCAATATATTCAGTGCCCTGCTTTATAAAGTAATAGATACAAGTTTAATACTTTCTATAAAGTCCAGGTATACCTCAAAATTCAAAATATCTGTAGGTTTTAATTGATAAGGCTTTTAATAGAAATGTACCAAAGTTTGAGTGAATGTTGGAGGCTGAATGTGAAATGTTTATATCAACATCATTTCTGGCACTTAAAACATGACTTTGTTTATACTCAGTGATTATAGAATCATGTATGATACCATTAATTAGTATAACAGTGTCAGCAATACTAAAAAGGCATGGCATTATTAGATAATTATAAGATAATTAGTGAACTAGCACACACTGTTCCTTTTCCGTTGTTATTATTACTTGACAAAATGTAAACTGGTGAGGAAAGGATGAGTTAACTCTAAATGGTACTAATAGGTTATTTTTTAAATAAAAATAATTTAAAACCGTTCTGAATAACTAAAACATTTTGCAGGATTTAAAACTTAAAAGGTTTCAAGGGATATATAGTCTCCTTTCCATAACTGTTCCTCATAACTGTTCCTCAGTTACCCAGTTTCCTTTCCTGAAAGTAATTGTTATAAAAGTGGATAGGTATATATGAACTTTAAATGAAGTACACTGAAATGTAATATCTATTACACTGTTTTTTGTTACATTTCTTCCTATGTTATTTGTTTTACTTACTTGATTTAGATTGATTTCCTTATAGTAGATAAGGTGAGCTATCAAAAAAACCTAAACAGGAAACCTAATAAAACACAGTAAAGGCTGCATCAATATTAAAATCGTAGCTTTGTCAGAATAAATTAAACCCTAGAGCCTGGAAAAGGGGCATTAGGCCAGCTGTGGTGGCTCATGCCTGTAATCCCAGCACTTTGGGAGGCTGAGGTGGGTGGATCACTTGCAGTCAGGAGTTCAAGACCACCCTGGCCAACATGGTGAGGCCCCGTCTCTACTAAAAATACAAAAATTTGCTGGGTGTGGTGGCGTGCACTTGTAATCCCAGCTACCTGGGAGGCCAAGGCAGGAGAATCACTTGAACCCGGGAGGTGGAGGTTGCAGTGAGCCGAGATAGAGCCACTGCACTCCAGCCTGAGCTGGAGACTCTGTCACAAAAAAAAAAGAAAAGGAAGAAAAGGGTCATTAATTGTAGCCCTTCAGAATCCAGGTTGATTCTAGATAAATTCTGGTCAACTTTGTGTCTTTCAGGTAAATTTCTAGGACTCTGTTTATGCCACAGTAAGTACATGGGGAATTTAATGTCTTTATACTCAGGCTGGAGTTAACACAAATTTATGTCAGCTAGCCTTTTATTGTGTGTGTGTGTGTGTGTGTGTGTGTGTGTGTGTGTGTGTGTGTGTTTTAATTTCACTGAAGGCCTTTTCTAATTGAACTGCCTATAGAAGATCATATACTTGCCGGGCTCGGTGGCTCACGCCTGTAATCCCAGCACTTTGGGAGGCGGAGGTGGGTGGATCACGAGATCAGGAGATCGAGATCATCCTGGCTAACACGGTGAAACCCTGTCTCTACTAAAAATACAAAAAAATTAGCCGGGCGTGGTGACAGGTGCCTGTAGTCCCAGCTACTCAGGAGGCTGAGGCAGGAGAATGGTGTGAACCCGGGAGGCGGAGCTTGCAGTGAGCCGAGATTGCGCCACTGCACTCCAGCCTGGGTGACAGCGAGACTCCGTCTCAAAAAAAAAAAAAAAAAGATCATATACTTAATGAAATATGTGTAAAATTAACTATATTTGTGGTCATTAAAATATTTTTCCTAAGGAAACACATATATCAGTTTCTCCAATCTGTCTATGTTTCAAGTTTTTAATATGCCTGAGTTTGCAAGCACAAGCAGCTTTGAAGCCACAGATCGACTTGCTTTTGTATAGAGTCTGTTTGTTAATTAAGGAAATGCTGTTTTCGTATCCTCTGGTTTTTGTTTTAAATAGTATTTGAACACTACTCTAGTGAGCAGTTGCTCATTGAAATTTATGATATATATGTTTTTAATTTAAAGAATGAGCTTAGGGTTTAAACCTTTTTCTCACGTATGAACATAAACATAATGTAATAACTCTTCTTAATTGATGGTCAGACCTGTATGTATTGAAATTTAAAAAAAAATTTTTCCAAGTGAATGTCTAATAATTTAAATATAAGAATTCAGTGCTGTAAAGCTTATAGTAGGTAAGGAAATATAGATTCTTAAGTTTGCATCCTATCTGGAAGGAAGGCTAACATGTAAAATCACATTTTTTGAGTCTAAAAGTTGCTGGACTATATTTTTTAGATCTTAATTTCATTAGCCCATTCAATTTTAGAAGACTTTGAAGTGATTTGTGGGGGAAAATCTGTTATGTCTTTGCATTTTAATATATATACACAAACACTCCAAAAAGATACTGATGCACTACTGACTGGTTGAATTCGTTTTTTCTTTTATATAGTTGGGCATTAGGAAAAAAATACTCTGAGCTTTAACGAAGCATTTTTTTTCCACTTAAGATAAAATAAATAATGTAAATTATAGTTCATGAAAAGATTCTTTTAGCTAGGAGAACTCATTTTTAAAAAGAAAATGGAGGAAATTGGAGAAAATGTAGACTGCCAAATAGTGCAGGTGGTAGTTCAGAGACTAAAGATAGATTTCTCCCTCATCCTGAGACCAAAGACAGGTATGTGTTTCATATTTCTTTCAAGTCAAGATTTCAAGTGCTTACAGATCTAGAAGAATAACACAGTAGAAAAACCACTCAGCATTCATAACCCAGTAGACAAATCCTGTAAATAGATCACAGAAAAAGAAATACAGGACACTCAATCTCATAGGGAAATGCAAATGTAAAAACCACGTTAAGATGCCATTTTTTACTTATTTTATTGCAAAGATTTAAAAGATAACTATTAGTGCAGGTGTGAGGAAACATAAATATGTTGCTGGTGGAAGAATAAATTAGCAAAAAATTATGTAGAACAATGTGGCTTATTTGTCAAAATTCAAATGCATATCTTGGCCAGGCGCCGTGGCTCACGCCTGTAATCCCAACACTTTGGGAGGCTGAAGTAGGTGGATCACCTGAGGTCAGGAGTTCAAGACCAGCCTTGCTAACATGGTGAAACCTGTCTCTACTAAAAATACAAAAATTAGCTGGGTGTGGTGGCACGGGCCTGTAGTCCCAGCAATTTGGGAGGCTGAGGCAGGAGAATTGCTTTAACCCTGGAGGCGGAGGTTGCAGTGAGTCAAGATTGTGCCACTGCACTCTAGCCTGGGCGACAGAGCGAGACTCCGTCTCATAGCAAAACAGAACAAAACAAAACAAAAAACAAATGCATATCTTGATTCTTGAAGTTCAATTTAAGGGAAGCTGTTCTACATATATATTTCTGCATGTGAAAGTTATTTATGCCACTACATTAGTGTAGTGTGGGAAGTAAAATTTTTCAAAATAAAAAGTTATTCATGCTAAGGGTATTCGTTTTAACATTATGATAGTGAAAGATTGGAAACAATATAAATATCCTTAATTAGGAGATTTTGATAAATTATGTTACAGTCATGCAGTGAGTTAAGGAAGCTCTGTGTACTGCTGTGAAGGAGATTCAGGGGTATTGTATTAGATCAGGGGTTGGCAAATGTTTTCTTGAAGTGCCAAACAGTAAATGTGTTAGGCTTTGCCGGCAATGTCGTCTCTGTTGAGACTGCTTAGCGCCTTGTTGCAGGAATGCAGCCATAAACAATTCTTAGATGAGTGAGTATGGCTGCGTTTTAGTAAAACTTCATTTACAATGACAGGTGACTGGCCTGCAAGCCATAGTTGCTGTACCTGTGTTAAGTGAATGACGCGAAGTGAAGAACCTTGGTATGTAAACTATAATAGAACTGTGAATGAATTATTGAAAGCATAGAGAAGAGAGTTCAGGGAACTTTGCCTGGGATATTTAGGAAATATAGATGAAGTGATAATTTATAATAATAAGGTAATTGAGTTTCTGTGGGTAAGAGCTCTAAAGAAAGTCTTCTGGGATCAGTGAGAAGTTGTCTGGCTGAAATAAAGAGTTCTTTGTTGGGAGTTGATGAAGAGGTAAGTTAGGAGATGCTAAACACTCCTGATTTATAGTCAATTTTCTATGATGAATAAAAAAATTTTTGGCTGGGTGTGGTGGCTCATGCCTGTAATCCCAGCACTTTGGGAGGCCAAGGTGGGTAGGTTACTTGAGCCCAGGAGTTCAAGACCAGCCTGGGCAACACGGCGAAACCCCATCTCTAAAAATAAAAAAATTAGCTGAGCATGGTGGCACACACCTGTAGTCCCAGCCACTTGGGAGGCTGAGGCAGGAGGATCGTCTGAGCCTGAGAGGCAGAGGTTGCAGTGACCTGAGATGGCACTATTGCACTCCAGCCTGGGCAACAGAGCAAGACTGTCTCAAATTTAAAAAAAAGAAATTCAATACTAGCTCTGTTAAACCTTGACATTTTGCCATATTTGCTTTAGATCTCTTTTTCATATTAAAAAAAAATTTTTTTTGACTGCCTCTGCAGAGCAGGGCTATGCCACAGGCAGTGTGCTCAGGGCAGCCATATTTTTTAAAAGAAGCAATTTTATTTTTATTTTGAAAATTTCAATGTAATAAAAGATTATTAATGAGATGTTTTTCATTCCTTTTTGTACTGTCTTTAAATTTGGTGTTCATTTTACACTTACAGCACGTCTCAATTTGCAATAGCCACATTTTAAGTGTTCAGTAGCCACATGTAGTTAGTGGCTTTTACTGTACTGTACTATGATTCAAAGAGAACCACTGTAGGTACTTAAAAGTTGTATTTACTTCTACCACTAGGGGTCAGCCAAGTGTCATAATGACCCAACAAGACAGCATTTTGTGTTGGAGTTTTAAAATTTACAACTGCAGTGCAAAGATCGTTCTGTGTGTAACAAAGGAAACCTCTGTCAAGAGTAATGTTTACTGCTGGTGAAAAAGCTGGAGCAGAAAGGTTGATGGAAGTGTGATCTATGGCCTCTTTAGACACATGGACTCTGTCCTTACAGATGTATCCCTTCTCCGTTCCTGTTTGTCTTGAATAAACTGTTGAAACTTTTCCTCCTGTTATTAGGGAGGTCACATTGTAGTAAATGTACTACTGCTTCTCCACATTTGGGCCTTATTAACTAGGTAAACTTGTTGGCTTGCTTGTTTTCACTAAGAATCTCAAGTAGGCACCATTTGATTACTGAGCCACATATTGTATGCCTTTCTATTCTGGCTTTAAAAAAAAAATTCAGCCTGGTTTAAGGTTGTCTCACCATTAAGGTCTGTATTAGATTTGTGTTTCTTTTTCTCCACAGAAATGACCTCATAGAAATGCCCTAGACTTCATACGGATTCATAGCAGAAATTCCCACTTAGAGTGCGTTAGTTTCATGCACATCACAGTTAGAGGAACTTTTCATTATGCTGTTAATATCCCTTGTGTAAAGACCAAATGAAGAAAATCTAGCTAAGAACAAAGATTTAGGGAAAAATTTTCTCCATCTTACCCATTCATTGCATAGTTCCTGATCATTTTTTCAGTTCTAGAGGGTTTGTTTTAATGCATTTCTTACATGTCCACTTCCTCTTTGTCATAATGCCAGTAATTTACATCTATATTAGTGTCTGTTAACTCTTAAGATAGGACTTTGATATATTCTTCATTCTGTGACTTGATGGGTAGCCTTTCAATAGCAGTTTTAATACAAGGTACTGTTAATATATTTTCTGCCATTAGGTTGAGGTGGAGAGTTCTATGGTTCTGTTTAGTTAAGGAGAATTTGATAAAAGCAGTCATTAAGTTAACTTTCTGTAAGTTAGCAAAATAATTGTTGTTAACATTATGTCACAGCTTTCCCTTCAGGGTAGCATAATTTCTAACTCCTGCATGGTAATATTTTACTGGGGTCATCAGCCATTTGGAAATTGATTGCTGGTTATTTTTATATAAAGATTTAAATACTATATGAATTTACTTCCAAATCCTTTTGCTTTCTGTTGCATGAGTTTGATCAGATAATTAAAAAAAAAATTCTAAACTGAGAACAGCCACTTGCTGGGGTAAGGGTAGAAATGCATGTTATGATTGGACAGATGGGAACTGAGAAAAGAAAGGTAATTCTCCAGAGTAGGGGTTTCGGTGGGTCTGGTAGGGAGTGAGAAATGAGAGAGCGTTAGGTCTGAGTAGGATGCCATCATGGCAGTTCCCTTATATAAGGAATAGCACAGAGTCCTAGAGCTATGAGTTTTCAAAAGCCCCATAGTGTTCTTTCTTATTTTGAAGTGGGACATGCAAAGGTTATATGGGCTACTAGTAAAGTGCCCTGTTGCTGCTTGGAGCATGCCAAACTTAAAGGCCACATAGTTAAAGATAAAAAAATCATTAGTAGGAGTAGATTTGGAAATTGGATTTGATTTGTGAACCAAATTTAGGAAATACAGTAGTGAAGTTTCTTTTTACTTCCTGACATGATATTAGCTGATTGTATACATTTTCCTTTGGCTTCTTATAAGACTACAATTTTAGTTTCCTCGGGATTATATTGATTTGCCAAAATTCCTGAGAAAAAGCCTTGTTTTGGTAAAACTTTTAGTGGTTTGAAAGTGGAATGATGGATCTTACGTGAAGGAAATATGTAATGGCAGTGTGGTGCTAGTAGGTAGAGATCAGTTTGGTTGTGAACCTCTGGTTTGGTGTAATATATTTGTTATCATGTATGTTTAATTAGAGGGCCGTTTCCCATTTTCCCCATGAAAATATCCCCTCCCCCAAATTCTTCTGTCAACTAAAATATATAGGGATTTAGAGATATACCTGACACATTAAACTCTACATCTGTTTAATCTAACATAAACAATTGAGTTACATATAAAATTTAGAAATAAAGTTATGTTGTATTTATTGTCCCATATGATGAAGTACTTTTGTTCAAACTCTTCATATTTAATTGGGATCCCTTTGGAATAATTTGTCTTTCTAAGATAGTTGTTCAGGGTGACAGCTATTAGGAATATGAGTGACTTTATAAGTCTTGAGATGTAAGGGGACTCCTTTTTTCTGAAAAATAATTTTTGAGGGGTAAAACCCTCATCTGATATCGGAACATACATAATAATTCCTTATACCTTTTATTTTTGATATTTAGAAGTATTTCTTGATTGTGAGAAGTCAGAGTCTTAGCTTATTCTTATTGAGTAAATGAGTAAGTTTTTAGTTGTTAATGTGGATTTTGTCTTTTCCTTTTTTTCTTTGAGGGGTTGGACATAATTGCCTTATTTCATTTCAGGGATCCTTCTAAAGTAAATATTCTGGTACCTGGTGCTGGACTAGGAAGACTGGCCTGGGAAATAGCTATGCTAGGTTATGCTTGTCAAGGAAATGAATGGAGTTTTTTTATGCTCTTTTCTTCCAACTTTGTACTCAACAGGTATTTAATTTATTTTTTGCTGGAAATAGTAATTTCTCAGAATCAGATTGACTTACCTATTTTCTTGAACAATTTTGAATTTGAAGATAAGTACATAGCATTTGATTATTATATATATCACAAATGTGTCTTATGTTAAAATCAAAGTACTTACACAAATTATCACTTGAACCAATTGCCTAGTTATTAGAGTGTTGAAACAAGATGGGTAAGTGACTTTATAGAAAGTGACTGGGCATTCCATGAAATGATTTCTGTACAAAATCTTCAGGACTAAGTATGAACCAGGAAGGAGTATTTCTAAATTTATTCCTTAAGCTTCTTTACTTCCTTGTTTCTTTAGTTAAATAAGAGTTTAGTTTAGCAATTATAACTTTTTCTCCTTAATCAAGTTCTTATAAAATGGCCAAGTATGCTCTCATGACTGAGTTGGAAAGATCTCTCAGAACTTCTGTGGCCTCTTTTGGAAGGCAGTGGAAAACAATTGTTATTTTTAAAGCCAGAAGATGTACATTGAGTAGCTGCCTTGTTTAAATAATATGTTGTCTCGGATGGCAGTATGAGTTTTAGGGGATTGGTGAAAAAGGGAAAAAAGAAGAGGGTTATACAAAAAATAGCAAACTGTTTTAGTTGAAACCAGTACCATTTTAAAAAACCTCGTTGGACTGTTATTACTTGGTTTTGAAGTTTAGAAATACATTTTTAAAAATCTGAATGAACAGCACATTTATATCTCTGAATTTACTTTTTTTTTCTGTCTTTAATCCATTGATTGGTTGCTCATCTACATGTATATGTACATTTTCAGATAATTAGGGAAGCTGTAATAGTGACTCTTTAAATATTAATTATATATGCAAATCTTCAATTAAACAGTATATTTTTAGTATTTAAAGTGGATTTTCTTGGTAAAATATTTAGTTAACACCTGATTTTATACTCATATTTTGCAGATGTTCTGAAATTAATAAATATAAACTTTATCCTTGGATCCATCAGTTTAGCAATAACCGGAGATCAGCTGATCAGATTCGACCCATCTTTTTCCCTGATGTTGACCCCCACAGTCTTCCTCCTGGTTCTAACTTTTCTATGACAGCAGGAGATTTTCAAGAGATTTATTCAGAATGCAGTAAGTCCAAATCAAGCGTTTAAAAAGTCTTGTCCTTTATTCTAAATTTAATGAGCTAGTTTTATCCTAAGCCAAGGTTTAGATCATTCATTTTGATGGTAGAACATAAGGCATATGTCAGTGTCAATTTAGAATGTTTTCAAGGTCGTGTACAAGGCAGTGATAGGAAATAAGAAGTGTAAGATATCTACAGTCAAGAAATTTAGAATCTGTTGGGCCCATTAATACTAAGAGATACCATGTAAACAAAGGTTAAATGAGTAATGAATACCAAAAAAATGAAAGGTTATTAGTGTAAGAAGGAAGCTGTTCATAGTGAGGCTATGACTTGAAGGTTGAGAGAATAGCATTTGAGGCAGACAGAAGTACAAAGATATGAACAAGGTGATTGGGGATGGCAGCACAGCTGTACTGGCAGGGAAAGAAAAGATTTAATGGGAGATTTAATGAGATTTAATAGGAGCTATTGCTAGAAAAGTGAATTTGTTCCAGATCATGGAGGACTTGTATAGTCAGGCTGCACAGTTGACTTCAGCCTGGCAAACTGTTGAAGAAATCTGAGCTAGGCAGGAGAGAAAGGGAGATGGTAATAGGGAAAGTGGAGAGGGAGATTGGCACTAAAAGGAAAGCAAAATAGAATACCGAGGGTTCAGCAAGATCATTGAGTCAATAGGTATTTGTTGAGCACCTACTAAGTACTAGGTATTTTTCTAGGTGTCAAAAGAGAACAGTGAACAAAACAAAATCCCTGTCCACAGAGAACTTCCAATAGAGAAAGTGAGGCAATAACAAATACAATATTGTAAGGAAGAAAAAATAAGGCAGGGAAGACGGGTTACAGAGTGACTGGGGAGAGGCTGCTGCTTTATATAGAGTTGTCAGGGAAAGCCTTTCTAAGAGTAGAAACTAAAAAAAAAAAATGTCTAGTAGAGAACCTTGAAAGAGTACACAGACAAACCACTGAGATATTTGAAGGCAAAATTTTGCAGATGGGGAATGGCAAGGGAAGAGGATCAGGGAGTAGAGTGAGTGCTTGCTCTGCTCAAGGAGGAGCTAGGCTGTAGTAAGCAATGGGTACAGTGGTGAGAGGTCAGCCTCGAGAGGGTTTGATGAGGCAAACTTGTTGGCAGGCCATAGCAAGGACTTGGAATTGTACTCAGAGAAACAGGAAGCCATTGGAGGGCTTAAAGCAGGGATAGCAACAACATAGATTGTTTTTATTTATTTATTTATTTTACAACATAGAAAGTTTTTGTTTATTTTTCTCTGAACTCTGAGACTGGGACAACCTGTACTCTGAAGGAAGAAAGGGAGAGATGGAAGATGTTAGGTGTTGTGGATAAGGAATGAAATAATGGAAAACATCACTTAGGCAAGTAAAAGTCCCCTTTTTCTGGAGCAAGGTTTGAGAGAACAGATGATGAAGGTAGTCCTCCATGGGATCAAGTGCCTTTATTGCACCAGCATTTGTATAGACACCATACCTCCTAGAGGCAAACGGTGTTCTCTACTGGGTTCCCACCCACTGCTTCTGCCTGCCCCTGGCTCCCCTTTTTCCCTGGTAATTATTCGAAGTTGTGGTAGATGTTGAAGTATTTGGATGTCATTCATTTCTCAGTTGGCAACTGGTGCCTGCAGTCTTTCTGAAACCTGCCAGAATTGGTGGTTAACACTAGTTTAAATTTGAATGACTATTATTTTGTTTTAAGTGATTTTAAATGAAGGCTAGAAGTTGAATAGAGGATAAACAAAACTCTAACAAATACCATTTGGTAATAATATGTAGAGATTAGATTATAATATTAGTGTTATTGGGGATGATTTCCAAATTGATTACTTAATCAGATTATTGATATCAGTATTTCCCATAAATGACTGTTTGGTTACTGTAATTATAATGTTGATCAGAAGTTTAGCTTCTGTATCTCTGTCAAATATTAATACTCTGTAAAAGGTAACTGGCAGATTTAAATAATTAATTAAAAGAAAAAAGCAAAATAACATAACAGATGCAGTAATTTGATTTTTCTTCATTAGATACCTGGGACTGTATTGCTACCTGTTTCTTCATAGACACAGCTCACAATGTAATTGATTATATTGATACAATATGGAAAATACTCAAGCCAGGTGGAATTTGGATAAATCTAGGTAAGTTTTTTAGTATTTACTAAAATTTTGTATATTAATCTGAGTACTTACAGCTGTATTACATTTAACTTCACAGTCTCAAATGTGCATGAACATTAGAATTATGTTGTAAATGTTTTAAAACCACTACAGTTTCCTTTAGACTGCATCCTGGTGGTGATCCCTCCAAAGGCAGTGGAAGCTCAGAAGTTGTATATTCACACTTAGGTCAGTCTCACAGTCATTGTAATTTCAGTGTATACTAATTGTTGATCTGATGGTAGGTAATCATTCCCTCATTATCACCATCCCACATGCTGAGACAGTGGTCCGTTCTGTTAGGAAGAGAGTGTTCTCTTTTTCTTTCTATAATGAAGCATGCGGGGAGATTTTACCTCTTCCATGGAATCTTCCTCCCTAGTACATCCATATACTGGGAAGGGTGTAGGTGTGATAACTTCTGTGATTACCTTGAGTTTAAGAAAGAATAGAAACACAATTTTTTTTATGCAAAATTTTTTTTTACTGCATTCTACTTACTACTCGATGTTAGAAATTAAATGTTGACTATAACATGGTCCCTCCAGTCCAGAATCTAAAGGAAATTGCCATTTTACTCCTTTTTAAAATAAAGGGGGTATAATGATAATATTCAGGTAGATATACATGTATTCTTTCGTGAGATATATAATCTGTGTTCAGAAAGACATCATGACTAGAACATAAAGGTTTTCAAGATAAGGATTATTATACTACATAAAAGGACATAACGTACATGGTCTTGAGCCCTTGGCCTTCCGGGTGGGTCTAGTTTTGTGACTGATTTCTGACACCTACTCTCTTTTTAATTTTAATTTACCAGAAATTTTGCCATTTGGGACTAAGCCCTGGAGGTAGTAGTAAGTCTTTTGCAAACTTCTCTTAAGAATTCCTTAGGACCAGATGAAAGCAGCTGTACAATGCAATCATAATAAAATAAATATCCCAAACTGTAAGTCTTCTTTAAAAGTAGTTACCTTGGGAAATTTTTCCCAAGGAAAAATGGAAAGATATTACCTACTGGGTATTTGCTTACTGTGGGTTAGGTACTGTGTTGGTCCCTTATAAATACCTTGTGGAATCTCAAAGCAGCCCTATATTGAAATGGCACTATGTTATAGTTGAAGAGACTTAGAGTCTTGGGTTAAATAACTAGCAGAACAGTCCTGTAGCTTACATGTGGCAAAGACAGGCTTGAAGCCCAGAGCCAATTTCTTGATTACCCTCAGTTAATTTGTAAGTTAGCATTAACATGACCCTGTGTTTATATAATTAAATTTTTTGACCCCCATTACTGAGTTATGGTAAGGTTTTATGTATTTCCAGAGCATGTGACTTTCATAGAAACAGCTTTTTTTTTAACATTTGTTTTATTGGTTTATGAATATTTTATTAAGTTATATAATACAATAATTGTAACTACCTGAAGCACATAAAGTTGGCTCCTGATAAGTATACTGTTTGATAAGAGTAGATGTACTATAGTGTGACTTATGATCTGTCATGGGCATCAGAAGTAATGGAGCATGTTGGTTAACAGGAAGTCAATTAGGAGAGCTAATTCCATTATGGAGTCTCAAAACAATTTTGAAAATTGTAATAATGGAGAAACACAGTCCTTAAAAATAGTTATTTGGAAGGTTAGTACTTTATAAAGTATTAACTTACACATCTTTTGCATGTATAAGTTAAAGAATGTAAAAAAAAAAGTCTCAGAATCAGCTTTCTTTTAAATGTTACTGTGTTCTGGGCATCTAATCTGTGTTTTTCATTTTTTATGCCATGTACTCATTTTTGACTCCATATTCCTCCTACCTAATCTCATGGCTTTTCCTACTCTTTGGATTCCCAATCTGTATCTCTGGTCCAAACATCTCTCTTGTGCTCCAAGCCAGTATGTCCAACTTGGGTGTACCACAGATACTTCAAAATCCTTGTGTCTCAAGACCAGCCTGGGCAACATGCCCTGAGACCCCATCTCAAAAAAAAGCCAAAACAAAACAGAAAATGATTCCATGCCTCCCAATATCTTTTCTATTAATCATCTACTCAGGTTACCCTGAAGAAAAATACTGGGAGCCTTTCGTTACCCCTTTTATTAGGTCACTCAGGCTACCATAACAATACCACAGATTGGGTGGCTTAAATAACAAGTTTATTTTCTCACAGTTCTGATGACTGGAATTCCAGGTGCTCACCAGGTTGGTGTCTAGTGAGGGCTCTTCCTTTGATTTGCAGGGGTTACCCTCTTGCTGTGTATTCACATAGCCTTTCTTTGGTTGTGCATAGAGGGAGAAGGAGTGAATGAGAGCATGAGTGAGCTCTTTGGTGTGTCTCTTCTTATAAGGACACTAATCCTATTGGATGAGGACCCCACCCTTACGACCTCATTTACCTTAATTACTTCCTTAGAAGTCCTACTTTCAAATACAGCCACACTGGGGATTAGGGCTTCAACATGTGAATTTGGAGGCAGGGGGACACAAACAGTCAATAGGACCTCTCTTTTTCCTCGCTGTTTGTCTCTAGTCAGTCTAAAAGTTGTATCTCCTAAAGCTACTTAATCGCTCTTGAATATCCTTCTATTCCAGGGTTTCTCGATTGTGGTTTTGACATTTGGGCTGGATCATTCTTCAGTGGGAGTGGTGAGGGAAGTGGGGGTCTGACCTGTATAGTGTAGGATGGTTAACAGCCTTCCTGGCCTCTAAGACTCCAGTAGTACCTCCCAGTTTTGACAACCAAAATGTCTTTAGATATTGAAAAATGTTGCCCTCCGGGGGTGGAGGGTGTTGGCAGAGTCATCCCCAGTTGAGAACCATTGCTCCAATTTCATGGTTTCTTGCCTGGATTAGCATTAGGATTACTGTAGTAATTTCCTTAAGGACGCCCCTGCCTTCAAGTTGTCTTCGGCCCTTTTCATTTCTCCACATAATCATCAGTGACCTTCCTAACATGCAAATCTGTTCCTGTAAGACTCCCTGCATGAAATTCTAGCTTTCTGGAAAACCTAAACTCTTCAGGATTATGTTTTTTACCTTCAGGATTATTTTTTACCACCCCTTCTCTGACCTCAAGTGCCAGTCCTTTGACTTAGCCCTTTCTTTCTCTTCTGTTTTCCCTTGGTTAGTCCTTATGTGTTCTTAAACACTTAGCTCAGGTGATCCTTTCGGGTTGGGTTAAGTATTCTGTATTTCTTATGTTCTAAGAGACTCTGCTGTAACATATACTTCAGTTTGGTATTAGCACCCATATGCTTTTGTTTCCACTGCTAGTCTCTAAGCTCCATAAGGGCAAAGATCTAATGCTTCCTAGTCACCTGGTACAAAGCCTGGCAAACAATGGGTATTAATGACTGTTACATGTATGTATGAATGTATTGTTTCAAAATTTGAAAAAGGGAACATACTAAGATGTCTCGAAGAGATGATGAAGTGCCATCTATATTGGTAAATTCATAACATTCTTATGGTTTTGGCTTTAATTATATAGACCTGGAGGCTTAATTTACCCTGTAAACTGAGAGATCAACCTCTTGGGGATGATTTTACCCTAACCCTGCTTAGGTAGACTAGAACATCAATATATTCATATATAATGGGAAATGTAATGGCCAGCCATTCTGGAACAAATGACATTGGAGGTAAAATTATATATGAAAATGTTGCCCAAACTGCATGAAATCAGATTTGGTGGGGATCATTAATTTACAAATGCTTTAATTAAGGAGGATTTGATGGACTCTTTAACACTACCCAGTTTAAGGAAAGCTAGTAAGCCTTTTAAGGGAACTATTATGCATATGTCCTTTGGGTAAGGCTATGATTTTGGCAAAGAACAAAAGAATGCCTGTGAATTCCCTTTTTCAGTTTTTCATCCTGACCAGCACTCCTTAAACACATTTATTTATAATTTCTTCTAAAAAGAAAGTGTGTGTGTATGTATCCACTGATAAATTTGGGAGTCAGGTAGTGGAGGGCAGGCATTTAGCTACATCTGGAAGAATTAATAAAATGAATCTAACTACATCTGAAGAATTAAAATGTAACTACATCTGGTAAAAGTACCAAAGGAGATCTTTGTAAAGTGTACTGAAAGATAGGTCTTATCAGATTTTAGAGCATTATGAAGCTACAGAATTTTTTTTTCTTTTTTTTTTTTAGATGGAGTCTCACTCTGTCACCCAGGCTGGAGTGCAGTGGTACCATCTCGGCTCACTGCAACCTCTGTCTCCTGGGTTCAAGCGATTCTTATGCCTCAGCCTCTCAAGTAGCTGGGGTTACAGGCGTGCGCCACCACACCTGGCTGTTTTTTGTATTTTAAGTGGAGATGGGGTTTCACCATGTTGGCCAGGCTGGTCTTGAACTGCCGACCTCAGGTGATCCACCTGCCTCAGCCTCCCAAAGTGCTGGGATTACAAGCGTGAGCCACTGTGCCTGGCCTAGAATTTTTTAAAACGAGATTCCCTTTAAAAGATAGATGACTGAACACATACAGCCCTTTCCTCATTATAGTAGTAGTAAAAATATAAAAAGATATAAAACACATGGACAAAGAATGGCAGGCATGTTACTGGGGGACAAAATAATGTGCCAGTTTTTAGAAGTTGGGGTAGATAGGTAAGTTTTGCGAAGAAAAACACATGTGAGAGCCACCTTACCCGAATAACTCTGGAAAACGAGGTGCTGTATGGAAAAACCTAACTTGAAAATCTGTATATATTGAACAGTTGACTCCTCTATAATCAAGATGCCTACCTTATATGCCCATTTCCACTCCATGCTCAGGTGAGAGACCATAAGTTTAATTCTCTAGAAAAAGTAAATAGGAAAGGAGCAGGATTTAGGAAAGCGTGTCCTCATATAGAATGGGGGCGAAATGTAGGGCAGAAAAGAAGGGGATTAATTAAAAACTTTGGAAAATGCTCAAGCAGTGAACGTCAGCCCAAGCCATCTCCAACCCCTACCCTGCCTATAAAACGTACCAAGGTTTGGCCGGGCATGGTGGCTCACACCTGTAATCCCAGCACTTTGGGAGGTGAGGCAGGCGGATCACGAGGTCAAGAAATTGAGACCATCCTGGCCAACATGGTGAAACCCCGTCTCTACTAAAAATACAAAAATTAGCTGAGTGTGGTGGCGCACACCTGTAGTCACAGCTACTCGGGAGGCTGAGGCAGGAGAATTGCTTGAACTTGGGAGGCAGAGGTTGCAGTGATCTGAGATTGTGCCACTTCACTCCAGCCTGGCGACAGAGCGAGACTCCCTCTGGAAAAAAAAAAAGAAAAAAAAACTTACCAAGGTTTGAATTCCAGATGTTTTGCACAGATGCAAGTCACATTTCTTGGAGTGGGCATGTCAATATCACTATATGAGCTTATTTTAAAATTAATAACTGTTTCTTGTATCTTTTTCTGTCTCTTAAATCTTTATGCCTAACTTTTTAGATTTTTCAGCCTTTTTGTGGCAATCTTTATGTTTTAGGTGTGTCTCTTACAAACAGCCTACAGTACATTTTTACTATCCAGTCAAACAATCTTTCTCTCTTAACCAGAACTTTTAGAGCCTTACAGGTGTAAATGGTTTAAATCCGCCTGTCACAGATTTGGCAAGTGGTTTGGCAACCCCCTTTAAGCTAGTTCCTGTTCTTTCGACATATCCCTGTCACTGTTTGGTACCTCCTTTGTGAAACAACCAGATATTCCAAGCCCATCTTGTACTTTGTCTGACCAGCCATTATTTCCAAGGATTCCTAGTTCCTTTTAATGGGGAATGGTTTGTAGAAATGGAAAATCTAGTTCCTACCACCGAAGTGGTATTTTGTCTAGGCCTTTTTGGCAAACAGGGTAGGAAATATATGTATATGTCCGTCTGTAAAAATCATGTATATGCGTGTATGTAAAAATCATCAAAGGAGGGCCTTAAGAAAAACTAAACACACACACATACATACACACAAACATACAGACAAAATCGTAAGTTCATACTGATAACTTTAGTTCCAATGCAACACTCAGTATAAAATACTAAGGTGGCAGGTAGCTTTCAACACTTAGAATATATCACACCCAGTGGCCTCTAGTTTCCGTCTTTGCTGTTGAGAATTCAGCTTTTTAAAATGTTGCTCCTCTGAAGGTATTCTGTTTTTTTAAGATTTTTACCTTGTAGTTTTATCAGGTCTAATATTACATCTAGGTGTGGAGTTCTCTTTTTAATACTGTGCACAGTTTGTTAGGCTTCTTAAGTCTATGAATTGACCTTATCAGTTGTGAAAAATTCTCAGCTTTGCGGGGGGATCCCCTCTCACCAATCATAGGTTTAGCATTAAAATATGTAACAATAGCCATTATTTCTTCACATACTTCCTCTGCCTCATTCTTTTTCTCTGTTTCTTCTGGAAATGCAATCAAATATATTTTAGAACTTCTCATGGTAGCTTTCATATATCTCAACCACTTCTCTTGCTATCTTTCTCGCCATGCTGCACTCTGGATAGTTTCTTCTGACCGATAGTCTTTTATTTGAAAATACTGAGCATATTATTTCTGATAATTCTGACATCTCAAGTCTTTGCAGGTCATTTTCTGCTTTCTCTTGCTTTTCTTGGTTCTTGTTCATGATTCCTTGTTTCTCTGTGCTGTTGACTTTGAGTGTTTATTGGGGATTGTTCATGAGAAATCGCACTTTGGATTTCTTAAGGCCTGGGTTGAAGTGTTTTTCCCCAAAGGAATTTGCATTTGCCACTTTTAAAGCATCAGATCTTGCAAGAACTCAGTATCCTGAGAACAGCATGGGGGGAGCCACCCCTATGATCCAGTCACCTCCCACCAGGTCCCTCCCTCCATGTGGGATTATAATTTGAGATGAGATTTGGGTGGAGGCACAAAGGCAAACCATATCAGCAGTAAACTATATTTTTAGATTAAAAAAATTCTTTAAAGGGGGAACAAAGAGAAAACTACCCAGCAATGAAATAGGCTGTACAACATAAATATGCAAGTTATTTTAATAATAAAAAAACTGGATGACGTAGCTCATGCCTGTAATCCTGACAACTCCTGAGGTCAAGCCAGGCAGATCACTTGAGGCCAGGATTTCTAGACCAGCCTGGGCAACACAGCAAGACCCTTCATCTCTAAAAAAAAAGTTTAAAAATTAGCCAGGTGTAGTGGCCTGTGCCTGTAGTCCCAGCTACTTGGGACCTGAGGTGGGAGGATCACTGGAGCCCAGAAATTCAAGGCTGCAGTGAACTATGCCTATGCCATTGTACTTCAACCTGGGTGACAGAGCAAAACTCCAACACTCAGTAAAAAAATGAAAAAAAGAATAAATGTAAACAACCTATATACAGAAAAAAATGTTCATTCTCACTGTTAAGTAAATAAACATAAATGTGCTACCATTTTTCACCTATCATATTCACTAAGTTTTTAAATTTGCTTACTTAAAGCTTAGGTAAGTACAGTGAGATGGGATATGCTCTTGTTCTGTTAGTGGGGATGTAAAATGATATGACTTTCTTCTAGAAAAACAGTAACATGTTATAAAATAGTGTGTGGGAAAACCTTAAATATTCATACATTTAGTCAGGGGTTGGCAAACTACAGCCCAATTTGGCCTGTAGCCTATTTTTGTATGGCCCTACCACTACAAGTATTTCTTACATTCTTAAAGGGTAATGGGGAAAAACACAAATAAGAATATATGCTAGACACTGTAAGTGGGACACAAAGCCTCAACTATTTGCCATCTGTCCTGTTACATAATTAATCCACTATTACCTATGTTTATTAGATTAATTATACTTCTAGAAGTCTGTCAGAGGCAAATAATCAGATATGGGCGGACTAAAGACTGATGAAATGGACAGACATACTCAGCAAGAACTTAGAGTGAACTTATATTTCTAACAGTAATGGAGTGGACAGTCATAAGACATTCATACAGTAAAACTATTTTCTAGAAATAATGAAATAGAGAAATGTTCCTAATGAAGTATAAGATGTAAAACTGTATATGGAATATACTGTACATCAAGGAAAGACTGCAAGGAGATAAATATTCAAGTGCTTACTCTGAATGTTAGACTTATAGGTGATTTTTTAATTTTTTAATGCTTTTTCATGTTATCTCAGCTTCCTAGTTTTGATCTTATAATCAAAGAAAAAAACATATCTTTGCTCCTTCTGTTATGGCCACTAAAAGAATATGAAGAAAGCTGCGTGTGGTGTTGCATGCCTGTAGTCCCAGCTATTTGGGAGACTGAGGCAAGAGGATTGCTTGAGCCCAGGAATTCTAATCCAGCTTGGGTAATATAACAAGACACTGTCTCTAAAAAAAAAGTTAAATAATTAAAAATTAAAAAAGAAAAAAAGAACGAAGAGACATGAGAGTTGAGAAAATAAAGAACCCTTTGAGGAATGTGTCTCTGTTATTCATCTTCATATATATCCAGTGCCAGACATTAGCTAGGTGCTTGGTAAACATTTGTTTAAAGAATGGGCAACTAGGTCGTGAATATGAAAAACTGCTCAGCCTCAAAGAGATGCAAATTCAAATTATATATAATTTTCCCCATATCAAATTAGCAAATATTTTGTTTAATAAAAATTCTTGTTGTGTTTTTTTTTTAAGTTGGATTTTTTTGGAGATATAATTGACATATAATAAAATTCACCCTTTTTACAAATGTACAGTTTGATGCATTTTGAAAACTGGATAATTGTGTAACCATGGCCACTATCAAGACAGGGAATCTTCCCATTTCCATCACCCCAAAATGTCCCCTTGTACTCCATTCTCTCCTCTTACTCCTAATACCATGCTGTCACTACTTTGGATTCTGTTACTATAGTTTTCCCTTTTCTAGAATGTCATATAAATAGAATCATACAGTATGCTGCTTTTTGTCTCTGGCTTTCTTAGCATAACACTTTTGAGATTCATCATTTTGTTGCATGTACTGTTGTGGTGGTCTTTTTTTATTGTTGACTAGTTTTCCATTTGATATATTACATTTTGTTTATCCATTCACTGGTTGGTGGACGTTTGGGTTATTCCCAAATTATTATGATTAAGAATAAAGTTGCATTAAATATGAGTATAAATCTTTGTGTGGCTGCAAATTTCCATTTATCCTGCGTAAATACGTACCTAACAGAATTGCTGGGTCACATATGGTGAGTGTATCTATAACTTAGAAACTGGCAAGGTGTTTTCCAAAGTGACTGTACTATTGCATTCCCACAATTTAATATAAGATGCTGAAATAAGTACTTATTGCAATTGTGAGTGAAAACTTATAACTCTTTGGGAAAGCATTTTTGGCATTCTGAATCAGGTCAGTAAAAATGTTTATTCTCTGGCCTTCAAGAAACATCTTTGTAAGGGATAATCTAAAATATGCACAAGGATATTTGTCAAAGTACCATTGTATTAGAAGACTAAAAATATACACTCCAGCTGTTGTCTTTGGTAAAATTTATAAATTCAGCACTAAGTTAGGCATTGTGGTGGGTTCAAAAGCAACTTAAGATGTGTTCCTTGACTTACATAACTTGTAATCTAGTGAGAAAACTGTGCTAATTGCCTGAAAAATTTTCACTGAGCAATGCAACACAGCATTAAATGAGTGTTAAAATATGCCACATTAAGAAGAATGAGCAGTAGGGATGAAGACTTGGATGGATTTCAGCAAGGTTTTGAAGCACGGCTAAAGCTTGAGTTGGAGGGTTGGAGCTTTCTAGGTGGAACACACCATGACTAGAGGTAAAAATGGTCTAAGTATGTAAAAATCATTGGAATATATGTATGTATGTAGAGATAATAAAACTATGTTATTGGAGGCTCTTAATGGAACAGGAACAGCATAATCTTTAAAAGCTGGAAAGACTCTGCTGTGAGGCTCTGCATTCTTATAAAAGCTTTGGGTAGTCTAGGAAACAGCAGTGCTCAGGAAATGGTAGAAAACAATCATTTTTACTGGTACTAATATAACAAATTTCAGCTTGATAGAGTAGTTTGATAAGGAACCATTGTTATCTTTTGTAAGTAGCACTAACATATACATTATATTCATGGTCATTTTTTCTAGTCGTTTATGTAGGATACAGAAAGGAGAGAGAAAGAAAAACTTTTTTACCCTGTGATCCACAGAATGTTAAGCCTCTTGGTAGCAGAACCTTTGTCTTGTTATTAAATACTTCTGTCTTCCATGATTAGCACATTGTATGGGGAGTAGGAGTAGAGAGCTGGTTGCAGGATTTATAATTAACCCAATGAAAGGTAAAGAGAAGATTGTCTAGATTAGCCTGAGGTATATATAACTGTGTTAAGTGATAATGGTTCCTGGATGAGGTTGATGGATTGGGCAAAATGATAGATTGAAAGATTTGAAAATCATGCTTTAAATCATATGTGCATTTCTTGAATGTATAGAATGAGCAAATAGTAAAGGGAGGATGTCATATAAACAGTGTAATACCTGCCATTTACTTAGTGCCTTGTTTATGACAGGTGTAATACATATTATCTCACATTAAAGTCATACTACAGGGCACACACGGTGGCTCACGCCTGTAATCGCAACACTTTGGGAGGCCAAGGCTGGTGGATCACTTGAGGTCAGGAGTTCAAGACCAGCCTGGCCAACATGGTGAAACGCTGTCTCTACTAAAAATATAAAAATTAGCCTGGCGTGGCGACAGGTTCCTGTAATCTCAGCTATTCAGGAGGCTGAGGCAGGAAAATCACTTGAACCTGGGAGGTGGAGGTTGCAGTAAGCCCAGATCATGCCACTGCACCCCACCCTTCCTGGGCAACAGAGTGAGATTGTCTCAAAAAAAAAAAAAGTCATATTGTAGATGAAGTGGAGTTATTGAATTGCCCACAGACACACAATTATTAGATGTTAGAGCTGGGATATGAACAGTGCACTTAAAAAAATAAAAGCCAGCTCTAATGTTACTTCTTCCTTTCAGGAAACCTTCCATATAACTCCTGTCCACCTTTTACTACCTAGGTTAACTTGAGGCTCCTCCTTTGTTTTCATATGATATACAGTTGGTAACTGCAGTTTTGCATTTGCTTATGGAATTATAATTGCAGAATACATTTGGAATTTGAGGACTTAGCATTCTCTGATTCATCTACTCCTTCAGTAACTTGCAAGTTAAAGGTGAAGGCCCATGGTGTGAATCACAGTGCAAGGCAGGTATGCCAGAGGGACTCACTCCTCATGAGTGTAGGCCCAACTCTTGAGATACTAGGCCAAATTTTCAGAGGTCTGGGCATTTTCAGCAAATGCCCAGACTTTTTATGTTTGTCTCATCCAGTACCTAACTTACTCAACTTGGAATTCAGTGTAACACAGCTATGAGTGTATGTTTATATTCAAGTAATTCATAGTATCTTTAAACCATAGGTCCTCTGCTGTACCACTTTGAAAATCTGGCAAATGAACTTTCCATAGAATTGAGCTATGAGGATATAAAAAACGTTGTTCTGCAGTATGGATTCAAGGTAGAGGTAAGAATGGAATAAAATATTGCCAAAGTTTAACTCCCAAAGCACCTCAACAGAAGTGTTGATATCATGGCTGTTAGTGACTATTTGAATTCTCTGTTTTCTTATCTATAAAGGGAAGATAATACAGGTTGAGTATCCCCTATTCAAAATGCTTGGGACCAGAAATGTTTGGGATTTTGGATTTTTTTCCAATTTTGCAATATATGCATATACGTGACATATCTTGGGAGGGGACTGAAGTCTAAATGTGAAATTCATTTATGTTTTATATATGCCTTATAAGCATAGCCCGAAGGTAATTTGATACAATATTTTAAAATTTTGACCACCTGCCACATGAAGTCAGATGTGGAATTTGTCACTTGTGGCATTATGTAGGCGCTCAAAACATTTTGGATTTTGAAGCGTTTCAGATTTTCAGATTAGGGATGCTTGACCTGTGTTCCTTAGTTTTCAGAATTATAAGGATTTGGGATAATGTGTACATAAAGGGAAAACTACTTTCTGGTGAAATAGCCTTTCAATAAATGGTAGCCGATCATTATAATACTGATCTTACAGACTCTCACTGATAGAAAGTAGAGTAGGCTCTGGGGAAAACAAAAGGGGGTCGGAGGGCAGGTGTAAGAGGGATATTCACAATATGTCCTTGTGTACTGCTTCATCTTTTTTTAATCATGTGCATTACTATAAAGTTTTGTGATATTTTGGCTATTGTGTTTCAGTTCATTTATTTAGAAGCATTCCATTTTAGAAACAATAGGTTTGTTTTTAAGAATGACGAGAAGCAACATATTATAGTAGTTCAGAGCTCAAGACTGCCTGAGTTTGAATCTCAGTTCCACCACTTACTAGTGTGACTGTTCTTTGTAAAGTGAGACTACTAATATTAATAGTACCTCTCTTATGGGGGTAGTTGTATGTAATAAATGAATATGCTTAAAATAGTGCCTGCCACTGATACATATGTGCTCAGAATTTGTTAGTGGTGTGGTCATGATGACTGTCATAGTATTATGATTATTGTTTGCATTGCAGGTGGAAAAAGAATCTGTATTGTCAACATATACTGTGAATGATCTCTCTATGATGAAATACTACTATGAATGTGTCTTGTTTGTGGTCCGTAAGCCACAATAATGGTCTCAAGTGATACCACCTGGAAAAAAGTTTAGTAAGAACAAATGCTGAAATCAACGACTCAAAATCAACTATCAGTGATGACAGGACACAACCTCAAATCAGTGGTGCCTTCTTATTCCTAACGAAATTTAGAAATAGTGTCTATTTTCTTAATATGTCTATTGCTTTTTCAGAAATATACTATGCCATGCAGATTTGTACTACACAAGTAAAAATGGAGGAAATGTCTTGAAGTATACTTTTTCCTTGAAGCCCAGAATTGTGTTTCAGTAGGAAAAAAACCTAATCTCCAGTGTCTTCATGATGCTGTCCATTGCAAGTCTGCCGAATTAATGACTAATAGTATTGAAGTACATAATAATCTTCCTTTTTTTGTTGTTTTGTATGCATTGCACATGTAACTTTTAGAAGAGTCTAAGGATCCTCAGTCATATTCAACATCTGGAGTTGGGACTTTGTTCACTTTCAATCTAAGAAAACTATGCGTAAAATATGTCTTTTTTTTTTTTTTTCTTCAGAGACAGGATCCCGCTCTGTCTCCCAGGCCGGAGTGCAGTGGCACGATCATAGCTCACTGTAACCTCAAACTCCTGGACTCAAGCGATCTTCCTGCCTTAGCCTTAGCCTCCTGAGTAGCTAGGACTGTAGGCATGTACCACCGCGCCTGGCCTGTGTCTATTTTATCATTCAGATTAATTTAATTTTGTATTTTCTGGCTCAGATGAACTTAAAGAAGCATCAAACATTTCTTTTTTATGAAATGTTAAATTTAATAGCATCACAGGCCGGTAAAATATATTCAAGTAACAGAAATATCAAAGTCTTTTGGCCACAATAAACTGAACACTTTATGAAAGCATACTCATCATGGATCACTTTGAAATATACGAGATCTCAACATTCAAAGTGAGAAATAAAAAGCCTTTATTAAAAGTAGTGCTAGGAAACAGAGAAAATAAGAATAAAATTTACCCATTTGAAATATGTGATTTTCAGACTCTAAATGAATACAGAGTTTGACAGTGTGATGTTTACAATAATGTCTTTTCTTTAGAATATCTGGATTATGAAAGCAAGCACTTTTTTCATTAAAAAAATTATATACTAGGAAAAACTGTCATAATAGTATTAATGTGGGGAATTTTGATTATGAAATTCAGGGATATATTACTGCCCGTGGTCTGTGTCTTCAATATTGTAAGCAGCAGCCATCATGTAATTTCAGATTAATACCAATTTTGTTCCCTGATAGATGGAGCTTAAACAGTATATGCTGCTTTAAATTTCTACCTCTAGCAGATCTTTATTGGAGGGAGTTTTCCTTTGTATTTTTTAATGTATGATATTCTGTTTCCAGTAGCTTGGAAAGTAGAGATGACTAATGTTTTAGCCTTTTCTTGGAGAAAAGGAAGAACTCTTCTTGAATATTTTCACAGATGATTGTGATTGCTTTAAATGACCTCTGTGGCAATTTAAATTAGATGGATTTAATCTCAGTAATGTGCTGGTCGCATAAATGTCATGTTTTAATAGGAAAAGTTACTTGTAAATCTTTAGACCTTTGTTGTCACTTAGGCTGGGGAGTCACTACCCTATTTGGCATCTTACTAGTTGGGGGGACCTTTTCCGTGTACAGTGATGGGACTTTTGTGACCTTTACTCTCACTATGCAATAGAGGGTTTCATGTAGTTAATCTGACATGTCAAAATTGGGAAGACTGTAACCTTTTTTTTTTTTTTTTAAGATTTCTCTTTTTTGTGTCCCTCAATACTTAGCAGATGTTCATTTGGTGGAAATTCTTATTACTTACATGAATGAGTTTGAATTTAGTGGCAAGGAAGAAAAAAAAAACTCAAATTATTGTTTTAAAAGAAGAAAACTTGCAAAGTACATAAGTATTTTTTAAAAATCAATCGAACAGAAAGGAATGCATGCTGTTTTTCAATGGCTTAGACATGCTTTTTATTCACTGACTAGTATTCACTTTTTTACAACTTGTATCAAAACAAATGATCTTTGTTTTTGTCACAGGCAAAAACAGGTTGACACTGGTGGGTTGGCTTTATTAATTAATTTTTTTTCTATTAGGTTTTCTTTAATAATGTTAAATTTCTAAATTATAGCATATGTTTTAGTTAATTCTGAAATCAGTTACTTCATTTGTTAATTTATCCCTCATATCATGAATATTGTTTTTTAAATGTTCTATACAAATTTGCATCACTTCTTTTCTTACAGCTTTTGCAGTTAATATATTCTAAACTTGAAAATGTGGTATCAATCAATAATAGAAGTATCACTGGAGGATTTATTTAGCTTTGTATTTCTTAATTTTAGTCCTAGCTACTAAAGTATGTAAGCCTTAAAGTTTAAAATGTTTTTCTTAAATTAGCTTTATACACAAACATTTTCATTTACTTTATGAAATGGGAGGAGATAGTCCACTGTGCTTATGTTTTTTTGTTTAATTTCTATATTCTGAAGCAGTGCAGATATAGGGTATGCTAATCAAGTGAGCAAGGTGGAACATGTACAATATAAGGAGAAGCTGTAAAAATCACAGTATAAAATTATGAAGTTTGGTAACTGTAAAATGTACTGTATTTATATGTAACTCTCATTCTAAAAGTTGCCACAAAAGCTGAATTGGAAGCTTCATGTCTGCATGAAATTTCCTATATTTTTAATGTGTATGATGAAATTAATTTTTCTTGAATATTAAAGTCTGCCAATTGCTATGAAACGATAGTTGCTTGGTTTTCATCTAAATTAATGTAACTATAGATGTGGGGATTTTAATGAGTTGAGCATATATACTTTTGAACTCTTGGATTAGCCTATTTTTATATGCTTCTAAGAAGTCAGTAACATGAATACTTCGCCTTATAATATGCCAGGCCTTATACTAACTATTTTCACTTTGTTTCATTCAAGTTCACTGTAATAAAGTTAGAATCCATTGAGGAAAATGAATAATCTTGATTTTCAGTTTTGTTAAATAATGGAAAAAGAACTATAAAAGGAACTAGTAGAAGACAGTTCTAGGACCAGCCATCAGTGGGATGAGCACTTAGATCTTCTGGGTTCATTTTCCTGAATGATTGTGATCTCAGGCAAGCCACTCTTTGGCTTATTTCCTCATCTGTAAGAGAGGATTAATACCATCTATTTCAGATGGTTTATTAGGTCATATGAGCTTTTATATATATTTTTGTGTGTATGAAAGCACATGATAGACGATTACCATAAATGTAATTTCAGTCTGTGTTGACTGCTATATAGTGATGGAAAAAATGAGGATTGTTAACAGGACATTAGTTTTAATTATCTTACAGTGACCCTTTGAAAAAGATTTCCGTGGAATCCTGGGGAAAACAGTAAAAAATGGTAGGTACAGATACAGATTCCAAAAGTTTGTTGGGAATTATAATGAAGTATAATAGTAGGTAATGGGTGAGGGCATAAGTAAAATTTAATGGCATGTTACTCCCACTTTTATTAACCTGCTAGCACATCCCTCTTATATATGTTTGATTCTTTCTCTTTGATACCTATTTAGATGTGGGATCTTTCAGTCAGTGTGTATGTGCATTTTCAGTGAAAAGTTGCCTTTCAGAAGGACTGCACCAATTTACATGCCAGGAACAGTGTTTAAAAGTAACGTATATCCATTCTGTGGCCAGTACTGGATATTGCTGAGCTTTTCATTTTTGTCAGTACAGACATACCTCATTTTATTCTACTTTGCTTTATTGCACCTTGCAGATACTGTATTTTTTTTTAATTTTTTTATTTTTTACAAATTGAAGGTTTGTGGCGACCCTGCATCAAACAAGTCTGTATTGGTGTCGTTTTCCAACAGCATGTGCTCATGTCATGTCTCTGTGTCAGCATTTTTTTGCAATCACGTATTTTTAAATTAAGTATGTACATTGTTCTTTTAGACAAAATGTTATTGCACATTTAATACGCTACAGTATAGTATAAACATACTTTTATATGCACTGGGAAACCTCAAAATGTGTGTGACTCACTTTATCATGATGGTCTGGAACTGAGTCTGCAGTATCTCCAAGGTATGCCTGTATAAGAAGTGTTATCTAATTTGAATATTCATTTACTTAATTATTGGGACAGTTAAGCAATTTCTCTGAGTTTAATGGCCAAAGAGAAGTGTTTTTAATCTGACAGTCTATATGATTTCATGTGGCAGACCTGATAGGCCATTGGCAACAGCTCCAAACCTAATTAAAACATAGTGAGGTTCATCAGGGAGAGTATTGGCCAGAGCCATGAGGACTGCCTTGAGTTCTAGTAATTGAGAGGAGCAGCCACATCTGCTTTTGGATTTACATAGCTGGCACTGAAGCTGAACAGCAGCAGCAGCTCCTCATTGGACTCCATTATGTTTCATTGTAGCCAAACAATTCATGAAGTAGACCCAGAAATTTAGGGGAAACTAAGTCAAGGGCCCCATTGAACCAATGGGATTGCTTTATGCAGTGGAGTTGGCCGTACAGTTTACCTCCAAAAGGATAGCTGCCATTTTTTCATGTAGGACCAAAAAGCTGCTAGGGCCAGGCCAGCTATGCTATTTCTCTTTGACTAGCAAGGCTTGTTAGATACTTTTCACCTTGTTAGTCATCAAGTCGAAGTTGACCCATCCCAAAATGGGGATGTCAAGCCAAAGAGTCAGAAGACCCATGTTAAGTCACATTAAGTTTCAACAAAAGCTTAGCAGATTAATAGCTGCCTTCTTTTGTTAACATATAAAGATGTATGTGGTGGCTGGGTCAGGCAGCTGTTGTGATTGTTAGTATTGAGCTGTTGCCTCTCTGAGTACTCAGGCAGCCATTAAGTCTTTGAAACTTCTCCTCTTGGAGGCCTATATTACTTATACTGGACCACCTGGGGAGGGAGGTCAGTCTGTGCCGTATTCCTTGAAAGTGAGATGGAATGAGATATAGACCAAGAAGTGCAGGCATAAAATCCACGAATTCTATTATACATACATTGAATATGTCCAAAGAACCATGGTGACATTATTTTTGAGGGGTCCAGCTCCTCATCAAAAACTTGGGGGCTGGGATAGGACAGAAGAGAGTTGGCACTTTCTCTAGTTTAACCTCTTGCTATTTCAGTAAGTGATTAAAGCTTTGACTGTTCGACGTGCCTGCTCAGCTCTCCCTGGCCCCTAACAATTTCAGTTTTCCTTCCCCACTCCAAGCCCTGTCCAAACCCTGTCAGTTGAATTAAAGTGCCTTTTTTCCTGTAGGAACACAGACCAAGAAGTTTAACATGTGCATCAGGTGCTACAGCACAGATTCCAAAAGATCAGGTTATCCCCCAGTTGGGAGTTCCAGGTGGCAGAGGAAGCTAGTCTACAATGACAGTAGGAGCAATGGTGGTGGGGCATACAGTTCATCTGCTCATAATTGTTATATCCACACAATTGTCATTAGTATGCCTGAGTGTTTATGCTTGCAAAAAAATGTTATTGCCTATTTCAATGTGTGGAGTGGCCTGCAAAGTGTTCTCTTGTGTTTTTATTTTTCTCAGTGGTGGTGGGAAAGAAATTTGATTCTCAGCATTTTTTTCCATTGACCACTGTCTCCAGGTTCAGTACCTGAGCACTGCTGCTACTTCTTCCCCCATCTATCTCCAGCATCCAATGAGTGTCCAGCTTCCAAGACCCCTTACTTTGGTGCTGATCATAATCTCAAAATACATAATCCTGAATGTTGAAATCCTGAAATACCAAAATCCTTAAGGTCTAAAGTCCCTAACATCTAAAATTTCAATGGATTAAAATCTTTGAAATCCCGTGAGACAAATTCTGGGGAAGGGATTAATGTGTTTTCAGTTGTATGCAGTGTACTTGCATCACGACAGGCAGAACTATTACCTTGTTATTGTCTCTACTAGGAAATTACAGTTTAAGGGGATTCATATAGGTGCCAAATTGACAAGAAGTGGACTTATGGACATAGTTTTAGGTGTCACCTTGTCTGGATTAAGGAATACCTAGAAACCTAGTAAGGCATTATTTTCAGTGTATCTGTGAGAGTCCTTCTAGGGGAGACGTGTATGTGAGTCTCAGTGGACTAAGTGGGAAAGATCTGTCCTCAGTGTTGGCAGGAGCCGTCCAATCAGCCAGGGGCCTATAGAGAACAGAGAAGGCAAATTAGTCCCTCTCAGAGCTGGGACAAATTTTCTGCTGCTGCCTTCGACATCAGAAATTTGACACCACAAACTACATTATCACAGCATTAACCATGTGTAAGCATTATGCATGTATGTAAAAATGTAGAAACTTCCTCAGTAAAGGAAGAGATGTCCTCTTTGTACATCTGCATTTGTCAAAGATAAAATTTCTGAAAATCTTGGCTCTTTGGGCTAATGTGTATGTGGTGGTGACCCACTGAAGGTTTTTGGTTTTTTTGTTTGTTTTTTCAAGACAGAGTCTTGCTCTGTCGCCCAGGCTGGAGTGCAGTGGCACCATCTCAGCTCACTGCAACCTCCGCCCCCTGGGTTCAAGCGATTCTCCTGCATCAGCCTCTCAAGTAGCTGGGACTACAGGCGCCCACCACCGCGCCTGGCTAATTTTTGTATTTTTGTAGAGACAGGGTTTCACCATATTGGCCAGGCTGGTCTTGAACTCCTGACCCCAGGTGATCCGCCCATGTTGGCCTCCCAAAGTGCTGGAATTGCAGACGTGAGCCACCATGCCCAGCCAAGTTTTGTTTTTTGTTTTTTGTTTTTTTGTTGTTGTTTCCTTTTGAGATGGAGTCTTGCTCTGTTGCCCCAGCTTGAGTGCAGTGGCGTGATCTGGACTCACTGTAATCACCTACTGGATTCAAGCAATTCTCCTGCCTCAGCCTCCTGAGTAGCTGGGATCATAGATGCCTGCCACCACACCCGACTAATTTTTGTATATTTGGTAGAGACAGGGTTTCACCATGTTGGTCAGGCTGGTCTCGAACTCCTGATCTGAAGTGATCTGCCTGCCTCGGCCTCCCAAAGTGCTGGGATTACAGGCATGAGCCACCACGCCCGCCCCCCCCATTGAAGTTTTTGATTGATCTCGTCAGGAGACTTAGGTTGTCTATCACTGTATTTCAGATGACTGCAGTTATAAAGCTGGGTGTATGCTTCTATATATTTAGCTTTTTCACCCATTTCTTTATGAATACAGTTTATCTGCTCATAATTGTTACATCCACGCAATTGTCATTAGTATGCCTGAGTGTTTATGCTTGCAAAAAGTATGTTATTGCCTATTTCATTGTGTGAAGTGGTCTACACAGTGTTCTCTAGTGTTTTTATGTTTCTCAAATCCCCTTTTTAAAATGTAAATAAATGCTTTTTAAATAACTTTTAAGATATTTTTCCCTACATTATGTTTTCAAGATTTTGAAATTTTGGGATTGCAATTTTCTGGATTTTTAGACTTCAGGGACTTTGATCTTTCAGTATTTCAATATTTGAGATTATGGCATTCAGAATTGTTTTTCAGGATTATGATCCTAACTTCCTTTCTGTCCATGCTCACCCCACTGTGTTCTGCCCTGCAGTCTTTCAGCCTTGGCTGCCCTGGCACCCAGAGCCCTGTCCTCATTATAAGCCAGGTTGGACTGTTGACAGGAACCAGGTGTTTGCCTTTATACTATTAGGCAAGGTGTTTCCTTCACTCACTTTTAAGTGGCCACCCATGCTCAATTCAACCAAATTAACTTCTGTCTTCAGGTCACTCAAAGCTCTATATTAAATAGCAAAGCCTTCATTGCTGACACATTAATTTACCTTTGAGGACTCTCCATCTCAGCAGTCACAGCCGTACCGCCTTTTAGCTAGGACCATGGGACTTGCTGCTCTGTTGTCATAACATTTCTTCTTTCTGCCTGGAAGAGAGTGAGCAACAATGAAGTTATTATTTGGGTGACTTCTTTCAGTCCTGCTTCTAGCAGCTCAGCATATAAACGGGAAGAAGTAGGGCAATCGTATTCATTACTGGATCTTGGGAGTCTTATTTTCTTGAACCGGCCTGCAGAGCCTTGTCCTTCCTAATCCAGAAATCCATGTCTATCAGCATCCTTCCTTTCTCAACAAAATTGCTAAGTCTGCTATTTGAGTTTACCCTATTTACAATCTAATAAGTTAGTCTGTTACAGTTTCCTAGATGCTAGTAAAGACATGAGAAATTACACAAATAATACAGAGAGTTCTGTGTACTCTCACCCAGCTTCCCCCAAAGATAGCATTTTAAGTAACCATATTATTAAAACCTTGAAGTTGACATTGGTACAATACTATTACTAAACTACTGACAGACCTTGTTTGGAGTTTACCAGTATTTGCATGCACTGTTGTTTTTTTCCCTTATTTTTTCACTTTTAACCTACCTTAATATTTAAAATGGGTTTCTTATTAACAGCACATACCTTGGTCTTGCTTTTTAAATTTTAATTAATGCATAGTATTTGTACATATTTATATAGGGCACATGTGATATTGTTAAATGTATAGAATGTGTGATAATCAATTTAGGGTATTTGGGGTATCAATCACCTTGAATATTTATTTCTATATATTAGGAACATTCCAAGTCCTCTTTTCTAGTTATTTTGAAATATACATTGTTGTTAACTATTAACTATAGTCACCCAACTTTGTAACAAACATTAGAACTTACTCTATCTAACTGTATGTTTGTACCCATTAACCAACCTCTCTTCATAGCCACTCCCACCCATATGCCCTTCCCATCCTCTGATGGCTATCATTCTACTCACTACCTCCCTGAGATCAACTTTCTTAGCTCCCACATATGAGTGAGAACATGCAGTATTTGTCTTTCTCTGCCTGGCTTATTTAACTTAATGTCCTCCAGATCCATCAATGTTGCCGTAAATGACATGATTTCACTCTCTTTTATGACTGAATAGTACTCCATTGTGTATCTAGACCACATTTCCTTTGTCTGTTCATCTGTTGATGGACACTTAGGTTGATTCCTTATCTTTGCTGTCAGTAGAGCTGTCAAAAACATGGGAGTGCATGTATCCTTCTGGTATACTGATTTCCTTTGGATAAATGCCCAGTAGAAGAATTGCTAGGTGGTATGGTAGTTCTATTTTTAGTTTTTTTCTCTATTGTTTTCCATAGTGGCTGAACTAATTTACATTTCCACCAACAGTTTGAGTTCCCTTTTCTGTACATCCTCACCAGCATCTGTAATTTTTTTTTGCTTTTTAATAATACGTATTCTAATGTAAAGTGAGACCTCATTATGATTTATTATTATTGCATCAGTCAACCTTTAATGTCCAAAGGAGGCATGGATGCAGAGCATAGGAGATGTGGCAGGGTCTCAGGCCTTGCTCCGGAAATGAGGGAGAGACGAACACAAACCAGACACTTTCAACTGACCACACAGTCTGGGAGGGCAGGGAGAAACACAGATTTGGACATTCATGAAAAAAATAAAACCTGAAATCAAGCACTCCCATTTTGTGCCCATTGAAGGGTTTGATATAGGAAACTCAGTCACCACCCTGGAGACTGGAGGGGAGGTTCCCCCTCCACTGCCAACATCAAAAAGCAAGCTCAGCACACACTAAGGGCTTAGGGAGGGGCATTCTGCCTCCCCACCAGCCCCAAGAATGGACTTGAAAATAAAAGAATAAGCTGGATCCCCTACCCCCAACATTGTCAACCCTAAACATGAGAGTTTTGAAGACCAGCCAACTAACAACAGGGGCTGCTCCAAGATAACTCCAGAGGAATGAGAAAACAGAGGGCTAAGCAGGGAGCAGACAGGAGAAGAGTGTAATGAAAAAAAAAAATTCAAGCTAATCCTACCCCCAACATCCTCCTCACATGATCTCTGGCAGGAAGAACAAAAGAAGGTAATCCACAAAGACACAGCCCTTAGAATTTCTGACAAAGACAGCAAGACAAGTCTGCTCCCCACTCCCACACACCACACACACTATATATATATTATATAATCTATATTATAAAGTAATCTAGATAGTATGTTACATATTATCTATATTATATATAATTATATATATTATATAACTATAGATTATATAATATAGATTATAGATTATATAATATAGGTTATAATTATAGATTAATATAGATTATAATTTATAGATTATAGTATAGATTATAACTTATAGATTATATATAATATAGATTATATTACATAGCTTATATAAAATATATTGCATATTATATTAAAAATATATATATTTTTTGAGACAGTCTCACTTTGTTGCCCAGGCCGGAGTGCAGTGGTGTGACCTCAGCCCACTGCAACCTCCACCTCCTGGGGTTCAAGCGATTCTCCTGCCTCAGCCTCCTGCGTAGCTGGGATTACAGGCACCACGCCACCACACCCAGCTAATTATTTGTGTAATTTTAGTAGAGATGGGGGTTCACCATGTTGGTCAGGCTGGTCTCAAACTCCTGACCTTGTGATCCGCCCGCATTGGCCTCCCAAAGTGCTGGGATTACAGGCTTGAGCCACCGTGCCCAGCCCCTCATTATGATTTTGATTTTTCTCTGATGATTACTGATGTTGAACATTTCCTGTTGATCGTTTGTATGTCTTCTTTTAAGAAATGTCTGTTCATAGACATCTACAGAACTCTCCACCCCAAATGAACAGAATATACATTCTTCTCAGCACCACATCGCACTTATTCTAAAATTGACCACATAATTGGAAGTAAAGCACTCCTCAGCAAATGTAAAAGAACAGAAATCACAACAAACTGTCTCTCAGACCACAGTGCAATCAAATTAGAACTCAGGATTAAGAAACTCACTCAAAACCGCACAACTACATGGAAACTGAACAACTTGCTCCTGCATGAGTACTGGGTAAATAACAAAATGAAGGCAGAAATAAAGATGTTCTTTGAAACCAATGAGAACAAAGACCGTACCAGAATCTCTGGGACACATTTAAAGCAGTGTGTAGAGGGAAATTTATAGCACTAAATGCCCACAAGAGAAAGCAGGAAAGATCTAAAATTGACACCCTAACATCACAATTAAAAGAACTAGAGAAGCAAGAGCAAACACAATCAAAAGCTAGCAGAAGGCAAGAAATAACTAAGCAGAACTGAAAGAGACATAAAAAACCCTTCAAAAATATCAGTGAATCTCAGAGCTAGTTTTTTGAAAAGATCAACAAAATTGATAGACCGCTAGCAAGACTAATAAAGGCGAAAAGAGAAGAATCAGATGCCTCAAGCTCTTTTCTTTTTGCTCTGGATTCCTTTGGCTATTTGGGCTCTTTTTGGTTCCATATGAATTTTAGGAGTGTTTTTTCCTATTTATGTGAAAAATTGCATTGGTATTTTGATACAGGTTGTATTCAGTCTGTAGAATGCTTTGGGCAGTATGGTCATTTTAATAATATTAATTCTTCTGATCCACATGCTTGGGATGTCTTTCCATTAGTTTGTGTCCTTTTCAGTTTCTTTTATCAATGTTTGGCAGTTTTCCTTGTAGAGGTCTTTCACTTCCTTGGTTAAATTTATTCCTAGGTATTTAAATTTTTTTGTAACTATTTTAAGTGGGATTGCCTTCTTGACTTCTTTCTCAGCTAGTGTATTATTGGTGTGTAGAAACACTACCGATTTTTGAGGCTGGGCACTGTGGCTCATGCCTGTAATCCCAGCACTTTGGGAGGCCAAGATGGGGGGATCACTTGAGCCCAGAAGTCCAAGACCAGCCTAGGCAACATAGCGAGACCCCATCTCTAGTTTAAAAAACCAAAACACTACTGATTTTTGTATGCTGATTTTGTATCTTACAACTTTACCAAATTTATTCATCGGATCTAATCATTTTTTTGGTGGAGTCTTTAGGTTCTTCTAGATACAAGATTATATCATCTGCAAAGAGGTACAATTTGACCTCCCCTTTTTCAATGTGGATTGCTTTTATTTATTTATTTAAAGTTTTTAAAAAGTTTAATGGAGCCAATAAGGCATATAAATTGCCAATAAGGCTGGATGTGTTTTATTTCTTTCATTCACTTGATTGCTGTGGCTGGGATTTCCAGTACTGTGTTGACTAGGAGTGCTGAAAGTAGTCATCCCTGTCTTGTTCCAATTCTTAGTGGAAAAGCGTTCAGCTGTTCCTCATTCTGTATGATGTTAACTGTGTGTTATATATGACCTTTACTATGTTGACACACATTTCTTCTATGTCTAGTTGAGAATTTTTATCATGAAGCGATGTTGAATTTTATTAAATCCTTTTTCTGCATCTATTGAGATGGTCATACAGTATTTGTCCTTCATTCTGTTGATGTGATGTAGCACGTTTATTGATTTGCATATGTTGAATCATCCTTGAATCCCTGGGATAAATCTTAGTTGATCATGGTTGGTATGCTGTTGGATTGATATGCTGTTGGATTGGGTTTCCTAGTATTTGTTGAGGAGTTTTTTGTTTGTTTGTTTGTTTTTTTGAGATGGAGTCTCTCTCTTTCACCCAGGATGGAGTGCAGTGGTGCAATCTTGGCTCACTGCAACCTCCACCTCCCGGCTTCAGGTGATTCTCCTGCCTCAGCCTCCTGAGTAGCTGGGACTACAGGTGCTAATTTTTGTATTTTTAGTAGAGACGTGGTTTCATCATATTGGCCAAGATGGTCCTGATCTCCTAACTTCATGATCCACTCGCCTCGGCCTCCCAAAGTGCTGGGATTACAGGTGTGAGCCACCCGCCCAGCCTTATTGAGGAGTTTTGTGTGCATGTTCTTCAGAGATGTTGGCCTGTACTTTTTTTTGAGTCTCTGTCTGGTTTTAGTATCAAGGTAATGCTGGCCTTATAAAATGAGTTATGGAGAATTCCTTCTTTAATTTTTTGGAATAGTTTGAGGAGAATTGGTGTTAGTTCTTAGAAAGTTTGGTAGAATTTGGCAATTAAGCCATCCAGTCTTGCACATTTCTTTGTTGGAAGATTTTTTAAATTACTGTTTCAGCTTCATTACTTGTTACTGGTCTGTTTAGGTTTTCTGTCTTTTTTATTCAATCTTGGTAGGTTGTATATTTTCAGGAATTTATTCATTTCCACTAGGTTTTTCAGTTTATTAGTGTTTACTTGTTAATAATATCTGATAATCTTTTATATTTCTGTGGTATCAGTTGTAATGTCTCCTTTTTCATTTCTTATTCTATTTAGGTTGTCTCTTTTTTTCTTGGTTAGTCTAGCTAACAGTATCCATTTTGTTTATCCTCTTTTAAAAGCCAACTTTTCTTTATTTCAATAGTTTTTGGGGTACAGGTGGTTTTTGGTTACATGGAAAAGTAACCAAAAGTATCCATGGTTACATGGATAAGTTCTTCAGTGGTGATTTCTGAGATTTTGGCACACCCATCACCCAAGCAATGTACACTGCTTTTATCCCAATATGTAGTCTTTTATCCCTCACCACCCCCTCCAAATCCCCAAAGTGCATTATATCATTCTTCTGCTTTGCATCCTCATAGCTTAGCTCCCACTTATAAGTGAGAACATGCCATATTTGGTTTTCCATTCCTGATGACCTCACTTAGAATAATGGCCTCCGGCTCCATTCAACTTGCTGCAAAAGACATTATTTTTTTCCTTTCTGTGGCTGAGTAGTATTCCATGGTGTATATATACCACATTTTCTTTATCCACTTGTTGGTTGGTGGGTTACTTAGGTTGGTTCCATTATCTTTGCAATTGTGAACTGTGCTGCTATAAACATGCATGTGTGTGCACGTGTCTTTTTCATATAATAACTTCTTTTCCTTTGGGTAGATACCAAATAGTGGGATTGCTGGATCAGATGGTAATTCTACCTTTAGGAATCTCCATACTGTTTTCCATAGTGGTTGTACTAGTTTACATTCCCACCAGTAGTGTAAAAATATGCCCTTTTCACCAAATCCACACCAATATCTATTGTTTTTTGACTTTTTAATTACGACTATTTTTGCAGGAGTAAAGTGGTATCATTGTGGTTTTAATTTGCATTCCTCTGATAATTAATGATGTTAAGCATTTTTCATATGTTTGTTGGCTGTGTATCTTCTGTTGAAAATTGTCTATTTGTGTCCTTTGCCCACTTTTTGATGGGATTATTTGTTTTTTTTTTCTTGCTGATTTGTTCAAATTTGTTCAAATATCCAAATGTAGATTCTGGATATTAGTCCTTTTTCAGATGTATAGTTTGCAAATATTTTCTCCCACTGTGTGTTATCTCTGCTATTTCTTTTGCTGTGCAGAAGCTTTTTAGTTTAATTAGGTCCCATTTATTTATTTTTATTTTTGTTGCATTTGCTTTTGGGGCCTTAGTCATGAGTGTTTGCCTAAGCTAATGTCCAGAACAGTTTTTCTGATGTTCTAGAATTTTTATGGTTTCAGGTCTTAGATTTAAGTCTTTGATCCATCTTAAGCTGATTTTTGTATAAGGTGAGAGATGAGGATCCAGTTTCATTCTTCTACATGTGGCTTGCCAATTTTTCCAGTACCAGTTATTGAATAGGGTATCCCTTCCTCAATTTATGTTTTTGTATGCTTCGTCAACGATCAGGTAGGTGTAAGTATTTCGTTTTATTTCTGTGCTCTCTATTCTGTTGCATTGGTCTATGTGCCTGTTTTTATACTGGTCTCATGCTATTTTGGTAGCTATAGCCTTATAGTACAGTCAAAGTGGGGTAATGTGATGCCTTCAGATTTGTTCTTTTTGCTTAGTATTGCTTTGGCTGCACAGGCTCACTTTGGCTTCCATATAAATTATAGGAGTTTTTTCTCATTCTGTGAAGAATGATGATGATATTTTTATGGGAATTGCATTGAATCTGTAGAATGCTTTAGGCAGTGTAGTCATTTTCACAATATTGATTCTACCCATCCATGATCATGGAATGTGTTTCCATTTGTGTCATCTATTATTTCTTTCAGCAGTGTTTTGTAGTCTTCCTTATAAAGATCTTTCACCTCCTTGGTTAAGTATATTCCTAGGTATTTTATTTTATTTTTTGCAGCTATTTTAAAAGGGATTGAGTTCTTGATTTGATTCTCAGCTCGATCGTTGTTGGCATATAGCAGTGCTACGGATTGGTGTACATTGATTTTGTATCCTGAGACTTTACTGAGTTTGTTTATCAGATCTAGGAGCTTTTTGGATGAGTCTTTAGGGTTTTCTAGGTATACAATCATATCATCAATGAACGTCGATGGTTTGACTTTCTCTTTTCCAATTTCAATGCCCTTTACTTCTTTCTCTTGTCTGATTACTCTGGCCAGGTTTGTTTGTTTTGTTTTGTTTTTTAAGATGGGGTCTTGCTATGTTACCCAGGCTGGTCTCAAACTCCTGAGTGAAAACAATCCTCCCTCCTCAGCCTCCAGATTAGCTGGTATACAGGCTTGCACCACTGTGCCTTACTCTTTTATCTGCTTGTTTAGTTCTCCTCTGACCTTTATTATTTCTTAACTTCTACTAATTTGGGGTTTGGTTTGTTGCCTTCCTGGTTCCTTGAAGTGCATCAATAGATTGTTTGAAATCTTTCTACTTTTTTGATGTGTTTACTGCTATAAACTCCCTTCTTAGCATTGTTTTTGCTGTATCTCATAGGTTTTTGTATGTTGCTGTTTTAGAGACAGGGACTTGCTCTATCACTCTGGCTGGAGTGCAGTCGTGTGATTGTAGCTCACTTTAACCTTGAACTCCCGCCTCAGCCTCCCAAGTAGCTAGGACTACAGGTGCACACCACCATGCCCAGCTAATTTAAAAAATGTTGTTTGTAGAGATGTAGTCTTGCTATGTTGCATAGGCTGATCTTAAACTACTGACCTCAAGTGATCCTCTGCCTCAGCCTCCCAAAGAACTGGGATTACAGGCATGAGCCACTGTGTCCAGCCAATATGTTGTGTTTTAATTTTTATTTGTTTCGAGAGACTTTTTGGCCATGTGTGGTGGCTCACGCCTATAGTCCTAGCACTTTGGGAAGCTGAGGCAAGAGGATCACTTGAGCCCAGGAGCCGAGACCAGGCTGAGCAACATGGCAACACCCCATCTCTACAAAAAATTAAAAATTAGCTGGGCATAGTGACACACAGCTGTGGTCCCAGCTACTAAGGAGGTTGATGCTGGAGAACCACTTGATCCTGGGAGGTTGAGGCTGCAGTGAGCTATGTTCGTACTACTGCTCTGCAGCCTAGGCAACAGAGCGAGATCCTGTTGCAAAAAAAGTTTTCTTTTTAATTTCCTCATTAACTCCTTCCTTGCCCAGTGGTCATTCAGGAACATATTATTTAATATCTGTGTATTTGTACAGTTTCCGAAGTTCCTCATGCTACTTCTTTTTTTTTTCTTCTTCTTTTTTTTTTCTGAGACGGAGTCTCACTCTGTCGCCTATGCTGGAGTGCAGTGGCACCATCTCAGCTCACTGCAACCTCTGCCTCCTGGGTTCAAGCAATTCTCCTGCCTCAGCCTCCCGAGTGGCTGGGATTACAGGTGCACGCAACCATGCCCGGCCAATTTTTTGTATTTTTAGTAGAGACGGGGTTTCACCATGCCGGCCAGGCTGGTCTCGAACTCCTGACCTCAGGTGATCCGCCTGCTTCGGCCTCCCAAAGTGCTGAGATTACAGGCATGAGCCACCACGCCCAGCCCATGCTACTTATTTATTGTTTTATCCCATGGTGGTCTGCGAAGATAATTGATGTGATTTCTATTTTAAAAATTTGTTGAGACTTGTTTTGTGGCTTAACATATGGTCTGTGCTGGAAAATGCTTCATGTGCTGATTAGGAGAAAGTGTATTCTATAGCTGTAGGATGAAATGTTCTGTTTAGGTCCATTAGGTCTAAAGTGCAGTGTAAATGTTTGTTAATTTTCCATATAGTTGGTCTAATTCTGAAAGTGGTATGTTGAAGTCCCAAACTCTATGTTACAGTCCATCTCTCTCTTTAGATCTAATATTTGCTTTATATATCTGGGTGCTCTAATGTTGGGTACATATTTATTTATAATTGTTATATCCTCTTGCTCTGTTAATCCACTTATCATTATATAGTGACCTTCTTTGTCTCTTTTAACAGTTTTTGACTTAAAGTCTGTTTTATCTAACATTAGTATAGCTACCCCTGCTTTTTTTGATTACCATTTGATTGGAATCTCTTTTTCCATGTCTTTCATTTGTCTGTATATGTTCTTACAAGTGAGACGAGTTTCTTTTAGGCAGCTTACGGATGGGCCACGTTTTTTTTTAAATCCATTTGGCCAGCCTGTAACTTTCAAGTGAAAAGTTTAATCTGTTTACATTCAAGGTTATTATTGATACGTAAGAGCTAATTCCTGTCATTTTATTACTTGATAGCTACTTGTTTTATATATCCCTTGTTCCTCCCTTTCTCTCTTATTTATTATTGTGATTTGGTGGTTTTCTGTAGTGGTAGTGTTTGAGTCCTTTCTCATTTGTGTCTTTGCTCTACCAGTGGGGTTTGTAATTTTGTGTTTTTGTGGTGGTGTGTATCATTGTTTTCCTTCCAGGACTCTCTTAAACATTTCTTGTAGGGCTCACCTAGTGTGATGAATTCCCTCAACTGTTGCTTGTCTGGGAAAGACTACTTCTCATTCATTTATGATGGATAACTTTGCTGGGTGTAGCGTCCTTGGCTGGCAGTTTTTTCTCTCAGCTCATTGTCTATACCATCCCATTCTTTCCTGGCCTGTAGGGTTTCCATTGAGAATTCTGCTTAGTCAGTTGGGGGATCCCTTATAAGTGACTAGACACTATCCTCTTGCTGTTTTTGGAATTCTCTGTCTTTGAAATTTGACGACCATGTGTCGTGAAGACCTCTTTGAATTGCATCTGTTTGGGGATCTCTAAACTTCCTGTATTGGATCTTTAAATCTCTTACTAGACCAGGGAAGTTTTCAGCTACTGTTTCATTAAATGGATTTTCTATCCCTTTTCTCTTTGCATTCTGGAACACCAAAAATTTGAATATTGGTCATTTTATGGTGTCCCATATGTCATGTAGGCTTTGTTCATTCTTTTTTCTTTATTTTTGTCTGACTGGGTTATTTCAAAAGACCTGTCTGCAAGTTCTGCAATTCTTTGTTCTGCTTGATCTATTTTTGAAGCTTTTAAATGTATATTGTGTTTCATTCAGTGAATTCATCAGTTCCAAAATTTGGTGTTTTTTTTTTTTCATGATCGTTGCGTCTTTGGTAAATTTCTCATTATTTTTTGTATTTGTTGTGTGCTCTTCTATCTCACTGAGCTTCTTTAATATCATTATTTTGAATTCTTTTTCTGGTACTTCATAAATTTCTTTTTCATTGGAATCTGTTGCTGGAGAATTATTGTGTGCCCTTGAAGGTGTTATATTTCCCTGCTTTTTCATGTTTGTTGTGTCCTTACATTTTTCTCGGCACATCTGTTCTAACAGTAACTTCTTCGAATTTTTTTGGATTTGCTTTCATAGTGGAGGACTTTTTCCTGAAGATGTATATGTGGTGTTGGTTGGGTAGGGCACTGTGGCTTTGATTCTCAGTGTGTGCAGTAGTGTAGTCTCTGTATGTTTTCTTTAGGTATAAATAGTGTCAATGGTGTCTGTGATTTTCTCAGTGGCTTAGGGTCCATTTAGTGGAGGCTGTGGTGAAGTTTTGCTGCGGACAGGGACATAGGTGGGCTGGTCCTCAGTTCTCGGTGATGGCACGAGTGGGCTGAGCATGCCTGTCCTTGGGCCCCCGGGTGGGGTATGCTGTCACTGGTATATTAGCAGGTTCAGATGGGCAGATTCTTGGCCCTCCAGTTGGCTTGCTTGGGTGCTGGGTAGTGACAATGGTGGGCTGAGCAGGTAGGCAGTTTGTCAGGCCCCTGGATAGTCAGCATGGCATAAGCCAAGGCAGTAGCACTGGTGGGACAGTTCTCTGGTTCCCGAGTGGTCCATGCTAGCATTGGCAGTGGCTGTGACAGGCTGGGAGGGCCAGTCCCTAGGCTCACAGGGTGGCATATACAGGTGGGTGACATCTGTGATGGTAGTGGCAGGTTGGGTGGGCCTGATGACCTCAGGATCCTGGGAGGAGTGCTCAGGCGTCAATGGCGGTGGGCTGAGCTGGGCAATCCCCAGGGCCCCTGACAGTGTGCTCGGGGACTAGGGGGTACAGAGCCAGTCTAGGCAAACCTGTCCCCAGGCTGCCTGGTGGCGCATGGAGGTGCTGGCTCTCAAAATGGGACCTTGCTGTAGCTGCTTAGAACTCAGGGTATGCAAGACTCAGCCTTAGCTCCCTTTCTGGAGCAATACCATCAGATGGTCTTCCAGCAGCTCCCTATGTTAGTCTCAGGGCCCACAAGGATTGAGGGGGCTCTCCTGTGGTTAGGATTGTAGGAGTCTGCAATAAAAATGTGGACTGCTGGGGGGTCTATCCCTTACCCTTTCCCTTCATTGGGAAGTCTCTACAGGCTCCCAGCCAATCCCAGCTGAGCAGGCTGCCTCACTTCCCTCTCCTTCCTTGTTTTAGGTGTTTCCTGTTCACTTCTCTGTTGAATTTTAGTGTTCTCTCCTAGATAATCTATTCGAACTGTGATTATCTATTCACTATTTTGGTTCTTTATGGAGAAGGTGAGTACCAGATGCTTCTAATCAGCCATCTTGAAGACCGATGGGTCTTGTTTTTTAATTCAATCTGATGTCTTTTAATTGGAAATTAGTTTACAGTAATTATGGATGTGGTTGAATGTAATCTCGCCATTTTGCTATTTTCTACTTGTCCCATTTTCTTTTTTCTCACTTTCTTTTGGATTGAGTATTTTCTTGATTTTATCTCCATTATTGGCTTATTAGTTACAGCTCTTTATTTAAAAAAAGGTTTCAGTGGCTTCTCCAGGTTTTAAAATATGCATGTTCAACTTATACAAACCTCAAATGGTGTACCACTTCATGTATAGTTAGAAGAACCTTACAACAATATACTTCCAATTTCTCTTGCATCATTTATGCTGTTGTCATACATCTTAATTTTATGTGTGTAATAAACCCCAGAATACAGTGGTAATATTTTTGCTTTAGACTAAATTCTTTAACAAAAAAAATCTTTTATATTTATCATCATTTTTGAATAGTTTCTGGTGTGGGTTGCTTTAAAAATATGTCCACAGATTCTTCGATACTCCTACCTTGGGAACAGCCTAATTCCCGTTCCCTTGATTGTGGGCTGTACTAATTTACTAAATGAATAGAATGTCGTAGAAATGTGTGATTCCAAGGCTAGGTCATAAAGGACATGGCACCTTCCATTTTCTCTCAGATCTCTGGCACTGGGGGAAGTCAGATGACATGTCATGAAGATACTGAAATACCCCTATGGAGAATCCCACTTGGTGAAGAAGTTAGGCCTCCTCCAAAGAGTCATATGAATTGAATGAGCTTGGAAGTGGATCCTCCACCCCAGGCAAGCCTTCCTATAATCACACACCCAGCCAACCACATAATTGTAACCACATGAGCGACACTGTAACACCCAGCCAAACTGATGGTGAATTTCTAACCCACAGACTTGAGAAAATGTTGTTTTAACTCACTTAAGTTTGGGGATAACTTGTTATAAAGCACTAGTCATTTCTTTGTACGCATCCAAGTTTCTATCTGCCATCACACTTCTTCCTAGAGAACTTACTTTATATCATAGTCTGCTGACAGTGAATTCTTTCAGCTTTTGTCTAAAAAGTCTTTATTTCTCTTTTATTTTTCAAAGATTTATTCACAGAATACAAAATTGGGGGTTGATTTATTTATTTAAATGTCACTGTTGTTTTGATGAGTACTCCACTATAATTCTTAACTTTGTCCTTCTGTTTCTTTTTTCCTCTGGCTGCTTTAATTGGTTTTGGTATTTATCCTGTTTGGGGTTCTCTAAACTGGTTAGATCTGTGGTTTGATGTTTTGTTATTATTTCTGAAAAATTCCTTGCCATTATCTCCTAAAATATTCTTTCCTGTTTTCTCTTCTCCTTCTGAGACTTTTATTACATGTATGTTAGACTGCTTGTTATTATTCCATAGCTCCTGGGCACTGTTTTTATTGTTTGTTTTTGTTTGTTTTGGAAGCGGAGTTTCACTCTTGTCACCCAGGCTGGAGCGCAATGGCGGGATCTCAGCTCACTGCAACCTCCGCCTCCTGGGTTCAAGCAATTCTCCTGCCTCAGCCTCCCAAGTAGCTGGGATTCCCAGCACCTGCCACCATGCCCGGCTCATTTTTGTATTTTTAGTAGAGATGGGGTTTTGCCATGTTGGCCAGGCTGGTCTCCAACTCCTGACCTCAAGTGATCTGCCCGTCTTGCTCCCGCAAAGTGCTGGGATTACAGGTGTGAGCCACCACGCTGGGCTTTTTTTTTTTTGTAATTTTTTTCTTAGTGTTTCAGAATGACTTTTTAAATGTATCTTCCAATACATTGAATCTTTCCTCAGCTATCTCCATTCTACTAATGAACCTGTTGAAGGGATTTTCATCTCTGATATCATGCTTTTTATTTCTAGCATTTCCATTTATTTTTTATAGTTTTCATCTCTGCTAAAACACCCTGCGTCAATGTGTTGTCCACCTATTTCACTATATCCTTCAATATAGTATATTAATGTTAGTCCTTAACTGATAATTCAAATTTTATCTGAGTCACCTCCAAGTCTTGTTCTATTAATTGCTTTATCTCTTGACAAGGTGTTTTTTTTTTTCTTTTTTTCCCTTGAGTCTTATAATATTGAATTTCATTTATCGTGTGTAGAAAAAAACAGAAACTGAGGTAAACAGTATTTATGTCTGGCTATAAATACATGCCTGTTAGGCTGGTATGGGAGGTTGAGTCAGTATTGTAAGAAACTGAGTTTATGTTTTCTTACTGTTATCTGCAGCACATCACAGATTTCAAATTCCTCTAGCAGTGAGCTTTTCCTGTGCGCTTAAAGGACAGGATGCCAGAGGGTATTTTCCTCAATGTTTCAGCTCCCTCTCCACCTTCCAGCTGTCTCTGTATGCCTTTGCTCCCAAGACATTCTCTCTCCATGCTCTTGCCCCTCCCTCAGAGGTAGACTGCATTTTCTTGTTAGTCTGTGCTAGGCTCATGGTAGAGACAATAAGGAATCTTTGTTGTCTTAGCTCAGCCTCAGTCATAGGCAGGCTTTGCACACCTGGCCTCAGAATTGTGTCCTTCTTAGCATTCCTATCCCTGTATTTATGACTGGTCTTCAGCAGGAATTTCCTACTCCTCTCCCAGTAGTATCAGTGGAGGATGCTAGGCCCCAAACTATTTTCTGTCTCTCTCCTCTAAACTAAGATTTGTGCTTCTACTTTTTCTCCTTAAATGAAAGATCTTTGCCTTTGTCCTTCCTTCTGAGGCAGAGACGTTTTGCCTCTGTTCCTCCCACAAAAGCATTTTCTGCCCTGAGAAAATGTCTGTTAACCCTCCATCAGTGGCTTAAGGCTTCCGTTTTCGGCAGAAAATGAACCAGGGAAACAGGTGGGTTTTTGTGCCTATCCCCACCTCAGGGGCAGCTATACTATATATCTTTGCTTTACAGGGGGGATCACAGCAGACTCCTGCTATGTATGCCCCCACCCTTCTTGAGCACCCAATGGAATGACATGAAAAAAGCTTACGAGTGAAGATATGACTGGACTGCTACAATCTTATGGTAAAACTTGAAAGGTGAAGAGTTGCTTCTTATAGTTAAGCAAAGAAATTCTTGATGGAATCTATTCCTGATAAAGATGCTGTGAACACTATTGACATAACAACAAGTAATTTAGAATAATACTTAAATGTAGTCAATAAAGCAGTGGTAGGGTTTGAAGACTGACTACTGTTTTGAAAAAGTTCTTCTGTGGGTAGAATGCTATCAAACAGCATCAGATACTTCTGTGAAAGGATGAATCAATTGATGCAGCAAACTTCATTGTTGTCTTAAGAAATTGCACAACAACTCCAACCTTCAGCAGCCACCACCCTGATGAGTCAACAGCTATCAACATTGAGGCAACATCTTCCATGAGCAAAAAGACTACGGCTCACTGCAGGTTCAGATAACTGTTAGCATCTTGTAGCAATAAGTTACTTGTAAGTTACAGTATATACTTTTTTTGATATGCTATTATACGCTTAATAGACTATAGTATAGTGTAAGCATCACTTTTTATTTTTTGAGACAGGATTTTGCTCTAGCGCCCAGGCTGGAGTGCAGTGGCACCATCTCGGCTCACTGCAGTCTCTACCTCCTGGGTTAAAGCGATCCTCCTGCCTCAGCCTCCTGAGTAGCTGAAATTACAGGTGTGCACCACCAAGCCCAGCTAATTTTTGTGTTTTTTTGTTTTGTTTTGTTTGAGATGGAGTCTTGCTCTGTCACCTAGGCTGGAGTGCAATGGCACAATCTCGGCTCACTGCAACCTCCGCCTCCTGGGTTCAAGGAATTCTCCTGTCTCAGCCTCCTGAGTAGTTGGGATTACAGGTGCACACTGCCATGCCCGGCTTTTTTTTTTTTTTTTTTTTTTTTGTATTTTAGTAGAGACAGGATTTCACCGTGTTGCCCAGGCTGGTCTCAAACTCCTGAGCTCAACTGATCCACCCACCTCAGCCTCCCTTATGCTGGGATTACAGGCATAAGCTACTGTACCCGGCCAGCATAACTTTTATTTGCACTGGGAAACCAAAAAATTTGTGAGACTCACTTTATTATGATAATTGCTTTATTGTGTTGGTCTGGAACTGAACATGCAGTATCTGTGAGAAATGCCTATATATTTGTGACCAATAGAGTCTACTGTGCACCTTTTTTATTACATTTTGACAATTATTCTATACCCATAAATACAAATTTACTTCAGTTAAAAAGCACAGGCTGGGCATGGTGGCTCACGCCTGTAATCCCAACAATTTAGGAGGCCGAGGCAGGCAGATCACCTGAGGTCAGGAGTTCAAGACCAGCCTGGCCAACATGGTGAAACCCATCTCTACTAAAAATACAAAAATTAGTCAGGCGTGGAGGTGCATGCCTGTAATCCCAGCTATTTGGGAAGCTGAGGCAGGAGAATTGCTTGAACCCAGGAGGCAGAGATTGCAGTGAACCGAGATCGCGCGCCACTGCACTCCAGCCTGGGTGACAGAGCAAGACTCTGACTCAAAAAAAAAAAAAAAAAAAGCATTCCATTATACATAAAATCCATATTATATGTATTATACTAATATTATTAATATAATACATAATATAGGCCATACTTTACTAATAAGTAACATTCGGTTGTTTTCAATCTTTTGCTATGTAGCATTATGCCACAATGTAATAATCCTGTACATAGTTGTTTATGTCTATTGTCAGTAGTATATCTGGAGTATAAGTTCCTAGAGTTACAGTTTCAGAATGTGTGTGTGTATTTTTTAATTTTTACAGATATTGTCAGATTGCTCTTTTTTTTTTTTTTTTGAGATGGAATTTCGCTCTTGTTGCTGCCCAGGCTGTAGTGGCAATGGTGCGATCTTGGCTTACTGCAACCTCCGCCTCCCGGGTTCAAGCAATTCTCCTGCCTCAGTCTCCCAAGTAGCTGGGATTACAGCCGCATGCCCCCACGCCTGGCTAATTTTGTATTTTTTAGTAGAGATGGGGTTTCACCACATTGGTCAGACTGGTCTCAAACTCCTGACCTCAAGTGATCCACCCGGCTTGGCCTCCCAAAGTGCTGGGATTACAGGCATGAGCCACCACACCCTGCCCAGATTGCTCTCTTAAAAGGTTATACTAACTTACACTTTAAAACAAAGAGAGCATCTGTTTCTGCATATCCTTATCCACACAAAATCACTTATTAAAATTTTAATAACCAATATGATACAAACATTGGTAGCTGCACATAGAACACTGGAGATATGAGGACAGTGCCCCTTGAGTAATCTTCAGAGTACTACTGATCAGTGCATGTGTGAGAAAACAAACCATGGCCAGAGAAAAAAAGCACCTGAAGTATCAGAACAGTAGCCAGGGCCCACACAGGGCCAGAGTGTTTGTTCTCACACCCAGACTATAAAACCTCAAAATGTGTAGGGCACTAGGTGTGGTACAGAGAAGTCTTGCCTTGGTAATGTGGAGTCATTAGCCCTAGATTAAAAAAGCTCAGGTCCCACTTGACAAATCTTGTAAGCAAGATCCAAATGGGTCAAACTATGTCTATGTACTTAACAGCATCCTAGAATAAATCTCAAGAATACTTATTGAAATACAAAAATAGCACCCAACAAAGTAAAAAAATATCTGGTGTCTGATCAGAAACTACCAGGTATGCTGACAAACACAATACCAGGTATGCTGGATAACACGACCCATAGAGAGGAGAAAGATCAGGTGAACCCAAACCAGACCTGACACAGATGTCAGAATTAGCAGAGAGCATTAAAACAGAATAACTGTATTCCATATGTTCAAAAAGTTACCTAGATTTGGAAGATAGAAAAAAAGACCCAAATGGAACTAGAGATGAAAAGTACATTGTGTAGGATGAAAAAATAGTGTGTGGGGTTAACAGCAGATAAGGTACAAGAGAACGAACTAGTGAACTTGAAGAAACAGACACTACCCAAAACAAAACATTGAGGAAAAGGCAGCACTGGGTTTTTGTTTTGTTTTGTTTTGTTTTTGTTTTTTTGCCATCCTTTGCTCATGCTTTTGCTATTTTACACTTTTGGACATTCATACTTGCTATTACATCTGACTAGGATCACATGATTTGCCCCCCCTCACTTTCCTCAGGTCTTGGCCCAAAAGTCTTGTCAGAGATGCCCATCTTGACCTTTTATCCTGCCTTATTTTTATTTTTCCTCAGCACCACCTGATAGATGTGCTTATTTATTGTCTGTCTCCCCCAAGATTCCTTGGACAGTCATGGGGTAGGGATTTTTGTTTTACTGTTGTAACCCAGTGCCTGGTCTGTAGCAGATGCTTAAAATATGTATTCAAAGAATAAATTGAGTGAATGTGATTATGAAAGAATACAGTTATATTTCTGGTATGGGTACCTGTATAGATGACTGATGACACTGGAGGATGGAATATGAGATGCCTACAGAACACCCAGATGGAAATAATGGACACTCATTCAGGCAACGAATATTTACTGAGCACCTACCATGCTAGTCACTTTGAGTATATGACTGGGGACAAAACCCAAAAAACAAACTGGAACCCTACCTTCAACAAGCTTACTTTCTAGAAAGGGAGACAATAAGAGTAATAAGTAAGTGAAATATATAATAGATTAGAAAGTAATCATGCTATGGGAAAAGAGGGGAATCAAGAGTCAGGAGAAATGTAGAGTGAGTTGCAATTTTAAATAAGGTGGTTAAGGTAGACTCATGAGAAGTCACATGGATCTGATGCTCAGAGGAGAGGTTTATCTGTTAAACTGGCAATAATCTGCCCCAAAGTTTTTGGGATCAAATGAGATATGTAAAAGTTCTGGCAATTAAAAAATTTTAAACTACTTCCCCACCCTACACTGCTGTGAGGCTTCAGTTAGTCTGAAACACACAAGTTTAAAGATAAGCAGAATAAGTTTGTGTGTATTCCTTTTTCAGTAAGAAGAAAAAAAGTTTCCCTTCTTTGTTGTTTTGTTGTAACTAATGACTTCTGAGTTATTATCCACAAAATTATGGGATATGTAGAATAGGTAGAAGATCCTATTACATCAATAAAAAATGCATTTAGATAGGGCAGGGGGAGGGGTGCAAGGTATTTATGTTTTACATAAAGTGGTACAATGTTAGCTCGAACTAGACTGTGAAAAAATAAAGATGTATATGAACAGTCCTTATGGCAACCACATTATTAATTCAAAGAGGTATAGCTAAGTAAATACCAATAGGTTAACTTAAAATGAAATTCATAACGATAGGAAGGAGGTAGAGTAACAAGAAAGGAAATTTTGAAAGTATTTCAAACTGAAAGATAATAAAAATACAACATACCAAAATTTGTAGGATGTAGCCCAAGCAGTGCTACAGGGAAAGTTACAGCTTTAAGTGTTTATTTTAGAAACTAACAAAGACGGCTGGGCACGGTGGCTCACGCCTGTAATCCCAGCACTTTGGGAGGCCGAGGTGGGTGGATCACCTGAAGTCAGGAGTTTGAGACCAAGCTGGCTAGCATGGTGAAACCCCACCTCTACTAAAAATGCAAAAATTAGCCAGGTGCGGTGGCATGCACCTGTAGTCCCAGCTACTCGGGAGGCTGAGGCAGGAGAATCGCTTGAACCTGGGAGGCAGAGGCTGCAGTGAGCCAAGATCGTGCCACTTCACTCCAGCCAGAGTGACTCTGTCTCCAAAAAGAAACTAACAAAGACTACAATCAGTGACCTAGGTTCTATTAGAAGAAGCTAGAGAAAGAAGAGCAAAGTAAATCCAAATTTAGTAGAAGCCAATGAAATGGGAAAAAGAGAAACTAAGAAAATATTCCAACAAATGTGATGAATGAAATGGACAAATTCCTTGAACAAGTGGATCTGGTACTACTTACAACTTAGGGTAAACTAATTTCAAATTCTACTTCTGGGGCCTTAAAAAAAAAAGAACCCAGAGCAGCAACAAAAACTCAGAAAATGTTATTTAAAAAGAAAAAGAATATTGTCTACAAAAATTATAAAGTGCCTAGGGATAAACTTAACAAAGATATAAGCTCTTTATGTTGAGAAATATAAAACTTTATTGAAAGATTTTTAAAAACTTAAATAGTTATATTCTTGAACAGGAAATGAGCTTGGTATTGTAAAGATAATAATTCTTCCCAAATTGATCTATAATCTCAATGCAATTATAACCAAAATTCCAAAAGGGTAACTAAATGTTACAGAGGATGCTATTATGGAAGAACAAAGGGCCAAGTATAGTTGACACACTCCTAAAGAACAAGATGTCAAAGACTGCTCTCAAAACTTTGATCATCTTGATGGTGGTTATGGTTTCACAGGTGTATGAATGTCAAATTGTACACTTTATATGCACATTATTGTGTGTCATTTAGACCTAGGTAAAGCTGTTTTAAAAACAAAAACAAAAAAAAGCCCGGCAAAACAAGCCTGGGCAACATAGTGAGACCTTGTTGCTACTAAAAATAAAAAATTAGCTGGGTGTGGTGGCACAAGCCATGGGCCCAGCTACTTGGGAGGCTGAGGCAGGAGGATTGCTTGAGGCCAGGAAGTTGAAGCTGCAGTGAGCAGTGATCACGCCACTACATTCCAGCCTGGGCAACAGAGCAAGACCTGGTCTCAGAAAATATATTAAGCTGGGTGTGGTGGCTCATGCCTGTAATCCCAACACTTTGGGAGGCCAGGGCAGGCAGATTGTTTGAGTTCAGGACTTTGAGACAAGTCTGGGCAACGTGGCAAAACCCTGGCTCTACAAAAAAATTTTAAAAATTAGCTGGGTGTGGTGATGTACACCTGTAGTCTCAGCTACTCAGGAGGCTGAGGTGGGAGGACTGCTTGCCCCTGAGAGGTCAGGGCTGCAGTGAGCTGTAATCATATCACTGCTCTCCAGCCAGGGCAACAGAGCAAGCCCCGTTTCAAAAAAAAAAAAAAAAAAGTTATTTAGCAATATACATACAGACATACAAATGGAAGAGTTAAAAAGCAAAGGAATGATTAACTCAACATGTAAAACGGTAATTACCGGGAGTGAGGGAAAGGGAAGGGTATGTGCCAGTGGGGAAGGGACGCATAGGGAGCTTGTCATGTTCTAGTATAGGTAGTATTCTATTTCTGAAACAGAATGCTGTATGTCTTACTATCATTCTTTTAACTACATGTGTATTTTATACAACCTTTTGCATATATGATAAGTTTCACAATTTTGAAAAAATGAGCGTTTGTAAAGAGGAACACAAAAGAACCAACCATTAGCTAAACTTATTATTTTGGGGGTACTCAAAACCTTTCAAACAGCACTTGATGACTACGATTAAGATCTTTCCTGCTGATTTAAAAATGGCAAAACTCTTCCTCTGTTTGAGACAGACGGGTTTTCAATTTATTTTTTTTTTTTTGGAGACAGGGTCTCACACTGTCACCCAGGCTGGAAGTACAGTGGTGCAATCTTGGCCTCTGCCTCCAGGGTTCAAGCGATCCTCCCACCTCAGCCTCCCTGGGACTACAGGTGCAAGGCACCACCTCTGGCTAATTTTTGTATTTTCTGTAGAGATGGGGTTTCACCATGTTGGCCAGGCTGGTATGGAACTCCTGGGCTCAGGTGATCTGTGCACCTCATCTTCCCAAAAGTGCTGGGATTAAAGACGTGAGCCACCGCACCCGGCCGGTTACCAATTTCAAACAAGAAAAGTAAAAACCAAACAGAAAAGCTATTGCTTACTACCCTAACTTGGTACATTTCTGTGCTTGTTAATAACTAATAATTAACTTGTCCTCTCACAACCACCTTGAGATGCAGGGGTACAGGGTAAATTAGTACTGAGATAGTACCTAGCACTAAAATAGAATTATCTTTCTTGCACACTTTTTCTACAGAGGATGATAGTTTTTCCCTTCAAAGCACTGGTAATAGTCTTATTTTCTTCCTTCCATTTCTGCTTACTTGGTTACTGTCTTTATCAAACTATTAAAATAGTAAATACGACCAGATGCGGTGGCTCACACCTATAAACCAAGCACTTTGGGAGGCCCAGACAGGAGATCGCTTGAGCTCAGTGGGGCCCGGCTGCAGTGAGCCGTGATGGCACCACTGCACTCCCGCCTAGGTGGCCGAGAGAGACCCTGTCTCAAACAAAATAAAAAATAAAAATAATAAAATAGTAAATATACTGCAATTGTCTCCACCTCACTTCACCTGACAACACTATTTTGCTGTAATGGCCATAGAATCTTGATCTGACCACCGCCCATAGTAAGCAGGGAACTCAGCCTTCCAACATTAATTAAGAGCCCAACAATTTTAGGTTTCAGTTAGAAAGGACAGCTGCGCTTCAGGCTTGGTTCTTGCCAACTACTCAGCTATTTTGGATGAGCTGCACATTTTGTCTGTAACTTCCTCCATAAGTTTTTAATCAAGAGATCTTCCAGGAATGTAGGGCCTGCTTCACCTTCCACAGCAGCTGCGCAAAACATGCAAAACATACACTTCGATTTGTGTTTTCTGTTAGCTTTAGCTACTTCCCTCAGCCCAGACTCCCTTCAGTCTTTTGTTTTGAATAACAACCTACTGTGAAGCTTCTTAAACACTAGTTTTATTTAAAGCTTGTATTATCCTTTTCCTTTTTTTTTTTTTTTTTTTTGAGACGGCATCTCGCTCTGTTGCCCAGGCTGCAGTGTAGTGGTGCGATCTCTGGCTCACTACAGCCTCCACCTCCCAGGCTCAAGTGAATCTTCCTCCTCAGCCTCCCGAGTAGCTGGGACCACAGGGGCAGGCCAACAAGCCTGGCCTATTTTTGATTTTTTGTAGAGACGAGGTCTTGCTATGTTGCCCAGGATAGTCTGGAACTCTATTATAATCTTTGTCTTAATCTCATGGAGACGCCCCCGTGGTCACTGACTGGAGGAAGGAAATACACATTTTAAAGGTTTTAAATTTCCTATAGAAGGGTCTAGAACGTACCGCGCTATAACGAACATAGTAGTAAGACCACCGCCACACTCCTGAGGAAACAAGGTCACGCCCCTCTGCGGGCCGCTTGATCGGGTCTTTAATTAATCCCGCCGCGGCCTTCCCGCCTACCCCCGAGCGCGCACTTCCGGTCGCGAGGGCGCTCGGGAGCGCGCCCCGCGAGCCTCCACCAACCAGCGGCTCCGCCTGGCCAGACAGAGTGCGCGCGCGCACGTTGTGCGCAGGTTCGAATCTCCGCCGCTTCGCGGTTGCTTCTCAACGTCCGGGCCGCATCTCGGCGGCGGCGAGGGCTGAGCGCGGGAGCTGCCTCCGAGCCGGAGCCCCAGCCCTAGGCCCTGCGCGAGCTGCCCCGCCCTACCCCCTCCAGCGTCCTGTCGCCTCCTCGCCCGACTTCGGCCTGTCCCTCTCTCACGCGCTCAGTCCTCGCTCTTCGCCCCCCGCAGCTATCGGCACTCGGTCTCCCGCGCCTGGCGGGCTCCGCCCGAGCCTCTGGGCCCATGGCCAAGCGGCGTGCGGCCGAGCCGGTGACGTTCCACGTGCCTTGGAAGCGGCTCCTGCTTTGCGACTTCGCTGAGCAGCCGCCGCCACCGCCTCTCTGGATCCGGCCGCCCGGGGTCGCGCATGCTGGGCAGCTCCTCGGCGTCCCAGAGCAGCACCGAAAGCGCAAAATCGACGCAGGGACCATGGCAGAGCCCTCGGCTTCGCCCAGCAAGCGCCGTGACAGCGGGGACAACAGCGCCCCGAGCGGCCAGGAGCGTGAGGACCACGGTCTGGAGACAGGCGATCCGCCGCTGCCGCCGCCGCCCGTACTGCCGGGGCCGGGGGAGGAGCTCCCGGGCGCCCGGCTCCCGGGGGGCGGTGGCGACGACGGGGCGGGGCGCGCAGGACCCCCGCGGGGAGACTGGGGGGTCGCATCGCGCCAGGTAGGGGCTGGGGGCGGGTGGGCTGAGGGGCGAAGGGGCTTGCCTTTTCCCCACACACACAAAACGCCCCGGTTCCCACTCATGACTTGTGTAGGTTAAGACGCCTGAGGGGGTTGAAAGAAGGGGTCACCGCTCCGGGAGAGGACGCCGACCGCCAGAAGCACACCCCGAGAGTCCGATGGGCAGAAAGCACTGGGCTGGGCGAGGGGGAAACAGACCGTGGTCGGGAGCGATAGAAGTGGCCTTGCGGCGTCAGCGCCGCGCTCCGTAAAAGGGAAACGGGACCGTGGGTCGTGGCGGGCTGTGAGCATGGCGAGAACGCAGACCGTCAGGGCATAGGTTCAGCCCAAAGACAAACGACAGATAAAGGTGTAGAGGGCCTTCCTGGGTTTAACGATGATTAGTCTAGAATTCGGGATAGAGTTCTTTTTCTAGAGGGAGACCAGTGTGGTAGCCATTGATTAATTGAACGTCCTACCGGCTGGTACAGCTTCTGGAGAAAAGGATGGACCACCGTACCTTGGTCAAAGCTTTGTTTTAACTCATAGTGTTAAATCTGATCCTAGGCAAAAGTATCATTGAAAATTAATTTGGGGGCGGGGCGTGGTGTCTCACGCCTGGAATCCCAGGACTTTGGGAGGCCACGGCGGGTGGATCACCTGAGGTCGGGAGTTCGAGACCAGCCTGGCCAATAGGGTGAAACTCTGTCTCTATTAAAACACAAAAACTAGCTGGGTGTGGTGGTGTATGCCCGTAATCACAGCTACTCGGGAGGCTGAGGCACAAGAATCACTTTAACCTGGGAGATGGCGGTTGCAGTGAGCTGAGATTGGGCCAGTGCACTCCAGCCTGGGCCACAGAGTGAGACGCTGTCTCAAAAAAAAAGAAAAGAAAAGAAAGAAAAAAGAAAATTAATTTGGGCCTTAAGGCGTATATGAGAATCATTGGCGGGTTTTTATTCAAGACATGAGCCTGCCTCATCTCTGCATGTAAGAATCCTGAGAAGATCTAGGTATGCCTCGGTTTGCCTAGATCTCTGCTGCCCGGCCGCTAGCCGGTAAGAACACTTGAAACGTGACTAGTCCAAATGGAAATGTGCTCTAAGTTTAAAATATACACGAAATTTCGTGGATTTAATAAATGAAGATAAAATAGCTCAATTTTATATTGATTACACATGAAATAACTTGGCTATATTGAAGAAAATATATTAAAATTAATACCAGAAGTTTCTTTTACTTTTTAAATACAGCTACTAGAAAATTTTAAATTATGTTTTTGGAGCATTATATATTTATTGGACAGCTTTGGTCTAGACTTAGGAATTCATACTACTTTTTCACAATCCTGAATGGCAGGGGACTTGGGAGATGAAGAACCAAGTACAGGTTTCTCAGAATTCACCAAATTCTCTTCAGCTGTCTGATAGCATCCTCCCAACGTTTTTCTATTTTCTCAAGTATCTTATGTCAGGGTTTTCAAATACCTTTCCAAAAAAATAAATGAAATTTCTTAGGCATGACTTGTTCATGTGAAAAATCCAATAAAATAACGAGAGTTTTATAGTTGGGAAAGACTTTTTTTTTTTTTTTCCTATGGTTGAAACATGAGCCTTATTTAAACTTTTTCTTCAGATTGCTCTCAGATATTCAAAATCAACTGAAAACAGATGGATAGTCTTCTAAACCATCCATCCATAATGGATATGGAGATTAGGGACTGTGTAGTTTGAAAACTTTTTGAAAGCTCTTCAGACCATTTTAGTACTCCACTCATGCATAGGCTTGTCTCCTACCAGAATACAGAATACACTGTCTATACTATGCCACACAGTGATAAGAGGGAAATATGGAAATGGCAGTAGGCAAAGCGTAAGAGTTCTCTAGTAGCCTGAAACGGTGATGCTTGCTTAGTCTTAGACTCAACTCTTTTCCCCCACAGCAGTAACTAGATCTGGCAGCTCTCTACTTCCTATAGTCGCTGCAAGCGCATGACAGGGAAAAAGGTTGGCTCCAGGGGTTCTTTCTTCACCAAGACTACCCTTGTTCTCTTTGTTGTTTTTTAAAAAAGGGTCTTGGGGTCTCGCTCCCATGCCCAGGCTGGAGTGCAGTGGCACCATCCCAGCTCACTGCAACCTTAGCTTCCTGAATAGTTGGGACTGCAGGTGCACACCACCACGCTGGACTAATTTTTTTTTTTTTGTGGAGATGGGGTTTTGCCATGTTACCCAGGCTGGGCTCAAGTGATCCTCCCGCCTCTGCCTACCAAATAGCTGGGATTACAGGCGTGAGCCACTGTCAGGCCCTCTTTTGAGGAAAGCCCAGTAACACTCCTATTCCTTCTTTTTGTTAGATTTGTTCTGGAGGCGCTTCTCTTTTACAATCATGCTCTCTCCAGCTTCTGTTTCTCCTTCCTGCCTCCAAAGACACAGGCTTTTTGTTTTAAGGATTTTATACCTGATTACCAAGGGAAAATTGAATATAACAAAAAGAAGTAAACAGTTCAATACAGTAAATGCCTGGTTTCTTTTGTGCTCAGAATAGGGCTTAAGTCCCAGCCCTCACCCTTGGGACTTCATTTAGGAAATACTACCTCAAATACCTTTTTTCTACATTGAGAATACAATCTAGGCAGGATAATGTTACGTCATTTCTGTCCCGGAACTTCAGGGTATTTCCTGTTTCAGATGTTTTTTGACTACAGAAATAAAATCAGGTATTCATTAAATATTCATGTATTTTTTTCATGTTAGTGTCACTATGTAGATTCACTGCTCTGTCAGTGTTAACTGTTAGTTTCTTGTTTATTTGTTTGTTTTTCATAAATTGAGATGGAGTCTTGCTTTGTTGCCAGGGCTGGTCTCAAACTCTGGGGCTCAAGCGATCCTTCTGCCTCCCAAAGTGCTGGGATTACAGGTGTAATCATGCCCAGCCAACTGTTAGATATTCTTAACAGAAAGTAAGCAGAAATGCTCTAAGGAGACAGTGATTAATGATTCATAGGCTTATTGGGATATAATACCTAGCAATATTGAGCAATTACTATGCCAAGCCTGAATTTTTACAACAGTCCTCCATTTTATCAATAAGGTCAAGATCAGAGTTAGTGGGCGGTGGAGTTATCTTGCAAACCCAGGTCTGTCTGGTGGCAAAGTTTGTGTGCCCTTAGTCACTATGTTTTACTAACATAATTAAAAGACCTTTTTTTGGTCCATGTTTATAAGTAGATAATTTGTACAGTAGATTTTCCAAAATATTAAAGTGAAATTTTTCTTAATATCTTTTGACTTATTGTGTGTTTATCCCAATATTAAGAAATTCCCCCAAAACTTAATTCTTTAAGGCTCAGCATAGAAGACAGTGAACTTCCTAATGAGACTTTCTTACAGACCTGTGCTGTCCAGCACAGTAGCCACTAGGTCATGTGGCTACTGAGCATTGATTTTTTTTTTATCTTTAATAAAATGATCAGTTTAACATTTTCTTGCTATTCGTCATGTTTATAACCTAATACTTTTTGGAAGATTTCAAAATATTTTGGCCTATGTAAAGTAAATCTCCTAAAATACCAGACCTTAAGAACAAGACCAAAAGTAAGTTATAAGGAGTGTGTCTGTGTTTGTATTTTTAAAATAAATTCTTCTTTTCCTTCTTGAAAGATAAAAAATTTTAAGACTTTTTAGATAATTTTCTTTAGGTGAAAAATGGGAGAAAAACTGTGGAAAGAGATGCTCTTGGAGGAAATTCCTTTAAATTTAACAAATACTTTCACAAATTGTAAATATTAAAATGCACAGATTTCATCGAGTACATGAAGTACTTAGATGAGACAAAATTTAAAATGTATATTTGTTAAAAATACAAAATAGAAGATTACAAAATCTTATATGAGTTTGCCTTTAAAACAAATTTGTTTTCTGAAAAAAACTTAATTTTTTCTAAGCTATTGATGCTCTTTGATCTCTCTTTTTTCTCTAAAGCACAATGAAGAATTTTGGCAGTATAATACCTTCCAGTACTGGAGGAATCCTTTGCCTCCTATTGATCTGGCAGACATTGAAGATTTAAGTGAAGACACCCTGACAGAAGCAACACTTCAGGGCAGGAATGAAGGGGCTGAGGTTGACATGGAGTCCTGATGTAAGGAGCCGAAGCAGTGGGATTGGCTGATTTGAGGAGATGTCTCTAAGTGAATTCTCGTATTCTTAAGGGAAAAGTTATTTTCCATACTTGAAGTTATATTTCCAAACCTGAGAAATGAAGAAAGATTGTTCTGACATTAAATACCTACAGTTACTACTGAACCTCTTAATAAGGATTTGTCAAGGATAGAGTACAGTTGTAGGGGAAGTATTTTATGTATGCATTCTTAGAGCAAAAAGTTTTGTTTAAATTCTAGAATTGAAGGTACTGATCTTATAAAAAGAAATTCTAGCAGTTTTAGAAATAGGTGGGAAAAACTCAAATATTCCTCCTATCTGCACCAAAAAGTTTATTTGTGGTATATAAAATGAATATTGTTTTATAATAACTTGTTAATAAAGTACTTTCTAATACATTCTATTGACTCTGTTAGTTGAACAAATAGCTGACTTGAACATCTATGCAAACTTAAGATGGGCGGGATTGTTGTAAAAGCTATTGTTTTAAAAGAGCTTTCTAAATGTAAAGTAGTGATAATTTCAATTTGGGTAGCGTGTTTGCAAAGCTTCCAATATTTGATGTTGGTTAAGCTCTACTATGGGCAACTGAAGATGGATAAAGAAAAATGAAAACTGAATCGGTGCCTGCTTCCCCCTGTTTTCCCAGGATTAGAGGAAAAAATTTATTGTATAATCAGCTTCTTGGTTTTGAATTGCTTCGAGGCATGGTTTTATTCCTTATTACTTTAGACCTGTAGTTTTCAACACTGACAGCACTTTAAAAATCTTTGCCTGGGCCTCACTCTTGAGAGATTCTCATTTAATAGTTCTGAGGTGGGTCTTGGATATAACTATTTTTTTAAACACCTGTCCTGTTTCCCTCCATTCCTCTCATGTGCAGACAGGGTTGAGAACCAGTAGACTAATGGTCGTTTTTCCTGTTTAAAGGAGATAACTAATTTGAGCTGAAGCAATGCTTCTTAATTAGCTTTGTTTTTGTTTTGCTCTGTTGGTGGCTTTGTTACAACTGAATTATTGTGTTATTACTATTTCATTGTTAAAGAAATAAAGTAAGCAATTTGTGATGTGAGTATCAGTGATTAAGTTAACTAACTTTTGTACTGCATCCAGAATGTTGGTTTTGCAATTGAGTAACTGGTTCTTGCTTGCATTTTTTGTTGTTGATGACATTAGATCCAAAATTCAAGACAAATGGTAAATGCCATTGAGAGGGAAAGAGAAAAACTTGATTTTTTTTGTGTAATGAAGGATTTAAGAATGGGTTGACATTAATAAGAATGCTTTAGAACAGAAGACAAACTGTATTGCATTGTGGTCAGACATGGTTCAAAGTCTTGTACTGCCACTTCCTACCTATGTATCTTTAAGCCAGTTATTTTTCATCTCCAAGCCTCAAATTTCTCACCTGTAAAATGAGAAATAATAAATAGTATCTACCTCAGAGAGACTGTTTATTGTCAAGCAATGTTATAAGTACTTTACTTGCATCATCTTGTTTAGTTCTCATAATAACCTTAAGGTAGGTTAAAAAAAATCATTAGAATAAACATGCTGCCTATAGTTAAAGTTTTAACTGCCTCTAGAAGTTTCAGGATAGAAATTGGAATTGAAACTTTCAGCTTATGATATTTTCAACTTACGATGGGTTTATCAGGACATAACCCCATGGTTAGTTAAATGTACTAAATTTATATCACTTTCACACTGTGGTAAAGCTGAAAAATCCTGTCAAACCATCAAGTCAGGGGCAGTCTATATATAGAAAACAGAAAGAGTTAAAATAATTCCGTCCTTTAAAAAAGTTGTTTACTAAGTAAACTTGAGGTAACAGCAAAATTTCATTGTGGATAAATTGAGGTAAAATGTGGGTTTTTAAATGTGTTATAACCCTTCACCCCAATTCCCTAATGTAACATCTTAAATTACCACAGTACACTTATGAAAATCAGGAAATTAACATTGATAAAATTCTCTTGTGTGATTTTGAGGACATGGAAAGAATGACTTCAGACAACTCTTAGAGGATATATGTCAAAAACCTAAAACAATTATAAAATGTATGGACTATTCGACTTTCACCATTGTCCTATTCTTTTTCTAGCCCAGCGTCAAATTCAGGTTCACATGTTATATTTAGTTATAATATCTCCTTAGTCGTCTTTAATCTAAAAACAGAATTTCTTTGCTTTTCATGACCTAGGTACCTTTTGAAGAGCACTGCTCAGGTATTTCATAGGATAGCCCTCGATTTTGGTTTGTCTGATATTTCTTAAAAATATGCCTTTTGGTAAGAACTCCATGGAAGTGATGTTGATGTATCAGTGCATCATGTCAACAGGCACAAGAATCTCAGCTTGTCTGATCAGTAATCATAACATTGATTACTTGGTTAAGATGGTGTCTGCCAGGTTTCTCTTTTGTAAAGTTACTGTTTTCCCTTTTGTAATTAATTATTACCTTCTGGGAAAATATTTTGAGACAGTAAATACTCCATTTCTTATACTCTGCCCACAAATTTTAGGATTGATGAGTCTTGCCTTACTGCCTTACTGCTCTGGTATATGTCAAATGGTAATTTCCTATTTTTTTTTTAATTTAGAAAAATAGCTTACTTAAAAATTATATAACTACCTGACAGATCTCTATAATGCTTTCTCTCCTTACCTATTTTGGCTGATTACTCTCTAATTATCTTTTCATAGGATGATAATTTTGTAATATCTTTGTCTATAGGAGTATAGAAAGATACTCTATTCTGGCCGGGTGTGGTGGCTCATGCCTGTAATCCCAGCACTTTGGGAGGCTGAGGCAGGTGGATCGCCTGAGGTCAGGAGTTTGAGACCAGCCTGACTAATATGGTGAAACCCCGTTTCTACTAAAAACTCAAAAATTAGCCAGATGTGGTGGTGTGTGCCTGTAGTCTCAGCTACTTGGGAGGCTGAGGCAGGAGAATTGCTTGAACCCGGGAGGTAGAGGTTGCAGTGAGCTGAGATTGTGCCACTGCACCTCAACATGGGTGACAGAGCAACAGTCCATCTCAGAAAAAAAAGAGAAAAGAAAGATACTCTATTCTTCTTGCATGCTGATAAAAAAAATTTTTTTTTAACTTTTAATTGCAGGGGTACATGTGCAGGATATGCAGGTTTGTTACATAGGTAAACACGGGTCATAGGGGTTTGTTGTACAGAATTACTTCATTTCACCCAGGTATTAAGCCTAGTATCCAGGAGCTGGAGGCTATTATCCTTAGCAAACTAACACAGGAACAGAAAACCAAACACCACGTGTTCTTACTTATAAGTGGGAGCTAAATGATGAGAATACATGGACACAGAGGGGAATGATGCACAGAGGTGTATTGGAAGGTGGAGGGTGGGAGGAGGGAGGAAATCAGGAAAAATTTTTTATTTTTATTATGACTTCTACATTAATTGGAATTCTGTAAAGCAGTGGTCTACAACCTTTCTGGCACCAGAGACCAGTTTCATGGAAGACAATTTTCCCACAGTCCTGGGGGTGGGGGATGGTTTTGGGATGATTCAAGTGCATTATATTTATTTTGCACTTTATTATTATTACATTGTAATATATAATGAAAAAATTATACAACTCACTATAATGTAGAATCAGTGGGAGCCCTGAGCTTGTTTTCCTGCAACTAGATGGTCCCATCTAGGGGTGATGGGAGACAGTGACAGATAATCAGGCATTAGATACTCATAAGGAGCCTGCAACCTAGATCCCTTGCATGCACAGTTCACAATAGGGTTAGCAATCCTATGAGAACGTAATGCTGCTGCTAATCTGACAGGAAGCAGAGCTCAGGCAGTAATGCAAGCGATGGAGAGCGGCTATAAATACAGATGAAGCTTTGATCACTTGCCCACCACTCACCTCCTGCTGTGCATCCCGGGTTCTAACAGGCCATGGACTAGTAGTGGCCTGTGGCCCAGGGGTTCGGGACCCCTGCTATAAAGGAAGAGCTTTCCTTTCACCCATTTCTTTATTCAGGTATTTATTGATACCAATATAGACTAATGGGCAATAATTTATTCTGAGTTATCCATTGCTATCATTTTGTGGCACAGATCCCAGATTTAGCTGTTGGAGGCCCTTCAAGTTGCCTCTTGTTCCTCCTTGCCCCACTTTTCAATATATTTTATTATTTATTGTGTGAATACTGGTTAACGTTGACAGTGGACTTTAATGTTTACATGTTTCATGGCTGGAAATCAGTATTGGCTGTGCAACACTGTCATTCACTAAACAATTTGAGCCTCGGAATTCTCAGAAAATGAGGACACTGATACCCATCTTAGAAGCAGAATGGGGATGGAATGACCTGATGGCTGTTGGGAACTCAGTGGACACTAAATAACATTTCAGGCCCCTCTTCCTTCTCTGTAGCACTTGGAATGTATGTATTTGCTATATCTCTGATAGATGTATGATTGACAGATAACTATTAGTGATGTCTGGCAAAACCTGATGTGAACCGAGGCAAACATTCTGATTAAGGTCACTTTTAAAGAGGTTTAGCTATTGGAGTCTCTTGAGTCCACAGACCTAAACAATAATACTCTAGCAATTTATATGTATTGATTGTTGTATCTTGTGTCTTTCTGATGTGACTCTGTAGTGGCAGAATCCTAAGATCGTCCCTAAGGGATGATTCCCTTTCCCTGGTGTAACATCCACTTATTTAATCAAATGCTAGTTGAGGCATTACTGTGAAGAATTTTGCAGATGTAATTAAAGTCCCTGATACTGTTTGGATCTGTGTCCCCACCCAAATCTCATGTTGAAATATAATCCCCAATGCTGGAGGTGGGGCCTGGTGGGAGGTAATTAAATCATGGGGGTGGTTTCATGGTTTAACACCATCCCCCTTGGAGCTGTCATGATAGTGAGTTCTCATGAGATCTGGTTGTTTAAAAGTGTGTGGCACCTCCCACCCCACTTCCTTCTGCTCCTGTCATGTGAAATGACTCACTCCCCCTTTGCCTTCCGCCGTGACTATAAGTTTCCTGAGGCCTCCCCAGTAGCAGAAGCTGCTATGCTTCCTGTATACCCTGTGGAACTGTGAGCCAATTAAACCTCTTTTCCTTATAAATTACCCAGTCTCAGGTATTTCGTTATAGCAGTGCAAGAATGGACTAACTACTGTCCCAAACCAGTTGACCTTCAGATAGGGAGATTATCCAGGTGGATCTAATCTAATCACATGAGCCCTTTCAATAAGGATGGAGTGGTCAGAGACAGGAAGACAGGGAGAGGCACAATGTGCAAGGGATTTGATGTGAAAGTAATTCCCCTGCTGGCTTTGAAGATGGAAGGAGCCAGGGGACAAAAACCTGAGAGTGGTTTCTAGGAGCTGAGAGATTCCTAGCGGCCAGTCAGCAAAGAAACAGGAACTTCAGCCCTACAATTTCAAAGATCTAGATTCAGCCAATAAAATAAATGAACTTGAAAGTGTATTCTTCTCAAGAGGCTCCAGAAAAGAACACAAACTAGCTGGTGCTTTAATTTCAGCTTTGTGACTTTTTTTTCCTTAAGAGACAGAGTCTGGCCAACTCAAGGGAAATCAAAGACAAAAACAGTTTCACTCTGCCACCTAAGCTCGAGTGCAGTGGTCCCATCATAACTCACTGCAGCTGGAACTCCTGGGCTCAAGCCATCCTCCTGCCTCAGCCTCCTGAGTAGCCACAGGACCACAGGTATGCACCACCGTGCCCGGCTATGTTTTTTTTTTTTTCTGTAGACAGGCCCAGGTTGGTCTCAAACTCCTGACCTCAAGTAATCCTCCTGCCTCAGCCTCCCCAAACACTGAGATTACAGGCATAAACCACTGAACCCAGCCCATCTTTGTGATCTTTGAACTAGTAATTCTGTATCTAAAAATATATGTTAAATAATCAGAAAACAAGATGCAAATTTATGTCACAGTGTTATATATAATAGTAATATATTAGAAGTAAACAAAAATAGCTTTTGGGCTGTGCATGGTGGCTCCCTCCTGTAATCCCAGCACTTTGGGAGGCCGAGGTGGGACAACTGCTTGAACCCAGGAGTTTGAAACCAGCCTGAGCAACATAGGGAAACCCCGTCTCTACAAAATAATAATAATAATAAATTAGCTGGGCATGGTGGCACATGCCTGTGGTCCCAGCTACTGGGGAGGCTGAGGTGGGAGGATCACTTGGGCCTAGAAGGTCAGGGATGCAGTGAGTTGTGATTGTGCCATAGCACTCCAGCCTGGGTGACAGTGTGAGACTGGGTCTCAAAAAAACAAAAACAAACAAAAAACAACAACAACAAAAATGGTTTAAGAGAATCGATGCATAATTAAAATACATATAGTGGAATATAATGAAATGATAAGATGGTATTCTTAAAAATTTTAATGGTATAGAAAAATGCTTAAAAATAAGTGTGAAAAAAGGACTTTCAGTGTTGATCAAGTAAGTTACTATACCCCATGTGTCTCTCCACTTACAAGTAAAAGTGGCCGGGCACAGTGGCTCAAACCTGTAATCCCAGCACTTTGGGAGGCCAGGGTAGGTGGATCACTTGAGGTCAGGAGTTCAAGACCAGCCTGGCTAACATGGTGAAACTCTGTCTCTACTAAACTTACAAAAATTAGCCGGGTGTGGTAGCGCAGCTTGTAATCCCAGCTACTTGGGAGGCTGAGGCACGAGAATCACTTGAACCCAGGAGGCAGTGGTTGCAGTGAGCCAAGACTGCACCACTGCACTCTAGCCAGGGCAACAGAGCAAGACTCTGTCTCAATAAAAACAAACAAACAAACAACAACAACAACAACAACAACAAAAACAAGTAAAAGCTCTGGCTAGAGTACACCAGTAGTCTCTGAAAAGTAAATGAAAGCATTATTGGATTGGGAATGGAAGTCGAACTGGGCAAAGAAACTCATGTAGAGTTCAGTTTTCTGGTTTCATTTTTTTTCCTGTCTCTCCCAGCTCTGAAGCAAGAGTGAGCATCTAGCAGAAATGCAGTGGGCAGTATGAACAGCAGAAATTGATAAAAACCTATCTTTTTTGGCCAGGAGACCAAGAAAGGGGGAACTACTTTGAGCAAGAGAGAGCAGGAGGAATTCTGGAGCAGAGAGGACTGGATTACGGGTCCCATGATTCTGTCTATAAACTGGCAATGGTCCCAGCCTCATCCCTGAGGTACAGATACAGGAGACAGATTGAAAGCCACCTAGCAAAGCCTTTGAGAACTAAACTGCAATATAAACTTCTGCCCAAGCTCCATACTAACGCCAGAGGGTGATACATGTGTGGGACAGTCCCAAGGCAGCATAGCCAAGGCTTTGAAAACTTAAGTGACGTTAGAACCGTGTTCACAGAAGAACAGACAGAACTTAAAGCCTGAACCTAACTGGGCTGATTACTCATTTAAAAATCGATATTCTCCAGAGGATTTTAAAAAGACCCAGATTCTCACAACATAATATTCAAAATGTCCAGGACAAAATCCAAAATACTTGACACACAAAGAATTAGGAGAATGTGACTAGTTTTCAAGGGAAAAGGCAATCAATAGATGCCAAACTCAAGATGACACAAATGTTAGAATTATCAAAGATTTTAAAGCGATTTATAATCCATAAAGAAAATAAACTTAATGAAAAGATATGATTTTTCAGAAAAATCAACTATAAGAAAAAATCAAATGGCAATTTGAGAAGAAAAAATTACAATAGGTAAAAGATTCAGTACATGCAGTACATGTGCTAAACAGCAGAATTAGGAAGACAGGAAAAATCGGTGAACTTGAAAATAGGCCAGTAGAAATTATTTGAAAACCATTTGAAAAACAGGAAGAAAAAAGATTTAAAAATGAACAGACCCTCATCAACCTTTAAGACAATATCAAAATGTACAATATTCATGTCATTGGTGTCCCAGATATTACAAACAACTTTATTCCTATAAATTTGAGTGGACAAACTTCTTTAAAGGTGTAAACTGCCAAGACTTATTAAAGAAACAAATAGATAACTTGAACAGTCCTATGTTTATTTTAAAAATTGAATTCATAGCTTAAAATCTTCTAACAATAAAACTCCAGACTCATATAATTTCACTGGAAAATTCCACCAAACATTTGAGGAGGAAATGTACTATTTCTCAGAAAAATAGTAGGAATTACTTTCTAGTTCACTTCGGGAAACCAGCATTACTTTGATACCAAATCCAGACAAACATATTACAAGAAGAAGAAAGCGGCCGGGCGCGGTGGCTCACTCCTGTAATCCCAGCACTTTGGGAGGCCAAGGCGGGCGGATCATGAGATCAGAAGTTTGAGACCAGCCTAACCAAAATGGTGAAACCCCGTCTCTAACTAAAAATACAAAAATTAGCTGGGCGTGGTGGCGTGTGCCTGTAATCCCAGCTACTCAGGAGGCTGAGGCAGGAGAATCGCTTGAACCTGGGAGGCGGAGGTTGAGTCAATTGCACTCCAGCTTGGGCGCCATTGCACTCCAGCTTGGGTGACAGAGGGAGACTCTGTCTCAAAAAAAGGAGAAGGAGAAGAAGAAGAAGAAGAAGACTATAGATCAATACAATATCCCTCATGAACATAAACACACAGATCCTCTACAAAATATTGACAAATCTAACAATATATGAAAAGGACAGTATATAAAAATATATGTATCCCTCTCTGGACTACTAGAATAAGTGTAATACATATAAACATTATTATTTTGTCCTTATAATAAGCTAATTCTGTTTTTTGTTTGCCTGCTCATTTTGGTTTTTAGTCCAAGATTTTCTTATTCCTGGACATTTTATTAGAATATTTCTAAGGCTTAATGAGTCTTTTGAACACTTAGAATTTTAAAAATAGTATTGCTTTTAACATTTAGAATTTTAAAAATAGTATTTGAGTACTTAGATCAAGTGGACAAATTTTTTTAAAGGTGGAAACTGCCAAGACATATTAAAGAAACAAATGATAACCTAAACAGTCCTATGTTTATTTTAACAATTGAATTCATAGCTTATTCCATCTAGTAGTTCATATTTTTAATCAACTGATTAAAATACATTGGCTTGCTCTTTAAATGAAAGATGGTGACTATCAGAATTACAGAGAGCATTAATACAAAATTCTGTAATGCTTATTAAAAATTGAAGACAATATTTTTATTTTTTATATTTTTACATTACCAGTATTATGCTTTACCTTGTAAGTTTTTTTTACTACAACCTATGATAAGAAATAATTATATACAGTACATATACACATATATGCTTACACACCAATAATTGCCACAAAAGCTTCACAAACCAATATTTACCTTTATCATGAGCAGTGTATTCTGTTATTTTCTATTCTATTTCATTTTTCAAAAAAATGGTTAACAATTCACTAGTGATTTTGTAACACCCTGTGCTATTAGCCTGGAAACTCTCTCCCTGGTGTCAGGCTCTACGCCACTCAGACCTGCCTTTCCCATCCTCTGCTGTTCTCTTCAAAGACTAGACATTAACAAGAAGTACTGCTATTATTGTTTTTTTGTTTGTTTGTTTAGTGATAGAGTCTCACTCTGTTGCCCAGGCTGGATGGAGTTAGGTACAGTCATGGCTCACTGCAGCTTGGAACCCCTGAGTTCAAGCGATCCTCCCACCTCAGCCTCTTGAGTAGCTAGGACTATAGGTGCACACCACCACACCCAGCTAATTTTTTTTAAAAAAGTCTTTTAGAAACGGGAGTCTTGCTGTGTTGCCAGGCTGGTCTTCAACTCCTGGCCTCAAGCGGTGCTCCTGCATCAGCCTCCCAAAGCACTGAAATTATAGGCATGAGCCACTGCACCCACTATTGCTTTTAGGAATTGTAAGCCAATGGGATGTGGGTTGAATATCTCAGTTTATGATCTCTGAAAATGAGGCCAGGTAAAGATTTAATTTTGACAGAGAGCATCACTGAAACCTCATTCAGCCAACTCCAGATGCATGCTGTTCTGCAGGGCTAAACAAAATGAGTTTGGTGCAACTATGGGAACAAAACAAAGTCCACATGCTTTCTGACACAAAGCAGAGTCTTTTCCTTGTCTCAGTCAAGAGTTGTATAAAGGATTTACCAGCACTATGGTGGCCGTATGAAAATGGAGTGGCCCTCAATTTGGGGCAGATGAAAGTCAGTCTTGGTCCTGGGGACATATTACCTAGTCATGCCAAGACTGCTTTCTCTATGAAAAGTAAAATCTTCAAGTTATCTCAGGTCACTTTAGAAACATATGTCCCTCTCCTTCTCCTCCTTCTCCTTCTTCTTTGACAGAGTCTCGCTCTGTCACCCAGGCTAGAGTGCAGTGGCCTGATCTTGGCTCACTGCAACCTCTGCCTCCTGGGTTCAAGAGATTCTCCTGCCTCAGCCTCCCAAACAGCTGGGATTACAGACACACACCACCACCATGCCTGGCTAATTTTTGTATTTTTGTAGAGATGGGGTTTCAACATGTTGGCCAGGCTGGTCTTGAACTCCTGACCTCAAGTAATCTGCTTCGGCCTCCCAAAGTGTTGGGATTACAGGCGTGAGCCACCACCCAGCCAGAAACATATGATTTTCTATTATTTTCCTGTGCTTTCCGAAAGACAGCATAGGCTTCTTTTTGCCAAACTCCGACTGAAGTCATTGTCTATCGTGTTATATAATATCTTCTATAACAGGACCCACGAAATAACTGACTCCTTAATTTCAGCGCCGGAAAAAATTATTTCTCTTAAGATATTTTTATGTTTTTACTCTGCCCTCCCCCACAACAATAAACAGCAAACAATAAATCCCAGGACGATTTCCTCTTTTAATTACTGGGCCTCTCAAAACAAAACATTCGACTAGATTATTCATTTCAGGTATTTTATAACATTTATTTCTCTGTTCATGTCAACTATTTGCTTTGACTAATATGTGATAGTATTTATTATCTCATTTGAAACTATGTTGAATGTTGAAAATTACTTCAAATCCTTTCCTGGAAGGAAGTAGAAAAAAAAAATCCTAAAGAAAAATAAGAAATGGTATTTAGGAAAATTGCTTCCAAGTCTAAGGGATGGCCCAAAGAAACAGAGCCTAGGGAATTCTCTGGCTGTATCAGCTCCTTCCTAAGAAACCTGATGCACTGTGCTGCTAGATGTAACAAAAGAACAAAATGAGTTGAGCTTTCTCTTTTTTGGATCTGCCATAAATTCAGGTTTTTACACTTAATGTCATCTTGGACACTTAAATACTGAATTTCCCAGGTTACCCCAAAGCTCCAGCAAAAGGAAAGGGGGAACAATACTTGCACAATGCTTCCATCCTTCACATCCTGGGTTCACAGAAACCATACAAGAATTGAAACCATTCCAGAATCCAACACAAAAACCATTTGTTAATTCCTAGCTTCAGGATCTGAGGATGAGTAAACGTATGTATACCTTTCTAAGGGGTGTCAGCTACACCATAATAAAAACACAGCCAAAATTAAACAGGCTCAGGGGTTACGTTTCAGAATCAAGACTTGAAGACAGACATTCTAACCTGTTTTCTGATAGATTCAGAAGTCTTCATCAAGTTTAAAATATCTTTAATGTTGATGACTATCGACATTAAAGATCCTCTTGCCTCTTTCCGATCTTTTCCAATTTAATAAACATTTAAGTACAAGGCACAGTTCTAGGTATTATGCAAGATACAAAGGTTACCAGGGGCTTGATTTTGACCCTTAAATTACTATTAAAGGAGAAATGCAAATTGTAGCAGAAAAATTCCCATAAACCCCTTGCAGATGAATAAAAAATACCCCCTTAAACCTTAAGAGGATAAAAAAGCAAGGCCCTCTTCCCCTGCTGCTTTTGGAGTCTATCCTAGTGTGTCATTTCACCGCCTCACACACAGTTGCCACAGGCTAATAAAGGCTTATCTGTCTGCAGAGTTACTATTTTTTTTTTAAATTTGATGAAGAATTTCTAGTTTTTTTTTTTCTAATGGGTTTTGTGTTGTTTTTTTACAGTTCCATTCTTAGACTGGACTTAATACTAGTCCTCTTTTTCAGTTTCCTTAGACCAATAACTAAATCTTTTATAAACTATATTTTCATGTTTTATTGCCTGTATTTTGTTTTTATATGTATCATTAATTCTTAAAAATTAAGATTTTGAATCCCTTTGAATATTTATTATGCTTCAAAGATCTTGATGAAGAAGTCTGAGTTGACTGCCATTTCTCTTATGTTGGTGGTAAGGCTGGGGTGCAAACGCACACTGGTTTAGCGTGGGCAATGATCACTAAGCACAAGAGCCGCGGCCACCCCCACTTTACCTCGTTCACAGACAGAACGGGAAGGTTGGTCCTGGATGGCTGCCTGGTCCTGGATGCTTTTAGTGGTCTCTTGATCTGTGGAAAGTCTTGTTTTGGAACAAATGTTTCCATTGATACAGATAAGAAATGCCTCTTTAATATTTTAATAAACCATTTAGAACCCAATAGATTTGGTTTGTGGGTCACTCTCCTGTGAGTACCAAAGGATTTCCTGGTTGGAAGGTGTGCTTTTTCATCTTGGCAACAAGCAGCATTTAATGGAGAGAGCATGCTAGTATTTGATCTTTTTTTTTTTTTTTTTGGTTCATTTCGAGGATCTGAGATTTATTCAAACCACCAGCTGTTTTATCAGGAAGGAACAAATCCAAGTTTTGACATATTGTCAGTGTGCTGCATGTGGTATTTTCAAATTCCTTAAGTGGTTTTAACATTAGATGACCAATTCTTCTGCACTGATGTGCTTTTGATAATATACGGTGAGATCTGGCCACGGCTCTGAGAAGTATGGCTGGCATTACCACATCCCAAGTTCTCCGCCTGAAGAGAAGGAAGCACCAGGGATGCACGCTTCCTCAGCAGGACTGCAGGGAAAGAGCCGCAGCACCAGGCTGTCACTACGGCAGCCACCCCCTCTCCTGGAAGGGCGCTCCCTCCAATATTTTTATTTTTATTAACATGATAGGTTTTCTCATTTGAGCCTGTAAAACTGCAGGTGCAAAAGTGTGGGTGTATTCAATAGTGTCTAAAAGCATTCCCACCCTAAGCTTTCTGGGTATTCTTTGATTACTGTGTTCCATTGTTAAACAAGCATTTGTAAAGTCTAGCAGGCAAAGTTGTTAACCTAGTACATAACTCTCTATCTGTACTTAACTAATCTATTTATTAATTTTTTATATAATGAATACTGTTTTTATGATTATTTAAATGATATGTGCCCATTGTGGAAATTTACAAAGGCACAAAACGATATAGAAAAAATCAAAATCTCATTTCCCAGAGACAACCACAGTTATTATTTTGGCTTATTGCTTCTTACCTACAGGTATACACATATATTTGAATTCATCATTTTTTTTGTTAAATCGAACTAATATTTGAAAGTGGCTAAACCTGTATTTATTTTTTTCCAAATTCACATGATTTTTAGAGCACTCCTTTTTTTTTCTTTAATTTTTTTTTTAGATTCAGGGGCTACATGTGCAGGTTACCTGGGTATATTGCATGATGCTGAGATCTGGGGTGCAAATGAGTCCATCACCCAGGTACTGAACATATAACCCAACAGTTATTCAACTCTTGCCCCTTGCCCCTTGCCTCCCCTCCCCCAAGAGGTCCTCAGTTTCCACTGTGCCATCTTTATATCCCTAAGTACCCAGTGTTTAGCTCCCACTTATAAGTGAAAACGTGGTATTTGGTTTTCTGTTCCTGCATTAATTCCCTTAGAATAATGGCCTCCAGCTGCATCCATCTTGCTGAAAAGGATATGATTTAATTCTTTTTTATGGCTGCATGGTATTCCATGGTGTATATGTACCACATTTTCTTTATCCAAGTCACTATTGATGGGCACCTAGGTTGATTCTGTGTCTTTGCTATTGTGAATAGTCCTGCAAAGAACATGCAAGTGCATGTGTCTGTCTGGTAGACAGATTTGTTTTCTTTTGGATATATACCCTAATGAGATTGCTCGGCTGATTGGTAGTTCCGAGTTCTTTGAGAAATCTCCAAATTGCTTTCTACACTGGCTGAACTAATTTACATTCCCACCAGCAATGTATATGTGTTCCCTTTTCTTTGCAGCCTTGCCAAGCATCTGTTGTTTTTTGACTTTTGTGTGTGTGTGTGTGTGTGTGTGTGTGTGTGTGTGGAGACAGAGTCTCGCTCTGTCTGTCGCCCAGGCTGGAGTGCAGTGGCACGATCTCAGCTCACTGTAACCTCCCAGGTTCAAGCAGTTCTTGTGCCTCAGCCTCCCGAGTAGCTGGGACTACAGGCATGTGCCACTATGCCTGCCTAATTTTTTGTATTTTTAGTAGAGACAGGGTTTCGCCATGTTGCCCAGGCTAGTCTCAAACTCCTGAGCTCAGGCAATCCACCCACCTTGGCCTCCTGAAGTGCTAGGATTACAGGCGTGAGCCACTGCACCAGGTCGTTTTTTGACTTTTTTTTTTTTTTTTTTGAGACGGAGTCTCTGTGTCGCCAGGCTGGAGTACAGTGGCGTGATCTCGGCTCACTGCAACCTGTGCCTCCCAGCTTCAAGTGATTCTCCTGCCTCAGCCTCCCAAGTAGCTGGGACTACAGCTGCGTGCCACCACACCCAGCTAATTTTTGTATTTTTAGTAGACACAGGGTTTCACCATGTTGGCCAGGATGGTCTCGATCTCTTGACCTCGTGATCCACCTGCCTTGGCCTCCCAAAGTGCTGGGACTACAGGTGTGAGCCACTGAACTTGACCTTGACTTTTTAATAATAGCCCTACTGACTGGCATGAGATGGTATCTCATTGTGGTTTTGATTTGAATTTCTCTGATGATTAGTGATGTGGAGCATTTTTTCATGTTTGTTGGCCACTTGTGTGTCTTCTTTTGAGAAACGTCTGTTCATGTCTTTTGCACATTTTTAAATGGGTTTATTTGTTTTTTGTTTGTTCAATTAAGTTCCTTATAGATTCTGGATATTACACCTCTGTTGGATGCATAGTTTGTGAATATTTTGTCCCATTCAGTAGGTTGTCTGTTTACTCTGTTGATAGTTTCTTTTGCTCTGCAGAAGCTCTTTAGTTTAATTAGGTTCCACCTGTCAATTTTTGTTTTTGTTGCAATTGCTTTTGAAGACTTAGTCACCATAAATTCTTTCCCAAGGCTGATGTCTAGAATGGTGTTTCCTATGTTTTTTTCTAGGATTCTTATAGTTTGAGGTCTTACATTTAAATCTTAATCTATCTTGAGTTAATTTTTGTATATGGTAAAAGGTAGGGGTCCAGTTTCATTCTGCATGTAGCTAGCCCACTATCCCAGCACCATTTATTAAATAGGAAGTCCTTTCCCCATTGCTTATTTTGGTCAGCTTTATCAAAGATCCAATGTTGTGGCTTTATTTCTAGGTTTTCTATGCTGTTCAATTGGTCTATGTGTCTGTTTTTGTACCAGTACCACGCTGTTTTGTTTACCTAATCCTTATAGTGTACTTTGAAGATGGGTAATGTGATGCCTCCAGCTTTGTTCTTTTTGCTTAGGATTGCTATGGTTATTTGGGGACTTTTTTGGTTCCTTGTGAATTTGAGAATAGTTTTTTCTAGTTCTGCAAAAAGATGTTGGTAGTTTGATAGGAATAGTGTTGAATTTGTAGATTGCTCTGGGCAATACAGCTATTTTAATGATACTAATTCTTCCAATTCATTAGAAATGAAGTGTTTTTCCATTTGTTTATGCCACGTTTTACATCTTTCAGCAGTGTTTTCTAGTTCTCCTTGGAGAGATCTTTCACCTCCTTGGTTAGATGTGTCCCTAGGTATTTTATTTTGTGCCTGTGGCTATTTTAAATGGGATTGCATTCTTCCTCTGGCTCTCAGCTTGAACGTAACTGGTATATAGAAATGCTATTTATTTTGTACATTGATTTTGTATCCTGAAACTTTACTGAAGTTTTTATCAGTTCCAGGAGCCTTTTGGCAGAATCTTCAGGATTTTCTAGCTATAGGATCACATTTTCCATAAAGAGAGATGGTTTGAATTCTTTTCCTATTTGAATGCCTTTTATCTTTCTCTTGCCTTATTGCTCTGGCTAGCACTTCTAGTACTACTTGAAATAGGAGTGATGAGAGTGGGCATCCTTGCCTTGTTCCAGTTCTCAGGTGGAATGCTTCCAGTTTTTGCCTGTTCAGTATGACGTTGTTTAGAACACTCTTGTGTTGTTTTAACATACTCTTGTGACCTTTTGTGAGCTTGAAATCTCTTAATATTTTAAAATAGAATGGCTTTGACTTTACTGAAAAGAAACATACTTGTAAAAATTTAAGCAACACAGATAAATACAAAAAAGAATTTTATGATATCACTGTAATTTAGAAGTAATGTTTAGTAACACTAGATGAGCATCACATCTAGAACTTCTTGATGGACAGAGGGATTGGTGAATTGAAATATATAGATGCATAGAGGAAAGGTAGACAGAAAGAATTTTGTAAAATGCTTATTGGCTTATCATGCAATAAGCCACTTAAAATAAAAGGTATTACATGCAATTTTACTTGAATTTAATAGAAGGTAAGAAATTGAAATAAAATAGAAGAAACTGCTAAACCTCAAGATGTTTCTCTTTTAAATTTGTATTTATTTCTTATTTTCCAATGCCCTCTAGTGTTCCAAGGATGTTTCTTTTTTAAACACTTTTTTTTTTTTTTTTTTTGAGACAGAGTCTTACTCTGTCGCCCAGGCTGGAGTGCAGCGGTGTGATCTTGGCTCACTGCAACCTCCTCCTCCTGGGTTCAAATCATTCTCCTGCCTCAGCCTCCCGAGTAGCTGGGATTACAGGCATGCACCACCATGCCTGACTAATTTTGTATTTTTAGTAAAGATGGGATTTCTCCATGTTGGTCAGACTGGTCTCAAACTCCTGATCTCAGATGATCCACCCGCCTTGGCCTCCCAAAGTGCTGGGATTACAGGTGTGAGCCACCACACCCGGCCCACAATTTTAAAAAATTCATCTCCTGGCTGGCTGATTTCATTGCTGTGTAGTTTTTTTTGTTTGTTTTTTTTTGAGACGGAGTCTCACTCTGTCACCAGGCTGGAGTGCAGTGGTGCAATCTCAGCTCACTGCAACCTCTGCCTCCCGGGTTCAAGTGATTCTCCTGCCTCAGCTTCCCGAGTAGCTGGGACTACAGGCACTTGCCACCACGCCCGGCTAATTTTTGTGTTTTCAGTAGAGACGGGGTTTCACCATTTTGGCCAGGATGGTCTCAATCTCTTGACCTCGTGACCCACCTGCCTCAGCCTCCCAAAGTGCTGGGATTACAGGCGTGAGCCACTGCACCCGGCTCACTGTTATTTTTTAAAGTTCATTTTTATATGTGTTGCTTGGCTTGTTCAAGGTTCAATTCCTTCAGCTGATTATTTTATTTTATGGCTCTATATCCCTCAATAACATGTTTTTATTGTTATTTCTTGGTTAGCTTCAGGTATTTTGTTTTGATAACTCACCATGGAAGCTGAGAATTTAGCTCCTTTTGCCACCCCCACCACACATACGCACACATACATTTCTCCATATAGATATATTGTAACCTTGGCTAGTTCCGTATTCAGGATTTTCAGTATTATGAAAATGCTACTCACAGGAGAATACGTAGTATACTAAGATTCCTTATCCGCACAGAATAGGAAATTGTAATATACTATGTGTATTAGTCTGTTATCATGCCGTTACAGACATACCTGAGGCTGGGTAATTTATAAAAGAAAGAGGTTTAATTGACTCACAGTTCCACAGAGCTGGGGAGGTCTCAGGAAACTCACTATCATGGTGGAAGGGAAGCAAACATGTCCTTCTTCACATGGTGGCAGCAAGAAGTGCCAAGCAAAAGAGGGGAAAACCCTTATAAAACCATCAGATCTTTTGAGAACCCACTCACTCTCACAAGAACACCATGGAGGTAACCGCCCCCGTAATTCAATTATCTCCCACTGTGTCCCTCCCACGATATGTGGGGATTATGGGAACTACAATTCAAGATGAGATTTGGGTGGGGACACAGCCAACCCATATCACCATGATTATTCTTTTCCTGGAATTAGTTTTTTTTTTTTTTAACTTGCTTAGTTGTCTATGTATTTTCTAGTATTTCAAGCCCAATCTCCCCCCACCCCGATTAGTAAATTATTTTCAACATGTTCTAGGTATTTTATCATTTGCAACTTATTGAAGAAAATCTCCCCACATTCTCCATGCCTGCTCAATTCTGTCTAGTTGCTCATTGCACCTACTGCACAGCCCTTGTTTTGGGGCCTCCTTTCCCTCTCACCCTGTGGATTCTTTTTACTTTTTCTCATATTGGCTCCCCTGTTCCCTGAACACCATACTTTCCATTTTCAGTTTATTCCATTGTTTTTGTGGAGCCAGTCCTCTAGTAAATCTTAAGAGGTGAGAATGTTAGGAAAATCTCAGGTTCTGAACACCTGAAAATATTTTTATTCACTTTTGCATTTTATTGTCTAGCTGAATGTGTTACTCTACATTGGAAATAATTTTTCCTCAAACTTTTGATGCCACTGGACCATTGTCTCCTAGTTTCCAATGTTGCCATTGAGTTATCCAATACTTTTCTGATTCTTCAGTTTTGTATGACATTTTTATCACAAAAGCTTATAGGGGCTTTTTTTTTTCCCACTGTTGTAGACTTTCACAATAATTTGAATTCCTTTTCATCCATTGTGATGGATGCTCAATTTAGAATTTAGACTTATATGCTGGGAAATTTTCTTGAATCAATTTCTTGATAATATCCTTGACTCTGTTTTTTCCCTTCTCTCTATCTTAGGACTCTTGGGCTGGTCTACAAGTTTTCATAGCTTTTCCATTTATTTTTCAAATTATTGTCTTTTGCCCTACTTTCTGGAAGATTTTTCTGGAAGATTAATTAATTAAATTAATTAATTTTTTTTTTAAGACAGGGTCATGCCATCACCCAGGCTAAAGTGCAATGGCACAATCATAGCTCACTGCAACCTTGAACTCCTGGACTCAAGCAGTCCTCCTGCCTCAGCCTGCTGAGTAGCTAGGACTACAGGTGCAAACCACCATGTCTGGCTAATTTTTTCATTATCCGTGGAGACAGGAGTCTCGCTATGTTGCCCAGGCTAGTCTCGAATTCCTGGCCTCAAGTAAGCCTTTCACCTTGGCCTCCCAAAGCACTGGGAATATAGGTGCAAGCCACTGTGCAGCTCACAGAACTTAAACACTGCAATTACTTTTGCACCAGCCTAATATGTATATATGTTTTCATCCACAGTTCCTGGCTCATAACTCCCATAGCCCTTGTTACGGTCTTTTGTTAAGACTCATAAGTAGGCCTCAAGTGACAGAATCACTCCCTCTGACCTTCTCCTGCCCTCTTTTCATTAGAGTCCCAAGGCAGCACTCGAATCTGATTGTGGGTCGTAAGACCCTCATTCCAGATACGGTCTTGCTGCATACTCTGGAGGAAGGAATGCTGCACGGAGAGCAAGAAGAATCTGAACTGAACAGACAGACCTTGCTGGGTTTAGATCACACCCTTTTTGTGCAATCAATTATTTTTATTTTTTAATTTTTTTTTTAGACGAAATCTTGCTTTGTTGCTGGGCTGGAGTGCAGTGGCGTGGTCTCAGCTCACTACAACCTCTGCTTCCCGGGTTCAAGCGATTCTCCTGCCTCAGCCTCCCGAGTAGCTGGGATTACAGGCGCCAGCCACTATGCCCAGCTAATTTTTATATTTTTAGTTGAGACAGGGTTTCACCATGTTAGGCCAGTTTCAAACTACTCACCTCAAGCAATCCACCCGCCTCGGCCTCCCAAAGTGCTGGGATTACAGGCCTGAGCCACCGCGCCCGGCTATCCAATCACATTTCGCCACGATTGTTCGTGCTTCAACCATGAACAACCAATGAAGTCTCCGTAATAGGCCCAAACGAGGGAGTTCAGAGAGCTTCCGGGGAACTGAACACTTGGAGGCCAACAGGAAGGTGAAGAAGAACTCATTCGTGTGCTGGGAGGGTGGCACACCCCAACTCCACAGGGACAGAAGCTCTTGCACTCAGGACCCTTTCAGAGCTGGCCCTGTGTATGTCGTTATCTGGCTGTTTATTTGTATCTTTTAAAATCTACTTTGTAATAAACTGGTGAAGGTAAGTATTTCCCTGAGTTCTGTGAGTCGCTCTAGCAAATTAACCCAAAGAGGGACTCATAGGAACTCCAACTTGAAGCTAGTCAGTCAGAAGTTCCGAAGGCCCGGACTTGTAACTGGAGGGAAGGAGGGGACGGACAGTCTTGCGGGGAGAGCCCTCAACCTGTGGGATCTGACGCTATCTCCAGGAAGACCGTGTCAGAACTCAACTGGGGGACACCCAGCTGGTGTCTGCTGCTGAAATGATTGCTTGCTTGCTTGCTTGCTTGCTTGCTTGCAGGTGGGGAGAAATCTCCGCATGTTTTGGGGTCACAGAACTCGTCTGTGTTGATTGTTGTCGGGGGAGAGCAGAGGGAAAACCGGTTCGGGAGTGTTTTCAAAACAATCGACATCACCCTATTTCCAGTCTACTTCCTCTGCCCCTGGGAACCACCGTTCTACTCTGTGTTTCTATGTATTCAACTCTTTTGAGATTCCACATAGGCTGAGCACTTGGCTCACGCCTCCAATCCTAACACTTTGGGATGCAGAAGTGAGAGGATCCCTTGAGGACGGGAGTTTGAAACAAGCCTGGGCAACATAGTGAGATCGAGTCTCTACAAAACTACTTAAAAATTTACATTTTTACATTTTTATGTAAAATGTAAAAATTTACATTTTTACAGTTTACATTCTTATCAACAGTGTGGAAGCGGTCCCTTACTTCCTCATCCTCACCAACACTTGTTATCTTTTGCCTTTTTGGTAATGACCATCTTAACAGGTGTGAAGTGATATCTCATTGTGGTTTTGATTTGCATTTTCCTACCTGTTGGACATTTTTACGTCTTCATTGGAGAAATGTCTATTCAGGTCTTTGCCCATTTTTAAATTAGGTTATGATTATTATTATTTTGCTATTGAGTTGTGTGGGTTCCTTATATATTTTGGATATTAACTCATCAGATATATGGTTCACACATATTTTCTCCTGATCAATAGGTTACCTTTTCATTTTGTTGATTGTTTCCTTTGCTCTGCAGAAGCTTTTTGTTTGATGTAGTCTCACAGGAATGATGTATTTTTTGACAATTTTTTCCTCCCTGCTTTGTTTTCTTTACTTCATATTAAATTTTTTCTAAAATATCCAGTAGCCTTTGGCTATCTGAGCATATTTAAGATTTGCACATTAAAAAGCAAATTATTTGGAAGGCCAGGGTGGGTGGATCACTTGAGGCCAGGAGTTCGAGACCAGCCTGGCCAACAGTGCAAAACCCCGTCTCTACTAAAAATACAAAAAAAAAAAAAAATTAGCCCGGCGTGGTGGTGCATTCCTATAGTCCTAGCTACTCCGGAGGCTGAGGCACAAGACTCACCTGAACCTGGGAGACAGAGGTTGCATTAAGCTGAGATCACCCCACTCAAGCACTCCAGCCTGGGCAACAGAGTGAGTCTGTGTCAAAAAAGCAAAAACAGAAAACAAAAAACAAAAGCTAATTAATGCTGTGTGCATGTGTGAGGCTTGTCAGCTGGAGCCTTCATTACAGAGTGATCTGCTAAGCCTTATGTTGGAGAACTCCTCTCCTAATATCAAGTCTTTTATTTTTTTTTTTGAGACAGAGTCTTGCTCTTGTTGCCCAGGCTGGAGTGCAATGGCGCGATCTCAGCTCACTGCAACCTCTGCCTCCTGGGTTCAAGCAATTCTCCTGTCTCAGCCTCCTGAGTAGCTGGGATTATAGGTGCCTGCCACCATGCCTGACTAATGTTTGTATTTTTAGTAGAGATGGGGTTTCACCATGTTGGCTGAGTTGGTCTCAAACTCCTGACCTCAGGTGATCCGCCCACCTCGGTCTCCCAAAGCGCTGGGATTACAGGTGTGAGCCACAGCGCCTGACCGTAATATCAAATCTTTTTTCCTAGTTTGTCAAAGTCTCCAGAGAAGAATCACCTAACCTGTCTGGAGGGGAAAGCCCTGGCTGACTAAGTTCTGGGATTCAAGTAAAAGGAAGCCTGGGCCGGGCGCGGTGGCTCACGCCTGTAATCCCTGCACTTTGGGAGGCTGAGGCGGGCAGATCACGAGGTCAGGAAATCAAGACCATCCTGACTAACATGGTGAAACCTCGTCTCCACTAAAAATACAAAAAATTAGCTGGGCATAATGGCATGTGCCTGTGTCCCAGCTACTCGGGAGGCTGAAGCAGGAGGATCTCTTGAACCCAGGAGGCGGAGGTTGCAATGAGCCAAGATTGCACCACTGCACCCCAGCCTGGGTAACAGGGTGAGACTCCATTTAAAAAAAAAAAAAAAAAAAAAAAGGAAGACTGGTAGTTTTGACATTTATTACATAAACTTTCAATTAATTTCTCTCTCCTCAATTATGCTTAGTGTTTCCTAGCATAAAGACCATTTTCTCATTTTTAAAGAAAACATTTTAATTGAAATATAACGTATACACAAAAAGCATACAAATCATGGGTATATAATTCAATGAATTCTTAAGCAGTGAAAATGTTGTGTAAGCACCACCCAGATTAAGTAATTGAACATTTGAGCACCCCAGATGCCGGCTTCGTGCATTCTCTCACTCTCCTCCCACCTACAAAGGTAATTAATATTCTGATGTCCATTGGTCTAGATTAGTTTTTGTGTGTTAAATATATACATATACTCATACACACACACAAATATATATATATATAATTTTATTTTGCATTGCTTCTTTTACCCAACATTATGTTACTGAGATGTATCCATATTAATTCATATAAATATTTATTTCCACGGCTTCATAGAATTCTACAGTATGAATTTACCACAATGTATTCATCCATCTTATTATTGAAAAATAACTAAATTAGAATCAAATAATTTTGGTACTTTATTTAAAGTACTGTGTTAAATGCTTTATGTGTGCTATCTTATTATCCTCATAATAATCATTTGAGGTAGGTATTATGCTTCATTTATTTCTCAGTTAACAAACATTTATTTATGTACCAGGCACTTTTCTAGTTCTTGAGGGATCAGCTAAATAAAACAAATGGAAATGTATGAATAACTAAATGAAACAAGAATCTGTGCCCTCCTGGAGCTTATATTCTCTAAGCAAAATATTTGCTATATTAGATATGGATAAATGTTACCGAGAAAAATAAAGCAAGGAAGAGGATGTGAGGACCTGGTGGTGAAGGAGGGATGTTTGCAGTTTTAGATAGCATGGCTAAGGAAGATATGACTGAGAAAATGACCTTCAAGTCCAAGTTTAAAGAAAGTGAGGGAGCATACCATGCAACTATCTGGAGGAAGAGCATTTTAGACATAATAAAAGGCAAGAGGAAACCCTAAAGGAAGAAGCTTGTTGTTGTTTTAAAAACAGCAAAGAAGGCAGTGAGGGTGGAGTGGAATAAGCAAGAAAGAGGATGTTAGGAGTTGCAGTCAGGGAGGTAAAGGATAGATCAGATCGTATAGGCCTTGCAGGCCAAAGTAAGTACTTCGCTTTACTTGAGTGAGAATGAAGGCACTGGAGTCTTTGATCAGAGGAGGGACATGACCAGACTTACACATTAACAAAATCATTCTATCTGCTATATTGAGAATAGATTGAATGACAGCAAAGGTGAGGGCAAGAGGCCTGTTATCAGCTATTGTTCTCCCCATTTGATAGATGAGGAAAACGAGACTTGAACATGACCAAGGTCATAAATCTTCAACACGTGGCCCATAACCAGCAGTATCAACATCACCCCCACCCCCCACCCCCATGGAGCTGGGAATGCAGACCCTCAGGACTCACCACAGGCCAGTGGAATCCCAATCTGCATTTTAGGAAGAGCCCCAGCTGACTTGTATCCATGTTAAAATGTGAGAAGCCCCAGTCTAAACCTTTATGATAATACTGTCGTTGAAGCTTATGGATCAGAGGAAGGATACTATCAAAGTGGTGCTCTAAGAAAATTGCATTTGGTAACAACAAACAAACAAACAAAAAATAGAGAAAAGCAAAGGATGCCATCTATGAGAAAATAATGGTAACCCAGAAATTTTGGGCTGAATGGCAGAAGTAGGATAACTAGAATAGGAATGAAAAAAAAAATTGAAAATGAAGGAATGCAAGAAAAGCCTTTTTTTTTCTTTTCTTTTTGTTTCTCCTTCTCCTTCTCCTTCGGCAGGGTCTCTTGTCACTCGGGCTGGAGTGCAGTGGTGCAATCTTGGCTCACTGTAACCTCCGCCTCCCAGGCTTAAGTGATCCTCGTGTCTCATCCTCCCCACTAGCTGGGACCACGGGCACATAACACCATGCTCTGCTAATTTTTTAAGGTTTTTGTGGAGACAAGGTCTCACTATATTGCCGAGGCTGTATCTTGAACTCCTGGGCTCAAGAGATCCTCCTGCTTCTCCCTCCCAAAGTGCTGGGATTACAGGTGTGAATCACCATGGCTGGCAAGAAAAGGCTTTCTAATGCAGGAAAAAAATCCATTGAAGTTTGGCAATGATTATTAGTAGATATACTAGGAAGGGTGTGATGGCTCTCGCCTGTAATCCCAGCATTTTGGGAGGTCGAGGCGGGCGGATCACCTGAGGTCAGGAGTTCGAGACCAGCCTGACCAACATGGCGAAAACCCATCTCTACTAAAAACATAACAATTAGCCAGGTGTGGTGGTGGGCACCTGTAATTCCACCTACTCGGGAGGCTGAGGCAGGGGAATCGCTTGAACCTGGGAGGTGGAGGTTACAGTGAGCTGAGATCGTGCCATTGCACTCCAGCCTGGGCGACAGCGTGAGACTCCGTCTAAAAAAAAAAAAAAAGATATGCTAGTGATTGGGAAGGGGCCATGACACAGAGAGTTGAATAAAATATGATATTGAAGTTTCAAGTTTTGGTAAGATGGTGGGTAATTGGATCATTACTAGAAATAGGGACACGAGAATGGGAAGATAATTTGGTGAGAATAATCATAGGCAAGCTTAGAATTATCGAACTGGACTCAGTGGTTGTTGCAAATGTTTAGCACATAGGACTCTCAGGCTGGAGAAGTCTTGGGGCTGAAATAATATATTTATTTTAGAGTTATTAGCCTGGACATGTCCACTGAAGCAAGGGGAGTTTTTGAGCTATTAAAGGAGAAGAGAGAAAGAAAACTATTATCACATACCTAGGACCAATACCTCATTTAAGTTACAGAAATGGTAGGAGGCAGAAGAGTGGTCAGAGAGGAAAGAAGAGAGGGCAACATCTCTAAAACCAAGGTGCGGGGGTGCAGGGGGAGAATTTCTACTTGGACACATGTCATAGAGGTCAAGAGAAATCAAGGAAGATTGGAAAGATTTGTCCTAGCAAAAGTCAAATTAAGTTATTGATTTTAAGAATGACTTTTCTGTATTTCAATAATGATTTTTTCTTTTTTCTTTATTTGTTTGTATTGGCTTATTTCTCCAAGAAAAAAAAGGAATGATTTTTTTTTTTTTTTCTAGAATGAAAGCCAGAGGTTCATAGAGATAGGTGATCAGGAAACAGAATCCTCACTCTTAGGTATGTCTCAACCACCGATTCATATTCGTTTTTGTGTTTAACCCATCAACATATTATATTGATATATGCATGGTTCTAAGATTTGAAAATTCTAGAGAAAAGTCAAACTTGAGACCAGATATAGTCCTATTTGTTTTTTTCACAAAATATTATGAGAATTTTATTTGTCACATTTTCTCTGACCTGTGCACAATGTTGCTATGGATCTTGTTTTATTATTTTAATTGCTGGTCATTAAGTGTAAGATAATTTTTTTAAAGCTCATCTTTGCTGTTTATCAAGTGTTACTCCGCCTATGACTCCATTACTGTGGAGTACTGATAGTGCTATGAAACAAACTATCCCTCAGAAAATGGCCATCACATGACAGTGTTTATGGCCTCAATTGACCAAATGTCACTCAGTGATGCCAAGTCATAAGAAGGCTTCTAGAGCAGTCTTCCTGGCAGGAAAAATCACTCATATGTTACAGTCAACCATAATCACAATCATAGTAGATTTAAGTTATTCTAAGTAAGTAGTTGACAATATTCAATGTGTTCTAAAGATTAAATATGCCAAAACACATTTTCCCTTTTAAAAACCTGAAAATTTGACTGAAAATATGAATGAAGCATGACTATTAGAGTGTTCTCAATCCCAGTTTTTTGTATTAAGCTACAGAAGTGTTTGTTTTTGGCTACTCCAACCCCTTGCAGCAGTGGTGAGGCCTCTAGGCTGGCTCACCTTATGCTTCAGTGGCTCTGTGTGGAGGATGAGGATGAATTGGATGTACACGATGGAGGATAGAAGACCAGGTAGGCACAGTCTAGTAGTTCAGAAGTGAAGAAATAAAGATTTACACCAAAGGAGGATAAATAAGAACTTATAGATGAGTCATTAAGATTGACTCATAAAAATTACAGAGCTCTAGTGTAGTTCTCTTCAAACTGCACTACTTTTGAGCCTGAGAAGATACAGCCTATTAAATGGGAATAATCATAGTGCCTACCTTATAGTGTTGTTGTGAGGATTAAATAAGAAAACGAAGGTAAAGCAAGTGCCCCATGTTTAATAGCTGCTCAATAAATGATGGTGATTAGGCTCTTCATACAGATTCTCCCCTTTGCAGCATGTGCTGGGGAGGACCACACCTGCTTTCTTTTCTGTTGGAGGAATTTTGGGTGTGTGCAGGTAGGTGGAAGCTGATAAACCTGATGGAGTCTCTCTAGGAAGGGAGGGAGGACATGAGAGAAGAAACACTCCCTACCCTCTTCCAGACACCCCGTTCCACAAGGATCTGTGGTTACCCAGCCACTGTGGGGGTACATGGAGCAGTGTTTGTTCTAGCACAAGACATTCCCTGCTTAAGTTTTGTCTGCCAGCTCCAGGCCTCCATTCCCTGTCCTGATGTTCTGCCCTCCCTGGATAATCTTTTGGACCCGGAAGGAATTCCTTCCTCTCCTTAAATACCAGGTATATAGAGTTCTTTTCTTTGGGACTTCTCTGCTCCCTGACACCAATTTCCCTGTCTGGGTGAGGACAACATCATCTTAGGTAGGACTGTTGGCATTAGGGTTACCTGCAGCTATTTTTTTTTTTATTTTTTTATTGATAATTCTTGGGTGTTTCTCACAGAGGGGGACCTGCAGCTATTACAAAAATTAAAGTATGAAGAGCGATATCTGATTCGACCATGTAAAAGTAACAGAGGTTTCAGGCATTTACATTTTATTATCCTCTCTGTCTAATTACCTTGTAACACTGTGAGTGTGGCTATCATTAATTGACTCTGATTCAGTTAAACATGCACCACGATCATCTGTTCATGTGTGTTTATTATGCTATAACACTAGTCACCTTATAATGTTTGTAATTGAAAAAAAAAAACAGGCCATGCGCAGTGGCTCACGCCTGTAATCCCAGCACTTTGGGAGGCCGAGGCGGCCAGATCACCTGAGGTCAGGAGTTCAAGACCAGCCTGACCAACGTGGTGAAACTCTGTCTCTACTAAAAATACAAAATTAGCCGGGCTTGGTGGCGCAAGCCTGTAATCCCAGCTATTCCGGAGGCTGAGGCAGGAGAATCGCTTGAATCCTGGAGGCAGAGGTTGCAGTGAGCCGAGATCGCGCCATTGCACTCCGGCCTGGGCAGCAAGAGTGAAACTCCATCTCAAAACAAAACAAAACAAAACAAAAAGCAGAAGAGTAATATTGCACTCAAAATAGTTAATATTGATCTTTGCCATATTATGGAGATAATATATAATCTTTCCCTGAAAGTTGCAATCCAAGTCTAGACTGTACTTCCCAAGCTTATCCCCAGGAACTACATAATTTTTTAAAATTTTTTTAATTTTTTTTTTCTTGAGACGGAGTCTCGCTCTGTCACCCAGGCTGGAGTGCAGTGGCTCAATCTCAGCTCACTGTAACCTCCACCTTCCGGGTTCCAGACATTCTTCTGCCTCAGCCTCCCAAGTAGCTGGGACTACAGGCTTGCACCACCACATCCAGCTAATTTTTATATTTTTAGTAGAGACAGGGTTTCACCATGTTGGCCAGGCTGATCTGGAACTCCTGGCCTCAAGTGATCTGCCCACCTCGGCCTCCGAAAGTGTTGGGATTACAGGTGTGAGCCACCGCGCTTGGCCACAAGCACATATTTTACATACAATTTCAGGGTGTTCACAGAACCCTTGGTCCCCTTAAAATCTAGATTGAAAACTCCCTTTCCAGAAAATTTTATTTTTTTGCTTTTTTTCATGTGCTTATGTAGACACCAACCTTTAGATAACTGAATAATTAAATTGGCCCTCCATATCCACAGGATCCTTGTTCATAGATTCAACCAATCACAGATTGAAAATGTTAAAAAAAGAAAAAATAAGACAAAAAATAGTACAGATAACACAGTATAACAACTACTACATAGCACTTACATTGTATTAAGTATTATAAGTAATCTAGAGATAATTTAAAGTATATGGGCAAATGTGCATGGATTTTATGTAAACACAATGCCATTTTATATAGGGGACCTTAACATAAAAGGATTTTGGTATCCGTGGGAGTTCCTGTAACTTATCCCTTGTAGATTTGGAGGGACAACTGTAATGGAAACTAATTATTCAGTGCCTACAATGTGCCAGACACTTATAACGTTGAACAATGAGGTTGACTTAAAGCTCCTGTGTGTGTGTGTGTGTGTGTGTGTGTGTGTGACTTTTCTCAAACTTTTTAGCTAATTGACGTAGCCCAACAAAAAGAAATGAGAACATAGTTACATGTATAAAGTACCCCCATTTTTATTGATACATAATAATTGTACATATTTTGGGGTCCATATGATATTTTGATACATGCATCTGATGTGTATTGCTCAAACCAGAGTAATTAGGATATACATCATCTTAAACATCTATTACTTTTTTTGTATTAGGAACATTTCAAATATTTTTTCTTGTTCTATTAATATACACAAGAAATTACTTTCGTCATCTTACTGTGTTAACAAATGCCAGAATGTATTTCTTCTATTTAACCGTATTTTTGTACCCATTAACCAACTTCCCTCTCTCTCTCTCTTTTTTTTTTTTTTTGTTTCTTTTTTGTTTGAGACAGGGTCTCTCTCTGTCGCCCAGGGTGGAGTGCAGTGGCGCCATCTTGGCTCACTGGAACCTCCACCTCCTGGGCTCAAGTGATTCTCTTACCTCAGCCTGCCAAGTAGACAGGATTACAGGTACACACCACCATGCCAAGCTAATTTTTGTATTTTTTTGTAGACATAGGGTTTTGCCATGTTGTCTAGGCTGGTCTCAAACTCCTGAGCTCAAGTGATCCACCCACCTTGGTCTCAAAAAGTGCTGGGATTACAGGCGTGAGCCACTGCTTCCAGCCAACCAGCCTCTCTTCACCCTCTCCCCACCTACCTTTCCAAGCCTCTGATAACCACCATTCTACTCTCTATCTCCATGAGATCAGCTTTTTAATGAAATTGATGTGAGTGAGAACATGTGATATTTGCCTAGCTTATTTCACTATATAATGACTTCTGATTCCATCCACGTTGTGGCAAATGACAGGATTTCATTCTTGCGAATTAATTTATGACTGAATTAATCTGTCGATGGACACTTAGTTTGATTTGGCTATTGTGAATGGTGCTGCAATAAACATGGTTGTGCAGATATCTCTTCAATACACTGATTTCCGTTCTTTTGGATATAACCCAGTAGTGGATTGCTAGATCATGTAATAGATTTATTGTCAGTTTTGTTTTTTTTTTTCCGAGACTGAGTCTTGCTCTATCGCCCAGGCTGGAGTCCAGTGGTGCGATCTTGGCTCACTGCAACCTCCCGCCTCCCAGGTTCAAGTGATTCCCCTGCCTCAGCCTCCCGAGTAGCTGGGATCACAGGCAGGCACCACCACACCCAGCTAACTTTTTTTTTTTTCTATATTTAGTAGAGACAAGGTTTCACCATGTTGGCCAGGCTGGTGTCAAACTCCCGACCTCAGATGATCCGCCTGCCTCTGCCTCCCAGAGTGCTGGGATTACAGGCATAAGCCATCGCCCCCGGCCCTATTTTTAGTTTCTTGGGGAACCTCCATACTATTTTCCACAGTGGCTATACTAATTTATCTTCCTATCAGCAGTGAATGGGGGTTCCCCTTTCTCTGCAGTATTTATTTTTTGTCATTTTTGTTTGGTTTTAGTTTATTTATTTAGATAGCAGTGAAATGCATACTTTTTGTCTTTTTGATGATAGCTATTTTAACTGGAGTGAGATAATATCTCATTGTGGTTTTGATTTGCATTTCCCTGATGATTATTGATGTTGAGCATTTTCTCATAGGCCTATTGGCCATTTGTACGTCTTTTGAGAAATGTCTGTTGAGATCACTTGCCCATTAATTTTTTTTAATTTTAAAAATTTATTTAAAAGACAGGGTCTCGCTCTGTTGCCTAGGTTGGAGTGCAGTGGTGTGATCATGGCTCACTGCAACCTCGAACTCATTGGCTCAAGTGATCCTCCCACCTCAGCCTCCTGAGTAGTTGGGACTACAGGCACTTGCCACCATGCCTAGCTAATTTTTTAATTTTAATTTTTAGTAGAGACAAAGCCTCATTATGTTGCCTAGGCTGGTCTCAAACCCCTGGGCTCAAGCAGTCTTCCCTCTTTGGCCTCCCAAATTCTTGGGATCACAGGTGTGAGCCAGTGAGACTGACCTTTTGCCTGTTTTTAAATTGAATTGTTTTCCTAATGAATTGAGTTCTTTATATTTTCTGGTTATTAATCCCTTGTTGGATAGATAGTTTACATACATTTTCTCCCATTCTGTAGGTTGTCTCTTCACTCTCCTTTGTGGTGCATAAGCTTTTTAGCCTGATGTAATCCCATTTGTCTGTTTTTGCTTTTGTTGCCATGCTTTTCAGCTATTACCCAAAAATCTTTGCCCAGATCAAAGTCTTGAAGCATTTCCTTGATGTTTTCTTCTAGTAGTTTCACAGTTTCAGGTCTTACATATAAGTGTTTAATCCATTTTTATTTCATTTTTGTATATGGTGAGAGATAGGAATCTAGTTTCATTTTTCTGCATATGGGCATCCAGTTTTCCTGGCACCATTTATTGAAGAAACTATCCCTTACCACTGAATGTTCTTGGCACCTTTGTCGAAAATCAGTTGGCTGTAAATATGTGAATTTATTTATGTGTCTTTTATCTTGTTCCACTGGTCTATGTGTCTGTTTTTATGCCAGTATGATGCTGTTTTGGCTACTATGCCTTTCTCATGTATTTTGAAGTCAAGTAGTGTGATGCTCCCAGATTTGTTCTTTTGCTCAGTATTTCTTTGGCTATTCAGGGGTCTTCTATAATTCCATTTGAATTTCAGGATTTTTTTTTATATTCTTGTGAAGAATATCACAGATATTTTGATAGGAGTTACATTGAATCCATAGATCGCTTTTGGTAGTATGGTCACTTTCATAACATTAATTCTTTCAATCTATGAACATGGAACGTCTTCATTTTTTTGTGAACTCTTCAATTTCTTTCATCAGTGTCTTATAGTTTTCCTCATAGAGATTTTTCACCTCCTTGGTTAAATTTATTCCTAGGTATTTTTTTTTAAGCTATCACAAATGGGATTGCTTTCTTGATTTATTTTTCCAGTAGTTCATTGTTGATGTATAAATATGCTACTGATTTTTCAATTTGTTTGTAGAGATGTGATCTCGTTATGTTGCCCAGCCTGGTCTCAAACTTCTGGCCTCAAGTGATCCTCCTCCCTTGGCCTCCCAAAGTACTGGGGTTACATAAGTAAGCCACTGTGCCCAGCCAGATGCTACTAATTTTTGCATGTTTATTTTGTACCCTGAAACTTTACTAAATTTCTTTATCAGTTCTAAGAGTTTTTTGATGGTGCTTTTAGAGTTTTCTATATATAAGAGCATGCCATATGCAAATAGGGACATATGCAAATATGACTTCTTCCTATCCAATTTGGAGCCCCTTTTTTTCTTTCTCTTGCCTAATTGCTCTGGCTAGAACTTCCAGTACTATGTTGAATAAAAGTGGTGGAAGTGGGCATCCTTCTCTTGTTCCAGTTCTTAGAGGAAAAGCTTTTAGCTTTCCCACATTTAGTATAGTGCTAGCTAGCTGAGGGTTTGTCCTACATGGCTTTTATTGTGTTGAGGTATGTTCCTTCTATACCTAGTTGGTGAAGACATTTTATCATGAAGGTATGTTGAATTTTATCAAATGCTTTTTCTGTGTTTGTTGAGATGATCATGTGGTTTTTGTCCTTCATTCTGTTGTTGCGATATATCACACTTTTTGATTTGTGTATGTCATACCATTCTTGCATCTCTGAGATAAATCCCACTTGACCATGGTGAGTGATCTTTTTAATGTGCTGCTGGATTTGATTTGCTAGTATGTTTTTGTGGATTTTTTTTCAATCTATGTTCACCAGGAATATTGACCTATAGATTTCTCTTTTTGTTATGTCCTTATCTGGTTTTGGTATCAGGGTTATGCTGGCCTTGTAGAATGGGTATAGGAGAATTCCCGCCGGGTGCGGTGGCTCACGCCTGTAATCCCAGCACTCTGGGAGGCCGAGGTGGGCGGATCACGAGGCCAAGAGATCGAGACCATCCTGGCTAACACGGTGAAACCCCATCTCTACTAAAAATATAAAAAAATTAGCCGGGCGTGGTGGCTGGCGCCTGTAGTCCTAGCTACCCAGGAGGCTGAGGCAGGAGAATGGCGTGAACCCAGGAGACGGAGCTTGCAGTGAGCCGAGAACGCGCCATTGCACTCCAGCCTGGGCGAGAGAGCAAGTCTCTCTCTCTCAAAAAAAAGAATCCTCTCTTCTTCAATTTCCTGGGAGAGTTTGAGACTAATTGGTATTAATAGTTATTTTTAAAATGTTTGGCAGTTAAACCATCAGGTCCTGGGTTTTAAAAAAAAATTATGGGAGACTTTTCATTACTGATTCAATTTTTTTACTCATTATTTGTCTGTTCTGGTTTTCTACTTTTTCTTGGTTCAATCTTGGTAGGTTGTATATGTCTGGGAATTTATCTATTACCACTAAGTTTTCCAATTTGTTGGCATATAGTTGTTCGTAATAGTCTCTAATGAATTTTTGTATGTCTGTGGTATTAGTTGCAATGTCTACTTTTTCATATCTGATTTTATTTACTTGGATTTTTTTCTTGGTTAGTCCAGCTAATGGTTGTTTGATTATCTTTTCAAAAAACTAACTTTTCATTTCATTGTTTTTTTTCTGCTCTTATCTTTATTATTTCTTTCCTTTTACTGATTTTGTGTTTGATTTTTTCTTGCTTTCCTAGTTCCTTGAGATGCATTTTTATGTTGCTTATTTGAAATCTTTTTTTTTTTTTGAGATGGAGTTTCACTCTTGTTGCCCACGCTGGAGTACAGTGGTGTGATCTCAGCTCACTGCAACCTCTGCCTCCAGGGTTCAAGCAATTCTCCTGCCTCAGCCTCCCGAGTAGCTGGGATTACAGGCATGTGCTACCACGCCCGACTAATTTTTGTATTTTTAGTAGAGACAGGGTTTCTTCGTGTTGGTCAGGCTGGGAACTCCTGACCTCAGGAGATCTGCCCGCCTTTGTGTCCCAAAGTGCTGGGATTACAGGCGTAAGCCACCACGCCCAGACTTGAATATTTTTCATGTAGGTATTTATTGCTGTAAACTTCTCTCTAATACTGCTTTTGCTGTATCCCATAACTTTTGGTAGGCTGTGTTTCTATTTTCGTTTAAGAAATTTTTAAATCTCCTTCTTATTTTTATTTTTGAGTCAGAGGTGCACCCTGTCGCCCATGCTGGAGTGCTGTGGCATGATCAGGGTTCACTGTGACCTCAACCTCCTAGGCTCAAGTGATCCTCCCACTTCAGCCCTTCAAGTAGCTGGGACCACAGGCTTGCACCACCGCACTTGGCTAAATTTTTTTGAATTTTAGTACAGATGAGGTCTCATTATGTTTCCCAGGCTATTCTCAAACGTCTGAGCTCAAGCAATTTTCTTGCCTTGGCCTCCCAAAGTGCTGGGATTACAAGTGTGAGCCACCACATCTGGCCAAAATTTCCTTCTTAATGTTTTCATTGATCCATTGGTTGTTCAAAAACATGATGTTTAATTTTTATATGTTTGTACCATTTCAAAACTTTTTCTTGTTGTTTATTTCTAGTATTATTCCAGTAAGAATAAGAATTCCTTTCTAGTCAGAAAAAATACTTGATGTGATATTAATTATATTAAATTTGATGAGTCTTATTTTGTGGCCTAACATGATCTATCCCAGAGAATGTCTCATGTGCTACTGAAAAGAATATATATTCTGCAGCTGTCAGATGAAATGTTCTATAAATGTTTGTTAGGTCAATTTGTTCTAAAGTGCAGTTTAAATCCAATGGTTTTTGCTGATTTTTCTGTCTAGATAATCTGTTAAATGTTGAGAGTAGGGTGTTAAAATGTCCAACTATTGATGTATTGGAGTCTATACCTCCCTTTAAATGTAATAATATTGGCTTTTCTATATGTGGGTGCTCCAACGTTGGGTCATATATGTTTACAATTGTTATATCCTATTGCTGAATTTATGCCTTTATCATTATAATGGCCTTATTTGTCTCTTTTTACAATTTTTGACTTAAAGTCTGTTTTATCTGATATAAATATAGTTATTCCTGCTTGCTTTTGGTTTCTGTTTGTGTGGAATTTCTTTTTCCCATCCCTCCACTTTCAGTCTATATGTCTTTAAAAGTGAAAAATTAGTTTCTTGTAGACAGCAAGTAGTTGGGTCATTTAAAAAAAAATCTATTCAGCCAGTCTATATCTTTTTATTAAATTAATTAATTGATTAATTTGGAGACAGGATGTCGCTATGTTGCCCAAGCTGGCCTCAAACTCCTGGGCTCAAGAGATCCTCCTGCCTCAGTCTCCTAAGTAGCTGGGACTACAGGCATGCAACACTGTACCTTGCTTAGGCTATATCTTTTAAATGGAGAATCTAATCCACTTCCATTCAAAGTTGTTTATTATTATTATTATTTTGAGATGGGATCTCAGTCTGCCACTCAGGCTGAAGTGCAGTGGTGCAGTCTTGGCTTACTGCAACCTCTGCATCTCAGGCTCAATCGATCCTCCCATTTCAGCCTCCTGTGTAGCTGGGACTACAGGCACACACTACCACATCTGGCTAATTTTTGTATTTTTAGTAGAAATGGGGTTTTGCCATGTTTCCAGGCTGGTCTCAAACTCTTAGGCTCAAGCAATTCACCCACCTTGGCTTCCCAAAGTGCTGGGATTACAGGCGTGAGCCACTGCACCTGGCCCAAGGTTATTATTGAGAGGTAAATACTTATTTCATTTTGTTAATTGTTTTCTAGTTGTTTTGTATATTCTTTGTTTCTTTCTTCCTCTCTTAATTTTTATAATTTCAGTTTGGTAGTTTTCTACAGTGATAAGGTTTGATTCTTTTCTCTTTCTCCTTTGTGTATCGACTCTACCAGTGAGTTTTATACTTTTTCACATTTTTATGATGGTTATTATCTTTTTACTTCTAGATGCAGGCCTCCCTTGAACATTTGTCGTAAGTCCAATCTAGTGGTGATGAATTCTCTCAGTTCTTGCTTATCTGGGAAAGAGTATTTCTCCCCAGTTTCTGAAGAGTAGCTTTGCTGGGTATAGTATTCATGACTAGCAAATTTTTTCTTTCAATACTTTGAATATATCTCTTTTTTGCCTGGCCTGAAGGTTTCTGCTGAGAATTCTGCTGTTAGTCGAATGGGAATTCTCTCATATGTGATTTAACACTTTCCTATTGCTGTTTTTAGAATTATCTCCTTGTCTTTGATTTTTAACTGCTGACTATTAATATGTCTGAAGTTGGGGGACCCTTTGAGTTGAATTTATTTGAGACTTTTTAGATTTCTGGATGTAGACATCCATACTGTTCCCTAGACTTGGGAAGTGTTCAGCTATTAATTCTTTAAATTGGTTTTCTATGGCTTTTCCCATATTTTCTCCCTCTGGAATACACAAAATTTGAATATTTGTTCACTTAATAATAGTGTCCTATAAGTCCTATAAGTAGCCTTTCTTCACTCTCTTTTTCTCTTATTTCTTTTTTGATTCTCTAACTGGATAATTTTATTTTATTTATTTATTTTTTAGAGATGAGGTCTCATTATATTGCCCAGGCTGATCTTGAACTCCTGGGCTCAAGCAATCCTCTCACCTCGGTCTCCCAAAGTGCTGGTATTACAGGTGTGAACCACTGCGCCCAGTAATTTTAAACAACCCATCTTCAAATTCAGAGATTCTTTCTTCTCCTTGATTAGGTCTGCTACTGGAGCTCTGTATTGTATTTTTATTTCATTCATTGAATTCTTCAGTTGCAGGATTTCTGAGGTTTTTTTTTTAATGATATCTATCTCTTTGCTGAATTTCTCATTCATACCCATGAATTGTTTTCCAGATTTCATTGAATTGTCTATCTGTATTTCCTGCATTACATTGATTTTCCTCAAGACCATTACTTTGAGTTCCTTTTGTAGCAATTTATTGATTTCCATTTCATTGGGATCTGTAACTAGAGAGTTATTATGTTCCCTTGGTAGTGTCACATTTCCTTGCTTTTTTATGTTTCTTGTGTCCCTGAATCGATGTCTGTGCATCTGGTGGAAGAATTACTTCTTCCCAACTTTCCAGAGTGGCTTTTGTAGAGGAAGAGTTTCACCTGCAATTGGGTCTCAGTGTGTCAGTTGGGAAGGGTGTGGTGACTCTGTTTATGGGTAGGTGCAGTGGTATAGTCTCCATGCAGATTTTCAGCTGCATTCAATGTCACTAACAACTGTGGGTGCCTCCGAAGACTAGGCTGCAGAAGTTTTTGTAGGGTAATCATTATCATCACTATAGGTAGTTAATGTCCTTGGTGGCAAGGACTTTTGGGATTCTCCTATTCTCATTTTCCCCACAATAGGGAGATTTAGCTAAGGGGATCCCTCTTGGTATTAGGTCTGCCATTGTTTACAAGCAGCTGCTGTGGTGCTCTGTTCTAGGTGCAAGGTGCTTAGGGTGGCTGTGGGGTCCTAGACTCAGGGTCTCATGAACCTATTGTGTCACCTGGGTCTTGGTAGGTTTGTGTTCTGTGCAGGGTTGGATGTAGGTAAACAGCACCAGGATCTATGTCTTTGAGGCACGTCCCCTTCCCCAGCAGCTCAGGTTCTGGAATTCAGAAGATGGAGTTGTTCTGCCAAAGTACCATTTCTTCAGGAGGGACTCTACAGATTCAGCTCAGTCCAGAGGGTAGGCAGAGGGATAATGAAACAGTTCTGTCACTGCATGGCCCCATGAGGAAGGGTATAGCAGTTGCTCACAGCTTGGCTCTGGGATGTCAGGCCACCAGGCTGAGGTGATTCAGTGGCTCCTTAGACTCAAGGATGAAAAGGAGCCACGGCTACTCAACTCTGGAGCAAGACACACTCCAGCAGTATTTCTAGTTTCAAGATGGCATAGTGCAGTAGCTGTGCAGGCCACAGGGGGTGGGGCACAGTATTGGCTCCTTTTCTGGGGGAGTGCCGCTATGTGGCCTCTAGGCAGCTCCCTCAGCTGGGCCTGTGAGGGCTGTAGGGGATCCCAACAAGGAAAACTGTAGGTATCCAAGATATTGGTGAGAGCTACTGGGATCCTCTTGCCTCCCTTTTTGCTTTAGGGAGAAGTTCCTCCTGATTCCTGGCTGATCCTGGCTGGAGAATGGGGTGGTGGGGTCCAGTGCATCCTTCCATTCTCTATGTGGATATCATGAGCTTCTATGCTCTCCAAGGTTTCTCTTGCTGTTTTGACATATTCCAGCACGCTCCTTTGATTATTTTTCTTAAAATGTAGTTGTTTATTTGTTGTTTTGTCTCTCTTTGTGGAAGGGATGAATGCTAGGGTCTTCTAGTCAGTCATATCACTCAGTTTCTCCTTCTAGTGCCCACCATTTTAGGCACTGCATAGAACATTGGAAACTGACCCAGAACACTTGTTGTATTTTACAGACAAAAGCAGTATGTGGGTGTAGAGAGAGGAACTAGCTGAATTACTTAGAATAGTTTTACAACACTAGAATAGTTAAAATTTGTTTTCTTTGATGAGGGGAAGTGAGGTAGGGAAAGAAAGATCCATTGATTTTTTTCTTTTTCTTCTTCTTTTTTTTTTTTTTGAGGGGGGGACAGAATCTTGCTCTATTGCACAGGCTGGAGTGCAGTGGCGTGATCTCAGCTCACTGCAACCTCCGCTTTCCAGGTTCAAGCGATTCTCATGTCTCAGCCTCCTGAGTAGTTGGGATTAAAGGCACATACCACCATGCCCAGCTAATTTTTTTTTTTTTTTTTTTTTTTTTTTTTTGAGACGGAGTCTCGCTCTGTCGCCCAGGCCGGACTGCGGACTGCAGTGGCGCAATCTCGGCTCACTGCAAGCTCCGCTTCCCGGGTTCACGCCATTCTCCTGCCTCAGCCTCCCGAGTAGCTGGGACTACAGGCGCCCGCCACCGCGCCCGGCTAATTTTTTGTATTTTTAGTTGAGACGGGGTTTCACCATGTTGGCCAGGATAGTCTTGAACTTCTGGCCTCAAGTGATTTGCCTGCATTGGCCTCCCAAAGTGCCCCAAAGTGCTGGGAATACAGGCATGAGCCACCGCACCTGCCACACATTGATTTCTTAAAAATAACTTGGCAATTCATGGTGAATATCTCAGGAAGGATGATAAGAACTCTGAATCATCAATCTACTTCTAAACTAGCAATCTAAGGGCGATCAGGAAAGTGATGTTTAAAAGTTTATAGCATAATAAACACAACTGACAACTAGCTCTTAAGTTCTTTTTACAGCACAGTATTTTAGACCCAGTTTTGACTCTCATTGGCTGCTTGGCAGGAAATGCACAATCCACTTCACCCTATTGGTGGCGTGGAACGCCACGGTATGTCCTAAGAGAAGCCATGTATTTACAATATCATCTCAAGCTCCTATTCACAGGATGCTAGACAGAAATTTATCTAAATACAATAAATCTGCCATTCCTCTGTCCTGGGTGAGTTTTTTTTTTTCTTTGAGATGCATTTATGAAGAACTGATGGTGTAGTATAATAATTGCCATTCATAACAACCATTTAAAGAAAACATAATAATCATTTGATGACTTTTTAGTGCCTCCAAGTTATGTATACCCATTAATTTGTCCTTCCCCTTTTTTTCATACCCTTGGTCTGCAGAAGAGTACTTACTCGCAATTCAAAAGAGCATTGAAGTTTTTAGAAATGAGCATAGTTGGGAAGACAAACAAGGCTGAGGGAACACAGAGATCCTGCTAATGTTACTTATAAACCTCTGGAATTTTAAGAAAGTGTGTAAGTGATAATCCATCTTTTAATGTGAGGCTCAGAAATGAAAGGTAAAAATAGAACATTTTATGACAAAATATTCTGCAACACATGAGCCCCACATGAGGTGAAGGTGTTGTTTTGTGAAATGAGAATTGTTGTTCCTGCTTGGCAGGGATGGATACTGACATTCAAGAAGGTTAGGAATGTGCTAAAGGTTGCATGAATCCTAAAGTCAGTTCTCAAATTCAGATCTTGATTTGTTTGTTTATTTATTTATTTATTTGAGATGGAGTCTCACTCTGTTGCTCAAGCTGGAATGCAGTGGCACAATCTTGGCTCACTGCAACCTCCACCTCGTGGGTTCAAGTGATTCTCCTGCTTCAGCCTCCTGAATAGCTGGGACTACAGGTGTGCACCACCACACCCGGCTAATTTTTTTGGTATTTTTAGTAGAGATGGAGTTTCACCATGTTGGCCAGGCTGATCTCAAACTCCTGACCTCAGGAGAGGTGGCTCACGCCTGTAATCCTGGGCGCGGTGCCTCACGCCTGTAATCCCAGCACTTTGCAAGGCAGATGGATCATCTGAGGTCAGGAGTTCGAGACCAGCCTGGCCAACATGGTGAAACCCTGTCTCTACTTTTTGCAACATGTTCCCTCCCTTTTCTTTCTTTTTTCTTTCTTTCTCTCTCTTTTTTTTTTTTTTTTTTTTTTTTTTGAGGCAGAGTCTCACTCTGTTGCCCAGGCTGGAGTGCAGTGGCGCAATCTCGGCTCACTGCAACCTCACCTCCCAGGTTCAAGTGATTATCTTGTCTCAGCCTCTTGAGTAGCTGGGATTACAGGCACCCGCCACCATACCTGCCTAATGTTTCTATTTTTAGTAGAGACGAGGTTTCACCATGTTGGCCAGTCTGGTCTCGAACTCCTGACCTCAGGTGATCCACCTGCCTTGGCCTCCCAAAGTGCTGGGATTACAGTTGTGAGCCACTGAGCCTGGCCCATCCACTTTTTTTAGACATGGAATCAATGCTGCCTCGGACGATTTTGAAATGTTTCCTGGGTTAATGCTTTGCATCCACCGTTACATTGTAGGTTCCCAGAAATAGGGATCATAAGACTTTTCCTTCATATCCTCTTAGTCCCCAGAATAATACTTTATGTACACTTAATATTTGAGTAAACACTTAAGCACTTATTGAATAAATGAATGAATGAGTCAGATGAATAAAATGTTATAAGATTGAAAACACTGCTGAAAAAGGAAGTCAGAAAATGGAAAATAAATAGAGAAGATGCTAATAGGACAGGGAAGATAATTTTCACTTTGCAGTTAGAGATATTCCAAAAAGTTAAGTTTTAAGGAAAAATATTTAAAGTAGGAACTCAGATGTGGACAAGTGAGTTAACTACTTCTGAGTTTAGGGCACTTCATGTTCATTGATCTTTGCAATTTATCTTCTTGATCTTTGCAATTTATCTTCTTGATCTTTGCAATTTATCTTCTTGTTTTTATTTGTGTATCTTTTTGTTCATTTGTTTATATAATCCTCTTTATCTTTATTCTCTATTGTCATTCCTTCTTATTCCCACAGCAACCATTCTAATGTGGTTAATGTGCATCCTCTTCATGTATGTGGTTTTGTAAAATCTGTAGCTTTGTTTTTTTAACAGGTATTGTACAATTTGTATAAATATGTTCATATGTTATGGATCTTAATCTGCTTTTTACCTTTTTCACTAAACATTAAGGATTTTAGGATCTATATATATTGCTGTGGTATAGATCTATTATTTTGAATTGCTACATAATGTATACACTCCACGGTGTGAATTCATTCATTGTACCTATTTACACCTCCAGTGATAGAAATTAATATTACCTCCAATTCCCTGTACTACAAACTATGATGAACTTCCTCATACTGTCTCTTCATAGATCTAGTGTGAGAATTTATTTGGACTCTAGATCCAGGAATGGCATTGCTGGATCACAGAGCATATGTTTGTTTACTATGAGTAAGAGGTACCATGTTCCTCTGCTGAATGGAAGTGCTAGTCTACACACATATTTTACTTCTCTGCTCCCCAACCCCTGCAACCAACCAAAAAGTGCCTATAAACTACAATCACCAACGATCACAGGCTAAATGTTATTATCATCTATTTGGGACACAGCAGAAGGAAGCAATGGGGTGTCAGGTGGACTGAGAACAGGAGAGACTCAAAGGGGCCAACAGGTGGCCAGCTCCTCCTGCACCCTGGAGTGGAATCTGAGAGCCTGGAGGCTCTGGCTTTGCAAGCTAAGGGTGGGCCAGGGCTGGGCAGCAGAAGACCCCAGACCTGACCATGGGAGCTTACCTGAGCCGTGGCTCAGACACCCAACAGGTGTGTTTTCCTCACTGCCTGCACTTACCAGTGCTGACCCAGCCTCCTTCCAGGGTATCCTGCCGCCCAGCGGCTGCCTCCTGCTCTTCTTATCCATGTTGGCCTAGTGGGGCCCTCCTGTCTCCAGGTCCCTTTGTCTCCCTTACACCGCTCCTCCCCTAACCTGGTGACACAGAGACTACCAGAATTTGAATAGATTGCAAGGAAACTGGAGGGAAGTCCAGGCAGGGCCACCTCCCCAGATTCTCCATGGGGCACCATCTTGCCCCCATTGCGGAATCTGTTCACTCCCAGCCTGCATCCAACCCCAGCTCAGACCCTTGTGCTCAGCCCCACGCACTTCTCCAGCTCTCTGGGTCCTGGGGCAGCCCTCTTTGTCACTGGCATCCAGAACCAGGCCAGGTCTTCTGGTAAGACCCTAAGGCTGGTGACCTGTTGACCTCGCTTGTCCTTTATTGCTGAGAACTGAGCTCTTGACTGTGTCAATGTCATGGCGCCATATTCTTTGACCTCTGAGAAGTCCTTGCCACAGTGACTCTCTCCATGCTCCCTTGAGGGGAGTTGCTCTGCCATTCGGGATGGCAAGAGGCACCATCAGGTTGTATTCCTGAGACCTCAGTACCACTGGGCCTCCAGGGCCAGCCACCTCGCCCAGCCTCAGAAGACAATTTGAAAAGGCTCCCACTGACCAGAGATGGGACAAATCACATTTCAATAACAATGAGAATTGCAACAGACTGTCAATTAGTTATCTATTGCTGTATAACAAATTACCACAGGGCTTTGCTTAAAGCCAACAACACGTTTATTGTATTACACAGTTTCTGAGAATCAGGAACCTAGGAGCAGCTTAACTGGTGGTTCTGTCTCAAGGTCTCTAATGACACTGTAGTTAGGCTGCCAGCTGGGGATACATTAATCTGAATCTGGGTCTGAAAGATCTGCTTTCAAACTCACTTATGTAGCTTTTGGCAGGAGACTTTGGTTCCTTATGATGTGTGCTTCTTCACATGGCTGTTTATAACATGGTTCCCCGCAGAGTGGGTATACAGAGAAAGTGGGAGTTGTCCAGCGAGTGCGCACCTAATCTCAGAAGTGACACGCCATCATTTCTGCTATATTTTACTGGTTATACAGACCAATGCTTGTACAATGTGGGAGGGAACTCTATAACTGTGAATATTATAAGACAGGGGTCACTGGGGACCGTCTTGGAAACTGACTCTCACAGTCCGAAACCCTTCAGATATGCTTTAATCTATGAGTTCACAATAATATTTAAAACAAACAGCTGGGCACGGTGGCCAGCGCCTATAGTCCCAGCTATTCAGGAGGTTGAGGAAGGAGGATTCTTTGAGCCCAGGGGTTTGGGGCTGTAGTGTGCTATGATGGTGCCTGTAAATAGCCATTGCACTCCCGCCTGGGCAATATAGCTGACTCCATCTCTAAAAACAAGCAAACAAGCAAACAAAGTTGTTCTTCTAAGGATGACAGAGAACCATATGTTATCTTAAAAACTGGGGAAATAGTGCGGTGGCTCACGCCTGTAATCCCAGCACTTTGGGAGGCCGAGGCGGGCGGATCACGAGGTCAGGAGAATGAGACCATCCTAGCTAACACGGTGAAACCCCGTCTCTACTTAAAATACAAAAATATTAGCCAGGCGTGGTGGTGGGCCCCTGTAATCCCAGCTACTTGGGAGGCTGAGGCAGGAGAATGGCGTGAACCCGGGAGGCAGAGCTTGCAGTGAGCTGAGATCGTGCCACCGCACTCCAGCCTGGGAGACAGAGCAAGACTCCGTCTCAAACAAACAAACAAACAAACAAAAAACCAGGGGAAATAGGCTGGGCGCAGCTTATGCCTGTAATCTCAGCACTTTGGGCTGATCATGAGGTCAGGAGTTCAAGACCAGCCTGACCAACATGGTGAAATCCCATCTGTATACAAAAAATTAGCCAGGCATGATGGTGCGCACCTGTGATCCCAGCTCCTTGGGAGGCTGAGGCAAGAGAATCGCTTGAACCCGGGAGGTGGAGGTTGCAGTGAGCCGAGATTGTGCCATTGCACTCCAGCCTGGGCAACGGAGTGAGACTTCGTCTCAAAAAAACAAAAACAAAAAAAACCAACAACAGCAAAAACCAAAGAATAGATGAGTAAAAGTTTCTCTTTATAAAATTATTTCAGCTAGGCTGGGCACGGTGGCTCACACCTGTAATCTCAGCACTTTGGGAGGCCGAGGTGGGTAGATCACGAGGTCAGGAGATTGAGACCATCCTGGCTAACACGCTGAAACCCTGTCTCTACTAAAAATACAAAAAATAAGCTGGGCATGGTGGCATGCACCTGTAGTCCCAGCTACCCAGGAGGCTGAGGCAGGAGAATCGCTTGAACCTGGGAGGCGGAAGTTGCAGTGAGCCAAAATTGTGCCATTGCACTCCAGCCTGGGCAACAGAGTGAGACTTCATCTCAAAAAAACAAGAAACAAAACAACAACAGCAAAAACCAAATAATAGATGAGTAAACGTTTCTCTTTATAAAATTATCTCAGCTGGGCCAGGCATGGTGGCTCATGCCTGTAATCTCAGCACTTTGGGAGGCCGAGGTGGGCAGATCACAAGGTAAGGAGATTGAGATCATCCTGGCTAACACGGTGAAACCCCATCTCTACTTAAAAAAAAATACAAAAACAAAACAAAACAAAAAATTAGCTGGGCATGGTGGCATGCACCTGTAGTCCCAGCTACCTGGGAGGCTGAGGCAGGAGAATTGCTTGAACCCGGGAGGCAGAGGTTGCAGTGAGCCGAGATTGCACCACTGCACTCCAGCCTGGGTGACAGAGTGAGATTCCATCTCAAAAAAGAAAAAAAAAAAAAAAAAGAAAAAAAGGCGGTCCTCGTTAGTATGGTGGTGAGTATCCCTGCCTGTCACGCGGGAGACCGGGGTTCGATTCCCCAACGGGGAGGCTAATAATGTTTGGCCAGGTACGGTGGCTCACGCCTGTAATCCCAGCACTTTGGGAGGCTGAGGTGGGTGGATCACGAGGTCAGGAGATCGAGACCATCCTGGCTAACATGGTGAAACCCCTGTCTCTACTAAAAATACAGAAAAATTAGCTGGGCTTGGTGGCAGGCGCCTGTAGTCCCAGTTACTCAGGAGACTGAGGCAGGAGAATGGTGTGAACCCGGGAGGCGGAGCTTGCAGTGAGCCGAGATTGCGCCACTGCACTCCGGCCTGGGTGACAGAGCGAGACTCTGTCTCAAAAAAAAAAAAAACAACAAAAAATTATTTCAGCTAATGAAAATTAAATAACAGTATTAGAATTTCCTATTACAAGCCACCTATAAATTAATGAATCTAGGTACTAAGCATCAAATGTTGTTGCTAATGATAAGGAACAGAAACCAGACATTAAGTGCCATCTGATGAAAGAACAGATCACCCACTAGATCCTGCCAAACAGACTGAACTTGTCTGATGAAGCCTCTGGATTCAGTTGTCAACTTGCAGGAAGAGAGGTAGGAGGAACGTATTGCACTATTCCCCAAATGTGCAATCAGCAAAATCCATACTGGAGAGAATCTCTATAGGCCAAATGGCTTGGGTTATTCAATAGAAAAAGTGTAAGGATGGAGGGAACCCGGACATTAAAAGAAACAGAAAAGACCAATTTTTTTCTTTTCTTTTCTTTTTTTTTTTTTTTAGATGGAGTCTCACTCTATTGCCCAGGCTGGAGTGCAGTGGCGCTATCTTGGCTCACTGCAACCTCTGCTGCCGGGGTTCAAGCAATTCTCCTGCCTCAGCCTCCCGGGTAGCCCGGATTACAGGCGCTTGCCACTGTGCCTGGCTAATTTTTGCAGTTCTTAGCAAAGGCAGGGTTTCACCATCTTGGCCAGGCTGGTCTTGAACTCCTGAACTCGTGATCCACCTGCCTCGGCTTCCCAAAGTGCTGGGATTACAGGTGTGAACCACTGCGCCCGGCCCCAGTTTAAAAAAAAAATAGTCAAGACTAATTCCAGAAGCGAGGAGTGCATACTTTGTTGATATAATCATAAAGAAATGCAAGGAAGGTATAAAAGTCTGAATAGTGGAAGGAAATTATTTCTATAAAAGTCAAGATCATGGTTACTTTTTGAGGGATGGACAAGACAGTGATTGAGATGTGGCACATGGAGAGAGGCCTCTGGGTGGCTGGCAGTTTTATTTCTCGGCCTGGTAGATAGTTACAAGAGTGTTTACCTGGCAATAATTCACTAAGACATTAATTAGAATTATGGGATTTTTCTGGATCTGTGTTTTAGTTTTACAATAAAAAATAAAAAACAACATATCTGAAGATAATACATGAATGTAGTAAAATATTCAAGGTGTGTGTGTATAAAATTCCCTCTCTCATTTCAAAAGCATGAATGGTAGAATTACAATACCATGCATATATTCTGTTCTTTGCTTATTTTACTGAATATTTTATTTTGTAGATCATTCTGTACCAAATAGGGCCAAATGGGATAAGAATTCAGTCTCAATTTCTAGGTTAAAACCAATATATTTTAACTTACATATAACAGTTTAAATAAGTGGGTAGTTTTTCCTAAGAATGTATTCCATTAAATCAGAAGATGTCTCAATATAGAGATAGCATGCACATTCATTTTGAAGGTACACATTTCTCATAAAATTTAAAATTTACCTGTTCTTTTTCCTCCCCTTTAAGTCCTCAGCTTAAACAAACCTGCTCACACTTTGATTCAGACAAGATTACCTGGGGGAAGGGTGGATGGTAGAGTTAGTAAACTGCTTTTTCAGCATTTCCCTGGATGAACTCTCAGAGATATTTTATGGCAAGTGTTAAAACAACACACTGGTGACTAACCTTTGTGCTTCTTTGTTGATAATGGCCTGTTTCTGATAATAATTAGGATCAAAGGAGACAGATGTACAGGCTTCTATAGCCTTTAAACTGTAATCTTGGGCCAGTAAATATTTTCTAGGCACCAGATTATATTGAGTTTTTTTAAAAAACCAACTTGGCCAAGTGTTTTAACTATCTCTTTATTTCCTTTAATATTTCTTACTTTTTCAGGTACCTGAATAGTATTTTCTGAGTACCTACCAGGAGTTAGCAATGCTCAGTGCCCTGGGATACAAAGGAAGGAAGTACAAAGATTTAGTGCTTACAGTCTTAGGAGATTCAACATATGTACCCATATCACATAGTTAGAAAACAAGACAGTATTATATATGTCTGTGGGTTTAAGTCACAATGTATGTAGAACATATATTGACTGGGGGTGAGGGATAAAAGACTACCATTCGGGTTAAGTGTATACTGCTTGTGTGATGGGTGCACCAAAACCTCACAAATCACCACTAAAGAACTTACTCAGCTGGGCACGATGGCTCACATCTGTAATCCCAGCACTTTGGGAGGCCGAGGCAGGCAGATCACCTGATGTTGGGAGTTTGAGACCAGCCTGACCAATATGGAGAAACTCCGTCTCTACTAAAAATACAAAATTAGCCAGGCATGGTGGCACATGCCTGTAATCCCAGCTCCTCGGGAGGCTGAGGGAGGAGAATCGCTTGAACCTGGGAGGTGGAGGTTGTGGTGAGCCGAGATTGCGCCGTTGCACTCCAGCGTGGGCAACAAGAGTGAAACTCTCTGTCTCAAAAAAAAAAAAAAAAAAAGAAAGAAAGGACTTACACGTGTAACCAAATACCACCTGTTCCCCAAAAAGCCTATGGAAAAAACAACAACAACATTTATTGACATATGCTATATATATATAAATACACCAGCCTTGGCGAGACCTCTCGTGCCTTTAATCCCAGCTACTCGGGAGGCTGAGGCAGGAGAATTGCTTGAAACCAGGAGGCAGAGGCTGTAGTGAACCAAGACCATGCCACTGCACTCCAGCCTGAGTGACAGAGACTCTGTTTCAAAAACAAACAAAAAACCCAAAAAATAAAGTGACTTTCCTTGTAAAGTTAAAGCAGAAGAAACATCCTTATCATGCCCACTAAAACTGGCTTGTTTGGGGATTTGGCTATTATCTTTCACTGTCCTAATTTCTTAGAAGGAAGGATAAACAACTTAGTTTCAGCTTGGTGGTATGGAACTTTAGCACGAGTGACTCGATTTTGGTTTGGTCTATTAGGTCTAGTGCAGGAGCTCAGTCCAAACCAATGGCCTCCTATACATTTCATTTAACATCACAAAATAAAATTTCTCCCAATTAAAGCATTTACATATTTAACTATCAATTCTATTAAAAACATGACATTAAAAGTGCAAGACAGGGAACCGATGAGAAGTGGGCAAAGAAATACTGAAAAGAGAGCTTCTAGAAGGAAATACACTAGAATAATGACAGTTGTTATCTGGAAGAGGTAGAATTACCAGTGATTCACTTTCTCTCTCTCTCCCTCTGTGGTGGGAGACCACTCTTTCTCCCTTTCCCGTGTACCCTTTTGAATTTCCCCAGTTCTCTACAACCAAGGTGTACTTATTTATTTATTCTTTTAGAGACAGAGTCTTGCTTTGCTGTCCAGGCTGGTGTGCAGTGCCATGATTATAGCTCACTGCAGCCTCAAACTCTTGGGTTCCTGAAATCCTCCTGCCTCATCCTCCTGAGTAGCTAGGACTAGAGGTGCGTACCACCATTCCAGCTATTTTTTTTTTGCAGAGATGGGAGTCTTGCTATGTTGCCCAGGCTGAACTGTTGCCCTGGTCTTGAACTCCTGGCCTCAAGCAATCCTCCTGCCTTAGCCTCGTAAACTGTTGGCATTACAGGCATGATCTACCACGTGGGGGCATTTTGCTTTTTTTTTTTTTTTTTTTTTTTGAGATGGAGTTTCACTCTTGTTACTTTTTGCTTTTTGCTGATCCATTTTGCTTTTATAATCAGAAAAATAAGAATGCTGGCTGGGAGTGGTGGCTCACGCTTGTAATGCCAGCACTTTGGGAGACCGAGGCGGACGGATCACCTGAAGTCAGGAGTTCGAGACCAGCCTGGCCGACATGGTGAAACCCCTTCTCTACTAAACATAGAAAAATTAGCCCGGCGTAGTGGCAGCCCCCTGTAATCCCAGCTACCTGGGAGGCTGAGGCAGGAGAATTGCTTGAACCTCCTAGGAGGTGGAGGTTGCAGTGAGCTGAGATGACGCCACTGCACTCCAGCCTGGGCGACAGAGTGAGACTCTGTCTCAAAACAAACAAACAAACAAACAAATTAAAAACAAAAAAAGAAAAATAAGAATGCTTCTGGAATGACGGAGACACATGCAACTTTGCAACTTTTTGGAAGCAGTTTCTAGTACTAGTTGAAGGCAGGGAGGTGGAATATGGAGCAATGTGCTCCTTCATAGTAGAGGTGAGGTTGTTGCTAGGTCCAGCAGCATCATAGGAGAACCTTCTGAGTGCAGCAGACACACATGCACACATTCAGAACTTCACAGAGAAGGAGTATCTATGTAGCGACAGAACCAATTCTGCCCTTTCCTTGTTTCCCTCAATGGGATGCAAAGTCACCACTGACACCCTCAGACAGTGTCTTGCCAGAGTCAAAAAAAGAACCCAATTCCTTATGGACCACAAATCCTTTAAACTCTTGGATTATATTACTATTCCAGAAGAAGTTATACTGAAAACTTTGCCCTCTGTTAAGGGAATGATGACAAATATCCAGTTCTCCTCCTTCTTGAACCAGACCTGATATTAAATGCTCATTCTCAGCAAGGGGAAAAAGAAGGGAAGTATCCGGATATCTCTGAATAATGTCTTCCTGAAATACATTTGCTTTCCTGGTGGTCCTGATTGTGAACTTGGTCCTATGATCATAGTCACAGAACCATTTCCATTTCTGTCCTGAGCTTGACACAGCAGTGACTTGGTTTCCTGGGTCCTGTGTTGTTCTAGATGGGACTTTAAGACTATAAATACTTACAAATACTTACTCTATGTCATTTAGATAGCGTTTACAGCCCAAATAAGAGTGTTTGTCTTCTAATCTCTGCTTATCTTGATGATGAGTTGCATTATTTGCAGTAATCATTTTCTCCTTTTGTGGTTTTTGATTTTCCCATGCTATACAACTTTGTAAAATACTTTAGAGAAATTTGATACGAATCCATGTGCAATATGTCCTTTTTCTCCCTGTAGATACAATCATGCTGGCCTAAGTGTACTAATGCCATAGAAAACTACAATGCTTCAGATTGCTTATTCTTCATGCTTTTTTTTTTTTTTTTTTTAAATAAGAATTTCTGGCAGGGCATGGTGGCTCATGCCTGTATCCCAGCACTTTGGGAGGCTGAGGCGAGAGGATCATTTGAGCATAGGAGTTCTAGACCAGACTGGGCAACATGGAGACACCCCTCATCTCTACAAAAAATTAAAGAAAAATTAGCCAGCCATGGTGGTGAGTGCCTGTAGTACCAGCTACTCGGGAGGCTGAGGTGGGGGGATCATACGAGCCCAGGAAGCTGAAGCTGCCATGACCCGTGTTCACACCTCTGCACTCCAGCCTTGGTGACAGAGCAAGACCTTGTTTCAAAATAAATAAATAAATAAATAAATTCCTGAGCTCTATTAAATATAAATGCTTAGCACTTTGCCTCCATTTTTGGTAACTTTTTTTTTTTAATTTTAATTTTTTTTTGAGATGGAGTCTTGCTCTGTCACCCAGGCTGGAGTGCAGTAGCATGATCTCAGCTCACTGCAACCTCTGCCTCCCAGGTTCAAGTGATTCTTCTGCCTCAGCCTCCTGAGTAGCTGGGACTACAGGCGAGCACCACCACACCTGGCTAATTTTTGTATTATTATTATTTTTTTTTAGTAGAGATGGGGTTTCACCATATTGGCCAGGCTGGTCTTGAACTCCTGACCTCATGATCTGCCCGCCTTGGCCTCCCAAACTGCTGGGATTACAGGCATAAGCCACTATGCTCGACCCATTTTTGGTAACTTTTAAAGTAAGAGATTATAATTTTGAACAGGTATGATAGTTCGTTAAAGATAAAGATATCAAGGTTTTTAGAATTTGGGGAGAAAAATGTAAAGATAATAAGGCTACTACTTCAATTTAATTGGGCTAAGTAAACATTTCTTGCATGCTGGACCTTGTAAATGCTGGGTAAGGCAAAAATGGGAAATGGAAGGAAGGCTGAAGCTGCAGGGGCTGCCTGAGGAGGCTCAGAAACTTAAACCATGTCACTTTTGCCACTTTTATTGGCCACAAATCCAGCTCAGGCTCAAGTGAGTGAATAGAAACTCTGCCTTTGCATGGGAGGGCTGTTGCAAATGTATGTGCCAACTGGCATGGGAAAAGTTTGTGGCCATTAAACAATCTACATTGTCAATTTTGATTTAAAAGAGCGGAAGAAGATGGTTATCTATCAGCTTGTCTAGCGCTTTGTTGGTGGCAGTTATCTAATTTTAATGACCCTCCTTTCTGCCCTTTAGGAATCATTCAAAGCTGAATATGGGCTGGGCACAGTGGCTCACGCCTGTAATCCCAGCAGTTTGGGAGGCTGAGGCAGGAGAATTGCTTGAACCTGGGAGGCAAAGGTTGCGGTGAGCCGAGATCACGCCACTGCACTCCAGCCTGGCTGACAGAGCGAGACTCCATCTCAGAAAAAATAAAAAAAAAAAAAAGAAGCTTAGGTTTGGTGTCAAAGCAAAGCACCCACAGCTGTCTGAAGCTACCAATCTAGGCTTGCATAACAATCTTGTGTGACCGGGATGTGAAATTTGGGGCTGGATTAAAAAAAAAAAAAAGACAAGATGCTCCGTTAAATTTGAATTGCAGATAAGCAACAAATAATGTATTTATTATAAGTATGTCTTCCCTTGTTAACAGTTCAATTCTGCATATTTTCTTCTACAACCTTCCTGTGAATATTCCATTCTACATATGTAAATTTTTAAAAATGGGATTGTATTTACTTTTACTAGTTGCTATTTTCCCCTTTCCATGTCAGTAAATTTCAATCTAACTCATTTATCTCTGCTGTGATCTTTATTATCTCTTTTCTTCTACTAATTTTGGGTTTGATTTGCTCTTACTTTTCTAGTTCTTTACATGCATCAACAGGCTGTTTATGTGAAGTGTTTCTCTTTTCTGATACAGAAGCTTATAGCTATAAACTTCCCTCTTAGTACCTCTTTTGCTGTATCCCATAGGTTTTGGTATGTTATGTTTCCATGATCATTTGTTTCAAGAAATTTTTCAATTGTTTTTCTTAATGTTTTCATTGACTCACTAGTCATTCAGGAGCATATTGTTTAATCTCCATGTGTTTGTATAGTTTCCAAAATTCCTCCTTTATTGATTTCTAGTTTTATTCCACTGTGGCCAGAGAAGATGCTTGATATTATTTCAGTTTTTTGAATGTTTGAAGACTTGCTTTGTGACCGAACATATGATCTATCCCTGAGAATAATCCATATGCTGAGGAAAAGAATGTGTATTGTGTAGCTGTTGGATGAAATGTTCTGTAAATATCTACTAGGTCCATTTGGTCTATACTGTGGATTAAGTCTGATGTTTCCTTGATGAATTTCTGTCTGGAATATCTTTCCAGTGCTGAAAGTGGGGTGTTAAAGTCTCCAGCTATTATTGTATTGGAGTCTAAGTCTTTCATTAGCTCTAAAAATATTTGCTTTATGTATCTGGATGCTCCAGTGTTGAGTGCATATATATTTACAACTGTTATATCCTCTTGCTGAGTTGACTCTTTTATTATTATATAATGACTTTCTTTGTATCTTCTTGTAGTTTTTTTCTTGAAGTCTATTTGTTCTAATATAAGTATAGCTACTCTTGCTCTTTTTTTGTATCCATTGGCGTGGGATATTTTCAGTCTATGTGTGTCTTTATGGGTGAAGTTTGCTTCTTGGAGGCAACAAATCCTTGAGTCTTTTTGTTTTATCCATTCAGCCACTCTAAGTCTTTTAATGGGGGAGTTTAGTTCATTTACAGCCAATGTTATTGTTGATATGTAAGGACTTACTCCTTCCATTTTGTTATTTATTTTCTGGTCTTTTCCTTCCTTCCTGTCCTCCTTTTAGTGAAGGTGATTTTCTCTGGTGGTATAATTTAATTTCTTGCTTTTTGTTTTTTGTGTACCATACACACACACATATATATATGTACACTTTTTTTTTTTTTTTTTGAGACATAGTCTCACTCTGTTGCCAAGGCTGGAGTGCAATGGTGCAATCGTGGCTTACTGCAACCTCCATCTCCCAGATTCAAGCAATTCTCATGGCTCAGCCTTCCAAGTAGCTGGGATTACAGGCATGTGCCACCATGTCTGGCTAATTTTTGTATTTTTGTAGAGATTGGAGATTGGGTTTCGCTATGTTGGCCAGGCTGGTCTCGTACTTCTGACCTCAGGAGATCCACCCACCTTGGCCTCCCAAAGCGCTGGGATTACAGGCGTGCGCCACCATGCCTGGCCTGCTTTTACACTTTTTGTTGTTTCTGTTTATATGTTATTGTACTGACTATGTCTTGAAAAGTTGTTGTAGTTAATATTTTGAATGGGTTCACTTTCAGTGTTTCTACTTAAGAAAGGGTAGTTTATACACCACAATTACAGTAATATAATATTCTGTGTTTTTCTGTATACTTTCTATTGCCAATGAGTTTTGTACCTTCAGATGATGTCTTATTGCACGTTAATGTCCTTTTCTTTCTGATTGAAGTACTCCTTTTACCATTTCTTGTAGGACAAACCTGATGTTGATGAAATTCCTCTGCTATTGTTTGGGAATGTCTTCATTTCTCCTTTTTGCTAGATATACTATCATAGAGTAAAAGTTTTTTCCTTCAGCACTTTCAATATGTCATGACTCTCTTTCCCAATCTCTAAGGTTTCCACTGAAAAGTCTACTGCCCGATGTATTGGAGCTCCATAGTATGTTATTTGTTTCTTTTCTCTGGCTGCTTTTAGGATCCTTTCTTTATCTTTCACTTTTGGGAGCTTGCTTATTAAATGCCTTGTGGTAGTCTTGTTTGGGTTAAATCTGCTTGGTGCTCTATAACCTTCTTGTACTTGGATACTGATATCTTTCTCTAGGTTTGGGAAGTTCTCTAATATTATTCCTTTTAATAAACTTTTTACCCACATCTCTTTCTCTACCTTCTCTTCACGTCAAATAACTCTTAGATTTACCCTTTTGAGGCTATTTTCTAGATCTTGTAGGCATGCTTCATTGTTTTTTATTCTTATTTCTTTTGTCTTCTCTGACTGTGTATTTTCAAGTAGTCTGTCTTCAAGCTCACTAATTTTTCTGCTTAATCAGTTCTGCTATTAAGTGATTTTCATGCATTCTTCAGTATGTCAATTGCATTTTCAACTTCACAATTTCTGCTTTTTTTTTTTTTTTTTTGAGACAAGGTGTCATGTTGTCATTCAGGCTGGAGTGCAGTGGTATGATCACAGCTCACTGCAGCCTTGACTTCCCAGGCTCAGGCAATCTCCCACCTCAGCCTCCTGGGTAGCTGGGACTACAGGCATGCACACTATGCCTGGCTAATTTCTTGCATTTATTGTAGAGACAGGGTTTTGTTATGTTGCCCAGGCTAGTCTCGAACTCCTGAGCTCAAGCAATATGTCCATCTTGGCCTCTCAAAGTGCTAGAATTACAGGCATGAGCTACTGCAGTCAGTGATTTTTTAAAAATTATTTCAATCTCTTTGTTAAATTTATCTGACAGAATTCTAAATTACTTCTGTGTGTTATCTTGAATTTCTTTGAGTTTCCCAGAATAGCTATTTTGAATTCTCTGTCTGAAAACTCACATATCTCTGTTTTCCCAAGATTGGTTGTTGGTGCCTTAGTTAATTTGGTGAGGTCATGTTTTCCTGGATGGTCTTGATGCCTGTGGATGATATTCATCAGTGTCTGGGCATTGAAGAGTTAAGTATTTATTGTAGTCTTCACAGTCTGGGCTTGTTTGTATTTGTCCTTGGGAAGGCTTTCCAGGAATTCAAAAGGATTTGGGTGTTATAATCTAAGCTGTATTTGCATTAGGAGGCACTCAAGGCCCAGTAATGCTGTGGTTCTTGCAGACTCCTAACAGTACTGCCTTGGTGGTCTTGGATAAGATCTGGAAGAATTCTCTGGATTACCAGGTAGAGACTCCTGTTAGCTTCTCTTACTTTCTCCCAAAGAAATGGAGTCTCTCTATCTCTGTGCTGAGCTACCTGGAGCTGGGTATGGAGTGATGTAAGCACCCTTGTGGCCACCACCACTGGGACTGCTCTGGGTCAGACCAGAAGCCAGCACAGCACTGGGTCTTGCCCGAGTCCCACTGTAACCACTACCTGGCTACTGCTTATGTTTACTCATGATCCTAGGGCTGTGCAATCAGCAGGTGATGAAGCCAGCCAGGGTTGTGTCCTTCCTTTCAGGGTGGTGAATTCCCCCAGGCCTTGGGTGGGTCCAGAGATGCTGACTGGCAGCTAGAGACTAGAGTCGAAAACCTTAGAAGTTTACCTGTTCTATTCTACTGTGGCTAAGCTGGGCCTCAAACCATGAGACACAGCCCTTCTCATTCTTCCTTCAACTTGCCACAGGCAGAGGAGCTTCATCCCATGGCCACCACCACCACAAGCCCATGAGGAGTATTGCCAGGTTACTGCTGATGTTCACTTAAGGCCCAAGGTCTCTGAAGTCAGCTTGTGGTGAACGCTGCCAGGCCTGGGACTCATACTTCAGGGCAGTGGGCTCTCCTCTGGTCCAGGGCAGGTCCAGAAATGCTGTCCAAGAGCCAAGGTCTGGAATTAGGGACCCCAAGAGCCTGCCTGGTGCTCAACCCTACTGTGGCTAGCTGGTGCCTAAGGTACAAGACAAAGTCCCCTTTACTTTTCCCTCTGCTTTTCTCAAGTAGATGGAGTCTCTCACTGTAGCTACCAGAGCTGGGAATGTGCTGGATCTCACCTGAAGCCAGCACCTCTCAGAGTCTCACCCAAGGTCCACGGCATACTGCCTAGGTATCACTGCTGGCTACTCAGGACCCAAACACTCTTTAGCCAGCAGGTGATGGTTCCTGCCAGGATTGGGTCCCTCCCTTCAAGGGAGTGGGTTCCTTTCTGGCCCAGGGTGTGTCTGGAAATGTCATCTGGGACCTAGGGCCTGGAATGGGGGCCTCATGACTCTGACCGGTGCCCTGTCTTACTGTGGTTGAGCTGGTATCCAAGGTGCAAGACAAAGCCCTCTTTACTCTTCCTTCTCCTCTCCTCAAGTGGAAGAAGGAGGTCTCTTTTGGCAGGAGCTGTGTTGCCTGGGGATGGGGGAGGGGTGGCACAAGCACCCCCTTAGCTGTCCTAGCTTGTGTCTCAGTAGGTAACACGCCCCCCAAGTCCACTTGGTCTGAGCCCAGCTCAGCACTAGGATTTACAGTTCCCGTGGCCTAAACTGCCTTTCAAGAATATTTAGAGCCTCAGAGCACTCCAGTCTGTGGTGTGGCGAGGCTTGCTGGAACTTGAGTTCTGACTGCTGGGATGGATGATTCCTCTCTATCTAGAGCTGGTCTAAATGTTCTCTCAGTGGGCAGGCGTTGGCTGAGTTCAGCCTGGTTTTGCTTTCTGCTGTGACAAGGCAGCACTGAGTTCAATGCAAAGCCTCACAACCGCTGCTTTCTCCCTCTCCCAATCACACAGATTTCTCCATGCCAAGTGGCTGCTGTGGATGGGTGGGGAAGGGGTAGCATCCACAATTCAATACTGACTTTCCTCTTATAGACTGTTGGTAGGAGTGTAAATTAGTTCAGCCATTGTGGAAAGCAGTGTGGTGGTTCCTCAAAGAGCTAAAAACAGAACAATCACTAAACCCAGCAACCCCATTACTGGGTATATACCCAAAGAAACATAAATTGTTGTGCCATAAAGACACATGCACACGTATGTTCACTCCAGCATTATTCACAATAGCAAAGACATAGAATCAACCTAAATCTCATCAATGGCAGATTGGATTTAAAAAGTGTGGTACATATACACCGGGGAATACCATACAGCCATAAAAAAGAACAAGATCATATATTTTGCAAGAAATGGATGGAGCTGGAGGCCATTATCCTTAGCAAATGCAGGAACAGAAAACCAGATATGGCATGTTCTCACTTACAAGCTCACTGTGAGCTAAATGATGAGAACACATGGACACAAAGAGGGAAGAACAGACCCTAGGGCCTCCTTGAGAGTGGAGGGTGGGATGAGGGAGAGGATCAGAAAAAATAACTATTGGCTATTGTTATGACATGACTTTACCTATAAAACAAACCTGCACTGTACCCCTGAACCTAAAATAAAAGTTAAAAATAAAAAAGACTCTCTTTCCTACCTCTTCAGTGCCTCTTCCAGTAATATGAAGTTAAAACCAGTTACTGTGAGTGCTCACCTGATTTTTGGTTCTTAGAAAGGTGCTTTTTTTGTGCGTACATAGTTGTTGAATTTGGTTTTCCTACAAAGGGGATGATCGGGGCCTTCTATTCCACCTTCTTGCTCCACCTCTTCCCAGTTTCATTTTTGATTGTTCATCTTCCTCTTATAAACTTGAGCTACTTGTAGACTGGACAATGTCTTATTCATCTTTGTTTTCCTGGTGCCCAGCATGATGCCTGACAAACAGTCTATGTTCAGGAAATATTTGTTGGCCTGAATCAAACCACACTAGACTACTAATGAATATTTTAAAATTTAATTTTCACAGCTACCCTGGGCATAGGTATGTTTGTGCCCAGAATAGTTTTCTTTTTATTTATTTATTTTTTGAGATATGGTCTTACTCTGTTGCCCAGTCTGGAGTGCAGTGGTGCCATCATAGCTCACTGCAGCCCCGACCTCCTGGGCTCAAGCAATCCTCTCACCTCAGCCATCCAAGTAGCTGGCACCACAAGTGTAAGCCACCACGCGTGGCTAATTTTTGTTTTTTTTTTTTGTACAGATGGGGTTTTGCCATGTTGACCAGGCTGGTCTCGAAATCATGAGTTCAAGTGATTCTCCTGCCTCGGCCTCCCTAAATGCTGGGATTACAGGCATGAGCCACCATGCCTGGACAAGAAGTTTTATATACAAGTTTGACAACTGATTAAAGTGCTTGTGAAAGATACAGATTCCTGGGCCCCACCCTATAAATCCTGATACAAGAGATCTGGGTAGGGTGGTTGGAGCCTGGGAATCTGCACTTTTGACAAATGCCTCAGATGTTTCTGATACAGCTTGGGAACCAAAGGCAGCTTGTAAACTAGTACATTCAATGCTTTAAGCACTTCACATTGCCCTTGTATTTCAGGCTCTAAATGCCTTGAAGCTTGATCTGAAAAGAATATATGATCATCCTAACATGTAGGTTTACCAAAGATGGTAAACTAGAAGATGGTAGACTTCTTACAAATCTTGAGTTCCAAATGGCTACTCTTCTTGGTGGGTCTGAAGATTTCTGAGAACTCTCTGACCCAGTCACTGTAAGAGACCTAACAAAGAAATTGTATGGAAGACAGAGATCGAGAAGGATTTACTTGCCTTAGAAGAGCTTTCAGAACCTGTTAACTGTTTACAGATTAACGCTTTAAAGAAGATGGGTTAAGGAGAGGAAAGGAGATTAAATGTGTTTATAGAAGAACAACAAATGCCTAGCACTTAGGGAGGCTGAAGTGGGTGGATTGCTTGAGTTCAGAAGTTCGAGACCAGCCTGGGCAACATGGTGAAACTCCGTATCTACAAAAATTACAAAAATTAGCCAGGTGTAGTGGCTTGCACATGTAGTCCTAGCTACTTGCGGGGGCTGAGGCTGGAGGATTGCTTGAGCCCAGGAGGTGGAGGTTGCAGTGAGCCGACATAGTGCCACTGCACTCCAGCCCGGTGACAGAGCGAGACCCTGGCTCAACAACAACAGCAACAACAACAAAAAGAAAAACAACAAAATGCCAATACACATATGAGAGATTACAATTTTCCAATAAACAAAGAAATGCTTATTAAAACCACATTGAGAAATGAGGGGAAAAAACCTGTAAACTGTCTGCAAATGTGAATTCACCAGGCAAAAATTCATAATAAACTAAATGAGTAGGTGTCCCTAATTTTAAGTCGGTTGTCAGGGATGAATGACTAGCATTGTTAATTACACTTGTAATAATGTGAGCATCATTTTGCCTGTGTGCTTTGTGCCACCTCTGCCAACACCCTGGGATCCACCCCAAATCACTGACCACAACCTTAATCAAGACTGCCTAGGCCGGGCATGGTGGCTCACGCCTGTAATCCTAGCACTCTGGAAGGCTGAGGCATGAAGATCGCTTGAGTCCAGAGTTTGAGACCAGCCTGGGCAACATAGTGAGACCCCATTTCTAAAATAAATAAATAAATAAATAAATAAATAAATAAATAAATAAATAAAATTAGCCAGGCACTGTGGTGTGTGCCTGTAGTCCCAACTACTCTCTGGAGCCTGAAGTGGAAGGATCACTTGAGCCTGGGAGGTCAAGGATGCAGTGAGCCATGATCCTGCCACTGCACTCCAGCCTGGGCAACAGAGCAAGACTCCATCTCTAAAAAAAGAAGAAAGAAAGAAAGAGAGAAAGAAAGAAAGAAAGAAAGAAAGAAAGAAAGAAAGAAAGAAAGAAAGAAAGAGAAGATGCCTATCCAGAGGAATCCACCAAAACAAAACAAAACAAACAAAAAAAATGAAAAAAAAACCAGAAATAACAAAACATTTGTATTGTATGTTACACATGAAGCACATTAAGTGATTTCCTTTGTTCATTGTAACCTTGTGAGGGAACTGGATTTTTGTCCCTATTATTCCCATTGCATAGATAAATAAACTGAGGCTTGACATGCCCAATAAGTCACAGGTAGTAAAAGCAGTGCGTTAGCTTAAATCTCTGATCTCCTCACGCCCCACACTGACTCAACAGTAACAATACATTACTACAAAGGATGTCTGTGATGACAGTGGCCATCCCATTTGATCCTCGTTATTCTTCTTTTATCGAAGGAAACTGAGAGTCACCTTCTTTTCTAGGCAGTTAGGTAACTGAAGCCGAAAGGTATTGTGACAGATCCACTGGGCTGTAAAAGGCAGCGTGTGGAGGTGGAGCCCAGAGTTTCTGCCTCCACAGTTAAAAGCTCAGACAGGGCTTTGGGAGCAGGGCCTGCAAATCAAAGATGAAAGAACAACCTGTCTTGGAGCGCTTGCAGGTAAGCTCAGGCTGCTCGACTGGCGGGGAACAAGGACCTTAGGCGATTCGCTAGATCTGCGCCCCCGGCCTTAGATAGAAGTGGGTGGGGCCAGGGACACTACATCTAACGAGGATCTAGAATAGCTAGGATTTATGAAATACCGGCTTTCAAGTTCTCTGGTCTCCACCCAAAGATGATTATCCTATCTAAGGTAGTGTACGCTACTACAGGGCAGGTCCCGCAGCCCCCGTTTCAAGAGCTGGGATGCGGCCATAGCGGAGGTGGTGTCAGAGCGGAAACCTAGCGGGGGTCGGGGGTTCAGCTCGGGGCGGTGGGAAACACCCCGGGAGAGGAGGCAGCTCTGATTCCGCTCCGGGCCGGAGGGAGAGGAGTTCGGAGGTGGCTTGAGCTGAGAATCCGGAGGAGAGAAGGCGCGTTTTGAGCTGCCACGGGCACAGATCTCAGACCCGGACGCTGACTAGCCGGGGGTCGCGGCTTTCCGAGGCGGCTGGAGAAGTGCCCAGACGGCCGTCCCTCCGCGCCCCTGCGCGTCCCCGTGCGCCCAGTGTTCCCCGTGCAGGAGTCCCGGAGCGATGACAGCGCCGGTTACGGTAAACACCCGCCCCGCCGCAGTCCGCTTCCTTCCCCAACGCGGCGCCGCCCGGACTTGCAACCTCAGGAGTCCCCGCTGGCTCCTCTCCACCGCTGGCATATGGCGCAACAGGAAGTTCTGGGGGCTTGGAGAGGGAGGGTGCTCCTGGCTGTTGGGAGAGCACTGGAGACGCTTGGGAGAGTAGTGGAGATCCTGGTAATTTCTTGGTCTCGCCTATTTTGTCTGGACTTTCTCACACTGTGTATGAAAAATAAGTATAATTGAGCACATTGTATTTCAGGAATAGTCCAGGCAGCTTAGCAAACGTTAGCTCATTTCAGCCTGCTCTGATAAGAACATATGCTCTGGAGCCAGGTAGCCTGAATTAGCATCCCAGCTGCATCACTACCTGTGATTTTGGGCGAGTTAACATCTGTTCTTCGGCTTTCTCATCTGGAAAATGGGATAATACGATTTGTAGTTTCAAGATGAATTGAAATGCTACATGCCATTTGCACTTAGAATAATGCCTGACGTATTTAGCAGGTTGTAAGAGTTTGGGATTCTTAACTATTTCATCCTGGCAGTAATCCTATAAAGTCCAAGTATCCTGTCTCTCCCATCTCCACCGGTTTACAGGTGAGGAAAATGAAACCAAAGGAGAAAAGCAGATTTGAGATTTGAACTCAGGTCAGTGCTTTAAGACACGGAGAACATAAAAAAGAAAAAAAAAAAAGAGAAAAAAAGACACTGAGAACATAGATGTTCTAGTCATACACATCATTTGTGATTATTTGTTCTAGGGAGAAATGATCACCTTTAATTGTTAAAGTGGGAAACGAGTTATTCAATTTCTTTCCCCCTGTATACAGATTTTGATGTTTCACTGTCATCTGCTTTGGGTTCTTACAGGACTGATAAAGCGTTAGCTATTTTGGCCAGACTGGAATCTGGGCTTGACTTTAAGAATCTGGTTGTTTCTTATGTTTCCCACCAGGAGTGGTAACCATCTAGGGTAGGAGTTAGCATGAGTTTTGTTTTTTGGGCCAAAACTGGAGACTAGTACCCTTTGGTAGTGTTAAACTTGTCTTGATAGACAAGGGCATGAATAGCATTTGAGATCATTATACCAGAGGTGAAGGGAAAGAATCGTGCAATATGTTGCAATTTGTCACAAATTTTGGTCTTATCTTGCCTATTTACAATTATCTATCATAGTTAATTTTTTGGATAGGACATCTATGCCAAAACTATCAAGCATTTGGTAAATACTGTGCCTGAAATATGGCTTCTCTCTTTTTCCTTCTTTTTCAAATTTCTCACTTTTTATTTTATTTTATTTTTTTGAGACAGAGTCTCGCTGTGTTGCCCAGACTGGTCTTGAACTCCTGGGCTCAAGCAATCCTCTTTGGCCTCCCAAAGTGCCAAGATTACAGGCCTGAGCCACTGTGCCTGGCCTCACTGTGTTTTAAATCATGAGTTTTCAGTATAAACAGCCCAAATAATCTGAGTGATTTTCATTATACTTCTGGTAGAATCAATACCATGCTGGAACTGAAAGTGACCATCCTACCTATAACTCAGTTATTCCTTTGTGACACATCAGAAGTCTACATGGCAACTATTTTCTGTAAAATCCATCACTGTTAGGTAAGATATTATGATGTGAGTCTCACTAGTGCCTTTTTTCTTTACTTCTTAGTTTTATTGAAGTTTTACGTTCTCATTGTTCAGAATCAATTAATTCCATAGGGTTAATATCTAAAAACAGTAGAACCCTCCATCACTTCCTGCTTTTTAAGAGAAGTAATCATGTTCATCTCTTTTAACTAGTTACTATTTGTCTGTATCTCTAGATATTCCTTATAATTGCTCCTTCTTGGTTTTTGAGGTTTAGTCATCATGCATTGACTTTCCTGCAAGAAATGTGTGGATTTAACTCTTTTCTGTTTTCCTGCCACTACCACTTACATGCATCCTACCTATTCCTTCCATAGATCCTCTGAATATAGTTATCTCATAATTTTTGGTTAGGTCAATATTTAGTTAGGTCAACATTATTATGCCTCCCTACATGCTATTAAAAGCTTTCTTCCTTGTTTTTTTCCAGAGTTGTCTCTCTGTGTTTGCAAAGTTTTCACCAATTTAACCACAAGTTCTTTGTTAGTTGTCTAAATCTTCCCTCAAGATGTCCAATGCAACAGCTATTTGAATCAATTTTATTTCTATCACAGCTTTCTTACCTGCTTTGCCAGTCCAGACTGGTTGCTCTTGATGTTTGATGCACAGCTATTACCTTGGGCTCTCTCTTCACCATCATTTGGGGACTGATTCACTTTGCATCTCTGTTATGCTGGCTCCTGTTTCCTATATCCCACACCTTAGTCTTTTTTGATTTCTTCTATCATTTTGATGGAGCACATTCTCCAGTAGCTTTCTAAGAAAAGGTACATGTAAGGTAAACAGAATTGAATATGTTTTTTTCCTTGATTGTGTATCACAGAAAATAATTCTCCAGATGTTTTTCCCTTAAAAACTTTGTCACTAACAATATAAAAATAATTTCTTGTTGTAAATAATTCAAATACTACAAATAGAAATCCAAATAGAAAGTTCCCTTTCTACCCCTCAACTACTCCCCCTCTGACCCAGAGGTAATCAAACTGTTGATTTGGAGCATATTATTTAGATGTGCTTTTATATACGTATGTATGTATGTATGTATGTATGTATGTATGTATGTATATATGTATTTATTTTTGAGACAGAGTCTCGCTCTGTCTCCCAGGCTGGAGTGCAGTGGCACGATCTCAGCTCAGTGCAAGCTCCGCCTGCTGGGTTCACACCATTCTCCTGCCTCAGCCTCCCGAGTAGCTGGGACTACAGGCACCCGCCACCACGCCCGGCTCATTTTTTGTATTTTTAGTCGAGACGGGGTTTCACCTGTTATGCAGGATGGTCTTGATTTCTTGACCTCGTGATCTGCCCACCTCAGCCTCCCAGAGTGCTGGGATTATAGGTGTGAGCCACTGTGCCTGGCCATACATATGTATTTATTATTTTGATTTGTGCATTTATTTATTTATTTACTTTATTTTTTGAGATGGAGTTTTGCTCTTGTTGCCCAGGCTGGAGTGCAATGGCACAATCTTGGCTCACCACAACCTCTGCGTCCCAGGTTCAAGCGATTCTCCTGCCTCAGCCTCCCAAGTAGCTGGGATTACAGGCATGTGCCACCATGCCCAGCTAATTTTGTACTTTTAGTAGAGACAGGGTTTCTCCATGTTGGTCAGGATGGTCTCGAACTCCCGACCTCAGGTGATCCACCCACCTCGGCCTTCCAAAGTGCTGGGATTACAGGCATGAGCCACTGCACCCGATCTATTTATTTTAATTTAATTTTATTTTATTGAGATGGAATCTTACTATGTTGCCCACGCTAGTCTTGAACTCCTGAGCTCAAAGGATCCTCTTACCTCAACCTCTCAAGTATCTGGGATTACAGGCACATGACACCGTGCCTGGCTTTGCATGTGTTTTTAAATAAATTGAATCATATTGTATATATTGATCTGTAACTTGTTTCACTTAACAGTAGTTCCTGTAGATTTTTCCATGTCAATACACATTAGTGCCTTCTTGAATAGTATGTTCAGATGAACTGGAGTGATCAAGATCATAGGTATAGCATTTTCTCTTCACAATCAGTCACAAATACTGACCGAGTGTTATGTGCCAAACTGTCTTCCAGAATCTGGGAATATACAGTGAATAAAACTTTTATTTTTGAGATAGAAAGGGATAGTGAGATGCTTCTCGATGAAACTGAGCTCAGTTTCAGCTTTAATTTGGTTTTCCTTTCCTAGAGTGCAAATATACAATCACATCTCTTTTTCTCTTGGTATAAAATCACAATCATTAAAAATTGAGCTAAATACCTGTTGTGCCACCAGACCAACAGAACAATACCACTGACATAGAAATAGATTTTCTGGATGGATAAACAAAATATGGCATATATACACAAGGGAATATTATTCAGCCTTAAAATGGAGGGAAATTCTGACACATGCTACAACATGGATGAACCTTGAGGACATAATGCTAAGTAAAATAAACCAGTCACAAAAAGATAAATACTGTATGATTCCACTTATGAGGCATCTATAGAAATCAAATTCATACAAACAAAAAGTGGAATTATGGTTGGCAGGGCTAGGGGAGGGGAAATGTTTAGTTGTTTAATGGGTATAGAGTTTCAGTTTTTCGAGATGAAAAAGTTCTGGAGATTGGCCGCACAACAATGTGAATATACTTAGCAAAACTGAGCTACACACTTAAAAATGGTTAGGATGGTAAATTTTACATTATATATTTTACCACAATTAAAACAAAAATGGAAAAAGAGATTCTCACACAGACTCCTTTGTAGTGGGCTTTGTCTTATACTTTGAATAGGTGGTTGAATCTGCTTTCAGCTGGATGAATACTCAGTAGTGGGAATGCAGGATTGAATGGTAATTCCATTTTTAGTTTTTGGAGGAACCTCCATTACTGTTTTCCATAACGGCTGTACTAAATTACATTCCTATCAACAGTGTATGAGGGTCTCCTTTCTCTGCATCCTTGCCAGTATTTGTTAATTTTTGTCTTCTTTATGATAACCATTTTAACTGGAGCGAGATGATATCTCATTGTGGTTTTGATTTGCATTTTACTGCTGATTAGTGATGTTGAGCATATTTTCATATGCATGTTGGCTGTTTGTATGTATTCGTTTGAGAAACGTTGATTCATGTCCTTTGCCCACTCTTCAGTGGGCTTATTTGTTTTGTGTTTACTGTTGAGTTGTTTGAGTTCTTTTAATATTCTGGATATTAGTCCCCTGTCAAATAAATAGTTTGCAGATATTTTCTCCAACTCAACAGATTGTCTCTTCATTTTGTTGATTGTTTCCTTCACTGTGCAGAAACTTTTTAGTTTAACATGGTCTCATTTGTGTATTTTTGTTTCTCTTTTTTCTTTTTAACCAACCAAGAAGCACTGAATCAGTTGTGTACTTTTGTTTTTGTTGTCTGTGCTTATGAGGTCTTAGCTGCAAAATCTTTGCTTAGATCAATGTCCTGAAGTGTTTCCGTTATATTTTCTTCTAGTATCTTTATAGTTGAAGTCTTGCATTTATGTCTTTAATGCATCTTGAGTTGATTTTTGTATATGGTGAGAGATAGGAGTTCAGTTTCATTCTGCTGCATATAAATATCCAGTTTTCCCAGCATGATTTATTGAAGATGATGTCCTGTAACCAATGTATGTTCTTGATGCCTTTGTCAAAATTCAGTTAGCTGTAAAAATGTGGAATTACTTCTGTGTTCTCTATTTTGTTCAATGGTCTATGTGTCTTTTTATACCAATAGCATGCTGTTTTGGTTACTATAGCTATAAGAATACTTTTGTACAGTTTCCAAAGTTCCTCTTATTATTGATTTCTAGTTTTACTTTATCTTGTGGTCTGAGAAGATACATGATATGATTTTGATTTTTAAAAATTAGTTGAGATGTGTTTTGTGTTTTACCATATAGTCTATTCTGGAGAATGTTCCACATGCTGATAAAAATGTGTATTCTGGAACTGTTGGATGAGATGTTCTGTCAATATTTATTAGGTCCATTTGGTCTAAAGTACAATTTAAATATTATTTTAATTTTCTGTTTAGATAATCTGTGTAATGCTGAGAGTGGGGTGTTGAAGTCCCCAACCGTTACTGTATTGGAGTCTATTTGTTCTGTTTGATCGAATAATATTTGCTTTATATATTGGGGTGCATGCTTTGTTAGGTGCATATATGTTTAGAATTGTTATACTTTCTTGCTGAATTGATTGCCTTATATAATTATAATTATATAATTACATTTTTTGTCTCTTTTAACTTTTTTTTTACTTAAAGTTTGTTTCATCTGATATAAGTATAGTTATTTATGCTTGCGTTTGGTTTCTGTTTGCGTGGAATATCTTTTTCCATTCCTTTACTTTCAGTCTATATCTGTCTTTATAGGTGAGATGAGTTTCTTACAGGTAGCATATAGTTGGGTCTTTTTTTTCAATTAAAAAAATTTTTTTGTAGAGATGGGATCTCGCTACGTTGACCAGGCTGGTCTTGAACTCCTGGCCTCAAGTGATCCTCCCATTTGGGCCTCCCAAAGTGCTAGGATTACAGGTGCAAGCTACCACGCCCAGCCAGGGTCATTGTTTTTTTCCAATCCATTCAGCCAATCTATATGTGTTAAGTAGAAAATTTAATCCATTTAGTTTCACGGTTATTATTGATCTGGGAGCACTTATTCTTGCCATTTTATTAATTGATGTCTCGTTGTTTTGTATATCCTTGGTTCTTTTCTTTCTCTCTTATTGTTTATCATTGTGGTTTGGTGGTATTCTGTAGTGGTAACATTTAAGCACTTTTACTTCCTTATTTGTGTGTTTGTCCTATTAGTGGGTTTTATACTTTCGTGTATTTTCATGATGGTAGATACTGTCTTTTTGCTTCTATGTGCAGGACTTGCTGAAACATTTCTTATAGGACTGGTTTAATGGTGATGAATTTCTTCAGCTTTTGCTTATCTGGGAAAGACTTCACTTCTCATTTATTTATGAAGGATAACATTGCTAGGAATAGTATCCTTGGATGGCAGTGCTTTTTTTTTCGGTATTTTGAATATATCATTGCATTCTCTCCTGGCTTGTAAAGTTTCTATTGAGAAATTTGCTGTTAGTCTGATGGAGGTTCCTGTATAAATCACTGGACATTTTTCTTTTGCTGTTTTTAGAATTTAGAATTCTTTCAGTTTGACTATAATGTGCTCTGGAAAAGATCTTTTTGAATTGTATCTTTCTGGCAATCTCTGAGCTTCCTGTTTCCGGACGTCTACATCTCTTGCTAGACCTGGGAGGTTTTCAGTTATTATTTCATTAAATAGGTTTTCTGTTCCTTTTGTTTTCTCTTCACCTTCCAGAGCACCAAAATTTTGAATATTTGGCTTCTTTATGGTGCCTCATATGTCACATAGACTTTATTCTTTAGATTATTTTTTCTTTATTTTTGTCTGTGTCAGGAAAAATCCTCATTTCTCCTCTACTTTTACACCACAACAATCAGCACAGAGGACTCCTGTGACAAATATGTGTGTGGGAGTTTTCCCATCACATCAAGCAGCGGATGCCAGGTAGGTGTCTTCCAATTCAGTTCTGACACTATCTACCTGAAGATAGTGCCAGATCACACAAGTTGGGGACTCATTCCCCAAGACTACATCTGCCTCCTTCAGATGGAACTTCTAACTGACTGGCTTCAAGTTGGGGTTCCCATGACCTCCTCTTTGGATTTCATTAATTTTGCTGGGGCGGCTCACAGAACTTAGGGAAACACATTTGCTGGTTAATTATAAAGGATACTACAAAGGATATAGATGAAGAGATGCACAGGGCTAGGTATGGGGGAAGGGTTGCACAGCTTCCATGCCTCCCTGGGCATATCACCCTTCAGGAACCTCTATGTGTTCAGCTATCCAGGAACTCACCAAACCTGGTCCTCTTGGATTTTTATGGAAGCTTCATGATGTCAAAATTTCTTCTCCCAGGGTATAGGGTGGGACCCTCTCTGGGAAGGGACTTAAGGCCCACAATCAGAAAGGAGCAGAAAGATTAGAATCCTGCATTGGGCCAGGTATAAGAAAGGCAGGAGACAAATTCTGTTTCCTCAGAACTTCCCCTGAGGCCTAACACACCTGACATTATAACAAAAGACTCAAAGAAAGGATATGGGAGTTATTAACAAGGAACCATGGGTAAAACCCTATATATATCCATGGTTCCTTTATATATATAAAATGGTTCCTTGTTATATATATATGTATATATGTATATAAATCATATATATATAAATCATATACAAATATATGTATTTAAATCATTACACCACATTGACTGGGTTATTTCATCACACTTGTTTTCAGGTGCTCATATTCTTTCTGCTTGATTGAGTCTATTGTTGAAGCTTTCTAATATATTTTGTATTTCATTCAGAGAATTCTTTAATTCTAGAATTTCTTTTGGTTCTTTTTTAATGATATTTATGTCTTTTGTCAATTTTTCATTTGTATCCTGAATTTTCTGATTTCTTTGTATTGTATTTTCAAGTTCTCTTGTATCTCACTGAGCTTTTTAAATAAAACTTTTTTAAAATTAAAAAGAAATTTTTTTTGAGATGAGGTTTCACTCTGTTGCCAAGGCTGGATTCCAGTGGTACAATCATAGCTCAATGGCAGATTGAACTCCTGAACTCCTGAGGTTGAGTGGTCCTCCTGCATCAGCTTCTCAAGTAACTAAGATTACAGGAATGAGCCACCACACCTGGCTGAGCTTCTTTAATGTCATTAGTTTGATTTCTTTTTCCTGGGTTTTATGAATTTCTTCATTGAAATCTATTGCTGGAGAATTATTATGTTCCTTTGGAGGTATCATATTTCCTTGCTTTTTCATGTTTCTCGTGTCCTTACATTGATATCTGTGCATGTGGCATAACCATTGCTTCTTCCAATCTTTTGAATTTGCTTGCACGGGGGGGATTGTATTCTGAAGACGTTTATGTGGCGGTGTTTAGGTAGGGCACTTTGGCTTTGATTCTGGGTGTGTGCAGTAGTATAGTCTCGTTATGATTTCTTCAGCTATAAACAGTGTCAGTAGTGTCTGAGATTTGCTCAGTGGCTTCAGGTGTGATTGTTAGTGGAGGCTTTGGTGAGGTTTTGCTGGGGATGGGGACATAAGATGGGCCAGTCCTTGGGCCCTAGTGGTGATAGCAGTGAGCTGAATGTGCCAGTCTTTGGGCCCTTGGGTGGCATATGCTGACACTGGTGTTAGTAGGGCCAGGTGAGCTGATTCTTGGGCCTGCAGGTGACTTTCTTGGGTGCTGTCAGTGGCAATGGTGGGAAGGGCAGGCAGGTGTGTCCTTGAGCCCCTGGACAGTGGGTGTGGTGTGAATGATGACAGTAGCAGTGGTGAGACAATCCTCTGGTTCCCAAGTGATCCATGCTGGTGTTGAAATTGACTGTGATGGACTAGGTGGGTCAGTCCCCAGGCCTGCAGGTGGTGTGCGTGTGGGTGCCAGCTGTGGTGTTGGTGGCAGGTTGGGTGAGCCCATTCTCAGGTTTCTGGGAGGAGAGCTCAGGTGCCAACTGTGGTGGGTGGGGCAGGTGATCCCTAGGCCCCTGGATGGTGTGCTCCAGCACTGGGTGGGATGGAGTTGGACAGGGTGGGCTTCTCCTCAGGCCCCTCATGGTGCATGTAGCCACTGGCTGTGGTAGGAGGGGTGAGGTGATCCCCAGGCCCCTGGTGGAATGCCTGAGTTGGAGTGGCAGCGGCTGCATTGTGGCCCTGCTGCTGGGGAGGGCAGAGTTGTTTCAGTGGCAGAAGCTGTAAACAGGCAGCAGGGGAAAGCTAGCTTGGCTCCAGCTGGTGGCTTTAAATGAGGCTGCCTTTCCTCAGGGCATTTTTAAATGTGTGGTGACCCCAATATGGAGCATGGTGGGGTCACTGCCAATGGCTCATGGTTTGGCCCTGTAGGCAGCAGCAAACAGTGGAGGTGGGCTGTGGGCAGGGGATATCAATGGGACTCCAGGGATATGGAGATGTGGGGCTGTTGGGTCCCAGGATAGGATGCAGTCTGGTGGTGGCTGGACTCTAAAAATGGCACCTTGCTGTAGCTGCTTAGAATTCATAGTGTGCGTGGAACTCAGTGTGAGCTCCCTCCCTGGAGCAATGCCATCACATGGTCTCCAGGCAGCTCCCTGTTAGTCTCAGGGCCCACTGGAGTCCAGGTGCTTTTTTCCTGTGGCTGCATTGTATATTATTTGTCCATTAATCAGTTGATGGATATTTGTGTTGTTTCTACTTTTTGACAATTATGAATTATGCTGGTATGAACATTTGTATACAAGTTTTTGTATAGACATGTGTTTTCATTTCTTTTGGGGCGATACCTAGGAGTGGAATTTCTGGGTCATATGATAACTCTTGTGTTTGTCCTTTTGAGGAAGTGCCAGAATTTGTTTCAAAGCAACTGTATTATTTTACATAATCACCAGCAATCCATGATAATTCCAGTTTCTCCCTATTTTTTGTATTGTCTGACTTTTTGATTATAGCCATCCTAGCGGGTATGAAGACTGCATGGTTTTGCATTTCCCTTATGACTAATGATTTTGAGCATCTTTTCATGGGTTTATTCGACATTTGTTCTTTGGAGAACTATTTAGATCCTTTGTGTGGCACTTATTTTTGATCCAGTGCTTCAGATTTTCTTCCGGAAAATGTGCACATCCACACAAAAGTTAGTATACAGTTTCTAAGGGTTCATGACCCTCCCAGTATCTGTAAAGGCCTGAGGCTTCTCACATGCTATGTGGCAGATGTTTTTCAGGGCGTTTTATATAGTTAGTCTCACCCATAATTATTATGTACCAGATTTGTGTGATGATCAGATATTCAGGAAAGTGACTGGCCAGCCCTAAAACACTATAGTGCTTCAGGGATTGGTATAAGCACAAGTGTTGTGGGTAAGCGATAGTAAAGTGAAGTTGCTAAGGGAATGAACTCAAGTCAGACTGCCTGTATATGAATCCTAGTGTCACTTTTATGAGCTGTTGTGTTCCTTAGGGAAATTACTCAGCCTCTCTAAGATTCAGTATCCTCTTTCATAAAATGAGTTTAATAACTGCACCCAGGTACTCTTGAGCAATTTAAGTGAGTTAATAAACAAAATGTTTTGCATTGTCCAGGTGGGCACACAGAAAGTGCTGAATAAATTGTTACCCTGGCTGGGTGCGGTGGCTCACACCTGTAATCCCAGCACTTGGGAGGCTGAGGTGGGTGGATCACGTGAGGTCAGGAGTTTGAGACCAGCCTGACCAGCATGATGAAACCCCGTCTCTACTAAAAATATGAAATTTGACCAGGCATGGTGGCGCATGCCTGTAATTCCAACTACTTGGGAAGCTGAGGCAAGAGAATTGCTTGAACCTGAGAGGTGGAGGTTGCAGTGAGCTGTGATCATGCCATTGCATTCCAGCCTGGGCGACAAGAGCGAAAATCCATCTCCAAAAATAAGTAAATAAATAAATTGTTACCCTGCAGTTAATATTATATGACAGACCAGGTTGACCTTTGAATATGAAAACATCTTTCTTTTCTTGGGGAATGTAGATATCTTCTATTGATCTTTGAAAGGGCCAAGAAGTTTCTGCAAATTGAATCTTGTAATCTTCTCAGGAAAGAGAATTATCTTCTTAGATAAGCTTAAGTTTACAGGGTACTTTACAGATCCTTGGCCTGTTTAAGTTAATCCTTTCTAACCTTTGTCACCACTGTTAGTGTCTGCTTTAGAGGGATTTTAAAACAAAAGAAAACGTATTTTAGCCTTTGTCCTTATCTGGCCCAGAGAAACAACCTTCCAAATAGGCAGTTTTTGCTCTTTCACCCCAAGGTCAAGCAAGTAGAGAGAATGGGGTCCAAAGTCCTCAAATTTTAAAATCTTTCTAAAATTAACTATCATTTTTAGGACAGCCTTAAGAAAGGCAAACTAGGAGGGAATAATGAATTGACATAAGGCTTTATAGACTGCATCTTTATTATTATTATTATTATTTTTAATTTTTTGAGGTAGAGTCAAGCTCTGTCGCCCAGGCTGGAGTGCAGTGGCACGATCTTGGCTCACTGCAACCTCCACTTCCCAGGTTTGAGCAATTCTCCTGCCTCAGCCTCCTGAGTAGTTGTAACTATAGGCGTGCGCCACCACGTCTGGCTAATTTTTGTATTTTTAGTAGAGACAGGGTTTTACCTTGTTGGCCAGGCTGGTCTCGAACTCCTGACCTGAGGTGATCCACCCACCTCGGTCTCCCAAACTGCTGGGATTACAGGCGTGAGTCACCACACCCAGCCCTCCTTCAAGTTTAATGGAAGGGAAGAGTTGCTGTAAGGTGCAGGCCAACATCTCTGAATTCCAGTGTTTTATCAGTTTTGTTGTCTGACCTGCAGATGATGATGGTGGTTTTAAAAATTATTTACTTATTTAGTGGCCTGGGTTTGCAACTGGAAGAGGCTAAGATAAAATATTCCTTCTTATAATACAATTACAGGCCAGGCATGGTGGCTTATGCCTGTAATCCCAGCATTTTGGGAGGCTGAGGTGGGCAGATCACCTGAGGTCAGGAGTTTGAGACCAGCCTGGCCAATATGGCGAAACTTGTCTCTACTAAAAGTAGCAAAAAAAAAAAAAATTAGCTGGGCATGGTGGTGCATGCCTGTAATCCCAGCTACTGTGGAGGCTGAGGCAGGAGAATCACTTGAACTCGGGAGGTGGAGGTTGCAGTGAGCTAAGATTGCACCACTACACTCTGGCCTGGGTGACACAGTGAGACATTGTCTCAAAAAAAAAAAAAATACAATTACAAAATGTTATGAGCATTTGAGTGACACATTCTTAAAAAAAAAGAAAAAGAAAAACTGCTTTGCTTTTGTTTAATCCCTCTTTTATGATTGCCTTTTTGGGTCATTTCAAAGTCTCTTTCTATGGATAAAATATATTTCTTCTCACTTTACAATATCAGAAGAAATTAAATACTGAAGAAGCATCTTCAGCATCAAAACCCAGTGAAAATGGAAACCTGTTCTGGAGTTGCGGTCCTCAGTGACTTAAAGAAAGGCATTATATGGGTAACTGTGCTCTCCTTTCCTTCCTGAATTGCACTGAAAGTACAGGCAGTCTCTAAACAACAACGCTGGAACTTTTAATATCATGTGTTCCAGCAAGAAAGAGAAGTTGGGAAATTTCAGCCTAGCAGATGATAGTGTCCTATCTGTCAACCTCTGTTAACTCATAAGATTCTTGGTATCCCACTGACAGACTTCTGAGTCTCAATTTCCTGGACAACTCTAATTCTTGTTTTTTTTTTTTTTTTGTTTTTAAGACAGATTCTCACTCTGTCACCCAGGCTGGAGTGCAGTGGCACAATCTCAGCTAATGGCAATCTCTGCCTCCTAGGTTCAAGTGATTCTTCTCACTCTGCCTTCTGAGTAGCTGGAATTACAGGCATGTACCACCATGCCCGGCTAATTTTTGTATTTTTAGTAGAGGCAGGGTTTCTCCATGTTGTCCAGGCTGGTCTTGAACCCCTGACCTCAGGTGATCTGCCTGCCTCAGCCTCCCAACGTGCTAGCATTACAGTTGTGAGCCACCATGCCCAGCCTGGACTGCCCTAATTCTATTAAAACATCTTTTTCCTCCTAAAAATTTTAGGGGAATCAGTTATTTTGAATGTGAGGGTTTTTTTTTTCTGAATAAAAAACTTGTCTGTACCCTACCCTAAATCTTTAAGTTACAATAAAAGTCTCAAAGATTTTTAAGATCTTTTAAATTAAAAGATTTTTTTCTGTTAAAAAGTTAAAAATTCTAAATGTTAAGATAAAAAATCTTTATAATTTAAGATGAGTCCCTCAAAGATTAAAATAAGAATCTTAAGGTAAATGATTTAGGGGAGGGGATATTCTTAATTGATAATTGTTGGAAATCTCTTAGAAAAGAGTCTCCCGAAATTGCATCCTGTGGAAACAAGTCTGTAATATCCTCAGAGAAAATCCTTGATCAAATATATTTTGGGAAACAGACAGTGTTTCCCTTCTGGACAATCATAATTCTCGTATGTGCTTATACAGCCACAAAACATTTTCCTTTCCAATTTTAGTATATGTGCTGCCCAGGAAAGCACATTTTGTTTTTCTTCCATGAAATACAGTATCTTCTTCAGGCTGTACTTCAGACAGTTCCCTGTCTTTGGAGACATAGAGTACAGTGGGTCTAACTAGGTCATGATAGTACAGTGCAGGGGATAAGCACAGAAGGCTCAGGCTGAGAGAGCATGGGGAAGGAGGTCCTCATTCAGACTTGAGAGTTTCCAGAAGTTTTCTAGGAGGCATGATGTCTAAGTTGGCGGAGAAAGGAAGGGAGTGGAGAGTATTCTAGGTGGAGAGAACAGTGTGTAGAGAATACCTGTAGGTGAATTCAGACAGTTCAAAATGGCTCAGTATATTTAGAATGTAGAGATGGAGGCAGGGAGGGGCAAGAGATCAGGTAGGAGCTGGAGCACCCAAGATGTGGCAGGCAATGCTCTGTAAAGCGTGTGAAGAACTTTACAACTTTATCTTGAGAATAATGACGAGCCCTTGGAAGGTTTTATGTGATAATGACTTGTTCACTTTATTTATTTTAAAAGATTATAAGCTTTATTATAGAGAATGGATTGAAGAGAAAATTAGAGGTAGAAAGGCCTGGGAGGCAATGTAGGCAAAAGTTTATGGTGACTTTAACTAGGGCAGTGGCAATATAGATGCAGAGAGGTAGGCAGATACAAGAGATGTTTAAGAGATAGAATCAGGTTCCGCGCAGTGGCTCACGCCTGTAATTCCAGCACTTTGAGAGGCTGAGGCTGGCAGATCACTTGAGGTCAGGAGTTTGAAATCAGCCTGGCCAAGACAGGGAAACCCTGTCTCTACAAAACATGTACACACGTGCGCGCATGCACACACACACACACACACACACAAAATTTGCTGGGCGCGGTGGTGTGCACCTGTGGTCCCAGCTACTTGGGAGGATAAGGCAGGAGAATTGCTTGAGCATTGCGAGGCGGAGGTTGCAGTAAGCCAAGATTGTGCCACTGCACTCCAGCTTGGGCACAGGAATGAGAAACCCTGTCTCAAAAAGAGCTCACAGGCATGGCAGCTCATGCCTGCAACCCCAGCTACTTGGGAGGCTGCAGTGGGAGGATTGCTTGAGGCCAGGGGTTTGAGACCAGCCTGGCCAACAAAGCAAGATCCCATCTCAGTGTATTCCTTAATGCTTAAAAATTGCTACTGTTGGCTGAGTGTGGTGGCTCATGCCTGTAATTCCAGCACTTTGGGAGGACAAGGCAGGATGATTGCTTGAGGCCAGGAGTTCAAGGCTACCCTGGCCAACATAACAAGACCCTGTCACTATTTTTAAAAAGTTGCAGCCAGGCATGGTGGCTGACACCTGTAATCCTAGCACTTTAGGAGGCCGGGGCAGGTGGATCACTTGAGGTCAGGAGTTTGAGACCAGCCTGGCCAACATAGTGAAACTCTGTCTCTACTAAAAATACAAAAATTAGCTGGGCATGGTGGCACACACCAGTAATCCCAGCTACTCAGGAGGCTGAGGCAGGAGAATTGCTGGAACCCAGGAGGCAGAGGTTGCAGTGAGCCGAGATTGTGCCACTTCACTCCAGTCTGGGCAAAAGAGCAAAACTCTGTCTCAAAAAAAAAAAAAAAAGTTACTACTGAGTTGGGTATGGTCGCACATGCTTGTAATCCTAGATACTCGGGAGGTGAGGGTGGGAGGACTGCTTGAGCCCAAGAGTTCAAGGCCAACCTGGGCAATATAGTGAGACCCCCTCTCAAAAAAAAAGTTGCTCGTAAGTCATCTATTGTGCTTATAAATTGGTACCTCTCTATGGAGGGGAATGTGGAAATCTGAGTTGACTTAGAAATTTTACTTGCAGGTGTATATTCTGAAGATCTACATGAACATGAAAGCTATGCTGTATGTATGTTGTGTAAGATGAAAAATAACATATATATACATGACCAGGTGCTTAGCTAAGTCAATTATGGGACTTCCATATTAGGGAATACTGGTCAGCCTCATAAAATGAAGCAATTCTATATATAAGGTTATTACATATCATTATTAATCAGAAAAAAAACAAGGTGCAGAACAGCATGTATAATTTGCCTATATCTATGTAAGAATTTTTTGGGGGATATACCTGTAAACACATTGACTATCTTTAGAGGAATGCACAACAAACTGTAATAGAGGTTAACTTTTGAGAGGGAAACTGGATGGCTGGGGAACAGGGGTGGGAGGGAAATTTAACTTTTCCCTGTATCACCTGATGTACTTCCCGGATTTTATACCATTTGCAATATTATCTATTAGAAAAAAATTGCCAGGAGCTGGTTTAGCATATCCCATGGATGATACAGTGAGGACTTAGATAAGAACTAAGTGCAGCTTTGTCACAGTTATAACATTGTAACTATCTGTTTTGGTTGTTTTTTGCTATGTGGCAATTTAGGCACACAGTTATAGAGGGTTTACTTGAAGCTATTGTAATTATTATTATTTTTTAAAAATAGAAGTGGAATGCCTATTTCTTTTCTTTTCTTTTTCTTTTCTTTTCTTTTTTTTTGAGACGGAGTATCTCTCTGTCACCTAGGCTGGAGTGCCGTGGCACTATCTTGGCTCACTGCAACCTCCCAAATTCAAGCCTCCCGAATTCAAGCAAGTCTCCTGCCTCAGCCTCCTGAGTAGCTGGGATTACAGGCACACACCACCACACCCAGCTAATTTTTGTATTTTTAGTAGAGATGGGGTTTCACCATGTTGGCCAGGCTTGTCTTGAACTCCTGACCTCAGGTGATCCACCCACCTCGGCCTCCCAAAGTGCAGGGATTACAGGCGTGAGCCACTGCGCCCAGCCCGTGGAGTGCCTATTTCTAAGTGCAGCTAAAGGAATGTTCATGAAACTTTATAGCTGGACAGCTGGAAATTAACAATTCCTGGGGTCACTCACCCAGGGAGAACAAGATTTCTCTAGTTTGCTGGTAGAGATTACCTACAGGCTACAGAAGAAAACAGTGTTATCTTGTTTTTCCTCCCTTTCTTTTTTCCTTTCATTATAGCTTGACATGATTTATTGAATGCCCATGATCCCCAGTTACATTTACTCTTATCCTTTATCCCAAACTCCTATTCCCTTAGTGTAGATGTCTGCAGACCCACGTATTCAAAGGTACATGTTTTTAGGTTATTAGCTTATTAGGGAAATTCCTGCAATGCTGTGTTTCAGGAATATTATATTCCCCATGGGGCATCCAATGAGATACTGTAGGTGTATCCTAGGTATTTAATTGAATTCATTATTTTTTCAACTATTTTAAATTTAGCAGATACTTTGGTGAGAGAGGATTTCATATGCTTTGTGATCCGTAGAACCTACTTTGGGAAATGTCCTATACTGTGCTGCTATACTGGGAAGTGTGGGTAATAAAAAGGGGGTCTGTGAATGCACATGGGTGTTTCCTACCATCCTTTCTCTCTGGGTAAGAGGGGCAAAAATAAATGCTGAAGTTGGCAACCTCCAGAGCTAAACAGGCTATCAGTTTCTATAGAACATGGATAATAAGGTCTTGGGCAAATTTACCAAGAAGGAAAATTTGTCATTCTTTCTGATATCTATCAGAGATATAAGATTACTTCAAGGCAGAGCCTTCCTCTTCAGCTGTCCATACCATTTCCTTCCTTCCTTCCCTCCCCACCGCTCTCCGAGATCTCTACAGTCATTTCCATTCGCTCATTGCATCTTCATTCTCTCTCTTTTTGTTGACTTCTCCCTTAGTCTACAAAGTCCTGTTTTCTCAACATAAAATAAACTGTGCCTATAAAATGTCATGTAAAAGATCTCTGGCACTAGCATTAGAACCTGCTCCTTCTCGGTGAAGAGGGAATAAATAGTACTGTGATGAGCCACAGAATTGTGAATATTGCTTTAGCTAAAGCACCTAAGACATTTAGCCCTCCCAGCCTTTGGCAGATACGACAGACTACTTTAGTGTTGGCTTTTGCTTTATATCGTCCATTTATGACAGTTTCTTTTTTTTTTTTTTTTGAGATGGAGTCTCGCTCTGTTGCCCAGGCTGGAGTGCAGTGGCGTTACCTCCGCCTCCTGGGTTCAAGTGATTCTCCTGCCTCAGCTTCCCGAGTAGCTGGGACTACAGGTGCGTGCCACCATGCCTGGCTAATTTTTTGTATTTTTAGTAGTGACGGGGTTTCACCATGTTAGTCAGGATGGTCTCGATCTCCTGACCTTGTGATCTGCCTGCCTCGGCCTCCCAAAGTGCTGGGATTACAGGCCGGCCCTGACTGTTGTTTTTAGTATTGCTTCTCCCAAGAGAATCTTACACTAACTACCTATCTCCTCTGTTTTACAACCTTTTTCCTGAATCTCTTGAAATTGATTTGTTCATCGTGGACAAAATTGCCATTCTTCTTATCTTCTTTTTAGTATTAAGTATGTCTTATCAGTTTTTCTTTGAAATTTTCTACTTTGATAATGATGCAAACATTTTACTAAACTGAGAAACTGTCTCCCTTCCCTAATTCAGGTATCAAACCACCATCCTGGCTAGTAAGTCTCTATTCTCTATCCCCCAAACTCTTTCTTCTGCATCCTTGTTTAGATGTTTCTGAAAGTTCTTGACCCTTTGATCGTCTCTATTATCTGTCCTTCAGTGACCTCATGGCTTTTGTCATCACCTTAAAGTGAACCTCTTCTAAATTTTCCTCTAGGCTGAAATCTCCACGTTTCTAACCACCATGGACACCCTCGCCACCTTTTAAAACCTTTGTTGTCTTTCAAGAACTTTCATAAATTCCATGTCTTCCATGAAAACATCTCAAGTATCTACAGGCAGAAGGAATTTCTCCTTCACTAGTGTCCTGTTGCCTACGATTGTAACATTTATGACCCACTTCCTTACTTAGTATCCATTTGTTAACATAAGTGCTTCTCATTTGCTGGTGGCATTTGGGACACTTTTTATTTTATTTTATTTTATTTTATTTTTTGAGATGGAGTCTCGCTCTGTCGACCAGGCTGGAGTGCAGTGGCATGATCTCAGCTCACTGCAACCTCCACCTCCTGGGTTCAAATGATTCTCCTGCCTCAGCCTCCCGAGTAGCTGGGATTACAGGCATGCACCACCATGCCCAGCTAATTTTTGTATTTTCAGTAGAGATGGGGTTTCATCATGTTGGCCAGGCTGGTCTCAAACTCCTGACCTCAGGTGATCCACCTGCCTCGGCCTCCCTAAGTGTTGGGATTACAGGCGTGAGCCACCACACCCGGCGGGACACTTTTTTGTTTTATTTATTTTAATTAGAATAACATGAGGTGTCAAAGTTTTTTTTTTTTTTGCGGAGTCTCGCTCTGTCAGGCTGGAGTACAGGGGTGCAATCTCAGCCTACTGCAACCTCTGTCTCCCGGATTCAAGTGATTCTCCTGCCTCAGCCTCCTGAGTAGCTGGGATTACAGGCCTGTGCCACCATGCCCAGCTAATTTTTTTTGTTTTTAATAGAGTTGGGGTTTCGCCATGTTGGCCAGGCTGGTCTGGAACTCCTGACCTCACGTGACCCTGTGCATCGGCCTCCCAAAGTGCTGGGATTACAGGCGTGAGCCACTGCGTCTGGCCATCAAAGTATTTTTTTTTAAATGAATGAATAAACCTATTATTCTTAGAGGTATCAATTTTTCTTTTCATTTGTTTCTTCCTTTCGAGGTTTCAATGTTTTAAAAGAGGTGGATAAACTGATAGGATGTATCCTGCCTATGGATTGTAAAGGGCTGGTTCCACACTTCGCAAGCTTCCCAAGGTCACTGAATTTAACGACATCTTCTGGAGGGTGGGTGTGGTAGGCATTAAAGTTGGCTGTAAGTTTAGAAATTGAATGCATTCCAAACTACCCTTGAAAAGTCCCTTTCATTGAGCATAAAATACAGTACATGAAGATTTTATCTTGTGTTGGAACTTTCTTCAGTTGAGTACCAGATTAAACAGGGGATCTAGAATCTACTCATTAAGATGAGGTATGCAGACTAAGATATGCATGTGGGAACTGAGACCATCTGGGGAATGGTATATTCTTGCTCTCACAGACTCCACTCTAGTGTCTACACACAGTCACTTGTGTGCAGTAGTTCTCTGTATGTGGTCCAAGGACTCCTAGAGGTCTCTAAGACCTTTTCAGAGGGTCCTCAGAGTCAAAATTATTTTCATAATGGTACTAAGATGCTATTTGCCCTTTTGACATATTTTCTCATGAGTGTACAGTGGAGTTTTCCCAAGGGTACATGATGAATACACAATGATCTAAAAAGGCCATTAAAATACTCTCCCTTTTCAACTACATGTCTCTGTGAGGCAGATTTTCTTTGTATACTTCAAGCAAAACCACTTATTGCAAAGGATTGAGTGCAGAAGCAAACATGAGAATTTAGCCATCTTTAGCCAGACATGAAAGAGATTTGCAAAAACATAAGACAGTGCTCTGTTTATGAACTTTTTTGGAAAATTTTTGTGTTAGCATGTAACAGGTTAAAATGAACTAATAAGTAAATATTTTTAAATGTCTCAGTTTTAATTTCATATGTGGTAAATATTGGTAGACATAATTTAAATAAACAAAATACTTTTTGGAGTACTTGGTAGTTTTTATGATTATGAAAGGATCCTAAGCTCAAGAAGTTTCAGAACTGCTGCTTTTGGAAATAAGATACTCCTGAGGCTGGATGCGGTGGCTCACGCCTGTAATCCCTGCACTTTGGGAGACTGAGGTGGGTGTATCACCTGAGGTCAGGAGTTCAAGACCAGCCTGGCCAACATGGTAAAACCCTGTCTCTACTGAAAATACAAAATTAGCCGGGTGTGGTGGGGCATGCCTGTAATCCCAGCTACTCAAGAGGCTGAGGCAGGAGAATCGCTTGAATCTGGGAGGTTGAGGTTGCAGTGAGCCGAGATCACGCCATTGCACTCTAGCCTGGGCAACAAGAGTGAAACTCTGTCTCAAAAACAAAAAAACAAAAAACAAAAAACCCCCCCAAAAAAATCAAACCTACTGATAGTGGAATGACAGTGAAACTGCCCACACTATTAAAACTGTTTTTCTCTCTGTCTTATTTTTCACCTTCTAGCCTTCTCTCATTCTTTTAGCAAAGCTTTTGAATTTGTCTAAGTTACACACGTGGTATGAGTGTCCCCCAAATTTTAAGGAGCAAAATCCAGTTGTGTCTTCTTTGTGCTGTGCTATACTGAAAAAAATAAGACAAATAATCTCCATTGTCTATATAAACCTTACTATGAATGTCATAAATAAAATTTAACCTGTAACTTCTTTTTAAAAATGTTTCTATTTTTTATATTATTGGACGTAGACACGGGGTCTCGATATGTTGCCCAGGCTGGCCTTGATCTCCTGGGCTCAATGATTCTCTAGCCATGGCCTCCCAAAGTGCTGGGATTCTAGGCGTGAGCCACCATGCCTGGCCAAACATGTAACTTCTAATAAAGGCTTTATTGTCTGAGAGGTTGGTAAGTTTCCTAAAAGTCAATTATTTAACAGTATATTTTCCCCAGTCATGGTGGTACATATCTGTAGTCCCAGATTCTCAGGGGGCTGAGGCAGGAATATCACTTGATCCTAGGAGTTCAAGGCCACAGTGTGCTGTGATCACGCCTGTGAATAGCCACTGCACTTCAGCCTGGGCAACATAGCAAGACTCTGTATTAAAACAAAAATAAAAGCATAGTTTCATGAGCCACTCCAAAAAAGACTTTATTTTAGGTCATGTAGTTTATTTGCATGTAGTACTAGTAAAGTTTTGGATAATTTAACAAGATATTTGGAGCATAAATGAAGACCATCTGTGTACATAGATAACAAATTTGTGAGCATTTTGGAGCTTGGAAATTGGAGAGAATTGAGTGCATGTAGGTGGAAAATCTAACCAGATTAGAGTGGTTGTACTACAAATAGGCCCAGCATTTGGTTAAATCTCTGTATTTTACTATCGAGGGACAGTTGTAAAGTACACTCATAAAGGAGACTTCCATTTCCTCTTCCCTTTTTATCAGAATGATTTAACAAGATCTGAAATTATAAATGTTTCATTTGCATGTTTTATTCCCCAGGAGACTGGTTAAACCCTGAAGCGTGAGTGACAACTGAGGAAAAGGATGTCTTTCGCTGCTATTTTGAAATTGGGTTTTGGGGCTGAAATAATGAGGGCTTCAACCAATTTGGAAAGAGGAAGGAAGGGGTATGATATCACTTCACTTTTCACCTTTCTGATGCACTTTACTTGGAAGGTTACTGTTGAGTTCCTCTAATCCCCTATTTGGCTCCAGGAAGATTTATAAATGTTTTACTCCTTAACTCTTGAGTTTATATAATCTAGAAATTCATTCTGACGTTCCATTTTTTTTTTTTTTTTGAGAGGGAATTTCTCTCTCATTGCCCAGGCTGGAGTGCAGTGGCACGATCTCAGCCCACTGCAACTTCCACCTCCTGGGTTCAAGCGATTCTCTTGCCTCAGCCTCCTGAGTAGCTGGGATTACAGGCGCCCACGACTGCGCGTGGCTAATTTTTTGTATTTTTAGTAGAGACAGGGTTTCATCATGTTGGCCAGGCTGGTCTCGAACTCCTGACCTCAGGTGATCCACCCACCTCAGCCTCCCAAAGTACAGGGATTCAGGCATGAGCCACTGCACCAGGCCTCATTCCAAGGTTCTAAATGCCTTTGCTTAGCAAAGCACTATGTGAAAATGTTAGTAAAATTTCTCAACTACTCAGGAGAAATGGCGTTTTAGGGAATTGTGAATTATTTAGTTGACATTCAATTTTTAGAGATGTTACCAAAAATAAATTACTACCAGCTAAATAGTGCTCACCTTTTACCACCAAAGTGAGATGAAGGTGTAAGGTTACTTTGTGTTCTCTGCCTCCTGGACAGACTATTTAGTGGAAAATCAGTCAACACACTTTCTGGTAGTGTTGGTGGAACAGGAACTTGGTTTTTAGATATTTTTAGCCTGGATGCTGTTTTTCTGAGACTGCCCCTCTCGGATCAAGTGTCAGGTAGGTATCCTTGCAGAATTTGGACAGATAGAAGGCCCTGAGCTGACACTTGAAAGTGGATGGGCTGGCTTTGCACTGATGGATTCCCTGAGCCAACAGATTGATTGATGGTACATCCTGATGTCCATCTACCTGGCACTTTGAAGGGATTCTTGCTTCAAGGGAGGCACTCTGAAGAAAAAATAACAAATGTTGATCTGGAGTCTGAAAATATTGTCTATTTGACCCATTCTAGTGTTGTGAATTCCAAGATAAATAAAATAATGCTCTCTTTTGAAGTGGATTACAATAAGGTTAAGAGAGAGAGAGAGATGGTCCAGTGAATGCAAGTAAACATTGTTAGTGCTGTGATGTGTGTAAGAGAGAATGCAGGAAATCAAAATCGGAGTCAGTTATCAGTTCCACTGAAGAAGTAGTTGTTAGATGATAGATTTTTTTTAAGGTGCAAAAAAGTTGTAGAAAGAAAACAAATGACCTGTTATCTTTGTCTCCCTTTACCTCCAATCATGCAAACTTGTGGATGTTTTTTTAAAAAAAAAAAGGTTGCCGGGCGCGGTGGCTCATGCCTGTAATCCCAGCACTTTGGGAGGCCGAGTTGGGCGGATAACAAGGTCAGGAGTTCGAGACCACCCTGGCTAACACGGTGAAACCCCATCTCTACCAAAAATACAAAAAAAAATTAGCCGGGCGTAGGTGGTGCATGCCTGTAGTCCCAGCTACTCAGGAGGCTGAGGCAGGAGAATGGCGTAAAACCCGGGAGGCGGAGCTCGCAGTGAGCCGAGATCGCGCCATTGCACTCCAGCCTGGGAGACAGAGCGAGACTCCGTCTCAAAAAAAAAGTCACTTTTTTGAAGATTAAGGAACATCTGTGAAATTATGCCTTCTCAGAGAGTACCCCAAGATAATTTATCTGGGAACCCTAAAAAGCCATAAAGTGGAAATACAGTTTGAACATCCCTACTCTGAAAATCTGAAATGTGAAATGCTCTAAAATCTGAAACTTTTTGAGTGCCATAAGCGGGAAATTTCACATCTGACTTCATGTGGCAGGTGGCAGTTGAAATGCAGTTAAAACTTTGTTTCAGTCATGCACAGTGGCTCACGCCTGTAATCCTAGCACTTTGGGAGGCCGAGGCGGGTGGATCACTTGAGGTCAGGAGTTTGAGACCAGCCTGGCCAACATGGTGAAACCCCATCTCTACTAAAAATACAAAAATTAGCTCGATGTGGTGGCAGGAACCTGTAATCCCAGCTACTTGGGAGACTGAGGCAGGAGAATCACTTGAACCTGGGAGGCAGAGGTTGCAGTGAGCCGAGATCGTGCCATTGCACTCCAGTCTGGGCAACGAGAGAAACTCCGTCTCAAAAAAACAAAACAAAACCAAACAAAAAACAAAACAAAACAAAAAAACTTTGTTTCATGCATAAAACTATTTATTTATTTATTTAGAGACAGAGTCCTGTTCTGTCACCCAGGCTGGAGTGCAGTGGCATGATCTCGGCTCACTGCAACCTCTGCCTCCTGGGTTCAAGTGATTCTCATGCCTCAGCCTCCTGAGTAACTGGGACTATAGGCGCCCGACACCACGTCAGCTAATTTTTGTATCTTTAGTAGAGATGGGGTTTTGCCATGTTGTCCAGGCTGGTCTCGAACTCCTGACCTCAAGTGACTTGCTCGCCTTGGCCTCCCAAAGTGCCGGGATTACAGGCGTGAGCCACCACACCCGGACAATTTTATGTATAAATTTTTAAAAAATATTGTGTAAAATTACCTTTTGTCTGTGCATATAAGATGTATATGAAACATAAATGAATTTCACATTCAGACTTGGATCCCTCCCCAAGGTATCTCACTATGTTAGTCTGTGAACATTTCTTTGCAATTCCCCAGCCTGACCTCAGGCCAAAGATTAGATATAAAATCTGATTATGTTTTAGGATGACACAAATTGAGACCAACACACCATTTCCCTTCTTTCTCCTTTGCCTTTCCCTCCCCTAAATTACAACAATTAAAAAGCAAAAAACATCCAGTCGATGAAGACTGCCATGATAGCTGCAGAAATGTCAAAATCCTTACTCTCAACTACCACGACCACAACAAATTTGCTGCTCTAGTGGCAGAAGCTAGCACACTTGGTGTTTGTCCTATCAGAACCAACAAACATTTGGTTCTCTGTTGAACTGAACATGGAGGCCTCTCGGAAGTGTGCTGGAGAGTATATTGCAAAGGAACTATTACGAGGTTGGCAGGGTGGGAAGTAAAGTTCTAAATTGAGAATTATTTGAAACATTTTCAAGCTAAAGGCTGCTTTTTTTTTTTTTTTTTTTTTCTGGTAGTTTTGAGATAAGATAACCGGAGTTGAAGGAGGAAAGTTTCCACATTCTTGTTATGACACGGGCTTCCTGTTTACACCTTTGGAGGGAAAATAGTATACATGGGTTCCTGAAGTTCTATTTTCAGCATGTTTGTTGCTCATTCAACAATCATTGGGTTAGGCCCTGGGGCAATAGAAATGACTGGCATGGGGCCTATAGGAGTTGGAGTCCAGGGAAGATGTGAGCCTGTAAAGGTCATTAAATCATAGTATGAGAGGAACTGTGAGGGAAATTTGGAGGTCAGGAGGCATTATTCTATGAAAAAAAAAATACATCAAAGTTAAGTTCCCAGACCATTAACCCAAAGCCAGTTTTTACTTTTAATATTGCTAGTAATAATACCTGAGCTTTATTCAGACTTAATAAGTCCCAGGAAGAATTCTAAACCTTTATCTAATCCTTTCAATAGTTCTATGAGGTACTATTATTATCCCCATTTTGATAGACAAACAGGCATGAAGAAATCGAATAATTTGTTCAGGTAGTCCTACTACAAAGCTGCCATTCAGCATTTTGAAAGAAGTGAATGGTTGAGCACAGCTTGCCTATTTTGTCTATACAGGCTTCTACATTAGATACCCTTTTAGCATCTGTTTTTAATAGTTAATTGGCCTTGAACTTGTCCCAGAGGCATGAAAAATACAAAAAATTAAAAAAATAGTTAATTGGTGCACATAAAGTTTAATGATATCAGTTTCTTATCTGTTTCCTCCTTTTTATTCTAACTTCCTTGAGAGCAGGAACTTTGTCTCGTTTGCAATAGAAGTCCCAGCATGCAGCGTGGGGGCCTATTCAAAATATTTGTTGAATGAATTCATAGATTCAGGTATTTTGAAATTCAGAATGAAGAATTCTTTGAGGACATACTGACTTTTTGTAACATGTTTGTCAGTGCTTTGCAAAAATTAGGTATTTAATAAATGTTTGGAGAATGAATAAATGAAATTGTTAACGTTTTTGAATAGGGGACAGGGCTGACTGATTCAAAAAGATAGTGTCATTTCTTTCTTTCTTTCTTTCTTTTTTTTGTGACAAGGTCTCACTCTGTCGCCCAGGCTAGAGTGCAGTGGCACAATCATGGCTCACTGCAGCCTCGACTTCCTTGGGCTTAAGCAATCCTCCCACCTCAGCCTTCTGGGTTGCTGGGAATTATAGGCACATGCCACCATGCACGGCTGTTTTTATTCCTGTATTTTGTAGAGACAGGGTTTCACCATGTTGCCCAGGCTGGTCTGGAAGTCCTGGGCTCAAGTGATCCACCTGCCTCGGCCTCACAAAGTGCTGGGATTACAGGTGTTGGCCACTGCGCTCAGCCGGATTGTGTCATTTCTTATTGAAATATAGATTTTGAATTCCCTGTTCATTTAGTTCCTTTTAAGTTCTGTGATTCTGGGTTGGGTGTGGTGGCTCATGCCTGTTATCCCAGCACTTTGGGAGGCCAAGGCAAGCAGACAACTTGAGTTCAGGAGTTTGAGACCAGTCTGACCAACGTGGTGAAACCCTGTTGCTACTAAAAATACAAAAATTAGCCAGGCATGCTGGTGCATGCCTATCATCCCACCTACTCAGGAGGCTGAGGCAGGAGAATCGCTTGAAACCTAGAGGCAGTGGTTTCAGTGAGCCGAGATTGCGCCAGATTGCAGTGAGCCAGGCTGGAATGCCTGGGCAACAGAGCAAGACTCCGTCTCAAAAAAAATAAAAAAATAAAAATAAATAAATAAATAAATAATTACATTGTATGACTGGGTTTTCCCAAGTTTTTTAGTGTTTTGCCAATTTAGTGAATGTCTTTTAATACATAGAAAATGCTGCTGAGCATGCAAAAAGAATAAGAGAGTAAAATGATTTAAGATGACTCTGGCCTTGATCTGGGAAGTTTTCCTTGTTTATAGGTAAGATTTAAATACACAGGAACCCATCAACTAATCTCTGTTTTTCTCCTTTCTATTTTACTTAAAAAAGTCTGGACTTCCATTATCTACAGTTCTGTTCAGTGATGAACACTTACGTTTAGGATTGGTGCATGTTGGACAAGATCCACTGAGCTTTTTTTGAGGATAGTGTGATAATGAGGTACCACAGCTGGATTTGTAGCATATTTTCTGGCCCAGTGCATTTCCTTCCACAGTAGAATGGGAGTAGATATGAGTGAGGTGGGGACTGCACTGACGTGGAGTTTGAAAAAGCTCCCTTTTAGAAAGCCTTCCTTTCATCTCTGTTCTAATATCTATGTGTGTATAAAGTAATATGGACACATATTCTTTTTTTTTTTTTTTTGAGACAGAGTCTCGCTCTGCCACCCAGGCCAGAGTGCAGTGGTGCAATCTCGGCTCACTGCAATCTCTGCCTGCCAGGTTCAAGCGATTCTCATGCCTCAGCCTCCTGAGTAGCTGGGATTATAGTTGCCTGCCACCATGCCCAGCTAATTTTTTGTATTTTTAGTAGAGACGGGGTTTCACCATGATGGCCAGGCTGGTCTCGAACTCCTGACTTCAAGTGGTCCACCCGCCTTGGCCTCCCAAAGTGTTGGGATTACAGGCATGAGCCACCACGCCCAGCTAGGACACGTATTCTTATACCATTTACAGCCAAAATATTTTTATATTAGAACTACTCACAAGTAGCTGGGATGTATAGTCCATCCAGTGTCCTCTGCCACTGGACTTGTAATATAGCTTATGGAGGAGCTTGGCTATGATATGGATTCTGTAGAATGGGAGAGAGTTTATTAGGAGGAAGAGTGAGTATCAACATCTCACTTGGATTTAGGGACAGTTCTAGGCTGTGCAACCTGAAACAACACACCCAATGGTAAAACTATGCTTGCAGAATGTGTATCGAATCTTGCTGAGTCACATCTCTTCTCTGACACTCTTTCCAGCTTCCTGTGAAATCTTAGCCAAAGTGGGACTTGATGGGTAAAAATTTTGAAGTTTCGGGAGCTTGGTATTTATTCCATAGGATTATGGTACAAGATATAAAAGTGACTTTTGGCAGATTTAAGAGGATATATCAGTTACATCTTTACTTCCTTGCTAGGGGTTTGTTCATGTAGGGCTTTTGTTACTCAAAGTGAGATTATGGGCATATTCACTTTGCGTGTCGTTTAATGTTCACATTTGGCTTATTTGTGCCTATGTTATCTGTAATAGAAACTGGTAAATGCTTAGCCTGTGTGGGGTTGGTCTTGGCATTTTAATTAGCATTCATGATACTTGAGTATTTCTTACCTGCAGGAACTACTATGGTTACATTGTTTTGTCACATAATTAGAGTATAAAATAATGACACTTTCTTTTTAGTCCCAGAAATCCTGGATTAAAGGAGTATTTGACAAGAGAGAATGTAGCACAATCATACCCAGCTCAAAAAATCCTCACAGGTAAAATTTTCAATTACCTTCTTCTTTTAAAAGCAACACTACCTGATGGACTATTTATAGAAACTTAGAAATATGACTTGTTTAGAAGTTTTGATCATATCTATAAAGTTAGAATTTTCAATGTTTATTTCTTTCACTTTATAAAAATAATACATGATTATTGTAGAAAATCTGGGAAGAACAGGGACCTTGTCCATTTTTACCTTACTCTTACTCCAGTGTCTGTGACAGTGCCTGCCACATAGTAGGCTCTTGATAAATATCTGTGTTTTTGTTTTTTTGAGACGAAGTCTCGCTCTTGTCCTCCAGGCTGGAGTGCAGTGGCGCAATCTCAGCTCACTGCAACCTCCACCTCCTGGGTTCAAGTGATTCTCCTGCCTCAACCTCCCGAGTAGCTGGGATTACAGGCACCTGCCACCACGTCCGGCTAATTTTAGTATTTTTAGTAGAGACAGGGTTTCACCGTGTTAGCCAGGATGGTCTCAATCTCCTGACCTCGTGATCCACCCACCTCGGCCTCCCAAAGTGCTGGGATTACAGGCGTGAGCCACCGAGCGATAAATATCTGTTTAAGGAATTTAATGAAGTACAAAGAAGTTATTCTTAATGCCGTCACTGTTAATATTGTCGTGGATTTCATTCTACTTGATTCTTCTGTTCCTCTTGATGGGAGGATAGACGTTACAGAAATATCTAGTGTTACATCCATTTCAGTGGGTTGGAATCAATAAATTACATTTTCTGAATACTGAATATTCAAAATATTGTGAATGTTTCTTATCCCCAACTAAAGTATCTGTGGAAAATAGTGACTGGTATATTTAAGTACACTGTGCCCAGATTAGATGAACAGGTAATTTCAGTTCCGTTTTCCTTCCATAGACTTTATTTTTATGGAATGCTTTATGAATTTGCATGTCATCCTTGAGCAGGGGCCATGCTAATCTTCTCTGTATCATTCCAATTTTAATATGTGTGCTACCGAAGTGAGCGCCCATAGGCTTTTGGATTGAGCAGATAATCGGTAGCAGAATGGAATAATTTGAGTTTGACTACTGAGTTCTTGACAATGCTTTGGAAGCTCTACTTGTAAAACAAAGGTCAAAAAAGCAACTAGTGAAAGATAGGGGAAGAAAGGGCTATGGAAAATTCCTCTGGGTAATCAGGTCTGTGAAATTAAGATTGACATTGCCCTTGGAAAAATTAATTAAAAGGAAAATAGAAGAGTAATATTTTAAGTAAAGGAACCAACCTATTTTTAGATTTTTTTGGGCATTTGTCCTTATATGCCTTTAAGGTTTAGAACTCATAACTATGTGTTATGAAGGGTAGCAAGGTAAGGTTTTTGAAATTCTAGTTCTTTGGAGATGACTGAAATAGTGTTCTTTGCCTTTGTTAAATATTTACTAGTCCCACCCTTATTGAATTACCTATGATTTGTAAGTCTTGTGATTGGAAATTCTCTTTTTACCTGCTTAAGAAAGGTTTATAGTATGCCAAGATAACCTTGTTTTTCCCCTTCATTTTTTATGACATCATGTGGTGGTGACTGCAATGGAATGCAAGTTGATTCAGGTGGCTCATTTTGTGTCTGTGAATAAAAAAATCATTTTTACAATAATCTTGAATCTCAAAAAAAAAGTGATGAAATTACTGAGTCTTTTACTAGCCCATAGACTCAAGAAGAGTATCAACGATTGTAATTCCATGAATGTTCCAAGGCATGATGTACTTTTAGCAAGTGAAAAAACTGTCTCTATATTGTGGGATTGTAGATAAAAGTTAAGGTATGATTATGGCTATTTCTTCTAGCCAGCCTTTTTTTTAGATCCTAGTAAAATTCTCAGAATTGAGGCTTTTTTGCAGTTTTCTTCATTATTGGTGCACAGGAAGTGGGTGATAATTCACTTTTTAAAATATCGATAAAAGTTTGTTTTATTATTTTTGTAGCTCCCAATAAGAAACAAATCTGATACACTTGATTATAACATCTTTTTCCTTCTCATTTTCAATTTACTGTTGAAGGAAAGCTTCTGAGAAAAGGCATTCCCAAAAGGCTGGGACAGGAAGAAATAAAAGTCCTGAATATTAGTTTCTGAATAACTTAGAGCGGCCCTTATTTTAGGAACATTACCTTTTCTTCCATTATTTTAACTAGACTTCCCTGTTAATACTTCTTCACACACACACACACACACACAGACACACACACACACACACACATATTTTGAGACAGGATCTTGCTGTGTCCCCCACGTTGCAGTACAGTGGCATGATCTTGGCTTACTGAAGCCTCGACCTCCTGGACTCAAACAACCCTCCCATCTTAGCCTCCCAAGTAGCTGGGACCACAGGCACATATCAGCACACAGGGCTAATTTTTTGAATTTTTATAAGAGTCAAGGTCTCATTATGTTGCCCAGGCTAGTCTTGGACTCCTGAACTCAAGCAATCCTCTCACCTCAGCCTCACAAAGTGCTGGGATTACAGGCATAAGCCACTGTGCCTGGCCCAAAAATATAACTGATGACAACAGTGCTAACCCCTAAATCTATAAGGTTCTTCTGAATAATAAAAAAGAAAGATTAATAAAGGATAATTTGTAATTATACCAAATGTCCCTTATTTGATAGTGCTTTATGGTTTTAAAGTGGTTTACATATATCTATTTTCTTGATTCTCAAGAAATCTGTGTTATCTTCATAGTTTAATAATAATAGTAGCTACCATTATTGTACACACTGTCTTTACCAGGTACCATAAGACACATTACATATTATTATCTCTGATAATTATTTTAATAACCTTATGAAGCAGATATTATTTTCAGATATAAAAACTGGGGCTTAGAGTAATTGTTAAATCAATGAGATTTAAATTGAGGTATTTTGGTTCTAAACTGAATGTTGTATTAATTAGATCACAGTTGCTGCAGTAATTATATGTGGTAAATGCCATAATGGAATATTTGGAACATGATATATGAATTTCAGCAAACCTTGATTTCTAGATCATGGAAAATAATAGATATTTACTGTACAAGCATTAAATGTATTTTCAGATACACCAACAAACTAACAGAGGTTTTATTTCTTTAATTTAGATGTACTCCAGTATGCCAAGTCTGCCAGAATTTAATCAGGTAAGACTTAGATAAGCAAGATTCCTTTTAGCTTTTAGGCACCCTATTTAAAATTCACTGGGACAGTTTCCTCATATCTTGAATGTACTCAGTAAATGGTGCATGCCATTTACCTTTCCAAGGGAAGTTTTAAAAAGATGTTTTTGATGGAGAGTGAGTATTCGAACGTAATAGACTACTTGAATTACTGAGACATGTAAATTGGCTAAGGGCCTTCGACAAGAATTTCTACCAAGGGAAACACTTGTAAAGCATTACATTTTAGTTTTATGATCACATTTGGATAATGAAGATGCTGCATGCGCATACGGGACTGTAATTGATGTATGAATTGCAGGTGCCTTGTATGCATACTAAGCTTATGGGCAAAAAGCTGTTTAGTGCAATACAAATTTTAACAGTGATTTGCATTTTAAACTATGTGACCGTTTTTACCTTTCTCTTTTGTAAGTAGAAGGAAATGAAATTTTCTTAATTCTGATCATAGCCTGAAGTTTATATAATGGATTGAACCAAAGTTAAATTTATTCTTGGAAAAAAACATTTGGGACTAGGCACAGTCACTCACACCTGTTATCCCAGGATTCTGGGAGGCCAAGGTGGATGGACTGCTTGAGCTCTGATTTGAGGCCAGTTTGGACAACATGGTAAAACCCTGTCTCGACGTACAAAAGCAAAAACAAAACCCAAAAAATTGTAGCGGGACTTGTTGGTGTGTGCCTGTATACTCAGCTACTTGGAAAGCTGAGGTGAGAGGATTGCTTGAACTTGGGAGGTCAAGGCTTCAGTGAGCTGTGATTACGCCACTGCACTCCCACCTGGGTGGCAGAGTGAGACCCTGTCTCAAATAAAAAATAAAATAAAATAAAAAATTGGAACCCTCAGTTTAGCAAATCATGGGGAGAGGAAACCAGCATCCACAGATATGGAACGAGAAGAAGGAGGAGGTTGCTGGAGGAAGAATTTCTACTTGGCTGACCTCTCACTTTTTCCTCAATTTTTTTCTTTCCTTTTAGTAATTATTTAAAATTTTGCTCTTAGCTTGGTGCAAACGTAATTGCGGTGTTTGCTACTGAAAGTAATGGTGAAGACCACAATTAATTTTGCATAAACCTAATAAAATGCAAAGCAAAATAAGAATATAATAAAAAGAAAAGACCTCATATATTCTACCTAGTTTCTACTATATTCTTTAGAAACTCTCCTTCTCAATGTCCTCCAAAATCTCAACCCCACAACCTTCAGAGACAACTAACGTGAACATATTGGAAAAGCATCTACTTTTATACCTCTCAGAAATTAAAAATGGTTAAAAACTAGTCATTTTTGCACATAGATGAGACTAGTTTTATTTTTTTGATAGGGAGAGCCAAATGTCCTAATACGAGTTACTGAGCAGTCTCTCCTAGTCTCACTCATTTCTGATGCTGTCTGTGTTATATACCACATTTCCATCCATCTATGGCTTTGTTTCTGAGCTTTCTTTTCAGTATTTTGATCTACTTCTATGCTTGTCAAATGCCACTCTGTTTCATTATTATAGTTTTGTAATATATGTCTTGATATCTGATAGGGTAAGTTTCCTATACTTTATTTATCTTTTAAAAATTGTTTTTACTTTTCAAAACACTTTTATGCATTTATTTTATTTTATTTTATTTTTTTAGTATTTATTGATCATTCTTGGGTGTTTCTCGGAGAGGGGGATTTGGCAGGGTCATAGGACAATAGTGGAGGGAAGCTCAGCAGATAAACATGTGAACAAGGGTCTCTGGTTTTCCTAGGCAGAGGACCCTGCGGCCTTCCGCAGTGTTTGTGTCCCTGGGTACTTGAGATTAGGGAGTGGCGATGACTCTTAACGAGCATGCTGCCTTCAAGCATCTGTTTAAAAAAGCACATCTTGCACCGCCCTTAATCCATTTAACCCTGAGTGGACACAGCACATGTTTCAGAGAGCACAGGGTTGGGGGTAAGGTTATAGATTAACAGCATCCCAAGGCAGAAGAATTTTTCTTAGTACAGAACAAAATGGAGTCTCCTATGTCTACTTATTTCCGCACAGACACGGTAACAATCTGATTTCTCTTCCTTTTCCCCACATTTCCCCCTTTTTCTATTTGACAAAACCGCCATCGTCATCATGGCCCGCCCTCAATGAGCTGTTGGGTACACCTCCCAGACGGGGTGGCAGCCGGGCAGAGGCGCCCCCCAACCTCCCGGATGGGGCGGCTGCCGGGCGGAGACGCTCCTCACTTCCCTGACGGGGCGGCTGCCGGGCGGAGGGGCTCCTCACTTCCCCGATGGGGCGGCTGCCGGGCGGAGGGGCTTCTCACTTCTCAGACGGGGCGGCCGGGCAGAGACGCTGCTCACCTCCCAGATGGGGTGGCGGTCGAGCAGAGACACTCCTCAGTTCCCAGACGGGGTCGCGGCCGGGCAGAGGCGCTCCTCACATCCCAGACGGGGCGGCGGGGCAGAGGCGCTCCCCACATCTCAGACGACGGGGGGCCGGGCAGAGACGCTCCTCACTTCCCAGACTGGGCGGCCAGGCAGAGAGGCTCCTCACATCCCAGACGATGGGCGGCCAAGCAGAGATGCTCCTCACTTCCCAGACGGGGTGGCTGCTGGGCAGAGGCTGCAATCTCGGCACTTTGGGAGGCCAAAGCAGGTGGCTGGGAGGTGGAGGTTGTAGCGAGCCGAGATCACACCACTGCACTCCAGCCTGGGCAACATTGAGCACTGAGTGAGCGAGACTCCGTCTGCAATCCCGGCACCTCGGGAGGCCGAGGCGGGCAGATCACTCGCGGTCAGGAGCTGGAGACAAGTCCGGCCAACACTGCGAAACCCCGTCTCCACCAAAAAATACAAAAACCAGTCAGGCGTGGCGGCGCGCGCCTGCAATCCCAGGCACTCGGCAGGCTGAGGCAGGAGAATCAGGCAGGGAGGTTGCAGTGAGCCGAGATGGTGGCGGCACAGTCCGCCTTGGCTAGGCATCAGAGGGAGACCGTGGAGAGAGGGGGAGAGGGAGACCATGGAGACGGAGACGGAGAGGGAGAGGGAGAGGGAGAGGGAGAGGGAGGAGGGGGAGCGGGAGAGGGAGCGGGAGAGGGAGCGGGAGCGGGACACTTTTATGCATTTATACAATTTTTTTTTTTTATTGAAAGAAAATTTTAGCTAAGTGTGGTGGGCACATGCTTGTAGTCCTAGCTACTCAGGAGATTGAGGCTGGGGGATAGCTTGAGCCAAGGAGTTCACATTCAGCCTGGGCAACGCAGCAAGATCCTGTCTCAAAAAGAAAAAGAAAAAGTAAACATTTTCTTTAAAATAGTATGTTTTAAAAAGTAGTTCCGCTACATTGCAATACTATCATTAAAAAAAAAAATTCTAATTTTTAAAAGCAAGGTCTTGCTCTTTCTCCCAGGCTGAAGTGCGGTGGTACAGTCATAGCTCATTGCAACCTCAAACTCTTGGGTTCAAGTGATCCCCACTCTTCAGCCTCCTGAGTAGCTACCCCCCTCCTGGCATGTACCACTGTGTCTGGCTGATTTTTTTTGTTTTTTATTTTTTATAGAGATGGGTTCTTGCTATGTTGCCCAGGCTGTTCTAGAACTCCTGGCCTTGAGTGATCCTCCTGCCTCGGCCTCCCAAAGTGCTGGGAGCCACCGCACCTGGACTATATTGCAATACTTAAAAATAATCCTAAATCTCCTTGTCAATAAGTGACTGTAATATATATATTATATATATATGTATTATATATATATATTTTTTTTTTTTTTTTGAGACAAAGTCTAGCTCTGTCACCCAAGCTGGAGCGCAGTGGCGCAATCTTGGCTCACCACAACCTCCACCTCCCAGGTTCAAGCGATTCTCGTGCCTCAGCCTCCCGAGTAGCTGGGATTACAGGCGCCCACCACCACGCCTGGCTAATTTGTTGTATTTTTAGCAGAGATGGGGTTTCACCATGTTGGTCAGTGTGATTTTGAACTCCCGACCTTAAATGTTCCGCCGTCCTCAGCCTCCCAAAGTGCTGGGATTACAGGCGTGAACCACTGTGCCCAGCTGATTTAATATAAATTTTAGAATCACCTTGTCATGTTCCCTGAAAAATATTTTGAGATTTTGATTTTTTTTTCTTTTTAAATTTATTTTATTCTTTGTTTCTAACATGGCTGTGAAATGCTCTGAGTGATGGGTATTTTACTGAATTTATAAAACAATTTGAGAGGGAATTGACATTTTTTTTAACCCCCCTCCTGGAATTGACATTTATATAAAGTGAGCTTTTAGTACTTGTTAGTGATATGTTCTTTGAGACTTCAAAAGTTGTAATTAAAGAGACAAACATGAATATATATTTTTTAATTTTGGAGGTCTGTTTCTTCTATGGGACCTTGCTACAATTTAATGAACTAGAAAAAAAAAGAATAAAATGTCAACTCAAATCAAATAGATAATCAGAATAGAAATATACTTAAGCTGAACGTTGGTTTGCACTAAAGAACTGCCTTATAAAAGCATAATGAGTTATCTCTCCAGATGAGGTTACCTCAATTTATGTTTTGTGTAGAAAAAGCCAGGCAGATGAATCATTATTTGTCTTGTGTTTGAATAGATGCTGCTTCATTTTGAAGGGTGACCCTTGTTCCAAAAGATGATCAGATGACACCATTCTAACTAGTAGATCCTGATTATGTATATTCGGTACATTTGGGATTACTGTGCCTCCCTTTACATTAAGAACCTTTCCATATGGAACCCCAATATTCTTACTTTGCCTTTTTTTTGTTTGTTTTTTTGTTTTTTTTTGAGACGAAGTTTTGCTCTTGTTACCCAGGGTGAAGTGCAATGGTGTGATCTCGGCTCACAGTAACCTCTGCCTTCTAGGTTCAAGCAATTCTCCTTCCTCAGCCTCCCGAGAAGCTGGGATTACAGGCACTTGCCACCACACCTGGATAATTTTTGTATTTTTAGTGGAGACAGGGTTTCACCATGTTGGCCAGGCTGGTCTTGAACTCCCGACCTCATGTGATCCACCCACCTCAGCCTCCCAAAGTGGTGGGAATACAGGCGTGAGCCACCGCGCCCGGCCTTACGTTGGTTTTTACATACACAGAAGTTTTCATCACCTGCGCTTGTTCTGGTTATCTTTTTTTTTGAGACAGAGTCTCCCTCTGTCGCCCAGGCTGGAGCGCAATGGCCCAATCTCGCCTCACTATAACTTCCACTTCCCGGGTTCAAGCGATTCTCGTGCTTCAGCCTCCTGAGTAACTGAGATTACAGGCACGTGCCACCACGCTCAGCTGATTTTTGTATTTTTAGTAGAGATGGGGTTTTACCATGTTGGCCAGGCTGGTCTTGAATGCCTGACCTCAAGTGATCCGCCCGCCTTGGCCTCCCAAAGTGCTGGCATTACAGGCGTGAGCCACTGCGCCCAGCCCTGTTCTAGTTCTCTGAAGAGATTGTAAGTTGTAGACACTTCTGTTTCCCCTGTAACTTCTCACCATGTGCTACTTCATATGCTGCTCAATACAGCAGATGCACAATAAGTATCCTTAGCCCACTGATCACCTCTTTCAGAGCAGGGTCCTGCAACACTGAGCATTGCTACAGGTTCTCAGTTACACAATGAAAGGAAATGGAAGGCATTAGAGACCACCTTGTCCAACCAATCCTTACATTACTGCAGTTGAAGAAATAGAGGCTTTGGGAGAGTAGAGATTTGCATGACGTTGGCCATCTCCTGGTCCAGTGCTTTTGCTCCAGGACACATCGCTTCCTAGATGCTTCCTGTTTATGGCCTAGGCTGCCTGCACTTCAGCTCTTGTTTTTGGTTCCCCTGCTTGTCAGGTACAATCCACTGTTCTATAGCCAGGATTTTAGTCACCTAGAGCTACCATAACAAAATACCACAAACTGGGTGGCTTAAACAACAGAAATGAACTTTTCACAGTTCTGGAGGTCAGAAATCCAAGACCAAGTTGTTTGCAGGGTTGGTTTCTCTTGTGATCTCTCCTTGGCTTGCAGATGGCCACCTTCTTATTGTGTCTTCAGATGGTTTTTCTCTGTGTGCACACATCCTGGGGATCTCTCCTTCTTCTAAGGACATCATTTCTATCAAATTAATCCTTCATCCTTATGACTTAATTTAACTTAACTTTTTTTTTTTTTTTTTTTTGAGATGAAGTTTCACTCTTATTTCCCAGGCTGGAGTGCAATGGTGCAATCTCAGTTCACTGCAACCTCCGCCTCCTGGGTTCAAGCGATTCTCCTGTGTTAGCCTCCCGAGTAGCTGGGATTACAGGCACCTGCCACCACACCTGGCTAATTTTTTGTATTTTTAGTAGAGATGAGGTTTCGCCATGTTGGCCAGGTTGGTCTCGAACTCCTGACCTCAGGTGATCTGCCCACCTCGGCCTCCCGAAGTGCTGGGATGAAAGGCGTGAGACACCGTGCCCTGCTGAATTTAACTAAACTTTAAGGAGGTAATTAATGCAGTCACATTAGGGGTCAGAGCTTCAGCATATGAATTTTGTCAGAAAACAATTCAGTCCATAACAGCTAGCCACATTTCTCCACCATGTACTCAAATGTATTTGTCTCTATTGTCTCTTTGGAACATTTTGGAAATTGAGCTCTGGCCCTGTCTAGATTTCTTTACGTTTTTTTCTTCTCACTGTATGTATTTGTCATCAGATAAGCAGATATATAGAAGTTAAATATAACATTTACTAATGTATACTGCACCTTACGTAGTCCATGGAATTAATTGTGCATCAGAATATAGACACAGAAATTTAGAATGAAAAGCTGTCAAGAAGAATATTGACTCTTTCAGGCGGGGCATTGCAGGCATTACTATCTAGCTGGAGGCAGGGCAGTTGAGGAAAACTGTGGACCAGGATGCAATTTTTAATTAAAGAAGGTTTAGAAATTTGGAAGGAGTAGTCCCACCTTTTCTGCCATTTTACCTTCCATTGTTTCAGTTTCTCATGGGCCAAAAAGATTAAATAGAAAATCCCAGAAAAAAAGCAATTTATGGGTTTAAAATTGCGTGCCATTCAGAGTGGCATGATAAAATCTCTTGCCATTTGCTTTGTCCAACCTAGGACACGAATCATTCCTTTGTCCAGCCTAGCCATGCTACAGACGCTCCCCACCCGTTAGTGGCTTAGTAGCTGTCAGGGTTATCTGATTGACTGTCTTGGTATTGCAGTACTTGAATCCAAGTAACCCTTCATAATGGCTCCAAAGTGCAAGAGTAGTGATGCAGGCAATTTGGACATGCCAAAGAGCCATAAAGTGCTTTCTTTAAGTGAAAAGGTGAAAGTTCTCAGCTTAATAAGCTAAGAATAAAAGTTAGCTGAGGTTGCTAAGATCTGTGGTACAAATCCATCTTCTATCCATGAAATTGCGAAGAAAGAAAAAGAAATTCATGCCAGTTTTACTGCTGTACCTTCAGTTGCAAAATTATGGCCACAGGGCCATAATTTTGATAAATGCTTAGTTAAAATGAAACAGTCGTTGCATTTGTGGGTGGAAGACATGAACAGAAACCTGTTCTGATTGACAGCAATTAGGTTTGGTACTATCTGCGGTTTTGGGCACCCGCTGGAGGTCTTGGAACATATGCCCTGAAGGTAAGGGAGAACTACTGCTACATATATATTTTTTCTTGAGACGGGCTTCATAACTTCATTATTTATCTATTTTTCAGAATTCCTGAGTGTAGGCTTCATAACTTTAATCAGAGACACAAAGTTACTTATGGGTCTTAAAATCAAGAATGACAATGGTTTAGAGTATACTTTGTCTTTGACTATATATGACTATATATATATGACTTTGACTATATATGACTATATATATGACTATATATATGACTGTATATGACTATACATATGACTATATATATGACTATATATATATTAAAGCCAGTCAAATTTAGCAGTGGGGGGTTGTATACCAACTTTAGTGACACTAATGTTAGTAAGTTCTGATAACCTACTACCATCAGAGCAGCCTGCCTTTGACAATATTGAATGCAAATTAACATCTTAAAATAATGATTAAAAATCCCAGCACTTTGGGAGACTGAGGGAGAAGGATTGTTGGAGCCCAGGAGTTCAAGATCAGCTTGGGCAACATGGCAAAACCCCAAATTAGCCGGACGTGATAGTCGTTGCCTGTAATTCCAGCTGCATGGGAGGCTGAGGTGGGAGAATTGATTGAGCACGGGAAGTTGAGGCTGCAGTGAGCCATGGTCACACCACTGCACTCCAGCCTGGGTGACAGAGTAAGACCTTATCTCAAACTAAACAGTGAAAATTTTAAAAAGTGAGAATGTTATAATAATTTAAAAAAATTTTTTTACAAAGGAAATGTGTCCTTGCTAGTACTTGACATTGTCAGCCATTTTCAGTTAAAACTTGATGGTGTGTGAATAGCAGCACCTAATTGTGAAAAGACCATTGTTGGCTTGCAGAACACCTCGTCTGTGTACTCAAGGTAGCAAAGGAATAATGTCATGGTGGATTAGTGCATGGAGCCATGTGTGGTTTGTAGACTCATAGGACTGATGACTAGGCTTTTTGGAACGTGTAAACAAACCCAAGTCTGAAGATTTTAATAGATGAAGATAATTTCTTAAAAGTGTGCTTTTTAGAAAAATATTGTAAAATAGCCGGGAGCAGTGGCTCACGACTGTAATCCCAGCACGTTGGAAGGCCGAAGTGGGTGGATCACCTGAGGTCAGCAGTTCAAGGCCAGCCTGGGCAACATGGTGAAACCCTGTCTCTACTAAAAATACAAACAAGTTATCCAGGCGTGGTGACACACCCCTGTAATCCCAGCTACTTGGGAGGCTGAGGCAGGAGAATTGCTTGAATCCAGGAGGTGGAGGTGGCAGTGAGCAGAGATCATGTCACACTGCATTCCAGCCTGGGCAACAGAGAGAGAGACTCTGTTTCACAAAAAAAAGAAAAAAAATTCTAAAATATCGATAAGAAAAATGTTTTCAGTTTTTAAAGTTCCTGCTATACCTATCTAATTCTCATATAAAATGTGTCACTGAAGTTCATACCAGAAAACAATATAATTGTTTTAAATGAGAATTAGGTATAGCAAGAACTTTAAAATAATATGATAGGGCCGTTCTTGCAAAGGAGGTACATAAATGTAGAAATATGAATTTCCCTTTAAGAAGAGAATGAGCTTTAATTATAGGGAAAAAAAAGAAGCAAACAATTTGCGCCTTAAATGTCTGTTCATGTACTGGGCCATAAATTGACTTGTTTGTATTGACAAGAAATCTAAAGAAAACAGAAATTTAATATCTAGGCAGCTAAGCAGAATCAACTTACCTGATCAACTTATCTGTTGATTAATCAAGGTTAGGTGAAAGTCACAGTAGGAACTGTACTCAATTATTTATAATAAATGACAAATTTTCTCTGCTTCTTGATATTCATTTTGAAGAGATAAGAACTCTCTTGATGTCAAATTGATTTCCTAGGGAGGATATTTTTGTTTATTTTTTACGTAAATTTTTTTTAAATCATCCATCCCAAAATGTCAGAGAGGCTCTTATTACTCATCTAAATTATAACTCTTTCCCTCTACATTTGTATTTTTGTTAGTTTTATTCAACATGTTGTAGATAATGCATAAAATGATAAATTATTCTTACTTTTCGTTTTGTTTTGAGACAGAGTTTTGCTTTGTTGCCCAGGCTGGAGTGCAGTGATGTAATTTCGGCTCACTGCAGCCTCTGCCTCCCAGGCTCAAGTGATTTTCCTGCCTCCCTAGTAGCTGAGATTACAGACTTGCTCCACCACACAGGGCTAATTTTTTATATTTTTTTGTAGAGACAGGGTTTTGCTATGTTGCCCAGGCTGGTCATGAACTCTTGGCCTCAAGCGATTCTCCCACCTCACCCTCCCAATGTGCTGGAATTACGGGCGTGAGCCACTACCCTTGGCCTGTTTATCTTTTTGTGATTGGCTTCTTTTAATTAGCATAATGTCTTCAATGTTTTTCCATGTTATAGCATATGTCAGAATTTTCTTCCTTTTTAAGGCTGAATCATATACCATGGTATTTATATACCACATTTTGTTTGTCCACTTCTCCACGATGGACATTTGGGTTGCTTCCACTTTGTGGATATTCAGAATAATGCTGCTATGAACATGAGTATGCAAGAGATTTTTAGTACAGGCATACCTCATGTATGTTACTTTATTGTGCTTTACTGATATTGCATTTTTTATAATGTGGAGGTTTGTGGGAACCTTGCATTAAGCAAGTCTGTCAGTGCCATTTTTCCAGTGGCACATGTTCATTTCTTGTCTCTGCATCACATTTTAATAATTCTCGCAATATTTCAAACTTTTTTATTTTATCATTATTGTATCTGTTATGACAATCTTTAATCGGCGATCTTTGATGTCACTATTGTAATTGTTTTGGAGTGTCATGAACTGCACCCATATAAGATGGGGCAAACCAATTAGATAAATGTTATATATGTTCTGACTATTCCACTGACCGATCCTGTCTCTCTCCCTCTACCTTGAGATGCCACAGTGTTGAAATTAGGCCAATTAATAATCCTATAATGGCCACTTAGTGAAACAAAATGAAATAAAGAGTCTTGCATATCTCAGTTTAAATCAAAAGCTAGAAATAATTAAGCTTAGTGAGGAAGGCATGTTGAAAGCTGAGATAGGTTGAAAGCTAGGCCTCTTGTGCCAAACAGTTAGCCAAGTTGTGAATGCAAAGGAAAGGTGCTTGATGGAAATTATAAGTGCTACTCCAGTGAACACACAAATGATAAAAAAAGAAACAACTTTATTGCTGATATGAAGAAAGTTTGAGTGGTCTGGATGGAAGATCAAACCAGCCACAGCATTCCCCTAAATGAAAGACTAATCCAGAATAAGGTCCTAACTCTTTTCAATTCTATGAAGTCTGAGAGAGGTGAGAAAGCTTCAAAAGAAAAGTTTGAACCTAGCAGATGTTGGTTCATGAGGTTTAAAGAAAGAAGCAGTCTCTGTAATATAAAAGTTCAGGGTGAAGCAATAAATGCTAACAGAGGAGCTGCAGCAAGTTATTTAGAAGATCTAGCTAAGATTATTGATGAGGTACCTACACTAAACAAAGATTTTCAATGTAGACCAACAGCCTTATGTTGGAAGAAGATGCCATCTGAGACTTTCATAGCTAGAGAGAAGTCAATGTCTGGCTTCAAAACTTCAAAGGACAGGCTGACTCTCTTGTTAGGAGACAATTGGAGGTTTGTGGGAACCTTGGATCGAGCAAGTCTATCAGTATCTGTGCTGGTGACTTTGTGTTAAAGCCAGCCCTCATTTACCATGCCAAAATTTTAGGTCCCTTAATAATTATGCTAAATGTACTCCACTTGTGCTCTATAAATAGAACAACAAAGCCTGAATCTCAGTACATTTGTCTTTAGTATGGTTTACTGAATATTTTAAGCCCACTGTTGAGATCTACTGCTTTAAAAAAGAAAGATTCCTTTAAACATATTTCTGCTCATTGACCACACACCTGGTCACCCAAGAGCTCTTATGGAAATATTACAAGGAGATGAATGTTGTTTTCATGCCTGCTAACACAACATCCATTCTGCAGCCCCAGCCCATGGATCAAGAAATAACTTTAAATTTCAACTCTTTTTTTTTTTTTTTTTTTGAGATGGAGTCTTGCTTTGTCGCCCAGGCTGAAGTGCAGTGGCACTATCTCGGCTCACTGCAAGCTCCACCTCCTGGGTTCATGCCATTTTCCCGTCTCAGCCTCCCAAGTAGCTGGGATTACAGGCGCCTGCCACCATGCCCGGCTAATTTTTTTTTTTTGTATTTTTTAGTAGAGACGGGGTTTCACCACGTTAGCCAGGATGGTCTCGATCTCCTGACCTCATGATCCACCCGCCTCGGCCTCCCAAAGTGCTGGGATTACAGGCGTGAGCCACCGCACCTGGCCTTCAACTCTTATTATTTAAGGAATACATTTGGTATGACTTTAGCTGCTGTAGGTAGTGATTCCTCTGATGGATCTGGACAAAGTAAACTGAAAACTTTCTGGAAAGGATTCACCATTCTAGATGCCATTAAGAACATTCGTGATTCATGGGAGGAGGTCAAAATGCAACATTAATGAGAGTTTTAGAGATGCTGATCCCAACTTTCATGGATGACTTTGAGGGGTTCAAGACTTCAGTGGAGGAAGTCACTGTAGAAGGTGCTGGAAATAGCAAGACATCTACGATTAAAACTGGAGCTTGAAGGGTGTGACTGAATCTCATTAAAAAACTTGATTAGATGAGGAGGTGCTTCTTATGGATGAATAAAGAAAATGGTTCATTGAAATGGAATCTACTGGTGAAGATAGACCATTGTAGAAACGACAACAAAGGATTTAGAATATGACATAAACCTAGTTGATAAAACAGTGGCAGAGTTTGAGAAGATTGACTCCAGTTTTGAAAGTAGTTCTACTGTGGGTAAAATGCTATCAAATAGCATCACATGCTACAGAGAAATCTTTTGTGAAAGGAAGAGTTAATCAATGTGGCCAACTTCATCATTGTCTTATTTTAAGACATAGCCCCAGCCACCTTAACCTTCAGCAACCACCATTCTGATCAGTTAGCAACCATCAACATTGAGAGAAGACCCTTCACCAGCACATAGATTACAACTCACTGAAGGCTCAGATGGTTGGTAGCGTTTTTTAGCAATAAATTATTTTAATTAAGTTATGTACGTTGTTTTTTAGACGTAATGCTATTGAACACTTAATACACTTAATAGTGTCAGCATAACTACTATATGCATTAGGAAACCAAACTATTTGTGTGACTAGCTTTATTGCCATATTCACTTTATTGTAGTGGACTGGAACCAAACTTTCAATGTCTCCAAGGTATTCCTGCCTTTAAAGAAAAAATATTCTCCAAATTATCCTAATGTGCAGCCAAGAGAGAGAACCACTAATAGTGTTTCTAAACTTAGAAGACAGTCCTATGTTAGAAATTTAATATAAACCTTAATGTGAAGTTTTAAGAAATAGTATATGGCATCTATACATTACTTTAGAAAAAGGTAGACATATTGCATCTATTTTCTATTTTGAAGTTGAGTTTTTTTTTGGTCTTGAATTTAAGGTGTTACTGTGGCCGACTGATTGGAGACCATGCTGGGATAGATTATTCCTGGACCATCTCAGCTGCCAAGGGTAAAGAAAGTGAACAATGGTCTGTTGAAAAGCACACAACGAAAAGCCCAACAGATACTTTTGGCACGATTAATTTCCAAGATGGAGAGCACACCCATCATGCCAAGGTTTGCTAATAACCCAAATTGTTTTGCTGGTTTCTTTCTTTTTTTTTTTTTTTCGAGACGGGGTTTTGCTCTTGTTGCCCAGGCTGGAGTGCAATGGCACGATCTCGGCGCACTGCAACCTCTGCCTCCCGGGTTCAAGTGATTCTCCTGCCTCAACCTCCTGAGTAGCTGGGACTACAGGCATGGGCCACCACTCCTGGCTAATTTTGTATTTTTAGTAGAGACGGGGTTTCTACTAACAGGTTTCTGCCTGTTTGAAGTATTTGTGCCTTCACATTTTTCAATAGCTGCACCGTTCCTGATGTTCAGAAATTTTAATATTTTAATTTTGGAATAAAGGAATTATGTATCAAGAAGTTCAGGCTGGGCACGTTGGCTCACACCTGTAACCCCAGAACTCTGGGAGGCCAAGGCAGGTGGATCACCTGAGGTCAGGAGTTTGAGACCAGCCTGGCCAACATGGCGAAAACCCATCTCTACTAAAAAATACAAAATTTAGCTGGTATGGTGGCACAGGCCTGTAATCCCAGCTACTTGGGAGGCTGAGGCTGGAGAATCACTTGAACCTGGGAGGCAGAGGTTGCAGTGAGCCAAGATTGCACCACTGCACTCCAGCCTGGGCGACAGCATAAGACTTCATCTCAAAAAGAAAAAAAAAAAGAAGTTCAAAGATGAATTGGAAATTGTTTTAAATTACTGTCATGTTCTGGAGGATCATATGTTAATTCCTATTTGCATGTATGGAGATCTTTGCCTGTGGTTTTGTTTCATAATTCATGGTTTCTTATTGTCCTTACTTCTTCCTGTAAATCTGGCTTATTCTTGCTGTTGGTTCGTGTAAGTTTGAGGGAGGCAAATTCATCTCAATATCCTTTGAGTGATCTGCATTTGCTGGAAAAAGCAAGCCAGCTGTGCAATACAATATTAGGTAAAATAAAAAATGATTCTGGGGCTACCTGCTGGCTTTGATTTCCCTCATCTTTTCTTTTGCTTACATTGACGATTAAAGAGATGACTGTTTTTGTGAAAAGTATTTGTTTCAGAACAAAAGTGTTTTCAGAGGGATAATGGTTAGAAGGTAAAATTTACAATTTTAATTAGAAGGTAAAATTTACAATAAATTAAATGTCCATGCTCTAGAATCTTAATTTAAATTATGCAAATCTGTGAAATGATTAAGTAAACAGAAAGCCATAGCATTTATGAAAAATCCCATTTCACCTATTTGTTATAGCTTCTGATGAAAAGGTTTGCTGACATAGTGATTTTGGCCAGTTGTTCGAAATATTTCTTTTTCTTTTCTTTTTTTTTCTTTCTTTCTTTTTTTTTTTTTTTTTGAGACAGAGTCCTGCTCTGTCACCCAGGCTGGAGTGCAGTGGCGTGAGTGGATGAATGATCTCAGCTCACTGCAACCTCCGCCTCCTGGGCTCAAGCGGTTCTCCTGCCTCAGTCACCCGGGTAGCTGGGATTACAGATGTGTGCCACCATGCCTGGCTAATTTTTTTGTATTTTTAGTAGAGATGGGGTTTCACCATGTTGGCCAGGCTGGTCTTGAACTCCTGACCTCAGGTGTTCCGCCCACCTCGGCCTCCCGAAGTGCTGGAATTACAGGCGTGAGCCACCGCACCCTGCCTGTTTGAAGTATTTCTGCCTCACCCCAGGTTCTCTGGAGAGCATTGGTGGGCCAGCCTTGAAAACCAGAGGAAGCTTTCCTACAGTGACTTGTAATTCCCAGAAGGAACTTAATGGGAGTGTGGAATCTTTTAAAAGTAAATATTTCCATTACATGAAGATGAACTTTAAAGAGATCCCACATACTTCCTTTTAGATTTTGGCCATTTCAGTTGCCCTGCTGTGTGCTCATTGTTTCTGTGCCTGGCATAACTTTTTTACAATGTTCTGTTCACCTACATGTGCTTTTCTTGCAGTATATTAGAACTTCTTATGATACAAAACTGGATCATCTGTTACATTTAATGTTGAAAGAGTGGAAAATGGAACTGCCCAAGCTTGTGATCTCAGTCCATGGGGGCATCCAGAACTTTACTATGCCCTCTAAATTTAAAGAGATTTTCAGCCAAGGTTTGGTTAAAGCTGCAGAGACAACAGGAGCGTGGATAATAACTGAAGGCATCAATACAGGTAAAGCTCCCTCCCTCCATTTCTCCCACCCTCTCTTTCACCCTCCCTCTCTCCCTCCCTCTCTCCCTCTTTTCTTTTTTCCTTTCTCTTTCTTTTCTTTTCTTTCCCTCCCTCCCTCCCTCCCTCCCTCCTTCCTTCCTTCCTTCCTTCCTTCCTTCCTTCCTTCCTCTCTCTCTTCTCTTTTTCTTTTTTCTTTCTAACTGTGAATCAGGTAGTGTGCCACATAATCTCTGCTCTGTAGCACTCCTAGGATATGTGGTGCTGTGAGGAAGAAAGATGAAAATCCTAGTGACTAGAAAATAAACCCAGAAGAATCATAGATTTTTCCTGGAATGTGTTTTTACCATTGTCAGAATATACTATTTTAATGTAACTTCAGATAAACCTCTGGAAAAGAAAATAGTCTTTCCTGAGCTCCCAACTACAGCAAGGCTAGAAGGGACATCGAATCCATGCAAGTGCATAGTGTGTGTGGGCCTGGACTTTCACTAAACTCATATAATCATTGTCAGTTTCTCAGATTTGGGAAATCAGTGATGTGGGTAAAACTTGCATTGCGTGTTTTGGGCATGAGTAGATACTTTTTTTTTAACTACATGATTGCCAAAACACTCACCGTCTCAATCACTGACTCTTCTACACTTCTTAAAATCTGAAATTCCAGAATTGTATATGGGGGGCTCTGACCTTATTTCTTTGCTTCAGTGTTTGTGAACTGTCTGCACATAAGGACAACCTGGGGAGCTTTTAAAATACAAATGTACAGGCTCTTCCCCAGATGAATTAGAGGCTTTTAGTCAGGAGCTTCTGAAGTATGTCAGCCAGGATTGAGAACTAGTGATTCCATAAACTCTTGTCTCTTACCAGTTTGTTACTAACCTGTGGTTTTCTTTTTCTTTTTTTTTTTTTTTTTGAGATGAAGTCTCGCTCTTGTCACCCAGGCTGGAGTGCAATGGTGCAGTCTTGGCTCACTGCGATCTCCGCCTCCCAGGTTCAAGCGATTCTCCTGCCTCAGCCTCCCAAGTAGCTGGGATTACAGGTGCCTGTCACCACACCTGGCTAATTTTTGTATTTTTAGTAGAGACAGGGTTTCACCATATTGGCCAGGCTGGCCTCGAACTCCTGACCTCAGGCGATCTGCCCACCTTGGCCTCCCAAAGTGCTGGGATTACAGGCGTGAGCCACCATGTCTGGCCTAACCTGTGGTTTTCTATCTTCCCTTTACTTTTCTCTCTTTTGATTTGGCATGCCCTGCCCAGTGTCTCCTATCAAATTTTGCCCATGTTTTAAGATCTACACGAGATGCCAACGCACTCGTCAAACAGCTTCTTGAATATCTCAACTAGAGCTACTCACTTTTGTCTTTTAATTTCTACAGCATTTACTGCCTGTAGCACTTGCAGAATGTTGGTATTTTGCCTTACAGGCTAGGATGAGTCAGTGTGTTAGCTCTCCTTCTGGTTGTGTACTAGAGGCAAGGGCCTGAGCATCTGCCTAAGCATTTAGCACCTTGTACTGACATAACAAAGTTCCTTTTGACTGAAAAGGAATGAAGGAAGTGAATGACTGAAAAAACAAAGTAAAATAAAACCAAGGGATTTGGCCCATCACAAATAGGTAACGCACACTTTATCATACATATTTTATAGAGATTGTTTCACATTCTTGGAAGAAACTGAAGTTGGCAGAGTTCTAAGTCCATTGTATAGTTCTTATTTGATTTCCAGTGAAGTGGGTGGGTAGGGAAGTTTCACATAATTCATTGAAAAGACAGGCTTGGGCAAGGCTTTTTCTTTGAATAACTAACTGCATGTCGTGCTTCATTTTACTTAATGCCTTAAAAAGATCATTGAGTTTATGGCCAGTTAACCTAAAGAAACACAAATAGAGTAGTGTGGAGATGATTGAAATACTTCATATAAACAAAAGAAATGGGACATGAGAAATACTTGGATCTCCACTAAACAACAGTCAGGCCAGATACAGTGGTTCATGCCTATAATCCCAGCCTTTCGGGAAGCTGAGGGCTGGTGAATTGCCTGAGCTCAGGAGTTCGAGACCACCCTGGGCAATGTGGCAAAACCCTATCTCTAAAAAATTGCAGAAATTAGCTGGATGTGGTGGTGTGCACCTGTAGACCCAGCTACTGGGGAGGCTGAGGTGGGAGGTTTACTTGAGCCTGGGAGGTCAAGGCTGCAGTGAGCTATGATCATGTCACTCTACCCAGCCTGGGTGGCAAAGCAAGACCCTGTCTTAAAAAAAAAAAAAAAAAAAAGGGGGCCGGGCGTGGTGGCTCACACCTGTAATCCCAACACTTTGGGAGCCCAAGGTGGGTGGATCACAAGGTCAGGAGATCGAGACCAACCTGGCCAACACGGTGAAACCCCGTCTCTACTAAAAATACAAAAAATTAGCCGAGTGTGGCGGCGGGCGCCTGTAGTCCCAGCTACTTGGGAGGCTGAGGCAGGAGAATGGCATGAACCCAGGAGGCGGAGGTTGCAGCGAGCCGAGATCGTGCCACTGCACTCCAGCCTGGGCGACGAGCGAGACTCCGTCTCAAAAAAAAAAAAGAAAACAACAACAACATAAAACAATCAGGCTAACCTGATTCAACCACAGCTCCTCTATGGCCTGGCTACTTAAGGATTAGTCCCTGGACCAGCAGCATCAGCATCAGCTGAGAGCTTGCTGAAAGTGCCTATTTCAGGCCCCACCCCAGACCTGCAGAATCAGAACCTGCATTTTAACAACATCCCCAGATGATTCCCGTGCACGTTTAAATTTGAACTCTGCTTATGAGCTCCTGTCTATTCTTGACAGGCTTCTCAACCATAGTTGAACATAATTTCGCATGAATCTTTGACATTTACTTAAATTGAATGCCACAAGCCTTAAGAATCTACTATGTGAAAAGCATTTGGATAGGTGTTAGGAATGAAAGAGGAGTAACACGGACCCTGAATTTAGTGATGGGTTGGGCTGTGACAGACAAAAAGCAACTAGTGAGAAATTGATGCTGACTGGGTTATAGTTGAGATTCAAAGGAACTGTTTTGAGAATACAAGGAAGACGGACATGAATTCTAGTTTCAACTGAGGGCACCTTGGAAGTCTTGGGAAGGATATAGCACTTGGCATTGGTCTTGTGGTAAAGGTAGGAAGCGGCATTAGTAAGAAGTGGCAGCTCAGGGTTAGGCACACAGCTAGAGGTGAAGGCATGTGTAGAAAGAAGTGATAAAGCTCCTGGCTGGAGTGTGTGCCATGTGGCAGGGGACAGGGACTGCAAAGGAGACTGGAGCCAGATTGGGTGCCATGCTGAAGTCTTATTCTCTACATAGCAAGGAGCCCTGAAAGGAATTTGAACAGCAGGATGAATAGGGGAATAACATGGTCAAATTGGGTTTTACGGAGAGTCTCAAACAACGATATGTGTTAGGATCACATGTAAGGTGCTTAAAACAACAACAGTGTTGGCACACCATGCCAAACCATGGAATCAGAATCTCTACTGGGGTGGATGGCTCCACACTTGATATTGATGTGTGCCTGTGATCCAGATCCCAGGTTCTAGAGATGGCTCTGGGAGAGGGTCAGAAAATGAGTTGGAAGGGAAGATGCCAGGAATGAGGAAGTGATTTAGCTGCTAAGCCTCAGATCCATGCCATATGCAGGTTATTTTTCCTTCTGTGCTAATGACACATATAAGGTCAGTACCACACATAGGAAGAATAGGAAGAATAAGTCTTACAATGCAGTATTGTGATTTAAAGGTCAGATCAAGCCAATCTCAAAGGCTACTTACTGTATGATTCCAACTATAGTATATGACATTCTGGAAAAGGCAAATCTATGGAGACAGTAGAAAGATCAGCAGTTGCCAGGAGCTGAGGGGGGAGAGGGATGAGTAGGCAGAGCACAGAATATTTTCAGGCCAGTGATACTAACATGGTGGATATACATCATTGTATCTTTGTCAAAACTCATAGAATGTACAGCAGCAAGAGTGAACCCTAATGTAAACTGATGTAAACTGTGGACTATGGAGAATAGTGATATTCTATTGTCATGACCCTATAATGTAGGGTCATCAATTGTAACAGATGTACCAGTCTCCTGGGGGATGCTGATAGTCGGGGAGGCTGTGTTTGTGTGGGAGCAGGGCATGGCATGGGAACTTTCTGTACTTTTCATTCAATTTTGCTGTGAACCCAAAACTACTCTAAAAAATAAAGTCTATTCTTGAAAAAGGTCAAATTGCCTAAATTGGAATCCAATCTCTACAAAATCCAAGCTCTAAATAAATTGTCCAAAGCTCTACAAACCTTGGACAATTTATTTAAACTCTCAGTGCCACAATTTTTTGCCTATAAAGTGGACTAAAAACATTCCTACTTAAAGTGTAAATACATACAAAGGTAGCCAACACTTACTGAAATCTTACTGTAGGCCAGTAAGTGTTGGCTACTGTACTAATTACTAGTATTAATTCCAGAAGGGCGAACATTAACATATTACTCCTCAATGTATTAGCTTTGAAATATTTGTGCATATAAAGCTATTAAATTAGTTTGCCTTAATGAGCAAGGGACATATCTGCAGGATGTTGTGCTGGGACATTGGGTAAGATTAGGCATAAAAAAAACATTCATAATAGGAGAAAATTTTTGCAGTCTACCCATCTGTCAAAGGGCTAATATCCAAACTCTACAAAGAACTTAAACAAATTTACAAGAAGAAATCAAACAACCCCATCAAAAAGTGGGCAAAGGATATGAACAGACACTTTTCATTAGAAGACATTTATGCAGCCAACAGACACATGAAAAAATGCTCATCAGCACTGGCCATCAGAGAAATGCAGATCAAAACCACAATGAGATACCATCTCACACCAGTTAGAATGGTGATTATTAAAAAGTCAGGAAACAGGTGCTGGAGAGGATGTGGAGAAATAGGAACACTTTTACACTGTTGGTGGGAGTGTAAACTAGTTCAACCATTGTGGAAGACAGTGTGGCGATTCCTCAAGGATCTAGTACTGGAAATACCATTTGACCCAGCAATCCTATTACTGGGTATATACCCAAAGGATTATAAATCATGCTACTATAAAGACACATGCACACGTATGTTTATTGCGGCACTATTCACAATAGCAAAGACTTGGAACCAACTCAAATGTCCATCAGGGATAGATTGGATTAAGAAAATGTGGCACATATACACCATGGAATACTATGCAGCCATAAAAGGGATGAGTTCATGTCCCTTGTAGGGACATAGATGAGCAAACTATCGCAAGGACAGAAAACCAGACACCGCATGTTCTCACTCATAGGTGGGAATTGAACAATGAGAACACTTGGACATAGGGTGGGGAACATCACACACCAGGGCCTGTCAGGGGGTGGGGGGCTGGGGGAGGGCTAACATTAGGAGAAATACCTAAAGGAGGAGTTAATGGGTGCAGCAAACCAACATGGCACATGTATACATATGTAACAAACCCACTCGTTGTGCGCATGTACCCTAGAACTTAAAGTATAATAATAATAATAATAATAATAAGCATTCATAATGTTAGGGCTGGGCTTGCTGAGGAAGGACAGTGCACAGCATTTTGCTTAGGCAAGAGTAGGATCGGATCTGAAGTTGTAGGCAGAAATTGCCCAAAGGGCTCAGAGGAACATTGTTCAGGTAGAGAGAGGTAATGATAAGAGGAAGATGTGTCTAGAAAGAATAGAGGAAGCCAAGGTATCAGAAACTAATTCCACTGTACCAGCAACTCTCCCTAAGAATAGCCCTTGCATATGCTTGCCTATTTATTTGTCTGTTTCTGGCAGTCTCTTTGTTTTGCACGATTTGTGAATTAAAGTTTGACTTCTAAACTGGTTGTTCATAGGAGTGTCCAAGCATGTTGGGGATGCCTTGAAATCCCATTCCTCTCATTCCTTGAGAAAAATCTGGACAGTTGGAATCCCTCCTTGGGGTGTCATTGAGAACCAGAGAGACCTTATTGGAAAAGATGTAAGTAGACAATCCTTTCATAACAAAAGCAAACGAACACGTGTGCAAATTGCCAGCTTAACACTGTACCTGGATGTCTAATGAATGAACATTACAGATGTAATATATTCACTACCAACTCCTGACTTTCTGCTGCTTCCCTCACCCTGTCTTAGAAGATGACAGTCCCACCCTTGCAGTTGCTCAAGTCAAAAGCCTTGGACTAATCCTGGAATGATCTCTTTGTCTCACACTCAAACTTGATCTATCAGTTCCACTTTAAAAATATATCTAAAATCTGATTTCTTCTTCTCACTGCCCTTACTGTTACTGAGTGAATCCGAGCCACCATTATCTGTTGCCTGAATGATTGCAATAGCCATCTTTACTCTTACCTTTGTCTCCTAACAGCATAGTCTCAACATAGTAGCCAGAATGATTCTTTAAAAATATACAAATCAGATCACGCCATTCCTCTGTGTAAAACACTTCAAGGACTTCTGTCTCACTTAAGGTAGTAGCCAAGGTTCTTGAAGTGGTTTGCCCGTAGTGAAACAAGGGACATTCTTAATTTGGCCCTCCTAGTTCTCATCTGTTATCTTGTATTACTCTGCTTCATTCCTTCTTGTGTATTGATTCTTTGTTCCTAAGTATTCTTTCAAAGGGAACGGACTTGTCTCAGTCTCTTTGTAAGACTAATATAATTTTTTGGTAAAATATTAGATATGAGAAAATGTTCTAAAGAAGAAAGATGACTACTGTTAATATTTCTGTCAGGATCATTTCAGAATTTTTTCTATGTATGTGTGTATAAGGACAGCAAAAAAAGTGTGTATTTAAAAATAGTAACAGAACTGATTGCTATAAATGTGCTTTTTTTCAGCTTACCTATTTGCCGTAGTTATTTCTCCATGTCGATTAATACAGACATGATTATGGGTTGTTTTAAATTTTTTTTTTTTTTTCCTGAGACGGAGTCTCGCTCTCTTGCCCAGGCTGGTGTGTAGTGGCGCAGTCTTGGCTCACTGCAATCTCCACCTCCTGGGTTCAAGCAATTCTCTTGCCTTAGCCTCCCAAGTAGCTGGGATTACAGGCACCCACCACCAGGCCCGGCAAATTTTTGTATTTTTAGTAGAGACAGGGTTTCACCATGTTGGCTAGGCTGGTCTCAAACTCCTGACCTCAGATGATCTGCCTGCCTCGGCTTCCCAAAGTGCTGGGATTACAGGCGTGAGCCACCACACCCAGCCTGTTTTAACTTTGATTTTGGAAAACTTGCAACATATTAGGCAGTAGAGAAGTTAGAAAAATGAACTCTTTTCTATGTACCTATCTCCAGCTTCAACAGTTACCAGCTCATAGCCAATTTTGTTTCGCCTCTTCCCTTATCCATTCAGCCGACACCCTCCGTTATTTTGAAGCAAATTTGAGACATCAAATAATTTCATCTATAAATATTTTAGTAGTTCTTTCTAAAATATATGGACAATGAAAATATATAATCACAATGAAGTTATTATATCTAAAAAATTACCAGGAATTTCTGAGTATCACTGACTATCCAGTCTAGTCAAGTTTTTCATTGCCTCATAATGTTTTTTTCAAAAACAGGGTTTCTTAAGTCTTCATTATTTAGTGATTTGATTTCATTATCCAAAAAAGTTTCATATATTGTGATGGGTTGTTATATCTCTTGACTTGCTTTTATTTTTGTCACTTTTAATCTATGGATTTTACCTCCATCTCATTTTTTTATGTGTGTGTAATTTATTTATTGAGGAAACTGGGTCATTTGTTCTGAAGAGTTTCCTCCAGCTTGGATTTTCCAGATTTAATCTTTTGTAGTGGTGTTTAGCATGTTTCTTTGCTTCTTTTCTGTAAATTGGTAGTTTGATTGAGAGGTATGATCAGGTTCAGGTTTTCTGTGTAAGTTTATGCCATAGGAGGAGGTATGTCTTTCCCTTGTAATATATGGGGGTCTCTCTTTTTATAATGTTAGCAGTCGTTGCATAGATTCATTATTTCAACAGAGTTCCAACGTGATGACATTTAATTATAATGTCCTTTGTTTATTAGTTTACATGCTCTATGTACTTAACACTCTAATACTTAAATACTCCATATAGATAAACGTTTTCTCACCAATCACTTGGTTTACCTTGTGGTACAGTTGTATAGGAAGGGCTGAATAAATGCTTGACTCTTTTCTTTTTATTTGCCAGTTTTCAAAATAATGAAAGGTGAATGATGAGTTTTCTTAACTCATAAATGTAAACATCTTTGTCATATTTCAATCCATGAATCAATACAGTTATTATTCTTAATAATGTTCAAATTATCCCATTTTGGCCGGTGGAGTGTTTTCAAGATGTCTCCTCCTCTTTTCATACAATTCCATTGTCTATCATGACTTCCTTGCTTTTTAGTATGAAAAAATATTCCAGGCTCATTGTGTATATTTTTTGTTTCTCAGAGTAAAGGCTGTTTGCTTTTAGTGGGACATAGCTTTTTATTTTTATTTTTTTCCCAGAGATGGAGTCTTGCTGTGTTGCCCAGGCTGGAGTGTGGTGGCACGATCTCAGCTCACTGCAACCTCCGCCTCCTGGGTTCAAGCGATTCTCCTGCCTCAGCCTCCCAAGTAGCTGGGATAACAGGCACCCGCTACCACACCCAGCTAATTTTTTTATTGTTGGTAAAGATGGGGTTTCACCATATTGGCTGGGCTGGTCTCGAATTCATGACCTTGTGATCCACCCACTTCGGCCTCCCAAAGTGCTGGGATTACAGGCGGGAGCCACTGTGCCTGGTCAGTGAGACATAGTATTAGCAGAGCACATCTGGAGGCCAAGGAAACATTTTGATTTTTCATGTCAGCTAGTATCATACTGTACTGTATTGAATCAATGATTCCTCTATTATTGTCCATTTAGGTCATGTTCTGTTTTTCACTTTTGAGGATAATAATAATAATATTGTGATAAGATATGTAAATCTTTGATACTAGCTTGCTTATTTCCCTAGAATTAATTCTCGAAGTGGAATGCTTGGACCAGTCTGTATAACCGTTTAAAATGTGACACATTGCCTCTGGAAGGGTGGTAACAATTCACATTCTTGGCTGGGCATGGTGGCTCATGCCTATAACCCCAGTACTTTGGGAGGCCGAGGCCGAGGCCGGCGGATTGCTTGAGCTCACGAGTTTGAGACTAGCCTGAGGAACATGGTGAAACCCTTGTCTACAAAAAAAAAAAAAAAAAAAAAAAAAAAAACAAAAATTAGCTGGGCATGGTGGTGCACGCCTATAGTCTCAGCTACTTGGGGGGCTGAGGTGGAAGGATTGCTTGAACCTGGGAAGTTGAGGTTGTGGTGAGCTGTGATTGCACCACTGCACTCCAGCCTGGGCAACAGAGTAAGACCCTGTCTCAAACAAACAAACCAAACAACAACAAAAACAAAAATAGCCAGCATGGCAGCATGTGCCTGTGATCTTAGCTACTCAGGAGGCTGAGGTGGGAGGATCGCTCGAGCCCGGGAGGCAGAGGTTGCAGTGATCCCAGATGGGCACTACTGTACTCCAGCCTGGGTGACAGAATTAGACCTTGTCTAAAAGAAAAAAACAAAACAAACAAACAAACAAAAAAACCCCAAAACAAAACAATTCATATTATTTTCAATGGGGTATGTGGATGCCCATTGAGTTCTGAGTATTCTGTTTTTTTTTCAAGCTCTACCCTTCTGTTAAGGTATAAAATAATACCTAATTTTTCTTATTTACATTTCCCTGATTGCTAGTGAGGTTCAACATCTCTTCATCTGGTTTTTGTACATTTTCAAGCAGGGATTTTAGACTTCTTAACCTTCAAGTTTTTTTGTTTTGTTTTGTTTTTTTAAGATAAAATTTGCTCTGTTGCCAAGGCTGAAGTACAATGGCATGATCATAGCTCACTGCAGTCTTGAACTGTTGGGCTCAAGTGATCCTCCCATGTCAGCCTCCAGAGTAGTTGGTACTACATGCATGCACCGCCACACCCAACTAATTCTTAAAAATTTTTTTCTTTTAGAGATGGGGCCTTGCTGTGTTGTTCAGATTGGTTTTGAACCCTTGGCCTCAAGTGATCTTCCTGCCTTGGCCTCCCAAAGTGTTGGGATTATAGGAATGAGCCTCTCTCTGTGTCTAGCCTTGAAAGATCCTATAATTCAGCCTAGTAACAATTTTGTTTGTCAAGTATGCTGCATTTCTCATAGTTTTTATTTTATATTATTTCTTATCTTTTTAAAATAAATACAAAATATGTATTAAATCTCTCAATTATTTTCCTTTTGGTTTCTTGCCTCAGTGTCATGCTTCGAAATTATAAAGGTAACATTTAAAGCCTAATGTTTATAAAGTTCAGAGTGCCTTTTGCATCCATTATTTCTTTGAAGCCTCACAACAACCCTCTGAATAAAAATTATCAGTATCATCATCCTTACTTATACCTGAGGAAAATAAGCCTGAGAAAGAAAGCAAGAATTACTCAGAGTTAAGGTTAGTAAGTAGAAGAGCCTTGACTTAAACTTGGGCTTTCTTACTCTAAATATTGTGCTTTTGCCTCTAAAAGCAAATACGAAGTGGAGCAGCTTAAGAAAATGTCCATTAATGTAATAAAGATTTTGATGTTTTATAATGAATGAAATACTGTTTGGCTGGTTGGCTGTTCCACTGTTTTATTTATTTATTTATTTTTGAGATGGGGTCTCACTGTGTCGCCCAGGCTGGAGTGCAGTGGCGAGATCTTGGCTCACTGCAACCTCCACCTCCCAGGTTCAAGTGATTCTTGTGCTTCAGCCTCCTGAGTAGCTGGACTACAGGCGCATGCCACCATGCCTGGCTAATTTTTGTATTTTTGGTAGAGATAGGGTTTTACCATGTTGGCCAGGCTGGTCTCGAACTCCTAACCTCAACTGATCCGCTAGCTTCGGCCTCCTAAAGTGCTGGTATTACAGGCATAACCGCTCCTGGCCAGCTGTTACTCTTTATTTTGTTTGAAATACTAGAGAAAAGTCAGTGTCAAAATATTATTCTGGAATAAATCTATAAAAAGACACTATTTTTGAATAATGGTGTGGTCTATGTACTGGTGCCAGTCCTTGAACTGTTTTTTAATGATTTGAAACAAGGTAAGCACAGAAATGAAAACGAAGGCTGGGCGTGAAACCCCGTCTCTCCTAAAAATACAAAAATTAGCCAAGCGTGGAGATGTGTGCCTGTAGACCCAGCTACTCGGGAGGCTGAAGCAGGAGAATCGCTTGAACTTGGGAGGCTAAGGTTGCAGTGAGCTGAGATCATGCCACTGCACTCCAGCCTGGGCAATAGAGCAAGACTCCATCTCAAAAAAAAAAAAAAAGAAAGAAAGGAAAAAAAAATATTTAGAACCACTGCCAGCAATGTGACCATGCTGTGTCATTCAAGCACGTGGAAAGCAGGCTAATCTTGCTGAACAGGGTTTGTTTCAATACTGTTGAACTTGTGTTGTGAATCTCATGTACCACAAGCTGCCTACTAGTTATTCATAGTGGGATCACATATCGGTCCATTAAAACATGGGAAATTTAAAAAATTGATACCACAGATAGTTTGAGAAGCACTGCTCTAAATTGCAAGTAATACTTTTTTTTTTTCTTTTTGAGACGGAGTCTCGTTCTGTTGCACTGGAGTGCAGTGGCGCGATCTCACCTCACTGCAACTTCTGCCTGCCGGGTTCAAGCAATTCTCCTGCCTCAGCCTCCCAAGTAGCTGGGACTACAGGCACCTGCCACCATGCCTGGCCAATTTTTTTGTGTATTTTTAGTAGAGATGGGGTTTCACCGTGTTAGTAAGGCTGGTCTCTATCTCCTGACCTTGTGATCCGCCCACCTTGGCTTCCCAAAGTGCTGGGATTACAGGCATGAGCCACCATGCCTGGCCGCAAGTAGTACTTTTTAAACTAGACAGGAACTCTTTTAGCACATAAAGATAGGCCTTTGGAGCAGGTGAGCCTGGGGAAGGATCTAGAGCTCTGACCCTCCCTTGTCCTTGCTGTCTCTCAGGTGGTGTGCCTGTACCAGACTCTGGATAACCCCCTCAGCAAGCTCACAACACTCAACAGCATGCACTCGCACTTCATCCTGTCTGATGATGGGACCGTGGGCAAGTATGGAAATGAAATGAAGCTCAGAAGGAACCTGGAGAAGTACCTCTCTCTGCAGAAAATACACTGCCGTGAGTATCACAGGGGCTCAGTCACCCAGTCTGGTTGCAGGCCTGCTGAGGTCTTTCATGGTCTTCCCTGACCATCAGAGCTCACTCTCCTAGTCCCCTCAAGCTAGCCTCCTTAATACTCTTCAGCCACCCCCCTTCCCACATGGGCATCTCCCCTCCTCTCTCCCTCCATGTATCCAATCCAAATGACACTTCGAGGATCCACTAAAGTCTTCATCCTTCCATGATCCCCCCAAAGATTTCTTCCTCTCTCTCAACTGTCATCCACAAGTCTGCACTGTCTGATATCCTGTGTTCTTCCGGCTGTGGGTTCACCATGGTCAAGGTGCTCACTTATCACCTGCACAGAGTAGAGGCCGAAGTTGGCCCCTGCCTTAGAGCAGCCAGAGGGATTAAGTTAACATAGGGAACCCGAAGCCAGAAGAAAGCAGGATATAAGACCGTGCAGACTTGTGGGTGACAGTTGAGAGAGAGGAAGAAATGTTTGGGGGATGATGGAGGGATGAAGACTTTAGTGGATCCTCAAAGAGTCATTTGGGTTGGATAGATGGAGGGAGAGAGGAGGGGAGATACCCATGTGGGAAGGGGGGTGGCTGAAGAGCATTAAGGAGGCTAGCTTGAGGGGACTAGGGGTGTGAGCTTTGATGGTCAGGGAAGATGACATTTCATGTGTTGGTGGGGTGGCCCTAGGCAGGGAAGGGGTTAAGACCAGACAGGATTTTTAGAAATAGGGACCTTGGGGCTGGGTGTGGTGGCTCACGCCTGTAATCCCAGCACTTTGGGAGGCTGAGGCGGGTGGATCACCTGAAGTCAGGAGTCGAGACCAACCTGGCCAACATGGTGAAACCCTGTCTCTGCTAAAAATACAAAAATTAGCCAGGTGTGGTGGTGCATGCCTGTAATCCCAGCTACTCAGGAGGCTGAGGCAGGAGAATGACTTGAACCTGGGGTGTAGAGGTTACAGTGAGCTGAGATCGCCCCACTGCACTTCAGCCCAGGTGACAGAGCAAGACTCTGTCTCAAAAAAAAAAAAAAAAAAAAGAAAGAAAAAGAAAAAGAAATAGGGACCTTGGAAAGTGTCAAGTTTGTGTCATGCTCACAGTGGTGCTTCAAGAGGGCCATTTTGGTAGTTTTATCTGGAGGAGGGCAAGGAGAAGGGAGGGCCAGAATCAGCATGCACCACTGGGCAGGGAAGTGTGAATCCTTTACAGAGAGCAGGAGGGCTGAGTGCTGCCTGGAAAACTGTAGACTTTTGGTTCAAGGCACCAGAAAGTCGACCCCTGCCTCTTGTGCCGAATTAAATCTTCCACAAAATACTTCCTTGGGACAAAGGGCCAGGGAGTGGGAATGCCTTCAGGAGGCTCAAGTCCTCTTCAGCCTTTGAGCATTGGGCTGAAAAAATGAAAGACTGGAAGTCCATTTAGTTTTTGGCCTTGATCCCTGGAGGCAGCAGAATGTAGTGAGGTCAGACAGATTGAAGCGCTGTCATTTTGTGCCTGTGACCTTGGCCAGATGGCATTAACATCTGTCAACTGTTTTCTTATTATAAAATGAAAAGAACTATCTACGTCTAACGTTTGTTGTGACAATTAATTGAGAAGATGTATATTAGGGATGTCTAGAATTGTGTTGGGTGCACGGTGTGTCTTTAATAAATGTCTGTTTCTTTCCTTCCTTTTTCCCTCCTTTGGTACAGTGATCATCTCATGGTTGTGGGGTAGGAGGAGGGGAGGGACTCTGGGAATTGTGGTCGTTCACTTAACTCTTAGTGTGAATAAGGATTCTGAGGCTTATGCAGGTCAGGAAAAGGGGAGAGAGGATCAGGTATGTGGTCTTCTGCGGGGTAGGAATGGCTGGGAGAAGGGAGACCAGCAGAGCAGAGGGAAGGAAGAGAGGTCAGAGAAGGACCTTGAAGAAGAATCCGTATAGAGAGGGATCCATTAGGGGCCTGAAATATTACCTGAAATGTCCTGTTGCCTCTGTTGACCTTTGCCCACCACCTAAATTGCGTGGGGTTCTGTGCAGCGCTATAATGTATGCTCCATGGGAGGTATGAGAGTCTTTGTCTTTCTTATTCCCTGCTGATTGCCCATTTTAGTAAGAATGCAACAACCCTGAGCTTGCTTATAGTAGCAGATGACATTTCTACTTTCAAAGACCTTGAAACCTAGGATTTATCTGGAGGCTTTTGCTGACTATGGAGTCAATTCCAGTGGACTGGTAACATTTATTATTCTAAGGAGAACCCATATAAAAACAGCAAAAACAAGAAGCCACCTATACACACACACATACACACACACACACACACACACACACGGAAGAAAGAGAAGACATGCCCTCAAGAAACTCAAAATTCTTATGTATCAAGCTGATCTTCATACCTAACATACTTATGAGGGAGGTTGGCTACCATATTTGTATTTGTTGTTGATTTGATCAAAAAGGGATTTATTTTTGATGGCATGAAAATACTTAACTAGTGGTTGATTTATTTGACTTTTTTGTTTTTTCTGGAGACTGAGTCTCACTTTGTCACCCAGGCTGGAGTGCAATGGCGTGATATCAGTTCACTGCAACCTCTGCCTCCCTGGTTCAAACAATTCTCCTGCCCCAGCCTCCTGAGTAGCTGGGATTACAAGCACCTGCCACCACACCCGGCTAATTTTTTTCTATTTTTGATAGTGACAGGATTTTACCATGTTGGCCAGGCTGGTCTCGAACTCCTGACCTCAAGTAATCCACCTGCCTTGGCCTCCCAAAGTGCTGGAATTACAGGTGTGAGCCACCATGCCCAGCCTGTGGTTGATTTATTTTATTGCTTTTCAGCCAGTCTTCTTGGTGACTCTGGCAAACCCTTGTTGTTGGCAGAGAATACTTTAAAAAAAAAAAAAGACTCACATTATAAAGTTGCTGTAGGAATCCCTGGCTTTCAGCCATTTGAAATGTGGCCAATGTCAGCTTCTGTTTTGTAAGACTCTAAGGATGTGATTTCAAGATAGGAAACATAGGCTCTGATGCCTCTGTATCTTTTCGTAATCCAAGTCTCAAGGGAGAAGAGTGCTCTTTCCTGGAATGTCTGTTCTAGGAACTTTTAATTTGGAGGTCTAATATTGTATTCCTGCCTCACCCTGGGACCTTACAGTAGAAGCAGCTCTCTAGTGAGATTTCTCAGCAAGAATTTTACATTTTTTTCTTTTTAAACCAATTTTTATTAGTGTATCAGTAAGATTTTTTTTTTTTTTTTTTTTTTTTTTTTTTTTTTTCAGAAAAAGCCATAAATATATTTGATTTTGTGGGCATAAGTTATTATTTCAAGAGAAGTGGGCCAGGTGTGGTGGCTCACCCCTGTAGTCCCAGCACTTTGGGAGGCTGAGGTGGATGGATCCCCTGAGGTCAGGAGTTCAAGTCCAGCCTGGCCAACATGGTGAAACCCCGTCTCTACTAAAAATACAAAAAAGCAGCCGGGCATGATGGCGCGCACCTGTAATCCCAGCTATTCAGGGGGCTGAGGCAGGAGAATCACTTGAACCCAGGAGGCAGAGGTTGCAGTGAGCTAAGATGGTGCCACTGCACTCCAGCCTGGGCAACAAAGTGAGACTCCATAAAAAAAAAAAAAGTGTACCTAACAGAAATTGAATTCTCTTCCTCTTCCACAAAAATGCCCATATTAATTTTTTTTTCTTTTTCGGATGGTAAAAGTATTATATACTTCCACATTCAGGTAATGCAAAGAAAGCATATAACAGAAGAAAGGGACAGTTTTCTGTAATCTCACTATCAAAACTAACCATTCTTAACCTTTTCATATGTATATTTTCACAAATTTTCTACACACACATGCAGACGCACACACACACACACAAGCAACATCTTTTAAGCAAAAACTGGGGTGATTTCATAATGCTTCTTTTGTAGTTTTTCCCCTGCCCCACTAAACACGGTCCTATTTCCATGTCAATGAGTATAATTTAGTACATTTTAATGGCTGAATAACGTTTTATTGCACAAGATACAAAAAATTCACTTACAAGTGTTTTTATTCCAAAATCAATAAAATATTAATCGAAATTTTCTTCTATTACTTTTGTGCCTTATACTATTTTTGCCGCCTCATTTGGCTTTTATAAGACTATTTAGAGAAACCCTATGTCTATTAGTTGGTACATCATAGATATGCTTTTTAGTGATATGGAGAAAATAATGAGGTGGAGGTGTATGGAAAAGGAGTAGAATGTCAAAGCAACTAAATCGATGGAGTGAAGTTTTTGGATGGTTGCTAACTGACCCATCCCTAACATTTGAGAGCCTGACACAGGATACACATGGAAGACCACATACTATACGTCTAGATATTTAAATGCCTTAAATCTAGATAACTGTATAAAATATGTCCTAGCCTTTTATCTTGACACATATAGCTGGAAGGCCAGACTTGAGTTTGGAAACCTTGGATTTTTGGAAGTACTTAGCAACGTGGTGTTCTTTGGGCATCCTAGTAAGCTGGGGAGGGAGCACAGGCTTCCCTTGACCCTTGACCCTGTAGATGTCTCACCATGAGGGCAGGGGTGTGGCCAGAGGAAGGCCAGTGTGCGCCCCTGAAAACATGGGGCTCAGAGTAAAGTCCTCTTTTGCTCAGGGGTGAGTGTGGCATTGCTTGCCAAATTTTCTTCTTTTGGAAAATAAAATAAAATACAGTGATTTAAATGTAGTATATCAATATATGTGTGGTGTGAAAACATAAAGCAAATAAGAAATCTACAGAATAAATAGACAAGGTCCCTTTTCAACATTTTCCTAAACCTTCCCTTCTCTTTTCCACTGTTCATAGTGTGATGTGTATCCTTCCAGAATTTTCTGGTCATTTATATAACATGCTATACATACAGGTATGTGCATATATACATATAAAATATGTATGTAAGTATATTTTTAAAAAATATACATAGGATAATACTGTGCATATTATTCTGTAAGCTTTTTTGCTTACATCTTTTTTAAAAGAATGACTCTGCAGTTATTCCTTTCTGTTCTTTCTCCCTTACTTTAAGAAAGTAATATATATATAGGCTTGGGTCACGTAGTCTGCAAGAAAAAAAGGTAATATATAGTCATGATAAAAAATTCAAACAATAAAAAATGAAATAAATGGCAATGCAAAAGTCTTTGAGTGTTGTCATCCTACCTTGTTCCTAGAAATAACCACCATTAAAAGTTTATAGAGTCTAGGTGTGGTGGCTCACACCTGTAATTCCAAGACTTTGGGAGGCTGAGGCAGGAAGATCACTTGAGACAAGGAGCTTGAGATCAACCTGAGCAACATAGGGAGACCCCATCTCTACAAATAACTGAAAAAAAAAAAAAGCTAGGTGTGGTGGTACATACCTGTGGTCCCATCTACTCAGGAGGCTGAGACAGGAGGATTGCGTGAGCCTGGTAAGTCGAGGCTGCAGTGAGCTGTGATCACACCACTGCATTCCAGCCTAGCTGACAGAGTGAGACCTTGTCTTATATAAAATAAATAAATAAGTAATAATTAAAATGTTTGTTGAACTGGTTAAGGTTGTTCATTTTTGGAGATGAGTGATGAACACATTGGGATCTATTATATTGTTCTGTTTACTTTTAGATACTTTGGGAGTTTCCCGTAATGGAATACTTATTTCTTAAGCAATACTTATTTTTTTGAAAAATTATTGAAAGCCTTTTTACCTGGTAAAAGCTTGAAGATGCTGTCACCATATTTATGCCACATTTTATTTGAAGTCCAAGTTTCTGGCTTGGTCTTGATCTAAGCAAACCAGGGTAAAATGAGAGAGGGGCCAGTGTGAGGAATGAACATAGGTGGTAATTGAGAGACTTGTGTCTGGAAGTCAAAACGGCCGACTGGCTGAGCTAGGGATTCTCTAACAGTGTGGTATTGTTTGTGGTCTGGAATAGGCTCAAGACAAGGCGTGCCGGTCGTGGGGCTGGTGGTGGAAGGCGGTCCCAACGTCATCCTGTCAGTGTGGGAGACTGTCAAGGACAAGGACCCAGTGGTGGTGTGTGAGGGCACAGGTAGGGCGGCTGACCTCCTGGCCTTCACACACAAACACCTGGCAGATGAAGGGTGAGTTGTTGGCTCTTCTTTTTTGAAACTATAGGGGCTGTTTATTCCTCCATTTTAGTTCTTTTGGCTGTGCATTTATGTGAGCCAGATATTCTTGGATTATAGAAGTTGAGACTGGATTTCATTTCTCAGTGACTGTGTTTGTTGTTCAACATCAAAATGCCCTTCAGCGATGAGAGTTGCTATTTTCTTAGCTGAAGAATGGCCTGCCTTTAAAGGGAAGCTTGAGTCTTGCTTGAACTTTGGGGAAAAGGTGTTTGCAGGGGGAGTGAGGGAGGTGTGGCTTGAGCAATTGGCCATTACAGCCGTAAGGACCTTGTAAGGGAGGTGGCCAGTGTTGGGCCCAGAGCACCTTCAAATTCATTTGCCCTTAATGGAAATAGCAGAAATTGGGAAGGTCTACATCCTGACATTTTCATAGCATATGTCGTGCTTATTTCAGGCTTTAATTCTTTCCCCTTCTCAAATAAGAAGATAATTTTTCTCTTGCCATCCCTCTAGCCAGTGTGGTTCTTCCAATTTCAAAAGCATGATATTTCTACTGTATAAATAAGTACAGTGCCTAAGAACTAAAATGTTGACCCCACTAATTTATTTAGTAAACAGTTATTTGCTGCTTATACTGTAACAGCTCTCTGGAGTGCCTTTGCTTATGATTGCTCTTCCTGTTCATTTCTCCTGCCTCCACTTCCGCCCTCTACCATCTCCCTCTGCTTTCACTCCTCTCCCTTTTCTAAAATCATCCTGGATGTGTGGTTATTAAACCTTTTAGGGTTTCAGATCCTTTAGAGAATATAATACCTATAATTTCTGGAGATTTCCAGCCCTCTGGAAATCTACCAGCTTCAGAACTCCACTTCAGAGTATATTCTTTTCAGGATGTGGCAGATCAACCCATTCTCACTTTCTTTCTTCTTTTATAAATGTAAAAATAGAGGCAGGGTCTTGCTATTTTGCCCAGGCTGGCCTCGAACTCCTGGCCTCAAGTGATCCTCCACCTGGGACTCCCAAAGTGCTGGGATTACAGGTGTGAGCCATCATGCCCGGCTCCATTCCCACTTTCAAATTCAGCTTTCTTCTTGAGCTCCTGCTTCCGTTTGCTCCCCCTCATTTGCTCTTCTGGCAGAACTGTCCATAGACACCTTTTCAGTCTGGGGAGCTGATGGGGTGTTTTCTTGTACTGATGTTGCCGGCTCATTCCCCTCTCTGGGTTGTGTCAAGACCATTTATTTCTCTTCCAGGATGCTGCGACCTCAGGTGAAAGAGGAGATCATCTGCATGATTCAGAACACTTTCAACTTTAGTCTTAAACAGTCCAAGCACCTTTTCCAAATTCTAATGGAGTGTATGGTTCACAGGGATTGTGTGAGTATGACGAGTTGATGATTCAACTGACTTAAGAACTGCTAATTTATAAACACTGTAATATTTATTTTCACAATTAAAAAAAAACATGGTGGACACAGGAAGGGGAACAACATACAGGGGCCTGTCAGGGTGGAGGGGGGAGGGAGAAAATCAGGATAAATAGCTAATGCATGGAGATCTTAATACCTAAGTGATGGGTTGATAGGTGCAGCAAACCACCATGGCACACATTTACCTGTGTAACAAACCTGCACATCCTGCACATGTATCCCAGAACTTAAAATAAAGTAAAATTATTTAAAATTAAAATAATAAAAAATAAAAAATGTGGATTTTTCATTTTGATTTTGAGTGTATCTAGCTCTACAGAATTTGATTCTTCGTTGAGTAAACTTGACTTCTTGCTGTCACTGCTGTCCGCACTCTCCATGCTTCAAATACTAGACTCTACTACAGAAAAAGCACTTAGTATAACAATGTTCCAGAAAAGTTATCAGATTTAGTGAAAATTACACAGAAGTATTTTCAGAGGGTAAAGGAACAGCTCCATGTCTTCAATGAACACAGCTTCATGGTGCTGAGTTACATGACTGCCTCACAGCGTCCTGAGTAAATCCTGCAGGAAATCATTGGGAATGTACTGGACAATGGGAAAAGTGAGAATAAACTCTGGGATAAAAAATGGAGCCCACAAACTATGGGCTATTACCATAATGTAGACTCAGGAAAAGTTTTTAGTGTTTTAGGGTACTGTGATAAAAAGATTAATTTATTTAATTAATTTATTTGGTAAAGACAAGGTCTTGCTCTTTTGCCCAGGCTGGAATGCAGTGGTGCAGTCATAGCTCACTGCAGCCTTGAATTTCTGGGCTCAAGTGATCCTCTTGCCTTGGTCTCCTAAAGTGCTGGGATTATAGGCATGAGCCACCATGGCCAGCCTATGAACAAAATGACTTGGATGATATGAATTATCAATTCTTTTTTTTTTTTTTGAGACAGGGCCTCACTCTGTCACCTAGGCTGGAGTGCAGTGGCGAGATCTTGGCTCGCTGCAACCTCCACCTCCTAGGCTCAAGTGATTCTCATGCTTCAGCCTCCTGAGTAGCTTGGACTACAGGTGCATGCCACCATGCCTGGCTAATTTTTGTATTTTTTGGTAGAGATGGGGTTTCACCATGTTGGCCAAGCTGGTCTCGAACTCCTGGCCTCAAGCGATCTGCCTGTCTCGGCCTCCCAAAGTTCTGGGATTGCAGGCATAAGCCACTGTGCCCGGCTGAATTATCAATTCATATCAATGACTCAGATGATATGAAGCTGACAATTACAGTAAATATACAGATATGTCATGATTCAAGGTGATCTTTCTAGAATCTGAAGGCTGGAGCAAATTGTATAAGAATTTTGGTAATATTTGAGTACCTGGCCTCAAAAAAAAAAACCAACTGAAGTGTTCTGGCTAGAGGAAGCATGACGAAATCTATGTGGAAAACTCTTTGGGGTTTTAGTTGGCCCAATAACAACAATAATAGCAACCATGTTTCTAATTAGCAGCATGCTTCTAAATGTATTCTTTTCATTTGAAATAGCCCTGTGAGTGAGTTCAGTATGGCAGTGGTTATTTCCAGTTTGGAAATGATGAAGCAGAAGGCTAGAGAATTTAAGGGATTTGCAGTCATGCAGTTAAGAAATGACAGATATGCTCGGACACGTTGGCTCACGCCTATAATCCCAGCACTTTGGGAGGCCGAAGTGGGTGGATCACCTGACATCAGGAGTTTGAGACCAGCCTGGCCAACATGGTGAAACCCTGTCTCTACCAAAAATGCAAAAATTAGCCAGGCATAGTGGCGGGTGCCTATAATCCCAGCTACTTGGGAGGCTTAGGCAGGAGAATCGCTTGAACCCGGGAGGCAGAGGTTGCGGTGAGCCGAAATCGCACCATTGCACTCCAGCCTGGGCAACAAGAGCAAAACCCTGTCTCAAAAAAAAAAAAAAAAAAAAAAAAAAGAAATGATAGATCTGAAACGTGAGTTTCAGAAGAGTTGAAATCTTCTTAGTCTATTGCACTTTCTATTTGCCACAGTAATCAGTAAGTTAAGAAAAGGACAGGTAAAGGGATTGCCCTTATGTTTGCCTCTTCTTGCCATCAAGCAGAATAATTAATAAGCAATGTAATGACCAAGAGGGTCAAGAGAAGGCAGCAAAGGGCTTGCAGGTGATAGGAATTGGGTTGTACAATTGAGGACTGATTTTATTCGTGCACATAGAGGGCGTGTCAGGTGAAAGGAAACAATGTGTGAAGTTATAGAAGCATAGTTTTTTATCTTTATGATACCTTAGAGATTATTCAACAGGTTCCTCTCATTTTATGGATGAGGAGCCTGAGATTCAGCAGCAGCCTCAAGATATTTACCTAGGACTAGCTTGTTAGTGGCATACTTGGGACTAGGTCTTGCCAATCTTGGCTTTTTCATTAAAATAGCTCCTTCTACTATATGAAATGTATTTTAATTTAAAAAGACTGAGATATAGCCATTAATAACAGGTGACTCCCCCCCCCTTTTTTTGAAGCAACAAAAGCAGAGATTTATTGAAAATGAAAGCACACCCCACAGGGTGGGAACGGGTGAGCAAGTGCCTCAAGGGCCCATAGGTGACCCTTTGGAACCATAAGTAACGAACTTACTTGTCTTTAAAAGAGTCAAAGACCGTCTGTGTTGCCCAGGGTACTTGCTCATTGGGTCCACTGTAATTACCTCAGTTATTTTATGACAAACCCTTGAGGATTCATTTCTCGTAAAAAAGCAAGTCTGGCTGGGCGTGGTGACTCGCCTGTAATCCCAGCACTTTGGGAGGCTGAGACCGGAGGATCGCCTGAGCCCAGGAAATTCAAGACCAGCTTGGGCAATATAGTGAGACCTTGTCTCTACAAAAAATTAAGAAAAGAGAAAAAAAAGCAAAAGTCTTAGTTTCCAAGGCTAGGTGAATGAAGGATTTCATTCGTTGTCTCTTTGAAAGGAGACATGATTTTATTTACATCAGAAATTAACATTGAGGTTCTTTTTGTTGTAGCATGTACATAGTAAATTCATGTAATAACATTCTTTCATAAATGTTTCCTCTGGATATGTGGAATTTTTAGTTTTTTCCCCCCCAAGTGCCCATAATTCTTTGTTACCCTATTTAAAAGTTTTCTCTCCTGTAAGTAAAAAAAGGTTTTAAAGAAGAATGTTTTCCTCAATTCATTAGCTCCAGTCTGAATTCTGTGGGTACTCTTTGAAAGCATTTATTTGGTAGTTCCCCAAATGTATGGCTCTCTGTTTTTCACTGTTGTAGATTACCATATTTGATGCTGACTCTGAAGAGCAGCAAGACCTGGACTTAGCAATCCTAACAGCTTTGCTGAAGGGTGAGTATCTGGATGGGGTTGCAATTGTTCCTCATTTACGCTTCTCATGTTCCACAGTACTTTGTGCTTCTTGCGTAGATATCTTGAAAAGAATATATGATTGTTCCTTTCTTTTACCCTAGGCACAAATTTATCAGCGTCAGAGCAATTAAATCTGGCAATGGCTTGGGACAGGGTGGACATTGCCAAGAAACATATCCTAATTTATGAACAACACTGGAAGGTATAGTGAAAATGAAGTTATTCGGAAAAAATATTTTGTGTGATGGTCTGTTAGGAAGGGGCAAAAGAGAAAATGAGAGGAGATATTGATTGGTTTGGTAGAAGTGTGGGGTAGCATCTCTGTAGCTGGGATAGCTAAGACACTTTTCCCATCGACTTTGCCTTCCTGAAAACCATCTGTTTTTTTTTTTTTTTTTTTTTTTTCCTGGCTCTGCAATCTACCTGAAGCTGAAAAGGGAAGTTGAGTGAAAGACAGAATGGAAGGTTTTTATTTTAATATATTTATGTTATTTTATTTTTAGACACAAGTTCTCACTCTGTTGCCCAGGATGTCATGCAATGGTATGATCATAGCTCACTGTAACCTTTAACTCCTGGGGTCAGGTAATCCTCCCCCATTAGCCTCCTGAGTAGCTGGGACCACAGGCGCATGCCACCATGCCCAACTAATTTCTTTGGAAATTGTATTTTATTTTATTATTTGAGACAACGACTTGTTATATTGCCCAGGCTGGTCTTGAACTCCTGGCCTCAAATGATCTTGCTACCTTGGTCTCCCAAAGTGCCAGAATTACAGGCGTGAGCCACTGTGCCTGGCGTACAATTTTTAATTTATTTTTGGGTAGATTTCTATCTTGTTATTTAAAACTCAAAGTTTACTTTTTGCTTTAAAATGTAGTAGGTGCTCACATTAGAAATTAGTGAAAACATAAAAAAGAAGAAAGATTACCCATAATGCTAATGATAATCACTATTAACATTCATTTTAAAAGATTATAGTTGTGGCTGTATTACAGGTATATTATTTTTGGGCCAAGCTAATACATGCACATTGTTTAAAATATCAAATGATATTAAAAGGCAATTTTAAAAGATGGTAGTTCTCTGCCCTGCTAATCACAAGAGCTAGTACTTAAGATGTTTTTGATTTTTCTAACACTTATAAATCTCCATATTTCTAAATAATGTCATATTGCTATATTTTGGTTCATTTAGTTTCAGAAATTTTTCAACACTTCTGTCTTGTGGGCCTCACGGCTGCAATGTGGACCAGTTTCCTTCTCCTCCTGGTGCACAGCTGTCATCCCGGGATGCACCCTCATCATCTTGGGGATTCCCTTGCCTCTTTCCCATGTTAGAGGGCATGTCTTCTATGTCCTTGTCTTCCTCTTTGTTTACTCATTCATTTTGATGGTATACATGTGTCAATAAGTTCCTGAGAAAGGGAGTATGAGAGATACATATTTTGAGGACTTACATGTTTGGGTGTATTTTAATTCATGATTTAAACTATTTTTTCCTACAGAAATTTGAATGCCTAGTTTCCAGCACCCAGAATTTCTATTGAGAAGTAAACACTTCTTTTTTGTTTTCAGATTCTTTGTCACCATTTTTTTTTCCTATCTGGAAGTTAAAAAAATCTTTCTTTTCCAGTGTTATGCTGTGTGTTGTTGTGAGTCTCTGTATCCATTTTGTTGGGCACATGATTTCAACTTGGCAATCATATGTTTTCATTGCATTCCATTCCCTTCTCTTCCGTAACACCCCCAACCTTTGTTCTCTTTTGTAATTCCTATTATTTGAATATTGGACCTTATGGACTGCTCCTCTAATATTCTTATCTCTTTCCTCCCATGTTCCCTATCTTTCCTTTGGTAGCTTTGCTGGACTTTATTTTTTTATTTTAATTTTAATAATCAATTAACTAATTTATTTATTTTTGAGATAGGGTCTCACTCTGTCACCTATACTGGAGTGCAGTTGCATGATCTCGGCTCACTTCAACCTCCACCTCCCACACCAAGCAATCCTCCCACCTCAGCCTCCTGAGTAGCTGGGACCACAGGTGTGTGCCACTACACCAGGCTAATTTTTGTATTTTTAGTAGAGACAGGGGTTTGCCATGTTGGCTAGGCTGGTCGAACTCCTAGGCTCAAGCAATCCACCTGCCTCAGCCTCCCAAAGTGCTGGGATTATAGGCTGAGCCTCAACTTTAATTTTCAAGCCTTCTATGAAGCTTTTCTTTTCTGGTAGCATACTATGAATCTATTAATTTCTTCTTTTTTTAGTTTTTAATTTTTGTGTGCTCACAGTGGGTGTATATATTTATGGGGTGTCTGGGATATTTTGATACAGGCATACAATGTGTAATAATCACATCAAAGTAAATGAGGTATCCATCCCCTCAAGCATTTGTCCTTTGTTACAAACAATCCAATTATAATACTTAATTATTTTAAAATGTACAATTAAATTATTATTGACTATAGTCATTCTGTTGTGCTATCAAATACTAGATCTTATTCATTCTTTCTAACTATTTTTTGGTACCTATTAATTATCCCCCTTATCCCCCTCAGTACTCTTCCCAGCTTCTGGTAACCATCCTTCTGCTCTCCATCTCCATGGATTCAATTGTTTTCATTTTCAGCTCCTACGAATTATTGAGCACATGTAAATTTGTCTTTCTATGCCTGGCAGTCTATTAATTTGTGACAGCAAACTTGCTCCCTGATTGCACCCTCCCCTATGTTTTTCATTAGCATCCAGAATCCAATATTTTCTTTTTCTTTGAGATGGAGTCTCACTCTGTGGCCCAGGCTGGAGTGCAGTGGTACAATCTTGGCTTATTGCAATGTCCACCTCTCAGATTCAAGCAATTCTCCTGCCTCAGCTTCCCGAGTAGCTGGGATTACAGGTTCCTGCCACCACACCTGGCTAATTTTTGTATTTTTAGTAGAGATGGAGTTTCACCATGTTGGCCAGGCTGGTTTCGAACTCCTGACCACAGGTGATATGCCTGCCTCAGCCTCCCAAAGTGCTGGGATTATAGGCGTGAGCCCCTGTGCCCGGCCCAGAATACGATATCTTCTTTTACCTTTTTGAGGATATGAATGAGAGCTCTTTTGAAGTTTTCTTCTTCTTGGATTGTCTGCTTCCTGCTAGTTGATGTTTTTTGATCTGTTTGTTTTGGTCTTTTTGTTTAAGTGTAGCGGATAAAAAACTCTTTGGAAATTCCGAGCCTGTAGTTGGAGGTTGCCTATAGGTTTGAGTTTCACAGTAGGGTGATCTGACTGCCATTAGTTCAGGGGCCCCCAGATACCAACATATTCATGTCTTTTCTCTTGTATTGGTGACATTATCAGAAAAGAATCCTCTAGTTCCCTGACTGGAAGGTGTAAGCCTTGTTGCTAGTGTTATGGGACTCAAAGGGGAAAGATGACTGGAAAGACCCCAACATTAGGGATTCAGCATGTATACATGTATTTTGTTTTTGTTGGAATTCTGTAGTATAAATCTGTTTGTCTCTTGACATTTTCCACTTCTACTATTTGGCTTTCTGGTGACTGCTCAGTCAATTATGACTTGACCATCTGCTTTCCAGCTTCCAAAATGTTGCATTCTTGTCTCCACTCTTGTCCTCCTTGTCCTTGTAGATTTATTTTGTAACAAAAATCCCTTTACTGTAGTTTTAATGAAGTTTTGAGTGGGAGAAAAATTAGATGAGCATGTTCAACTTGCCATTTGTGCCTAGAAGCCAGGTAGAGTCTAAATGGACACATGACAAGTAACAAAAACAAAAGAAGAAGAAGAAACCTTGAATGTCTATCAGAATTGCATTAAGCCTGTACATTCATTCATTTGGGAAGCTTCGAGATCTTTACAATAATCAGTTTTCCCATCCAAGTACATGGGATGTTCTTTGATTTATTCAAGATGTCTTCACTTAAGTCCTGCACATTTCTTAGTAAGACTATTTATTCATTCATTCATTCATTCAAGACAGGGTCTTGCCCTGTTGCCCAGGCTGGAGTGTAGTGATGCATTCATGGCTTACTGCAGCCTTGACCCCTTGGGCTCAATTGGTCCTCCCACCTCAGCCTCCCAATTAGCTGGGACCACAGGTGCATGCCACTATGCCTGGCTAATTTTTGTATTTTTCGTAGAGACAGGGTTTTGCTGTGTTGCCAAGGCTGGTTTGGAACACCTAAACTCAAGCAATCCACCTGCCTCAGCCTCCAAGGGTGCTAGGATTACAGGTGTGCGCCACTGAGCCTGGCCTAGTAAGACTGTATTTAAATTTTTTCCTTTTTTTTTTTTTTCTGTACCCACTGATGGCAGGATTTTATTTTAAAATTATTGTGTTTGTGTAATTTTGAGTTCAAAAACATGTAATTCTTTAGTTATTTCTACTTTCTTAATTGTCTTTATATTTCTTATTTGTGCTTTCTGAAGCCTGATGCCCTGGAACAAGCAATGTCAGATGCTTTAGTGATGGATCGGGTGGATTTTGTGAAGCTCTTAATAGAATATGGAGTGAACCTCCATCGCTTTCTTACCATCCCTCGACTGGAAGAGCTCTACAATACAGTGAGTATGGAACATTTCATCAATCATTTCCCTCCAGATTCAAGAAGAGCAAGGATCATCAAGCAGACCATGCAGAGGCAAAACTCCTTATCTGAGGAAATTAGAAGTAGCTGGACTTCCCTATTATCTGAAGCTGGATCTAGTTCCAGGCTTCTTTCCCCAACATTTATAAGTAACTAGAATTTCTGTACATCTTCAAAATGCATACATGTTAAAACTCATTGTGCAACCCTTCCTGACATGAAGGCACCAAAATGGCTACAAATGCAATCATTTATCATGACCTACATGGCTAACATGGTTCAAATTACCCTTAAGCTCCCACTTTAAGGTCCATAAATACTCCTGAGGAAAATCCACTGCTGTGAGCTCAGTTCTCTCTTGCTGAAGCTCCCTTCTGCACTCTTCTCCAGCATTCTTTCCTTCTAATAAAACGTTCCTTTTTCAAAATCTATACTGTTGTCAGTAAATTATTCTTACTACCTGCAAGCCAGTCACTTTCCATTGCCAGGGGTCTGACACCTTGCCTGGTAATTATTTATTGATCAGCTTAAGACTTATTTATCTCCTTGAATATTCTTGTACAAAGATAGTTTATAGATAGACTCTTCAACCAAAGGAGAAACATTCTTACCAATTCTATTTTATCCTAGTAAAACATAGTTAAAGACTAAATTGTGAATAAGAACAAATTACCTTTTATTGAGTTATTGGAAGTATCTCAACCTAAGGCCACTATTAAAATACTGTTCCTGTACCTTTCCCATGTAAACCCTTTGTTGAAACTAGCCTGACTTACACACTGTGAAAACACCAATTGCTCAAGCCATGGACACTTCTTGAAATAGCCTTCCTTGTCCTTTAAATCTTATTCTTTCTTCAATGATTTATTCAAGTCTTGTCTTCTTGATTACTGCAGTTAGTTCACAGTGATTTGTTCCTAGAGTACCAATTATTTGTAACTCTTTTTGAGCCCACACATATTGTTGGTTATTTTTTAGTGTAAGTAGCCACTCTTTTCTATTATTATAAACACTCCAGGAAAATAGTGCTTATATTTGTCATTGAATCCCTAATTGAATATAGTAAGTATTCAATAAATATTTGTTGCTGGAATGTGCTCGTGTGATAGGATTTGTAATTGTATGATAAAGGATAGTAATAAATTACCTAAGATTCATTTCTATCTCTTATCACATAAAGTCTTTATTATCTACATATTTGCATCTTGCTTTGAAAAATATTTCATATAAATACATCTTCTCTTGGAAAACACCTTCTTTAGAATTAATTGGCTTAAGCATTGTTACTAAAAATATTGAACACAATTTTCAGTATTCTCAGTTACTTATGCATTCTGAAGTAAAGGTTTTACCCCCCAGCACATGGTAATTAAAGAGAATAATTCTTCCTTTTGTTCTTTATTTCAGAAACAAGGACCTACTAATACACTCTTGCATCATCTCGTCCAAGATGTGAAACAGGTAACCTAATTAAGAAGGCGTGAACATGTCTTTGTGTATTGCCTTAGCTTTGTGTTGGAGGAGTCACTGAATTTTGCTTTGTAAAATGCAGATTTGGATTGTTTTGTTAATTACCTATCTTCTTTACCTTGATTTGAACAAGTTCATCAACAAACCACATTCGTACACTTTTTTCCTTAATTTACTTTATGTTTTAAAAGACTTGATCCATCAGTTAGGTGATATTTGCTAATAAAAAGCCATGAATCAGAGACATGCAATGCTTCTAATCAGAACTTCAGCTTACCCCGATACCGTGGTGGTGCCTATGATGATGATACCAGCTGGAAATAAATAACTTTGTGGTTGTGTTATCCTTATTGGAGGACTAATATGTGATTTCCATTGTTTTTGATATCAGTGATAGTTCTGGCACTCTCTTGCTGCTTTTGTGAGTCTGCATTGTTCTAGGCAGTCAGGTGGTTCCCCTCCCTGTTCTATACTCTTGGTCATGTTTTGCTCATGGTGTTCTCACTGAACTGTGAGTTAGGTCAAACTTAAAGTATTTGATTTCCCATTAGTTACCAAAGCCTTCCAACTTTAACAAACTTTTATACCTCAGTTTCTTTTCTTTCCATTACCAGTGACTTTTATCCACATCCCCTGAAAATTGGGAGTACTTTTTATTTATTTGTCACTATGGTTAAAATCCAAGGCACATTTTTAAAATTCTCTTGTTTTTCCAAAGTCTGATATCTTGTTAGAAGGAATGTGAGCTTTCAGTTTATGTTGACGTGGAGAGAGAGCCAGAGTGAAAGGAAGACATATCCTTGTTTTTTTTTTTTTTTTTTTTTTTTTTGAGATGGAGTTTTGCTCTTGCCCAGGCTGGAGTGCAATGATGGGATCTTGGCTCACTGCAACCTCCGCCTCTTGGTTCAAGTGATTCTCCTGCCTCAGCCTCCTGAATAGCTGGGACTACAGATGCCTGCCACCACACCCGGCAACTTTTCTGTATTTTTGGTAGACGTGGGGTTTCACCATGTTGGCCAGGCTGGTCTCGAACTCCTGACCGCAGGTGATCCACCCGCCTTGGTCTCCCAAAGTGCTGGGATTACAGGCATGGTCCATCGTGCTCCACCTATTCCTTGGCAAATTAGCAGTAAGCAAAAGTGTCCGTGCTCATGTAAATTTAGTTTGTATTGATTTATGCAATATAAAAATGATTTTATTTATTTTTTTTAAACTGTGCCACAGTAAACTGAAAAAAAGTGATGAACTAGGTTAAATATGTTCTAACTAGCAGCAATAAGAGCATTACTTTTGGCATTCCTTGAAAAAAGTAAATTATGCATGTGAAAAAGAAAAATTAAATTATTTACATTCATTCATATATAACCTTATTTCTTGTTCCAAGCTTTGTGAATATTAGTCACAATCTTCATTTCGGAGACCTTGTTCAACACTCTGTGTGCCTTTAAAAATTTACTATAAATGGGCAGTTTAAAAGTGAACAGTTATGAAGAGGTAGTAAGGTGCAATTTAAGTAGTCAAAATAATTTTCATTTAGACTAAGACCCACATACTTGGAAATCTACCACTCAGCCCTCCTGCCAACCAATCATAACACTTGTCTTGGCACAGCCTCATGGTTTTGTTTGTTTGTTTTGCTTTATTGCAATATTCTCTTTATTGTGGTGGTCTCGAACTGAACCCGCAATATCTCTAAGGTATGCCTGTATGGAGTTTCAGATAGTTACTCAGCTTGGCCAAGTGCATATGCTAAACTCTGGGTAGACAAAGACAGACCCTTTCACATAGTCTGTAAAGGAAGACAGACATGCAAGCTGACAACTTCAATACCCTTGTAATATATCCTGTGGGATTTTGGACCATAGGCAAAGTGGATTATAGACACAAAGACCCCCAAATATGCCCTGAAATATAGAAAACACTATACTGTCTATACTGGATTAAGTTCAATTCAAGGAAGAACGTGGCTGCATAAGCCTCATGTTTTGGTATTGAATTTGACTTTGTCATTCTATATTCCTTGTTTTCATTTGTTCTACTTCCTCCCATATTCTTGTTTTACATATGATGTAGTCAACGCAGTGCAAAGTGTTATATCCATTTCAACAAAGAGAGAAGCTGAAAAGCTAACCCAATGTTAATTTTGGATCACACACATTCAGTGTAGACTTTAAGATTTTACTTCTGTTGGAGTAGCTATATTATTTCTAGTTAAAAAACTCTCTATATACATATTTATTTGTTTTTCTACTTGTTTAATATTTTTCTCTTCCAATTAGGAACTCAATATGGAATAAAAAATATTTAAATGTATTTTACTCAAACGTGTGTGTATATATGTTTGTGTGCATGATAAGGAGAGTGAGAGCAAGAGTAAGAGAGAGAGAGCACGCATAGATGGAAGCACACATTTAATGTCTATGAAATGAGAAAACATTAAGGCTAAGATATTTTTCCTTCTGAACTAGCAGATTGTATCAATGGCTGGTCACTTAAATTAATCAGTTTGTAAAGATATTTAAAAGGTATGTCTACCTTCTTGCAATTAATTTGATTATGTTCTAATGGCATGGCAAGAGAAATGAAAGAAGATAACTAAAAGTTAAAAGTCGTTGCATGTTTTTGTTGCAGCATACCCTTCTTTCAGGCTACCGAATAACCTTGATTGACATTGGATTAGTAGTAGAATACCTCATTGGTAGAGCATATCGCAGCAACTACACTAGAAAACATTTCAGAGCCCTCTACAACAACCTCTACAGAAAATACAAGGTAGAGTAATTGAAAAGTGCCCAAGTAAAATTGAGAATGATTAGGAATTGTTGTTTTGGAAAAATGGCCTTGGAAGTTCAGACAAAAATAGCTCCTAAAATGGTCATTTTATTTATGGACATTTGTTATCTGCTGTATGTGAAGTATACTGTACTAAGTGTTGCAGTGTTGGCTTGGGATGCGTAAGGATCAGAAGTTTAGAAACTCTTAAACAGATTTATGAGTAACTAGCCATAATACAAAACAGTATATAATACATGCTATAGTGACATAGAAATAATGTGATGAGGCAGGTTAGAGGGAGAGATGACTAGTTCTTTTTTTTTCTTTTCTTTTTTTCTTCCGAAAATACTGATATCAAAAGCTTAATCAGATTAGATATGTAAACTCATCCTAGTCCATAGTCTGGAGATAACAAACTTGGTATAAGCATGTAGTGATTATATTGAAAGATGCGTGTAGAATATCCTTAAAAACATAAGTGATACATATTTTATTTTCCATGATAGTTTTGAGAATCTAGGAATGTAAAATTAGAGTTGTTGGTTAGTAGTTAGCAGAGGAAACATTGCCTATTTCTTGAAATTGCCATTATGGATTAGCAACCTGAGGAGACTCATTCTTATTAGAAGATGAGGGGAGGATTAGAAAATGTAGTTTTGGGTATTTTTGTTGAGAGAAGAGAAGGAGCAGTAAAGGGCACAGCCTTTGGATATTCAGGTATGTTTCTGCTGTGACAAGGAGACCTTTGTTGCTGGAGAATCAGTGTCATATGGTTTTAAGGGAGGAGACTGGAAAGGCAGTTTGGGGTAAGATTCCATAAACAGCCTAGAATATCAAGCTACTTGGGATCCTTTATAAAGAATCAAGTGACGTGAAAGCCCAGCTTGGCTTTCAGAAATGAAAAAGCAAAACAGGAAAGCCAAATCTGACACAGAAAAATGTTCTCTATTAAGATTTCAAAGGCATAAGGATACACTTAAGGAGGTATCAGCTACTTCATTTAAACAGAACAGACATTGCTGTGAGGTTCCCAGTGACAAGTAGGAGGACTGACTGTGGCGCTGGTGCAGCCCAGTGTGGAGCTTGCTAGGGAAGTTCCCTTAGTGCCCTTTCTTTAAATGGCCTGCCAGTACGAAGTCACCCATTTCTTGGATTGTCTTCCAGTGGAGTGCAGAGTTTATTGTGTGTCATATTAAACTAGACTGTAGTAGTTACAAGCACATGATTTTGGAGTCAAGAGACATCTGGCTAGGACTGCCTCCAATTTTGCTCTTTAGTAGCTGTGTAATCTTGAACAATAAGCTTAACTTCTCTGTGCATGTTTTCTCATCTATAAATGGGAATAGTAATGACCCTTTTATAAATTTGTCAGAAGGATTAAATAATATATGAAAAATCCATGTTCCTGATACACAGAGGGTGCAGAGTCATCGTTAGTAATAATGGTCATTATGATAATTACTATAATGACACTATTAATTCATATTACAATAGTAATAATAATTTGGGTGTTGCCTTTAAAAAGTCTTCACCTCATCATTTCTATGTTCAATTTTTATCAACAAAACAGAAACTTAAATAAAGCAGTTCAAAGCCTGTAGTTTGGGCTGGGCATGGTGGCTCACGCCTGTAATCCCAAGACTTTGGGAGGCCAAGGCAGGAGGATTGCTTGAGCCCAGGAATTCGAGACCAGCCTGGGCAACACGGTGAGATCCAGTCTCTAAATAAATAAATAAATAAATAAATAAATACAATAAATTTTTAAAAAGCCTATGGTTTTTTTTTCTCAGTTGTATTTTTTAATGGAAAATTTTAAACATACAAAAATAGAGAATAGTATAATGAATCCACATGTACCTATCACTCAGTTTCAATAATAGCAACAATGGCCAACCTCCTGCCCCCAGATTATTTAAGATCAAATCTTACATCATATCATTTCATTCATAAATTCTTGTGAATATCTCTAAATGAAATGTACTTAGGAAAATGTAATTATGATGCCATTATCATACATAAAAAATGAATAATTCCTTAATATAATCAATGAATAATTCCTTAATATAATGAAATATCCAATCAACATTCACAATGCTTTCTGATTCAGCTGTGAGGGTTTCAATTTAAGCAGTTCCAGCTTTTCTGAACTGGTCTAACTACTGCTTGCTTGCATTTGACTCTTTGTGTTTTCTGTATTAAGACTTCCAACCTCAAAATAGGCAGGCACTTTTTTTTTTCCAGTCGTCTTTTCGATACTTAAGAAAAACCAACTAGGGCTCTCCTCACCTCCTCCTCATCCCCAAGTCATTATACCACCCTAATGCCTGCCTGGGGCTCCTGGGCATCCCTGCCACAGTCACCCAGGTATAGTTTGCTTTAAGGACACCAATGATCTTAAACTTCAACTTTCAAATTTTCGTCCAGGTGAAAATGTGAAAAATTCACATTCACAGATAGCACGTATTTGTCACATTCTGAGACATGTTACTTAAGCAACATCTCAGTTCTATGGCCTCCTCATTTGGTTCTGGAGTAGCATTGTCTGAAAATTGTTTCTATTTTCTTTATAAGTTTCCTCAGTAATGAGGGAGTAATTTCTGGGATTAGCGGCCAGAGCCACTCTTTACTGAACCTGTGGGCTCTTAGTGTGGGCAGATTATCTAGTGGTAAACGTTCTCCCTCAACAAGTGAAGACATTCCTTTTTAAGAAATTGCATTACAGAGCATAGGTTTGCGGATGATCTTCCAAATCAATAGCAAGGTGAAAATGAATCTGTATTTCTTCCTAGGAGAATGACTTAAGTATCAAAAACTAACAGAGGCCTTAGGAAAAATGGAAACATTCATGCCAAAAGCATCCTGTTTATGGTTTTGCCTCTAAAGTTAACCACAAATTAGGATTGGAGATTTTATCCAATTATGTTAGAAAAATTACTTGATTCAGTCTTTGCTCATTTGAAGGAGTTGTGCTCAGTTGCAATGATCATTTAACCTTTGTTACAGCTAATGTAAAATTAAACTAATTTTAATTAGTCTTTAATTGTTTAAGATGACATTTCAAACAAAATTTTTATTATTTTTCTATTAAAAAGTTCTCCCTCTTTAAACTTTATTTTCCATAAATATTTATAATCATTCATTTGCTATGTGCATATTTTGGGATTTTTTGTGCTTCGGACTTTTCTTTTTTTAGAAACTGATGTTTATTTTACATTAAGCTTATTTCCATGTTGCTTACGAGCCCGTGCAAGGGCAGCTTAAGACCATTCAGTGGTTGCTTCTACCCATTCAGTGGCCTGAGCAGTGGGAGCTGCAGACCGGTCTTCCATGGCAGGCTGAGAGCTCCAGTCTTCAGTAGGGAACTGCTGAATAGTCACAGAGGACACCTTCATGCCTTCAGACCAGTTTGTAACCTCAGGCTGAGTAGCAGTGAACTCAGGAGCTGAAGCAGTCCATTCACCCTGAAATTCCTCCTTGGTCACCGCGTTTGCAGCAGCAGCCTGCTCTTCTTTTTCAATCTCTTCAGGATCTCTGTAGAAATAGAGATCAGGCAAGCTTATGGTTTTTATCATATTTTATGTTAGTCCCTTTAAGAATGCTTCTTTTTGTTTTTGTATCTTGTTGATGAAAACTTCCTGCTAATGGCAATGAGTTGTGTTGTTATTGGGCCTGGCCACTGGAGTTCCAGTGGAGATATTATATAATACCTGAGAAATTCCATAACTTTCTGACTTAACCTTAACCTTGGAACTGCTTGTGAATGGGAATTTTTTCTTATCAGAACTGTAAATCTTTATTGCCTATTTTGAACTCGTTCCAGGGAGAGAACATCCATTCATTCTAATGGAATTTCCACGTAGTGAAGGTATGCAGATATATAATAGGGAACAAAAGAGTGTGTTCTCTAAGATGTTAGGAAATAACAAAATGCACAATGAGATCATTAGAGGCTCTTGTTGGGTGCTAATCATGGAGAGAAACAGAGGCATGGATATTTGGTAGGACACAACATTATATTTGGTTTTCATTATTGTCTAGAAATAAAATATTGTTACCACTATAATCTCCCCTCCTTTTGTTTTATTTTAAAAATAAAATAATAACGTGCCAGAGAGTGACCAGCTTTGTTCAAAACCTTTCCCAGCACCAGAGACACTCCTCAGGAAATAGAAATGAGTCTGCAGAAAGTACGCTGCACTCCCAGTTCATTAGAACTGCACAGCCATACAAATTCAAGGTACCATTTACTTGTTTTTCAACTTGAAAGGAAAATGTTTTTTGCAGCTCGAGACTGTTTCTTCATTTACATCAAAGAAAGGGAGGTGCAAATAGAGGGACCATTTATAAGTGCCATAAACAGATGGTGCAAGTCAAAAGCATAACACAGCTGTCCAGTAACAACAGTGAGCAAAGGCACAGTGATTCTCTGGACTTGCACTTTAGCCTCTCTTCCTTGCTGCTATCCCTGCTGTGTCTAGACAGTGACTCAGTCAGGTGATCTATGGGATGGTACTTAAAAAATGTGATCATTAACCCAACACCATACTCTTATGTGCTGTTCCCTAAGGCCAGTTGGATGTGAAGTCTGTTTCCTTCTTTTCTTCACTTCTCTGCCGCATTGACTTTTTGCATCTTTTTTTAAAAATTTTTTCCTTTTTGAGGCTTTCTTGAAATTATTATGAATCTAATATTACAGTATGACAATGATGATGAGTGTGTGTGTGTGTGTGTGTGTACAACATTGTTATTCCTCCTAGTCTCATACTCCTCCAGTCCCACTTTACTCTGAGAATAAATGCTTTTGCTCAAGAATTTCCATGCAAATGGTTATTATGTTAGCTGAAAGAGGTTTGCTTTCCATAGCTCCTGGTATGAAAGAGGTATTTTATAAAATTACTCTTGGTCATCATCAATGAACATGAATTCCTTTTATTTATAGAAATAGAGGAAATGGATTATAATTTTTTGCTAAGACCTCTCAAATTAAAAGGAGTAATTATTGAATCTTTAGTATTTGCCAGGCATTATACTGAGTGCTTGGTTGAACTTGGAAGGTGGGTGGGGAGGGGAGGATATAATTGTGTCCGAGAAATGGTCTCATCTTCCTCAAAGTCATAACCGTAGTGCAGTATGATGAGCCCAGAGATAAAGACACACAAAGTGATGATACAGGATTATGTGAGGAGGTAGAATGGCATGATGAATGGGGATTTATCAGGTGGAGAATGGTATTTCATGATCACCTGTTACCTTTGCTGATAAATATAATCAGAATAAAGGAAAAGAAACTTCAAATCAATCTATTTGGATACATGTTGGCTACACTAGGGATGTTTTCCCAAAGGGAAGATAATGAATCTATTTGCTAAGTGAGGTTAGAGCTTTTTAAAAATACATCACTCCCATGTATCCAATACGCTATTTCGACCCATTTCCTTGAGAAACTAAAAGTTGTCATGTAGTCTCTATTTCAGCACTCATCGTACTGCTCTGTGGTTATTACTTTGAGGAAGATGGAACCATTTCTCAGGCATTGTTATGTCTCCCCCTACCCACCCATCTTTCAAATTCAATTAAGCACTCTGGGTATATCCTAAAGAGGCACTGCTTTAAGTTATGCTAAATGACCTTAAGATATATCAGTTCAGGGACTCTGGATCTGTTAAATGCAACAAGAAGTAGATTACCTTTTATGGTCTAAATTTTGCTTGCTGGCTTGTAAAATCTTATTATTATTTCCATCTCTTTTTTAGTAGTGATTAAAAAAAATCTCTAGGACACCTGCTGTGTTGAATTAGGTAAAACATCATACATCTGAGTATTTGAAAACTCATTCCTATTTTATTTTCCAACAGGAAAAGTCTATAGTCCTTCATAAATCAAGGAAGAAGTCAAAAGAACAAAATGTATCAGATGACCCTGAGTCTACTGGCTTTCTTTACCCTTACAATGACCTGCTGGTTTGGGCTGTGCTGATGAAAAGGCAGAAGATGGCTATGTTCTTCTGGCAGCATGGAGAGGAGGCCACGGTTAAAGCCGTGATTGCGTGTATCCTCTACCGGGCAATGGCCCATGAAGCTAAGGAGAGTCACATGGTGGATGATGCCTCAGAAGAGTTGAAGAATTACTCAAAGTAAGTGTTCTCTCTTCACTTCATACTAAACATCAACACTTCTTAGAATGGTTAGACACTTTTATCTCTCTCATCTTTAAACTTGTAGGACAAATGGACTTACCGCCATGCATTTTATGGACTCTCCTGTTAAAAGGGTCTTCAGGTATTCTAAGGAGCTTTGTGAAGTAAAGAAAAGAGAGGTGACCTTCAAGTCAGGGGACTTGGGTTCTAGTCCAGCTGTTGACTAATTAGACAAGTCAGTTGACCAGATTTCGGGGCTTTAGTTTCCTAACTATGAAATGTTCAATTAATGATTTTGAAAGCTCCCCCTAACTCTAGAAGTCTTTGATGCTAAATTAAATTAAGACATTGTTTTCATTAAGTATCTCTCAGGTGGGAAAACAAATAAATGCATTGTCTTAAAGAGCCAGAGAGTAATGGTGGAAAATAGAAGTTAAAAATGCTTTTGGTTTTGAAGTTACTAAAGTGTTATAGTAATGAAGAAAGAATGAAAGCTAGAATCAATGGAAACTAATTTATAATTTTGATGTAAAAATTCCCAGGCTGGAGGCAGAGGTTGCAGTGAACTGAGATCGTGCCACTGCACTCCAGCCTGGCGACAGAGTGAGACTCCGTCAATAAAAAAAAAAAAAAAAAAAAAAAAAAAAAAAATTCCCAGGCTTGGTGCAGTGGCTCACACCTTTAATCTCAGCACTTTGGGACACCAAGGTGGGAGGATTGATTGAGGCTAGGAGTTCAAGACCAGCCTGGGCAACACAGCAAGACCCTGTCTCTACCAAAAAGACAAATTCCAGAGCATGACAATGTCTACCTTTCAGAGGAAACATTCTCCTCGAAAATCACATGGGGGTGTCTCTAGGTCTAGGTCTATAGCTTTCTTAAGTCATGTAGATATTTTATAAAATCTTAAAAAAACAAGTGACTCCACAGCTTTCCTTACTTGCTAGTTGGGTTCTGAATAGTTTTTTTTGTCAAAAAAAAAAAAAAAAACACACTTTATTAGGTCTTATCAGGGAGTCCCAAACAAACCAAGCTATGTATAAGCCTATGTATAAGTCCCAAACCAAGCTATGTCCAATAGTGTGGAGTGGCTACTCCCTATGAATAGCTCAGGTGTAAATTAAATTCTGTATGCTACAATGTAAACCTCCTAGTTCTGTTCCTTCAGGAAAGGGAGAAAAATCCCTTTCCTGAGCTGTAATTCCTTTCAAATAGTTTCTGGAAACTAAGATTATTAAGTTGCTGTTTGGTGTTGTTGGCTTTTTTTTTTTTTTTAAAGGAAGCCTTATGAATTGATATTTTCTGAGCCTCACATCCAATCTTTTACAATGTTTCTAAATGTTCTAAAATGTTTCTAATAATGCAGCTCTCTCACCTGCCTTTGTTTTCTTAATTGGCCACCCTCATGGCAGACAGTTTGGCCAGCTGGCTCTGGACTTGTTGGAGAAGGCATTCAAGCAGAATGAGCGCATGGCCATGACGCTGTTGACGTATGAACTCAGGAACTGGAGCAATTCGACCTGCCTTAAACTGGCCGTGTCGGGAGGATTACGACCCTTTGTTTCACATACTTGTACCCAGATGCTACTGACAGACATGTGGATGGGGAGGCTGAAAATGAGGAAAAACTCTTGGTTAAAGGTAAATTTACTTTACTTGTCTTATGGAGTTTAATGTTAGTCTTGTATAAAATTCTGTACTCGAGTTACATTTTGTTCCAGAATTGTGTCTTCAGGAAAACCAGTTAATATATTTGAGAGCTCATTTGGAGGTTCTAGCAGGGGACTGCAGCTACTCGTATACCCTTGACAGAAGATTGGTCTTCCTCTATCGGGGATGGTCGTCTTCTGCGACTGAGCGACAGAGCGTGCAGCTTTGGGAGGGATGCACATGGAGTGGTGAGGGAGGAAGGGGACACCTGCCTAGCCAGCCAGATCAGCTGAATCAACCCTGGCGATCAATGGGGTGACAGATGTCACAGCCAGATCGCCCTCACATCCTAGTTAATATATTTGATTCTCACAGAAGATCTGGGGTCTTCCCAGAGGAATCTGTGAAGACGACTTTTATCTCCCATGGCCACAGTTTCCTTTTGAAAAATGGGTATAATTTTACCTGCCCTGTCCACCACAAAGGTGAGGGTGCTTACACATTAAAAGCATAGACAAACATGCAAGATTTCATTATTACTAGTTGCTATTGCCTCCAATAATTACAACAAAAGTAAATGAGACTTTTTACTGAATTTTTTTCTCGGTGTAAGAATACTAACAGATAATAAACTAAATAGAATTAATAACTTCTGTTGTTCTGCTTACCCAATGTGTGTGTGTGTGTGTGTGTGTATGTGTGTGTGTTTTTTTTTGAGAGAATAAGTGACTGTTTCATAAGGCTGCCCTCCAATACATTTGTTCATATGACTAACCATCTCAAATTTCTCAGCCTCATCTATTATCTTAAATTATCAAGAATAATTTAGTTGACTGCTAAGGACATTTAATCTTTGACATCAAACCTAAGTCTAAAGGCTTTAGGTTATGGACAAGCTTAAGGAGTACATATACTTATGAAACCAAATAAATAAAAAGAGACAAAGAGTGACTATTAAGAACTACATAAGTCTGTATTTTATATTTTAATTTTATTTTTCCTAGAGTTCTTAAAAATATGATGTGTCCCAAACATGACTATTTTTCCACTGATGAAATTATAGAAATAAGAGAAATGTCAACCAAAAAGGATCTCAACATAAATCCTTTTAAAGAAAATATCAGAAACAATAATTGTTTTCAGAAGTTCTCCAATGATTTGCTTTGATTGCACCCTTGGAACTGAGGAATCAGAGATGTGAATGGGTTCACCTCTAGCTACATAAGTTCAATGTTCAGGGAGTGAGATAAGATATAGATAGCTGGTAGTTTGAGAAATAATTTTCCTCATGTTTCTGTCCTGTATATACTCTAGTTTACTAGAAATCCTTATTTCTGAGAACTTAATGAATTCTTGTTCTTCATATACTTCATACCAAAAAGGAGACTTGTGAAGTAAGACTAAATGTTTTGCCCCAAAAGATAGAGTGAGTTAATAATAAAAAAGGCTGAGTTAGCTACTTAAAGTCTCTAAGCTGCAGTAAACATTCTTCTCCAGTGTTTAGATGCTACTTTATCAGTGCTTGGTTGGTGAGTTTTAGAAACACATTTGCAAATAATTGTGAGATGTCCTGGCTAGGCTAATTCCAAGTAGAAGAATACTGTAGGAAAACCATGTAGAGAGATGTGGATGGGAAAACTCATTGTAATGCTCCATCAAATCCCTTAGAGATGGGATACTGATGTTGTCAAATACTATTTCATAAGCCAGCTGTTCTGCAATGCACAAGGGCAATAGAATGTGGGGCCTCTTCAGGAAGTTGTCTAGAGATTAATTAGTACAATATTACCACTGGGCATGATAACTGCGATTTTTCCAGACCTAGAAGATTGCACGTATTTTGGGTTGTACATCTGGACAAAAAACAAACACACAAATAAAATCCTATTAGAACTGGAGAAAGTCCAGAGAATCTTCCTAGGAGATCAAGCTTTAAAACAGGGTGACAAAAGATAATTTCATCATGAAAAAAAAAAAAAGAAGGTTGACAAGGATATGACTTCGGTTTACCATACTTAATAATGAATGCCAACTAGTCAATTTAAATCTTCTTTTTCATCACTGAATACCAGAATACTAAGGCCTACTTTTAGCTTGAAAGAAGTAGTGTTCATCAAGTTGATATCAGAGCATTTAGTAAATCTTTTAAACTCTTTACCTTGGAAGGCCATACAAGTTGAACTTAAAAATTTTTTTTGAAAAGACTGTTAGTAATTAATGAATAATAGCAATATAATGAAAAAAACTTGTGGATGTCTGGATCTATACCCTCCTTGGGTTTTACTAGTAGAGAAAAGATACGTGTGGGATGGGAGATGGATCTAACAGAAGGTGACGGTATACTTTTAGATTCTTGATTTTATAATATCAACTAATTTTAATGTGTTTTATGTGGTAATAGCTACTTAATGGCTTTAAAATATTATTAAAGCAGTGTGCTCATTGAAAAATAATACCTGTCACTGCCCTGTCCTGCCACTCCTAGAGATAAATAATTACAGTGTAGTATACATATTTTTAAACGTTTAAATACATATTTATATGCATATAAATAGCTAAGATTTTTAATTTTATTTTTTAACAAAAATGGGATCACTCTATGTTCTTCTATACAGTTGGCTCTTCATATCCATGGGTTCCACATCTGCAGATTTAATCAACTTCAGATAAAAAATATTTGGAAAAACACCCCCAAATAAATAACAATACAATAAAAGTTATACAAATGAAAAATCAATATAGTACAACTATTTATATAGCATTTACATTGTATTAGGTATTATAAGTAATTTAGAGATGCTTTAAAGTATAGGGTAGGATGTGCATAGGTTATATGGAAATACAACACCATTTGATGTCAGGGACTTGAGCAGCCTCAGATTTTGGTATCCTTGGGGTCGGGGGTCAGGGGTGTCCTGGCTCCAATCCCCTTTGGACACCAAGAGGTAACTGTAATTTGATCTTTTCACTTAACAATATAGCGTGGCTACCTTTTCATTATATTCAACATTGCCTTGGTCTTTTTAATGGTTGCACAGTATTCCACTATTAGGTTATTCCAGACCAGCTGTCCCTCTCTAGATAGACATTTAGGTTGACACCAGTGTTTTGCTTTTCCAAATAGTCCTGCAATGAACATTCTTATCTGCAAATGCTTGTACTCATGAGTATTTCTGAGAGAAACACTAGAACTGAAGTTGCCGAGTCAAAAAATTATTTATAGAAATGCGATGAAAATTGACTGGGATGGGTCTGGCATTTTATATACACTGAAATTCTTAATTTTGTTATTTGTCTAGTATGTGCTTTTGTAGTCCCTACTACTTTGTTTTGCTTTTTTTTCTTTTACAGATTATTATAAGCATTATTTTACCACCCACCATTTTGACACTGGAATTTAAAAGCAAAGCTGAGATGTCACATGTTCCCCAGTCCCAGGACTTCCAATTTATGTGGTATTACAGTGACCAGAACGCCAGCAGTTCCAAAGAAAGTGCTTCTGTGGTTAGTGCAAAATCATAATGAACTGAATTTTCATTGTATTGACTGCACGCAAATATACACATCCTTAAAGTTTACTTATATAGCCATCTATTAAACAAAAGTTATGTTGCCTATATTTCAGGCCTGTGATGACATATGGTCCTGGGGTACATTATTTTAAAATGCCTCTGACCAATCAAGCATTTAGTTCTCTTAATCTTAATCATATTATGCTATGGTCAGGTATATTATGTACAATAGAACTAATTAAGCCCTGTACACAATTAAGCAAAATATTCTATTTCTACTTCAAAGCCAAAATCAAAGACGTGGTTTGGACATAGCCATATACCAATTTATTAATTCAATGACTCATTTGTGGCCACTTTACATGTGCTAGAGGTTCTGTGGACACTGAATTAATTAAGGCAGATGCAGCCTTTTCAACTGTGGGGCTTACAATCAGAATATCCACAATATCTCACCATTGTTCAATTAAAACAGGTATTGAAAAAGTGTTTCAAGTCTGTTCACTATAAATGGCTTATAATCATAACAACAATCTTTCTTTTGTCTTTGAATTTAACTTAAGCAGTAATTATTAATAAGCTGCTATGTTTTTAGAATTTTCTAGGCATGGTGTAAGGGGTGGAGGCAGCACTTTTGATGGGGTAGATAAGATTTCATAACACTGATTAAGTAATGCAATTTATTAGTTGAGGAACATAATTTGCATTACGTATTGTGGCAGGAAACTGAAGGCAGGTGATACTTAGATGCTCTTTAGAGTGTCACTGTGTTGTCTTCTTGTGGTAATAGTGGGTAATAATGAATATAAAGAAGGCACTTCTGGTAATTAGAGAAGGAAAGCCATTATTCTGGAGCTGAAGCTGTATAGCATCAAATACTGCATTTACTCACTGAGGTTTTATAAAACTCCTTACTGAAATTTCTACAGGCAGAATAACTTTGCCATGTGAAATTTAGATCTTTTTAGCTGATAACCTCTTGAAAACATGACCTGTGATGACTTGAGTTTTCTTAGGACTAAATTACAGTAAGATGGCAGAATGGGTTAACCAACAGCAGAAGAAGACTCTTCCCATTAGGAGTCAGTAGGTAAGGATTAGGGGTTAGTGACAGTTTTATGATTGGGTTGGTGTTTGAGCCTGACTTGACGATGTGGTGAGGGAAAAGAGCATATCAGTGAGAAGGAGACTATCAACAGGGTCATGGAGTTGGGAAGTGGCAAGGTATATGTAAAGCATCGCAAGTGGTATGGTTCAGCTGGAATCTAGGTTATGAGGGTTATGTGACAAGCTGGGAGTACTTGTAGGAATGGCTGGAAAGTAGATTGAGGCTAGATCATGTAGAATCTTGTATATCCTGTGAAGGAGTATGATTTTTATTCTGTAGGTTACGGACAGCCAGTGAATGTGTATGCCAGAGTAGTGAGATGATCTGACTATTAGAGAAATTATTCTGCCTCCAGGGCATAGGATGGTTTAGCAAGAAGACTGGCTGGAAGCAGGGTAGGCCAGGGTAGCCATCCAGGTGAGAAGCAATAAGTCCTTTAACGAGAGTCAGTAGCAATGGACGTGGAGAGGAAGAGGGTCTTTTAAACAAGGCCGTCTTGAAGGGACACAAGGATAACTGGAGAAGGAGTGGGTTTGGAAGGGGAAAGATGAGCTCGGTCTTAGACAGGTCGATAAATCACAGTGAAATAATACTAAGAAAGTTGTATAACAAAATCTATTCTATCAGAGCATAATTAAGTGGGAAATATGACTGCAAAACAGATATGGGGGGAAGACTTATTGTTGTAGTCATAATTTTAATCTGTGTATCAGATTACAATTAGAAAAAAAGAGTGTGGGGTGGTCAGGGGGTGTGGGGGGTGAGGGGAGCTGTATATATATAATAAAAGTTATTCAAGTCACATGTTTTTGTCTTTACCTTCTTCTCAGTAAAAAAAAATCTGAATTTATGTTCTCAGGTTGTCTTCATCATAGCAATTGGTGTCTTTGAATTCAACTCAGAGACAGGCCCGATCAGCACTTTATAATTCACTCCAAACTGTCAAGAGCAATTAAGAGCTAATGAAACACTCCTAGAAAAATAATAAGAGAAGTTATTTAATAATAAAGTCATTACTTAAATTGCTTTCTGGGGTCTTTCTGATGTGGTGTTGATGTCATTAAAAGCTCATAAATGATGACTTTTCTAATTGGTTTTACACCATTTTAATTCTAGCCTGGTTCAAACCTGCTAGGAATTGGGCCAATTCCTACATTTCTAAGTCAATCCTAACCTCACTGCCCAAAGTGAAATAAATGACTGAATAATTAATTAGGCACTGACGATAACCCATCTAGATGCCCGAGGCCTTAAAAGTCACATTTTTCTGCAATTATATGGACAACTCAAGCAAAATTTGATTCATTCCTTGGCTTAAAAAATTTTGCTAATCTTGCAGGTCTGACATTAAAGAGATAACTTTTGTGGCTACGTTGCAAGAATGGACTAGTTTGAGAGGCAGCAGAGAACATTCTTTTCTTTTAATATTACTTTAAAAAATTAAAAATTACATGTGTTTCCTATTAAAAAACTAAAACCACCTAGAAATCTACACAGTAGAGTGATATCGCTTTTGCTTTCCTTTCGCTACCCTTACATTGCTGCTTCTTAAAGGTAGCCAGGCTATAAATGCTTCTTTTCTTGTCTTGTCTTGTCTCTTCTTTTCCTTTTTCTCTTTTCTTTTCTCTTCCTTTCCTTCCTCTTTTCAAAGCTCATTCTGCATGGGTGTTTGTATAGTCACATTCAGGCAACTCCTGCTCTGCCTTACATATACTCATTGCTAATTCTCTACATGAGTTAATTCCCTTGGACTGACACATACCTTTTTGGTAGTTGATGAAAAATCTGATTCTTTCCCCAGAAAAATGCATGTACAACACAAATACTTGCACATGGTTGCAGGGTGTTCAAGGAACTCTGGAAGCTCAGAGAGCACATGAACTGCAGGCAAACAGACCCTCTGCTATAAATCAGTGGGGATGCTATCGAAGGTCAGAATCCTAAAACTAATGCAGTGCCTGAATTTCCTATGACAAGGAATGGCCATGCATCATCAATGTATGCTCAATTTCTTCTGTGTTAAGGAAATAATTGTATTGTTCATTACTGATTTCACAGGGATTTTAGGAGTATCCTTAGGTTCCAAAATTTAAAAACATACAAAAATTAGCCAGGTGTGGTGGCGGGTGACTGTAAGCCCAGCTACTTGGGAGGCTGAGGTATGAGAATCTCTTGAACCTGGGAGGCGGAGGTTGGTTGCAGGGAGCCGAGACCACGCCATTGCACCCCAGCCTGGGCGACAAGAGCAAGACTTCATCTCAAAAAAAAGGATATTGGGAACAGGGACCAATTTTTAAATCCTTGGAACTATTCTTACTTTGGGTTTGATTACTACAGAGTCAGCTTGTATTTCAGAAATACCTCATGTGTTTTAACTGGTCAGTAATTTATACAGTACATGCAGTTTTCTCTCCCTTCAAAGGTAAGATTATAATTTGGCATGTGGGTGCCCAATTATTATTATTTTTTGAGACAGAGTCTCACTCTGTCACCCAGGCTGGAGTGCGGTGGCATGATATCGGCTCACTGTAACCTCTGCCTCCCGGGTTCAAGCGATTCTTTTGCTCAGCCTCCCAAGTAGTTGGGATTGCAGATATGTGCCACCACACTCTACTTATTTTTATATTTTTAGTAGAGGCAGGGTTTCTCCATGCTGGCCAGGCTGGTCTCGAACTCCTGACCTCAGATGATCTGCCCACCTTGGCCTCCCAAAGTGCTGGGATTACAGGTGTGAGCCACCGCCCCCAGCCAACTAATTTCTAATATATTATTTATGATATTTTTTGGATGTTCATGCTTGTCACTATTTTAGTTAAGCTGCTGACAAGAAAATGATTATTTGTTTATTTTATAGAAAGAGTATGATTTGGAAAGGGGCCATGATGAGAAACTGGATGAAAATCAGCATTTTGGTTTGGAAAGTGGGCACCAACACCTTCCGTGGACCAGGAAAGTCTATGAGTTCTACAGTGCTCCAATTGTCAAGTTTTGGTTTTATACGGTTGGTCTCATTGCAACAATATATGTCGGATTAATGATGATTGATAGCTAGTGATGATGTTGATAATATGCCTGATTTGCCACTTTGCATTAAAAATGTAGAAACCTAGTTAAAAAAAAGTGAGGGCATGACAAAGTAGGTAGCAAAGAGGACTGGAGGAAGGCAGGGAGAAGTTAGGGTGGAGCTCACCTACTTTTTGGAGTTTGAGAACAAGCATTTTCTTCTCTCTTTGAGTGCTAAGAGTTAGCACTGTTATTGTGGGAAGATCTAGCTGGCTTTGCCCTATTGCTTAGCTTTGCTCCTGTCTCTAAAAACTCTGAGCGAGAAGTTTCCACGGAAAGAAACACTGGAATATTCTTTTCTTAACAGTGTGACTGTGGTTAAAACTCTCTCGGCACTCCTATCAGAGTCCCTCAAGTATGTTGTTGCACATTCCACAAAAGTGGTAAAACCTCACCATTTGAAGGGAGACAGCATTCAAAGATTTGTGGAACAACCAAATTAATAGCAGTGTTTGTAGAATTAAGCAATAGGTGGGTGGATTCTTCTTAGAAAATCAGCAATTGAGGCCAGGCGTGGTGGCTCACGCCTGTAATTCCAGCACTTTGGGAGGCCGAGGCGGGCAGATCACAAGGTCAGGAGATTGAGACCATCCTGGGTAACATGGTGAAACCCCGTCTCTACTAAAAATACAAAAAAAGTAGCCGGGCGTGATGGCGGGCGCCTGTAGTCCCAGCTACTCAGGAGGCTGAGGCAGGAGAATGGCGAGAACCCCAGGGGGCAGAGCCTGCAGTGAGCCGAGATTGCGCCGCTACACTCCAGCCTGGGCAACAGAGCGAGACCCCATCTCAAAAAAAAGAAAATCAGCAATTGAATCAGCTTTTTGTTTGTAGGAATGTGTTATATAGGTAGAAAATGATGCAAGTGTTTGGTTTTTTTGCCTTCAGTAGTATATGTTTATAAATATAGAGAGAAAATGAAAAATGTTAGAAGCTGAACTGTGTGAACAAATACTAAATCTATTATGGATAGTAGAGCTACAGAGAAAGCATGAGCTGTGCTTTAGATGTGTTTGGTGCTTTTCACATTTATTTCATAGAATTTTCTTTTCTTTTTTTTTAAATATTTTTTTCCGTAACACAGCCCTCAGGAGATCTGAGAACATGTGCTCCCATAGCATTTATTTTTCTAATGCTTATCTATACTTAAATAGCTCATGGCCAAGAGTTTGTATATCTAAAACATTTGAAGTGTGACTGTAAAAGGATATTTATCTAAATGTGTTGTATTTCCAAATATTTACCTGGCCAACCACACACTTATTTCCTATACTTATTGAATAAGTACGTAGCTGTGTATGATTTTTATCTGTTTCCAAAAATCACATCTGCTTTCAAACAATGAGGTTTTGCTATTTTTGTAATGCGCAACAACATATACGAAAGACTCTGACAGGAGTGCTGGGAGAGTTTTAACCATAGTCATACCATTGGGAAAAGCGTATTTAGGCATTTCTTCCCTTGGAAATTTCTAGTTCAGGAGCTTTAAGAAACAGGAACAAAGCTAAGCAATAGCACAAAACCAGCCAGATCTGCCCACCATGGTGTTTTTAATAATTGGAAAGAAACAAATAGAGTCAGAAGCAATACTGCCAATGTCCAGAGTGTTTAGTGCTTAATTTTACCTAGGTGTGAGTACTTTGGTTGCTTGTAGCCTTTATGTGATGCCACTTTGGACTAAAGAGTAAGTGGACTTAACATAGCCTTTAGGAATCCAACCTGTTCTCAAGTAGAGGAATTGTGCTGCTTTCTCAATCTGAATATCTACTTATCGAATATGTTTGTAGTCTTTTGCTTATAAATCTTCCAGATTCGTATAGTTGTACACTATATAGAAAGAAAGTTATGGCTGAGGGTAACCTAAGATTCAGGTCATTCAATTCGATTTTACTGAGACCTAACTGCTGTCTTTAAGACATAGTATACTAGGCAGCAGAGGGGCGGTGAGAAGAAGACGTTGCCAAACATCAATACTGACCTCAAACAGCTTACAGTTATGTAGGGGAGACCATTAATGTACGTAAATGAGTCCAGTATAAGGAATCAGTATAAGGAGATAACAAAATACAAATAATAAAATATATACAGACAAATGGGCTAAGGTCTGAACCTCGGAGTAAAAGTTAAGGAGTAAATTGTCTAACTATGCTGAAACCAATGACAAAAAACTTTTAAGTTGCTTGAAAGAACAAATTAACTTAAAGTGTGTCCCTAAGGAGTCATCAAAAAAACTCAGACTTTGAGATATAGACCAAGAGAAGTATAGAATTATTGAAATTTACCTTTACTTTCTTATATGCTTCTCTTCTACACTTCCTTAAATCATAGGCACTAATATCCATTATGACTGCCTAAAAGACCACCTATTGCCAATAATACCATTCTTACATAGTTAGAAATGGTTTAAGCTATTCTCTATGTTATCTGTGCAGAACTAAAGTTAGAAGCAGACTTATCCATTTAGGTAGATAAAAATGTATGAGAAATAGGAATCAAGGTTAAAATAATATGACTTGTGAGAATGAACCCACACACACACACACACACACACACACACATTTTTCTCTCAACTGATTTTCTTTTTTTTTTTTTTTTTTTTTTTTTGAGATGGAGTCTTGCTCTGTCACCCAGGCTGGAGTGCAATGGTGCAATCTCGGCTCACTGCAACCTCGGCCTTCTGGGTTCAAGAGATGCTCTTGCCTCAGTCTCCTGAGTAACTGGGATTACAGGTGTGCACCACCATGCCTAGCTAATTTTTTGTATTTTTAGTAGAGACGGGGTTTCACCATGCTGGCCAGGCTGGTCTCGAACTCCTAACCTCAGGTGATCCACCCGCCTTGGCCTCCCAAAGGGCTGGGATTATAGGCATGAGCCACCGCATCCAGCCGATACAAGGTTTTTAAATGCAAGTATTGATCAGTGAGCACTGGGTGTTGTCTCTGAGGCTATTTAGAGGACTGCAGTCTCATACATTGTTGATAATAGTGTAATTTGGTAAAGCCCTTCTGTCAGAAAATTTAGTAATATTTGTCACAGTTTTCAATGCGCATGGACAGATATTCTGCTTCTGGGACTATATCTTAAGAAGATAAGAATATTAGGTAAGATTACAAAGCTATTAATCACTATGTATCTATATGTGTGATCACTATGTCTTAATTCTTTCAAGACTTTGGAAATCTAGGCATACATATATATACACAGTAATTAGACAAACATTTATTGAATGTCTATCATGTGTCAAGCAGAGTGCTGAGTGCTGAGTGCTGAAGATATAAATATTGACAAACGGTCCTTAATTAAAAGGGCTCACAGTTGGACACAACTTTTCTATTAAACAGAGTATTTTAATCAACATAAAATAGAACTCCCAGCAGTGGTAAATGCCACAGTTCATTGTATTTGAAAATAAGCATCTATTGCCACTGCGGATCTGGCATGCTTCACACGTTTTCTTTCTGTGTTTAAGATGGAGGGGAAGACCTGTGATTCCTCCTGGGCTTGCTGTTAGCTTGCCAGTGCCCCTGTTGGATGTGCAGGGTCCTGGAAATGCCAGTCACGAGCCAGCAGAAAGGCACAATGTGTCCTTCCATGCATCTGAGAACAGTGATTTCATTCCTGCCTCTAAATCCTAGACTAGAACACCATGGATTGTTGTGCTTTCCTTGATAGTAGGTCATCAATAACCCGAAGGTGGTCCTAGTTCTGTGTTCGTGTTATCATGTTGAAGTTCATGCCTGGGTTTCTGCTCCATCTGCGTCTCCTTGGCATGCTCCATGCTTGCTCTCACTCACATCTGGGGAATGTGTGTCCCCCTCACAGATGGCGTATTTGGCATTCCTCATGCTGTTCACTTACACCGTGTTGGTGGAGATGCAGCCCCAGCCCAGCGTGCAGGAGTGGCTTGTTAGCATTTACATCTTCACCAATGCTATTGAGGTGGTCAGGGAGGTGAGTTATGCCATCTACCTTTATCTTCTGCATATGTCCTCAGCTTCTGTAGGTGTCCACTGAAAGACTCCTTGGCTCTGGTGATGAAAATGGACATGTCAAGGGTGGGGGAAGACAGGACACACTGACCTTGACTTACATGCTGCATAAAGGTTATTTGGGGGAGAATCCTTGATTCCAGCCCTTTATCCTTGTCAGCTGCTTTCTGCTGGTTGGTGCACTTTGGAAGCAGTTATCTTTGAAGTGGATATCTTGGTGTGTTTACCAATCCTAAAGGATAGATGATGCCATAGAATTGTATTAAACCCTCCAACTATTTGATTTCCCCAAGTTTTTTTGTTTGTTTGTTTTTGTTTGGTGGGGTTGATTTTTGTTGCCTAGCATTATTTTCATATTATCAATTTCATCTAATGAGTGGCATAAATGGCTGAAGTTGTGCAATATCTAAGGAATATGTTTATAGTTTTTGAAAGCTCCTACCAAACACTTTGAAAATTGAAGCTGGAAATCTCTCTGAGGCAAATAGTCCAAGAAACAAAAAACCAAAACTTTTAAAAATTTCTAGTTCGTAATGAGTTACTTTAAAAAAAAAAGGAGGGGGCCAGGCGTGGTGGCTTATGTTTGTAATCCCAGCACTTTGGGAGGCCGAGGCAGGCAGATCACGAGGTCAGGAGATCGAGACCATCTTGGCTAACATGGTGAAACCCCGTCTCTACTAAAAATACAAAAAATTAGCCGGGCATGGTGGCATGCACCTGTAATCCCAGCTACTTGGGAGGCTAAGGCAGGAGAATTGCTTGAATCCAGGAGGTGGAGGTTGCAGTGAGCCAAGATCGCACCACTGCACTCCAGCCTGTGTGACAGAGCGAGACTCCGTCTCAAACAAAAACAAAAACAAAACCAAAAACTAGCATTCCTATCAGTTATAACTGTAATCATAAATATTTGTGACTCAGACTGTTTTAGATGTCAATGTATGCCTCTGTGTCTGTGTATTTACCTATATTTATTTTGTCTTAGAGGTAATATAACCAACATTGTATACTTCTTTGTAATTATACCTATGTTGCCTGCTAATTCCTATGTGGAGTTTATAGATTATAGAAAATCAGGAGAGAAACAGATAGTTATCTGAATTGTACCCTTTTTTTTAATGCTTCAGGGAAAATCGGTGTACTATTTTACATTTCTGTTTGTCTGACACGGTGTTTCAGGGGTATTTTCTTATCTTAGTGAGTTCCAATATCACATTCTTTTTTTTTCTTTTTTTTTTTCTTTTGAGACAGAGTCTTGCTCTGTCACCCAGGCTGGAGTGCAGTGGTGAGATCTCGGCTCACTGCAACCTCTGCCTCCCAGGTTCAAGCAGTTCTCCTGCCTTAGCCTCCGGAGTAGCTGGGATTACAGGTGCCTGCCACCACACCCAGCTAATTTTTGTATTTTTAGCAGAGACAGGGTTTCACCATGTTGGCCAGGCTGGTCTTGAACTCCTGACCTCAAGTGATCCACCTGCCTCGGCCTCCCAAAGTGTCGGGATTACAGGCGTGAGCCACTGCACCCAGCCTAATTTTTGTATTTTTAGTAGAGACGGGGTTTCATCATGTTGGCCAGGCTGGTCTCGAACTCCTGACCTCAAGTGATCCACCTGCCTCGGCCTCCCAAAGTGTTGGGATTACAGGCGTGAGCCACTGCACCCGGCCCAATATCATATTCTTAGTAGTTTGTCAACAACTCACTAAATAGCAGTAGTCGGACTGGATTACAGGATTCCTTGCTCCATCCAGTGTTCTTTGCACCCTGCTGTGCCTCCTGAAATGAAATCGTAGCTATACAGATCCACAGCAGTATTGAGTTTTATTTATTTGTTTATTTATTTTGAGACAGAGCCTCGCTCTGTCACCCAGGCTGGAGTGCGGTGGTGCGATTTCAGCTCACTGCAAGCTCCGCCTCCCGGGTTCATGCCATTCTCCTGCCTCAGACTCCCGAGTAGCTGGGACTACAGGCACCCGCAACCACGCCCGGCTAATTTTTTGTATTTTTAGTAGAGATGGGGTTTCACCGTTTTAGCCAGGATGATCTCGATCTCCTGACCTCCGTGATCCACCTGCCTCGGCCTCCCAAAGTGCTGGGATTACAGGCATGAGCCACCGCGCCCAGCCTGCAGTATTGAGTTTTAAAATGTCTTGGTGTTTTCTCATGCTATTTCAGGATTATTGAAAGCTAGAAAAAGTGCTTTCTATTTTTTTGACTTCTAGTTGGAGTTTCAAGTGACAATCTGGTATTATCAAATGACTTAAATTATATCTGTATAGCATTGTTTAAATAATTCATTACTGATGATAACTTAAGTCTCTGAAATCCGCAAGTGATTTAAGGTTTGGCAGGTTTTAGATTACTCTTTCAGTGAATGGTTTGTGTATTTAAGAAGATCATATTGATGGGATTCTTTGGTTGTACCTCCTTTTTAAAGTTTCCTTCTTCCTTCTTTTAGATCTGTATTTCAGAACCTGGGAAGTTTACCCAAAAGGTGAAGGTATGGATTAGTGAGTACTGGAACTTAACAGAAACTGTGGCCATTGGCCTGTTTTCAGCTGGCTTCGTCCTTCGATGGGGTGACCCTCCTTTTCACACAGCGGGAAGACTGATCTACTGCATAGACATCATATTCTGGTTCTCACGGCTCCTGGACTTCTTTGCTGTGAATCAACATGCAGGTCCATATGTGACCATGATTGCAAAAATGGTGAGTACAGTCTAGTTTTATATCCTGGTATTCTTTTTTAAAATTATTTTTAGCCAGGTGTGGTGGCTCACACCTGTAATCCCAGCACTTTGGGAGGCCAAGGCGGGCGGATCACAAGGTCAGGAGATCAAGAACATCCTGGCTAACAGGGTGAAACCCCGTCTCTACTAAAAATACAAAAAAATTAGCCGGGCATGGTGGTGGGCACCTGTAGTCCCAGCTACTCAGGAGGCTGAGGCGGGAGAATAGCACGAACCCGGGAGGCGGAGCTTGCAGTGAGCCGAGATTGCGCCACTGCACTCCAGCTTGAGCGACAGAGCGAGACTCCATCTCAAAAAAAAAAGGTTTTCAAAAGAATTCTTGTGGGTACATAAGTAACTGTATGTATTTACGGGGTATATGGAATATTTTGATATAGGCATACAATGCATAATAATCACATCAGGGTAAATGGGGTATTCATCACCTCGAGCATTAATCCTTTGTGTTACAAACAACTCACTTATACTCTTTTAGTTATTTTTAAATGTACATTTAATTATTATTAACTATAGTCACCCTGTTGTTCTAGTGTTCTTTGTAAAGATGCTATGTTGTGCAGGCTAGATTTGAACTGTTGGGCTCAAGGGATCCTCCCATCTCAGTGTCCTGAGTAGCTGGGACTATAGGCATGCACCATCACGCCTGGCTTCTTTTTAATGGTTCTTCATCGTTTATATCCGATAGTTTAACTTTCGAAATTATTATTATTATTATCATCATTATGTGAGACAGGGTCTTGCTCTGTCACCTAGGCTGGAGTGCAGTGGTGCGATCACGGCTCACTGCACCCTCACCCTCCCAGGCTCAAGAAATCCTCAACCACCTGAGTAACTGGGACCACAGGCACACACCATCATGCCAAGCTAATTATTTTTTATTATTTATATAGACAGGGTCCCACTATGTTGCCCAGGCTGGTCTCAAACTCCTGAGCTCAAATGATCCTCCTGCCTCAGCCTCCCAAAATGCTGGGATTACAGGCATGAGCCATTGTGCCTCGCTATCTTGGAATTATTTATAGAAGCACAGCGAGCAAGATCATGTCACCACTGCCTTCCATATAACCACAAACTAGTATTAGCAAATGACCTTGGATAGTATATTGCATAGTTAGTTTGTTGGGACACTCAGCTTACCCTTTTGATTAGGACCAGATGGTATGGGATTGAGTCAAATCTGTCTCTGAGCACAGTAATTCCCAAGGACGAGATTCATGTGAGGCTACCACCAATGATATTTTCTGCTAAAATATCCGTTTATTCTTGTATCACTCACTGACTCTCCCCTACCATCACACTCTTAAATCGTGCTTACTATAGGCCACACACTGTTCTAGGTAATTAGTATGTATTAACTCATTTAATCTTAGTAACAACTTTAGGAGATAGGTAGTATTATTATACACATTTACATACAAGGAAATGGAGGTTAAGCAAATTCCTCAAAGGAATATATGGGGAGCCAGGATTCAAAATTGGGCCACCTAGCTCCAGTCTGTCACCTGAGCTTGCCGTACAGTTGTGTCAGCTTTTTCTTTTTTTCTTTTTCTTTCTTTTTTTTTTTTTTTCTGAGATGGAGTCTTGCTCTGTTGTCCAGGCTGGAGTGCAGTGGCGCAATCTCTGCTCACTGCAACCTCCACTTCCTGCGTTCAAGCGATTCTCCTGCCTCAGCTTCCTGAGTAGCCTATAGTAGGGACTACAGGCACTTGCCACCATGCCCGGCTAATTTTTTATTTTTTAGTAGAGACGGGGTTTCACCATGTTGGCCAAGCTAGTCTCAAACTCTTGACCTCAAGTGATCCGCTCGCCTCGGCCTCCCAAAGTGCTGGGATTACAGGCGTGAGCTACTGAGCCCGGCCGGCTTTTTCCATCTGGCTGTTCACAAGGACCTAAGACCTACGCTTTAATAAGTACAGTGTCTCAAGATCATCTTTGGCTTTTCCTTCTAGGATACTTACTGGCAGGGAAGGGGCAAGTTCTGGAGATTGAAGGGTAGTGCTGAGACAAACAAACAAAGAGGACAGAAAAGAGACAACCTCCAGGACTCCAAAGATTTTTCCTATTTGACATTTTTCTCTTAGACCAGAAATGTTTTCTCTTGTCTTGGTGACATTAGTCTTTATGAGATAGGCTATGCCGAGATAACCAATATATTTCAATGACTTAGCACAAAGGTATTTCTCCCTAATGCAAGGTTTGGTGAGTGCTCATGGGGGCTGTCCTCTATGCAGTGACTCAGGAATCTGGGATCCCTTTGTCTTGTGACATAGCTATGTGAACATTTAGCTCCTAAGGTCTATGGTAGGGAGTGAGAGGGATGGAGAAAGTCTAATGGCTTTTAACTGCTCTGGACAAGAAGTGCCCAAGTCACCATCAAACCACAGCCCACTGGCTTGAATACGTTTCACAGCCCCAGCCTAATGGAAGGAAAGCTAAGAGATGTAGAGTAGCTCTTGAAATAATGATGGGAATTGTGGTGAGTGCTCTGTCTGTTACAGTAAACTAATGGACTGAGTTGATGTACATTTAGTAGATGGAATTAAACTGGCTTGATCAGTTTCTTAGACTCTAATCAATTCCTGAAGACAATTCTGGGAATAAGGAGCCATTGGACTAATTCAACAATACCCTATTTTTTTTTTTTTATTTTCCTAACCTATGGTCCAACTGGGGGCAAACTTAGATATTAGCTAATCAAAAAGTGTTCACAATTCATTACTGCTTAAACAAAGAAGCACAGATTCTCTCCTCTCAGCACATTTATATTATTCCATAGACCAAGTTGACTTGAAATGCATACTGTGTGAGAAAACAAGAGTTTAGCCAAAGAAAGTCTAGCTGTTCCTGCACAAGGGTGTTTTAGTCAATGACTAGACAATCTTATTATTTGCAGGTATAGTTATGATGGCTGCTGGTGTTTGGTTTCTTTTGAACTTCAAATCTGTGGTAAAATTCTGGTTGTACTATGCTCTTTTGCAGACAGCAAACATGTTCTATATTGTGATCATCATGGCCATAGTCCTGCTGAGCTTTGGAGTGGCACGCAAGGCCATCCTTTCGCCAAAAGAGCCACCATCTTGGAGTCTAGCTCGAGATATTGTATTTGAGCCATACTGGATGATATACGGAGAAGTCTATGCTGGAGAAATAGATGGTGTGTATGGGATTTTACCGTCATGCAGAAATTGTGCCTTCATAGTTAACAAGAGTAAAATACATCTGAAAAACAATCATCTAAATCTTAAAAATGTTTGAATTTATGGTATTCTGTGCAGTTAATGTGCTAAATGTGTGTCTAGAGTGGCAGGACTGTGATTCATCTTATCTTTCATTCTTTTAAAATTCTTTATTTGTAGTTTGTTCAAGCCAGCCATCCTGCCCTCCTGGTTCTTTTCTTACTCCATTCTTGCAAGCTGTCTACCTCTTCGTGCAATATATCATCATGGTGAACCTGTTGATTGCTTTCTTCAAGTAGGTTATTTCAATTAAATATGATTATTTAAATAAGAAATGTGGGCAGATATGTTGAGTAGATTCACATGTACTTTGAGTATGTAACCTTTGATTTTTGTGTGTTCTATATTTATTATTATTGTTTTGAAATATGCACATAAAACTACTGATAAGAAGGACATGGAGCATGGGAAACAGTGAAATAATAAATGCAGTCATCCATCGTTATCTGTGGAGGACTTGTTCTAGGACCCCCTGCAGATACCAAACTCTATGGATGCTCCAGTCCCTTATAGAAAATGGTGTAGTATTTCATATAACCTAGGCACATCCTCCTGTATACTTTAAAGCATCTCTAAATTCTCTATAATACCTAATATAGTATTAATGCGATGTAAATGGTTGCTATACTGTATTGTTGAGGGAATAATGACAAAGATAAAACGTCTCTGCATGTTCAGCACAGACACGATCATCCTTTTCTTTTCCCCAAATATTTTCAATCTGTGGTTATTTGAATCCACAGATGTGGAACCCGCAGATATGGAGAACTGACTGTGGGGGGAAAGTACAATGTAACAACATCAAAATGCAAGGAGATCTTGAGTTGTGATTAGGCAGTAAGTTCGAATTATGAAAGGATAGCAAGTGATGGAATTGCAAGTTGGTTAAGGAGTTCTTGATATGCTTTCTTCACTTGCTCCCAGCTTCCCCTGTTCTCTGTTTTCTCTCTTTCTCTCTCTCTCTTTCTTCCTCTCCTTTCCTCTCCTCTCCTTTCCTCTCTTTCGTTTCCTTTTCTTTTCTTTTCCTTTCTTTCTTTTTCTTCTTTTTTTTTTTTTTTTTGAGATAGAGTCTTGCTCTGTTACCCAGGCTGGAGTGCAGTTGGTGTGACCCCAGCTCACTGCAACCTCTGCCTCCTGGGTTCAAGCAATTCTCCTGCCTCAGCCTCCCAAGTAGATGGGATTACAGGCGCCTGCCACCATGCCTGGCTAATTTTTGTATTTTTAGTAGAGACGGGGTTTCACCGTGTTGACCAGGCTGGTCTCAAATTCCTGACCTCAAGTGATCCACCTGCCTCTGCCTCCCTAAGTGCTGGGATTATAGGAGTGAGCCACTGTGCCAGGCCCTCTGTTTTCTTCTCTGTCACTTCTCACTACTTCTCAATCTTCTTTTCTGGATCATCTTCTCCCCAACCTTTTAACATTGGAATGTCCCTGAGCCCGGACCTGCCTCTTCCTTTATTTATGCTTTTTGTGATCTCTTTCAGTTTCCTGTATATCCTGAGCACACCCAATTTATATCCCCAGCCCAGTTCTCTTTCTTAAACTCCAGCCATGGAGATCCAACTGGCCCCTTCCTTCACCAGTTAGAAATTTAATAGATTTCTAAAATTTAAAATACCCAAACTCTTCATCTCCCCTCTTTCCCAACATACTTTTATTTATAATATTTAATGTAGTCTTTCCCAAATCTGTGAGGAAGAACACGAGTTTTTGTTGATGTTCCAGCTTTTCAGTTGTTTACACCAAAAACTAAGTAGTCCTTCTTACTTTTTCTCTGCTCTACACCATGATTCTGTACATGGAGTCATTCTTAATGTCTCTTGAACCTCTACCTCTAAACTCTCAGGAACTTCTGTTAACTCAACCTTCAAATAGATAACTGATTTAATGACCTCTCACTACCCCACTGTTACCACAGAGCCTCTAATTTATCTCTCTGCTTCTGTCTTTGACTCCCTATATTCTTTTCTCAACACAGTAGTCCAAATGACCCTTTAAAAGCAGACATCAGAGGATATTACTCTTCTGCTCCAAACTCTTCAGTGCCTCCCATTTTACTTCTGGGTAAAAGTTTAAGTCACTACAATGACTTATATGGCCCCATGTGAGTTGGCTTTTCTGTCACTTCGTTTTTTTTTTTTTGAGACGGAGTTTCACTTTTGTCACCCAGGCTAGAGTGCAATGGCACGATCTCAGCTCACTGCAACCTCTGCCTCCCAGGTTCAAGCAGGTGTCCTACCTCAGCCTCCCAAGTGGCTGGGATTGCAGGTGTGTGCCACACACCTGGCTAATTTTTGTATTTCTAGTAGAGACAGGGTTTCACCCTGTTGGCCAGGCTGGTCTCAAATTCCTGCACCCACCTCGGCCTCCCAAAGTGCTGGGATTACAGGTGTGAGCCACCATGCCTGGCCCCTGTCACTTTTTTTTTTTTGAGTCTCTCTCTGTTGTCCAGGCTGGACTGCACTGGTGTTATCTCGGCTCACTGCAACCTTTGCCTCCCGGGTTCAAGTGATTCTTCTGCCTCAGCCTCCCGAGTAGCTGGGACTACAGGTGCATGCCACCACACCCGGCTAATTTTTGTATTTTTAGTAGAGACAGAGTTTCACCATATTGGCCAGGCTGGTCTTGAACTCCTGACCTTGTGATCCGCCCACCTTGGCCTCCCAAAGTGCTGGGATTACAGGTGTGAGCCACTGCGCCCAGCCGTCACTTCTTAAATCATGCATCACACTAGTCTTCCCCTGACCCATTCCTCTCCAACCACATTGGCCCCTCAGTTTTTCAGACCATACAGGTGCCTTTGCACTTGCTATTCCCTCTGCCTAGAATGCTTTTCCTGCAGCTACCAGTATGGGCCACTTCCTCACCTCTTCTCGTCTTGCTCAGAAGCAAGCAATTTACCTCAAACACTGAAAAGAGTGCCTGACACATATTTGTTTCCTAGACAAAAGAAACCAAGTGAAGTAATGGGAAGAAACTCATATTTTCTAGATGCCTCTTAACTGTCAGGCACTGTGCTAGGTATTTGATTCCTTGCTTATCTTACTGAAGAGGAAAATATAACAAGTAACAAAAGTAGGGAAGACAGGGGTTGAGAGTCAGCAAAGTAAATCAAAATTCTTTTAAAAAAAAAGTGACTGCTGTGTTGTTACCTAAACATGGGGAAGACATACCTTCCTGCTGGTTATATGATAGTCATCATCTCTCTTAGCCCAACCATTTTAGGAACTTGGAATATTTGCTGGTGTTTAGTTATAATAGCTATTTTTATAGATCAGATAATAAAAGGATCTGAGTTTTTTGTGGGGGCATGGGGAGAGATAGGGATTCACTCTGTCACTCAGGCTGGAGTGGTGCAGTGGTGTGATCTCAGTTCACTGCAACCTCCGCCTCCCTGGTTCAAGCAATCCTCCCACCTCAACCTCCCGAGTAGCTGGGACCACAGGTGCATGCCACTATGTCCAGCTAAATTTTGTATTTTTGGTAGAGACAGGGTTTCACCATGTTGCCCAGGCTGGTAGTCTGAGATTTTTGTTTATTAAAAATGTCCAGTGTCTCACTGCCCGTTTGCTCTCAGGGGAAAGGCTCACACCCCGCATCTTAGCCCCAGGAAGGTAAGTGGGGGCTGTTGATGGGATGGTGTGATGCTCCTGCTGTGGGTGTCACCAGGAGGCTCTTTGGACTCTTTGGGAAGGAGTGTTGCCTGGTGAGGTGGTGCACTCCCAGTCACTAGGGGTGTACACTCGAGGTTGGGTGAACACCTGCTGCTCATGGTACCCAGTGAGTCTTGCCCAAGCAGGCAGCTGGGCAGAGGCCCTTCTGGATCTTGGAGTCCAAAGAACTGTAGAGCAGCCCAAGGGGTGTGGGTCAATTTTGAGTGGGAGCCAAGTCTGGGAGCCCGTGTGCATCATGTTTGGGTCTGGTTGGCTTGGCCACCACTGAAAGAAGTGATAAGTATGGGCTCCTGGTACCTGCAGATCTCCTGCAAACGGCCCAGAGAACAGCCTTGAAGCCACCTTTCCCTTCCAGGGGACTGACCCTGTCCCTAATGCTGCAGTGGCGTCCAGGGATCAGTGGAACATTGCTTTGAGAACTCTCCTGCCTATTATGGAGGCAGCACAAAGCTGGTGCCCCCTGAGCCAACATGGCACTGGGATGGCTTTTTAGGACAGAACTCTGTTGGTGACAGTCACATCTCAAACATAATAGCTGATTTTAAAAGCCAGCAGCAGCAAAGCCATATACCTGAGTATAGGTGGCAGTTGCAGAGAGCCATGGGCTGGAGAGGGTCAGATGGGGCCTCCCACAGGGGGATCCTGTGGGGGCTGCAGCTCAGAGTGACTCCCAGCTCTGTCACTAGCAGGGCGACCCCTTCCTTCTGGAGCCTTAGCTCTGAAAAGCCCCTGGTGGGGGTGCCCTTTCAGATGCCCCCTTTCCATTTCAAAGGCTCTGATTCTCGATCTTGAAGCCAAATGCAGCACCGACACTCGGCTTCAGTTTCCACTGGGACAGCTGGAGGTCTCCTTTCTAGCCCCAGCCCAGGCGGCCAAGCCCATCCTGGCATCAGAACATGCTGAGCGGCATTTTGTAGGGTGGCACCTTTTTATCCAAGTTGCTAGCTACACATCAGTGTTTAAAGAGAAAAGAGTGACCTTTCATTTTTTTTCTTGAAACTTGAGGAAACAGGATACATAACTACTGATTTGTTTGTTCTTAAAGAAAACTAAATGCACGACTGCAGAGTGCTAGAGGTGTGTATTTTTCATACTGTGGGGGAAAGTATTTGTGCTGCTTTTTGGAGATATACTGGGATGTCTGGTTTCTGTCCCCGGGCCTGGCAGCTACGTCTATTTTCTGTAGAAGGTGCCACAGTGAGACCTGGAGCCACCCCTTCCTGCCCTGGCACGGTTTAGAGCTGGGAGCCTATGGACTCTTGGCCTGTTTCTACCTTCTATTCAACCACTCTGATGTGGGGAGACAAAAAGAAATATAACTTTTTGATAGTGTGGTAGAAACATTGATTTGAACTATTTTAGTAGAAGGAGTAGCAAACAAGACTGTGGTAGTGTATACTTTGAGCTAGATAAATAAAGGCCTCTTTGTGAGCCTCCTGGCCAACAACAACAACAAATGTCCAGTGTCAAAAAAGAAGTTGAGAAATCCTCGCATAGGACAAATTTCTCACGTTAGAGATGAACACACTGAAGACCATACAAAGTGACCAACCCCAGATCTGACTACTTGTCCAGGAGCTGGTTACAGACAATTCTTTATAAAATAATTGAAAAAAACAAAAACCAACCAACCAACCCCCAAAATTTAAATACACTGTTAAGTCGCCACCTGCTGGTGGAAGGCTGTTGTCACGTTGGAGTGAAACTGCTATTAATAGCATGTGCAACCCTAGAGTTTCCCACTCATTGACCAGGCCCCAAAAATGTGCATTTCTGACATGTTCTCAGGTGATGCTGCTGCTGCTGGTTCAGAAAACATGCTTGAGAACTCCTGATATAACCCAGTCATCTATGTTTCAATCACCTTCTTTATGGATTCTGAGAAACTTCTATTCTTACCCAAAGATGGCTTTCTCCAGGATAATCCTGGTTCCTTTTCTTTATCACTGTTCAAGTTATGGGTTATCTGTGTTTTTATTTGCTAAATTTGGCTGCCTTCCTCCAGTTCTACTCTGCTATCTTTCTCTAAATAAACTAAAATTTTGACACTGCAAGAAGAAGAATTGTTTTAAAAAGAAACTAAATTTTGTTAGTCTATGCAAAATATTAAGATGGACATCTTATTTTGTTCCTCTTATATCATATTATATACTTAAAGTTAAGTAGTTAAGGATGGTATATTGTTTCAGAATAACTGTACCTCCAATCATTACCCCCATGGCAAGTTCTATAATATCAACATTCACCATCCTATCTCCATGTTACAACTACAAAGTGACCTACCAATAAGGAGTTACTTTTATTGTAAAGTTAATGTAAATAATTTGTCTGGATTTTAATAGAAGCTCTGTTTTTTAAGATGAATTGATTCTTCTTCCGTTTCTTCACTAACACTGTACTGTTTGCATATTTTAACTGGGATTTTTCTAGCAGTTCTCACATTTGACATTAGGTAGATGATACAGAGGAACATTAAAGCTGTTTCCCATAAACGATGAATTATGGACTGAAAAGAGCTTCTTATGTGAGAAGAGATGGTGACTTGAGAGTAGTGTTGAGTTCCAGAATGGATTTTCTGTTCATTACACTGAAAATGTTGGCATTTTCTTTTCTCTGATTGTAATGTCTGCCTTCTGCTTGTTATTCTGATTAGCATGTTTCATTGTAGAAGGTAGCTAATATATTTTGTTTGGTGGAAGAAGAATTGTAAACACGTGGATAGTATTTGTATTGGGTAACTGCCGGTAATGTCAGGTGAGCCAATCATAAATGTTGGAAAATATAGACTCTGTTACCTTTCAAGACTTCATATTAAAACATTGTCCCTCTCTTACTTCATCTTACAGCAACGTTTACTTAGATATGGAATCCATTTCAAATAACCTGTGGAAATACAACCGCTATCGCTACATCATGACCTACCACGAGAAGCCCTGGCTGCCCCCACCTCTCATCCTGCTGAGCCACGTGGGCCTTCTCCTCCGCCGCCTGTGCTGTCATCGAGCTCCTCACGACCAAGAAGAGGGTGACGTTGGATTAAGTAAGTTGTTCTATGTGAGGCAGGAGAAAGAGAGCAAAAAGTAGGATTCAAGGCAAAGATGCACTGGAGTATTATAAATTAAGTTCAGGGCACTGTGGGGCTCTGGGAGTTCCCTGACAATAGAATATCAGCTGATGCTCTGGGTCTGAGTAAATATATTGACCTCATTATGAGGTCGCAGTGCCTTTTGCCAAGATGAACGGATACTTAGAAAGGGATAGGTAGGAAGAGAATCTCTGCTTGATTGTGTAAAGGCTTTATGTCACATGGAAAACTTGTGTTTTCTCTGCTGACCGGAGAACTCATCAGAATAACTCCTAGAGAGTGGTCATGTGACGTGTACTGTTCTCCTTGTTGTGGAAGATGGAATTCAGACAGAATGGAGTTACAGAAGGCCTTGGGGTCTAAGAGAAAAGATAAGCAAAGCTGGGCTTTAACCAGAGTCACGATCCTCTGGTTCTCTAATCTACTGAGCATGGAGGTGATTCTGAAATGGATGTTTCTTATTTTCAAGAACCTCAACTCAGAAACTGGGTGCGGTAGTGCATGCCTGTAGTCCTAGCTACTCAGGAGGTTGAGGCACAAGAATTGCTTGAGCTCAGAAGTTTAAAGCTGGGGTGCACCATGATCATGCCTGTGAATAGCCACTTCGGCCTGGGCAACACTGTGAGTCAGGATGCGGAAATAGGGGTTCTCACTTGTGTTTTTTCATAAGCTTATATATTTTGAGGTTTTCCTAATTCATCTTGTTTAGCCAGATCTTCACTGCATGATATGACTATCGTACTAATTGTTGTCAGAGAACATTGCGTTTGGTGGTTTTATTCTGTAGTTCCTGTCAAGCAGTTCCACAATTGGTACCAGGCCCATTTCTAGATAGTTCCCAGAAATACAGGAAGCAGGGGGCATAAATGCGCAATCCTCTTCCCAATTCCTAAATCTAAAATACCTCTGAAAACTGAAATCCTTTTTTCTTCACAAATTGGGGAAAGACTCATTTGGCCAAAAAAGGCTGATGAGAATTGATGCGAAGCCATTTATTCTCTTTATTTCTTGTAGTATGAATATTCATTGATGTTGGCTGCAGAAAATAGCAATATGTTTGATTTTAGGGATTGCTTTAATCTTAACTAGGGATTTCACTTCATTTATGACATACTCACTATATTAATTTTCTGAAACTAGAAAAAAACAGTTCTGAATTCTAAAATACTCTGGACTCCAGGAGTTTCAGCTAAGGGGATAGCGGGCTATTTATGTGTTTAGGTAGGTCCTTAGGGGGACAGGTCATCCCCTGCAGTATATTATGGGGTTGACAGGGTGATATGCTTTTGCTGGTGGTAGGTGACTCTGTGAAGTATTTTTTCTCCTCCTAAGTCACTTTGAAGATTTTTTTTTCTTTTTCATACCCTGCTCCCTGACCAAGAGATTCAGCCTTTGTACGAAAGCCAAAGCATACCTGAAGTTAACTTGAAGGCTTATAATTATACTGTAAATTTCAGGCCGCTAATAGAGAGACGTCCCAGGCTTTGGCTGCAGAACCATTGCAACCTAATAGCAGAATGTGAATCACTTGATAAATCCTGGAATTGACTAGGATTTGCCCAGACTTCCTAGTACCACATGAAAGAACGTTTCCTGGGTTCACCTTGGTCTGTGCTTATAGGATGATTCATATAAAACTCAAGTAAAGTTTAAAATGAATTCACCCTGAGCTTTGTGGAACATTGTTGAATTTTCATAACATTGCTTCTGATCCTTTATATTGAGGATAAAGACATTTACACAAGGGGCAGCAGTGCCACCTTGCGGACAATTACAGGAAAGCGCCACATACTGCAAGCTGCGCCTGTCATTGGAATTACTCTGGATTGTTTGCTCTCAGGGATCCACATAAGGTTCACATCATGACACCTGTAAAGTTTCTTGCTCATAGGAGATTCTTTAGTGAAAGAAGACATTAGAGTTGGGTAGGGGGTGGGAGATACCGAATCTTTTCAGTGTCTGAAAATTTTTTTCCTGCCATTTAAATCAGAAAGCACTGTATACCTGAGTTGTGAATACATTTTACAGCTGAATAATACTTTTAGCCATGTTTTCAATTTAAAATTCAGATTTTTTGTCATTAATTTTAACAGAAAATAATGTAACAATTGCATTTTAAATAAATTCTGGAGAATTGTATTAGTTCTTTTTCTCCTAATGTAAGCAAAACCATTCAAGAAAGAGAACTTTCCAATTTAATCCTTTTAGCAGCATCACTTCATTATATATTTTCTAAGTATTATAAACTTGCTTAAAAGATGGTATATTATTCTATTAGGCAACAGTGAAAGCCAAGGTAATAGACCAAATGTGAATGCTGGAGTTTGATGAAGAATTGTGTTAGCCTTATAATATCACTTAGTGATGTGTCTTTTTAATGAGTTATTTATAATTGTGTCAGAGAAGGTATACAGCTGTGATTGGCCATTGAATGGTAATAATAACATCTCATTCTTCAGTAGAAGGATTTAGTATGCACAAACTCTGCGTAACAAGGTGAAACTTTCTTATACTTACTGGATTAATTTCAATAGACTGCCTTCTTCTAATCTTGCATTTAACCTATTGGTTATTTACTGTCATTGTAATAGCTAAAAGAGTTGGAAGACAGGTTGATTAATGAGCACAAATATACACTTTGATAGAAGAAATAAGACCTAGTGTTCAATAGATTGGTAGGGTTTTTGTTGTTGTTGTTGTTGTTGTTGTTTGAGATGGAGTCTCGCTCTGTTGCCCAGGCTGGAGTGCAGTGGAGCGATCTCGGCTCACTGTAGCCTCTGCCTCCTGGGTTCAAATGTTTCTCCCACCTCAGCCTCCTGAGTAGCTGGGATTACAGGCATGGACCACCACACCCAGCTAATTTTTTTTGTTTGTTTGTTTTAAGGAGCTGAGAGTTTAATAGGCAAATAAGAAGGAAGAAGCTCCCCGGTACAGAGATAGAGGGAGGGGGGCTCCAAAGCCGAGAGAGGAAACCCCCAATTTTTGTATTTTTACTAGAGGTGGGGTTTCACCATGTTGGCCAGGCTGGTCTTGAACTCCTGATCTCAAGTGATCCACCTGCCTCGGCCTCCCAAAGTGCTGGGATTACAGGTGTGAGCCACCATGCCCTGCCATCAGTAGGTTGACTACAGTTAAAATTAATTGATTATACATTTCAAAATAGCTAGAAGAGAATAATTCAAATGTTTCTATCTTAAAGGACAGGTAAATATTTAAGGAGATCTGCCTCAGCCTCCTGAGTAGCTGTGACTACAGGCTTGTGCCACCAATTGCCCTGATGTGATTATATGAATGTATCAAATTATCACATGTATCTCAAAAATAGGTACATCTAATATGAATCAATTAAAATTTAATTAATTTTAGAAAGTGTTGGCAGAGAGAAAAGAAGACAGATTCCCCATTTTCATATAAACGCAGTGAATTTTTCTTAAATGTGAAAGCATTCTAACCTGTGAAAATATTGAAGAGAAAGAATTCTATATATGAGTCATTTTCAAAGAATGAGTAGGAGAGACCCAGGCTGGTGTTTCCAGTTCTTTCTTTTCTTTTCCTTTTTTGAGACAGGGTCTCGCTTTTTAGCCCATGCTGGAGTGTAGTGGCGTGATCACAGCTCCTGCAGCCTTGACCTCCCAGGCTCAAGCCATCCTTCTGCCTCAGTTTCCTGTGTAGCTGGGACCACAGGCGCCTAGCTAATATTGAAATTTTTTTGTAGAGAGAGGGTCTGCCTGTGTTGCCCAGGCTGGTTTCTAATTCCTGAGCTCAAGCGATCCACCCCTGCTCAGCCTCCAAAAGTGTTGGGATTACAAGCGTGAACCACTGCGCCCAGCTCCCAGTTGTTTATTGGTGCTGTTTCTGCATTAATATTAGAAATAGTTTGACAAGGTGACAAACTTATCACAACAGGCTATAGTTTCTCATTTTCAATACAAGTGGAAGAAAAGCCACTCATGCCCTGAGGTGAATAATGATTCTTTCTGTGTTTCATACTTATTTCTATAGAACTCTACCTCAGTAAGGAGGATCTGAAAAAACTTCATGATTTTGAGGAGCAGTGCGTGGAAAAATACTTCCATGAGAAGATGGAAGATGTGAATTGTAGTTGTGAGGAACGAATCCGAGTGACATCAGAAAGGTAAAAGATATAAATCTTTTCCATTCTGAAACCACTAACACAACGTGATTCTGCTAGAATATCTAAAGGTGTAGAAAGATCTTTCAAATCCCAGAGGTTTGAGTTCTTTATAATTTGAAACATTTAACAACATATAATATTCATGTAATCAAAGTATATTTATTAAGCATCTACTATATTCCAGGCACTCTTTTAGTTACTAGGAATAAGTGGTTAATAAGACATAAGAATCCTTGTCCTCATGGGACTTACATTCATGCGCGCGCGCGTGTGTGTGTGTGCGCATGTGTGTAGGTGGTGAGAGAAATGAAGTGGATGGAGAACAAAACCTAAGTAAGGAACCACAAAAATAGATTTGTAATTTATTATCAGGCAGTAAAAGAGCTATGAAGAAAAATAAAGTAGCTGGAGAGAACAGGAAATGATGGTGGCGTGAAATCTAGCGGAGCTGGGGGTTGAGTGGACTGTTTAGATGGTCTGGTTCTAGAAGGTCGCTCTGAGGGCATTGAGTGGAGGCCTGAAAGAAGTGAGGCAGTGGGCGAGGCAGGGGCGTCTGGTGGAATAGCGCCCCTGGCGGAAGGAACAGCAAGCGCAGCCGCCTGAGGCCACATGGTGTGTCTGGCAGCAGCCAGAGGGGAGGAGGAGGTAGATGGAGGGTGCTGGTTGGATGGGGAGTGGGGTTCTCAGGGCGTCTGACCGGCGGTTGTTGTGCAGTGGAGTTGGCGGCTGCTTCACTGAAGTGGGTGAAGACAGAATAGGAGAAGCAGAGACTGCAATTACAGGTGGCTTTTGGGAGAAGTATTACGGTGCAGGGAAGCTTGGTATGGGGACACGGTAAGGTTTTTTTGTTGGATTTTGCGTAATGTGGCAATAAATAAAACAGCATGGTCCTGAAAATGATCCACCAGCAAGGGAGAAACTCAGGAGTGGAGGGAGGAGGCCATTTGCTGAAGAGAAGTCCCTAAGAAGCTGGGAAAATGGAGGGTCTGGCTTTTTGCCCGAAGCAGGGGAACGGGACAGGATATGGCCAGAGTAGACGGGAAGGCAGACAAGGTTGGTGGGGACCCAGGTCTCGAGGCAGAGTCGTCGGCTGGGTGTGCCTATGTGTGGGATTTTGAGGGAGGCAGGCGGTATGGGGGACATTCAGAAGTTTGAGGAAAGAGGAGGAGACACACTGGAGAGACTGAACATATTAGGAAGCTATAATGTGATCTGAGTTACTGTTGGATTTATTACTAATTGTGGGTGCATGGCATCGTGTGAAAATATGGAAGGCTATATGTGATGAAATGCATTTTTTTAAAACAGAATTGTTCTTGTAAATGGAAGCAAATTGACAGAAGTTAAATGTGTTCCTCTATTTTTGAACATATATGGAACTGACTATGATGTATTATATCTAATTATGCATGTTTTTTTCTGATGTCAAATATCAGGTAGAGAGATGTGAATCCTTAAATATGGCTTTACTTAAACTGAATCACATGAAGAACTTTCTAAATGGTTCACTATGGGCATAAGTCATGTTTATATAAATCTGGACTTCTCTATTGGTACCATATTTATATAAATCTGTGTTTCTGTGCCTGATTGAATTTCAGATTAAATTTAATATGGAGAAAAAATTGAATATCAAAGATTGAGTCCACAAAAATTGATTTCACCTACATAATATCTTTAGTCCATAGTTATATGAATTTCTCTTTCCTTCTTCTACACGTTCTGCGCCCCTTTATAGCTATGCTCATTGAGTCCGACGGGCAAGCTTGGTTCTCCGTTTTGTATGAAGCATAGACTCGTATTAGGAGCTTACGGAGCTGGGATGAAGTCCTGCTTTAGGCACTTACTAGTTATATGGACACAGGCAAATTTACTGAACCTCCTTGGTTTCCTTCCTCCCTCCCTCCCTTCCTTCCGTCCTTCCTTCCTTCCTTCCTTCCTTTATTTCAACGGAGTCTCACTCTGTCACCAGGCTGGAGTGCCACGGCGTGATCTTGGCTCACTGCAACTTCTGCCTCCCGGGTTCAAGCAATTCTCCTGCCTCAGCCTCCCGAGTAGCTGGGATTACAGGTGTGTGCCACCACACCCGGCTAATTTTTTGTATTTTTAGTAGAGACGGGGTTTCACCGTGTTAGCCAGGATGCTCTGGATCTCCTGACCTCATGATCCGCCCCCCTCGACCTCCCACAGTGCTGGTATTACAGGCATGAGCCACCATGCCAGGCTGTTTTCTTATTTGTAAAATAGACATGGAGGCCGGGCAAGGTGGCTCACTCCTGTAATCCCAACACTTTTAGAGGCTGAGGCAAGTGGATCACTTGACATCAGGAGCTCAACACTAGCCTGGCTAACATGGCAAAACCCCGTCTCTACTAAAAATACAAAGAAAATTAGCTGGGAGTGGTGGCACATGCCTGTAGTCCCAGCTGCTCAGGATGCTGAGGCAGAAGAATCACATGAACCCAGGAGGCAGAGGTTGCAGTGAGCTGAAATCGCACCACTGCACTCCAGCCTGGGCAAGAGAATGAGACTGTGTCTCAAGCAAACAAACAAACCCCAGAAATAGCCCTGCTTCTTAGAGATGCTGTGAGGATTAAATGAGATAATATAGATGAACTGTGTGGCAGAGTGCTGACTCATAGTAAGAGTACAATGAAAGTTATCTATTATTAAGTAAAAATGGGCCCCTCAAAATTGTTAGTATAATTTCTTTTTAAATACAAATTCCCCTCCAACCCTTAAGGAAAGGGGGATGAACAGATGAGATGTGGACAGGATAGCCTCCCTGCCTCCCCAAGATTATGAACTGGGATAAGTTTATGGAGAGCCGTTTACTCTAAACTATAAACTAAGGAAGGATTTTAGGTGGACAAAGATATGGACAGATTTACCTTCAGTAATGGTGTGGATTTGAGGGGGTCAGAATAAGAACCACGAAGACCATTTGAGAGAATAGTGCAGTGCACTGATGTGTCCACAGCCTCGCCAAGGTTGGTGGTGGTGGGATTGAAAAGAAGGGGTGAATATGACATTTAGAAAGAACAATTCATTAGGCATGTTAAGGATCAGATGTGGAGCTAAGGGAGAGCATAGAGTCCAGCACGACTTTCAGAAAAGAGTGGGGTAATCAGGTGAAAGGTGGCACCACCGAAATAAAGAAGGCACAGGAGGTGTGAGAGAAAGCAATAAGTTGTAGATTTCTTGAGCTTGAGATTCTTGTAGTATATTTAGCCAGAGATGTTCAGGAGGCTTTGGATGTGTGCATCTGAAGCCCCCGGGGAGCATTTGAACTGGTGGAGGAGCTCATCTGCTTATTGGGACAGTCAACTGTAGGAGTCATCTGCCTATTGTAGGAAACTAAAAGTATGACAGAGGAAGCGATTATGCCCAGGAAGCAAGAGTGAGGGAACCTAGTGAGCTGAGAGTTAAAACCTGGGAGGTGCCAACACCTGTAATGGGCAAAGAGAAACTCATGGAGAAGACCATAAATAACCATTCAGAGGAGTATAAAGAGAACTAGAAGAAGGCGGTATCATAAACTAAGGGAATATAGAGTGAAAATTGAGAAGCAGACATAAACAATTCAATGATAAAATCCTAAAAACATTAACCATCATAAAGCATTGTCTTTCTCTTGGATTCTTTTCTTGGGATTTGAGTAGAGGGTTAGAAATTAAATGGATATGTACCGTCTGAAAATTATGGGTACTTCCAAGAGATTTAGAATTTGGTTATGAAGCTCTAATTTATTATTATTATTATTTAGATAGAGTGATCAGAGCTCATGCACCCTTGAAATCCTGGGCTCAAGCGATCCTCTTGCCTCAGCCTTACAAGTAGCTAGGACTACAGGCACATGCTACCATGCTGAGCTAACTTTTAATTTTTTCATTTTTATAGAGGCAGGGTCTTGCTAATGTTGCCCAGGCTGGTCTTGAACTCCTGGCCTCAAGCACCCCTTCTGCCTCAGTCTCCCAAAGTGCTGGGATTACAGGCGTGAGTTACCGCATCTGAGCCTGCAGCTCTAATTAAACTTCAAAATAGAATCTATTTTCCCTCTTGATGGAGCTATCTCAGTGGCACTGTTCTTATACTGTCATCTTTGTTGAGGTCATTTATATGGACCTCATAAATGAGGTATGGGAAAGAGGGGAGAATATTTCCTGAGGTAACTGAGCAATAGTTTGAAGAGGGAAGGGAAAAAGATTCAGAGGATTTTGCACATTAGCCTACTTCTGAAGAAGAGATTGCTATATCCTTCTCGAATCAAGTGAGTTGCGACAGTGGAAAAAGAGAACATAGCAAGGCTGTTTTAAATCTTACTTTCCCTATTTGGGACTCTAACTTCTTTTTTGATTCTAGTAGTGTAAGTCAGCTTTTCCCTTTCTCTGTTCTGTGGAGTAAGATGCTTTTAGGTGTTTTTCCACATTAAGCATGTTTGGTACATTATATTTCGGAAATGCTGTGGTTTTAAAAAATATTTAACATAATGTGCATTGTAATTCATCAGTACAGTTATAGCTTAAGCAGGTCCCACCACTATTTGACCATGAAACCTTACTGAGGAACATCTGTGACACCTCCCAGCATGAGAATTGTTGTTCATTTAGTACTTCATGGTACTCTAGGAAACCCCAAAAGAAATTGCCTGGATCCTAGGTGAGTTGCTGAGAGGTACCAGAAGGCAGTGGTCAATGCCACTGAATATGGAGTCGGCCTGTCTAGGTTTGATGCCTGACATTTTCATGGGCCATGTGACTCTGGCTATGTGACCTAACCTCTCTTTTTTTTTGAGACGGAGTTTCGCTCTTGTTGCCTAGGCTGGAGTGCAATGGCATGATCTCAGCTCACTGCAACCTCTGCTCCCTGGGTTCAGGTGATTCTCCTACCTCACCCTCCCCAGTAGCTGGGATTACAGGTGCCTGCCACCACGCCCGGCTATTTTTTTTTTTTTAGTAGAGATGGGGTTTCACCATATCGGCCCTGCTGGTCTTGAACTCCTGACCTTAGATGATCCACCTGCCTCAGTCTCCCAAAGTGCTGGGATTACAGGCATGAGCCACTGTGCCCGGCTGACCCAGGCTCTTTTCTATGAAAGGATAATAGTAATTCCTACCTTATAGGGTTGTTACATGGATTAAATAAAACAGTACAGGTAGAACCTTTATAAAATGCTTGGCACATAGTGAGCACTCAGTGAATATGGTGATTTTCATGATGATTGTAATTATACTTGCCGTTATCTCATTTTAAGGCATCTTGCCTAAAGGCCCATAATAAAACAATTACCATTCTCATCTTTCTTCCATCCTCGTACCTTGCATGGAGGAAACTAAAATTATAAATTTTATGTGTCAGAATGACTGAAAGGCTAAATTAATGTCGTTGGTGGTCCAGCAATATAATTAAAATATGTTTCACGGGACATCAAGTTTTAGAAAATAAGTCTATAAAAGCAAGGGACCTGATTTGAGGGTGACCACGTTGTTTGTCTAACAGGTTTCTATTGTAGCATGTTACCTGTGGCTGTGAATAGTTGCTGGTTTCTATTGTATCCATTCGATGTGACTGCTGCTAATGGAACTTAATGAGTCTCCATTACTGGTGTTCAGACTGTACTGTTTTTGAATTAGATGAAACAGTTCACTGGTTGGAGAGGCTCTAATTAAGCATATTTGGAAGAGAGTATACATATATTTTGTGCTGTTTCCCACATCATCCTTGCCAGTTCTAATTTTGCAGATTCCAGAAGGTCAGGAAGCATTTGTTAAGCCTCTATTGAGTTATAGAAGTTGAATTCTATAGCAGAAGCAAGAAAGAGAGGGTTCTACTCACATAGAATATAATAAAAATGGAAGGTGCCACTCTTTTTATCTTTAATTTCTATTTACAAAGGTCCCAGAAAGAGGAAGTGGAAGATCTTTCTTTCAATCCCTGTGACTTGAGATGTGTTCTAAACCTGATGGGAAGTCTAACACTATTTTGGGAAGTGCTTGTTACAGCTGAGTGTTAAACTCTTCATGGCATAATCACGACTTCTCCCTGCCCCCAGATAAGAGCGGGAATCATTTTTCATTTCTGCAATGGTCACGTCAGCCATGACACAATTGGTTAGGTTCCTTCCCATGCTGTTTCTTTATTTTAATCTTGTTTATTGAAGATTTTCATTATTGAGAAACTGAAACTATACCTCCTCTCCCCCAAATAATAGAATGAAACAAGGGAAGAAAAGAAAGAAAAAACAATGTGATATGCCAGAGTTCACTGTGAAAATTTTGGCTTTTTAAAATTTAGTCTTCCACATATTTCCAGTTAAAATGATACTATTTTGTATCCTGTTTTTTTTTTTTTTGCTCTTAACACATCAAAAATATTTTCTCCAATTAATTACATATACTTTGTAAATATATTTTAACTATTGTTTCTGAACTTAAAATTTTATACCAAATTTGAAAACATAATGCCGAACATAATAGACATCCCCAGCCCTGCCTCTACCACTAGAAATAGCCCAAGAAAATAATTATCAACAATGTATGATTTTTAATGGATGCATAATATTCTATCTCACAATATAACAAACATATCTGTCTGCTTTAGCATAGTAAGATTATGTTTCCTTTATAATATTGTGTCCCTATGTTCCATCCTTGCTACCACTGAGTTGTTTCACTTTTTCTTTTTTTAATTTGCTAGGTTAAAACAAATGCTGTTATGATATAGATGAACTCATTATTATCTTAATTTTCATCTCTGATTACATAATGAGGTTGACTATTTTACTGGGTTTCCTTACCTTTTGTATTGTATCCTTTCATCTGTTCATGTCCTTGGGAGTCTTTGTAATTTTTTTTCCTCAATAAATTGTGAAAGTTTTTGCTTAATCAAGAGATATCAATGCCTCATCAAATTTATTAGAACACAGTTTTCCAATTTATTTTTGTTTTAAGCCTTTGTATTCTATTTTTGCGTACAAGTTTCTTTTTATGTAATCAACTCATACATGTTGTAATTTATTCCATCACTCATGAAGTTTAGATAGCTGCATTAGTTTCCCAGGCTGCTGCAGCAAAATACCAAAAACTATGTGTCTTCTAACAGAACTTTATTGTCTCAGACTTCTGGAAGCTAGAAGTCCAAAATCAAGGTGTTGGCAGGGCCGTGCTTTCTCCGATGTTGCTATCCTTCCTTGCCTCTTCTAGCTTCTGGTGTTTGCTGGCAACCGTGGATGTTCCTTGGCTTGTAGATGCATCATTCTAGTCAATGGCCATTTTGTCCCTGTGTGTCTTCATATCGTCTTCCCTCTGTGTGTGTGTATCAGGATTTCACATTATAAGGACACCAGTCATATTGGATTAGGATTCAGCCTGATGATCACATTTTAACTTGATTACTCTATCAATATCTGATTTCCAAATCAGGTCACATTCTATGGTTCTGGGGTTAAGGCTTCAACATATCCTTTTTGGGGGATACAAAACCAACCTCATCCACATACAGAGATAATTACAAAGAAATGTACAGACAAATAGTAGCCATCTCTCAATTAAATTAATTTTTACTTTTTTTTTTTTTTTTTGAGATGGAGTCTTACTCTGTCGCCCAGGCTGGAGTGCAGTGGCGTGATCTTGGCTCACTGCAACCTCCGCGTCAGTCTCCTGAGTAGCAGGGATTACAGGTGCCTGCCACCATGCCCAGCTAATTTTTGTATTTTTTAGTAGAGATGGGATTTCACCATGTTGGCCAGGTTGGTCACAAACTCTTGACTTCAAGTGATCCACCTGCCTCCCACAGTGCTGGGATTACAGGCCTGAGCCATTGCACTTGGACTAATTGTTACATTTAATTCAATTTACTTGCAACTTACATTTACATTTGAAAGGTGAACATGTGTTGTGTTGCTTTTACATGAATCAATGACTGAACATCATAATCTTGGGTTAAAGTATTCAAAACAACTTTAAAAATTTGCATTAGGCTTTTTCTGAATATAAGTCTTCTAAAATGGATTTTGTTTGAAACTTGGGAAGCCTGTTTGAACAGTAGAGTTAGAGATTTTTTTTTTAATTTTAAAGATCTGTGTTTTTTTTCTTTTTCTTAATTACATATTTGATTATTGATTCTGTTTCTGTCATTCTTATTTCTTCCTCAGGATCTCCTACATGCATTAAAATTGTACGGTGCTTGCTGTTAGGAAGTATTCAAGTGTTTGTCATGTAAATGAATAAATATATTAATGAGTAAAAATGGGATGATTGATCACACAATTGAAGGAATCATTAGCTGGAACTGGAAATGTGGTTCTGAAATATTAAAAAGAAATAAGGGCTGGAAATGTAGATATGTAAGTTTTTCCTCTCCTATGGGTAGTAGTGGGCATTATAGGAGTGGATGAGATCACCTGAGTTGAGAGTTATGTATTGGGCGAAGAAGAAGGCAAAAGACAGACTTAACCTAGGGAAGCAGCTGAGGCTCAGGAGCCATTTAAGGATGGAAGTAGGGTAGGAAGAGAGCAAATTCCCACTGGCTTAATGTGCTTGTTGGTTTTCTCCCTTCCTTCACCACTAGGGTTACAGAGATGTACTTCCAGCTGAAAGAAATGAATGAAAAGGTGTCTTTTATAAAGGACTCCTTACTGTCTTTGGACAGCCAGGTGGGACACCTGCAGGATCTCTCTGCCCTGACTGTGGATACCCTGAAAGTCCTTTCTGCTGTTGACACTTTGCAAGAGGATGAGGCTCTCCTGGCCAAGAGAAAGCATTCTACTTGCAAAAAACTTCCCCACAGCTGGAGCAATGTCATCTGTGCAGAGGTTCTAGGCAGCATGGAGATCGCTGGAGAGAAGAAATACCAGTATTATAGCATGCCCTCTTCTTTGCTGAGGAGCCTGGCTGGAGGCCGGCATCCCCCAAGAGTGCAGAGGGGGGCACTTCTTGAGATTACAAACAGTAAAAGAGAGGCTACAAATGTAAGAAATGACCAGGAAAGGCAAGAAACACAAAGTAGTATAGTGGTTTCTGGGGTGTCTCCTAACAGGCAAGCACACTCAAAGTATGGCCAGTTTCTTCTGGTCCCCTCTAATCTAAAGCGAGTTCCTTTTTCAGCAGAAACTGTCTTGCCTCTGTCCAGACCCTCTGTGCCAGATGTGCTGGCAACTGAACAGGACATCCAGACTGAGGTTCTTGTTCATCTGACTGGGCAGACCCCAGTTGTCTCTGACTGGGCATCAGTGGATGAACCCAAGGAAAAGCACGAGCCTATTGCTCACTTACTGGATGGACAAGACAAGGCAGAGCAAGTGCTACCCACTTTGAGTTGCACACCTGAACCCATGACAATGAGCTCCCCTCTTTCCCAAGCCAAGATCATGCAAACTGGAGGTGGATATGTAAACTGGGCATTTTCAGAAGGTGATGAAACTGGTGTGTTTAGCATCAAGAAAAAGTGGCAAACCTGCTTGCCCTCCACTTGTGACAGTGATTCCTCTCGGAGTGAACAGCACCAGAAGCAGGCCCAGGACAGCTCCCTATCTGATAACTCAACAAGATCGGCCCAGAGTAGTGAATGCTCAGAGGTGGGACCATGGCTTCAGCCAAACACATCCTTTTGGATCAATCCTCTCCGCAGATACAGGCCCTTCGCTAGGAGTCATAGTTTTAGATTCCATAAGGAGGAGAAATTGATGAAGATCTGTAAGATTAAAAGTAAGGAATAAACATTTAAAATATCAGCATTAAGTCCTTTGCATTGCTACTGGTTTTGTTTTGTTTTGTTTTTTAAATCTGTGACTCTTAACCACATTGTCATTCTCCCCATTCTCTCAGCTTTTTCTGTAAAACAAAATGTTCCCCACTTACTGTTGTCAACTTTCTCATGTAGACCATTTCCTTGCAGATCTTTCAGGCTCTTCAGAAATAGGGCAGGGAGCATGGGTCAAAGCGAAAATGCTAACCAAAGACAGGAGACTGTCAAAGAAAAAGAAGAATACTCAAGGACTCCAGGTGCCAGTAAGTGTACTGTTATTCTGTCTTTTAGGTTTTGAGCAGTCAAGGTAGTGGCCTATCTTAGTTTGATTTATCTTTACTGTAAAGTGCCATCTACACAAAATAACATTGTGTTGAAAGGATTGAAGATATAATTTGTTCCTCTTTTTAAGAGATGGGTGGGGTCTTGCTATGTTGTCCAGGCTGACCTTGAACCTCTGGGCACATGTAGTCCTACCACCTCAGCCTCCCAAGTAGCTGGGACTACAGGCATACACAACCACACCCAGATATAAATTTAAGAGTCATTAGAGTGGATATACTGCAATTTACTTATCTGCTAACATGTTGAAGGACATTTGGGTTGTTTTCAATTTTTGGCTATTCCAAAAAAGCTGTTATGAACATTTGTGTACAAGTCTTTTTGTGGACATATGTTTTAATTTCTCCTTGGTAAATACTTAGGAACGGAATGTCAGAGTCATATGGTAAGTGTTTTTTAATTTTTCAAGAAACTTCCAAACTGCTTTCCAAGGTAATCGTAACATTTTACATGCCCACCAGTAATTTATGAGCATTTCAGCTGTTCTACATCCTCACTGTCTTAGTTTGTTTTGTGTTGCTATAATAGAAATCTAAGACTGGGTGATTAATAAAGAAAAGAAGTTTATTTCTTACAGTTCTGGAGGCTGGGAAGTCCAGGGTGGAGGGAACATATCTGGTAGGGACTTCTTGCTGGTAGAGACTCTCTGCAAAATCCTAGGTGGCACAGGGCATCACATGGCAAGGGAGGCTCCTGAGAGAGCCAAACAGGCTTTCATAACAGATCCACTCTCATGATAAATAACCTATCCCCTCCATAATCCATTAGTCCATTAACTCATGAACGAATTAATGTATTCATGAGCCAGAGCCCTCATGATCCAGTCACCTCTTAAAGTCTCCATCTCTTAATATGATTACACTGGGAATTAAGTTTTAACATGAGTTTTGGAAGGAACAAACGTTCAAATCATAGCACTCGCCAATTCAGTATACTCAATCTTTTAAATTTTAGCCATATTAATGAATGTGTAGTGGTATCTCATGGTACAATTTCATTTGTATTTCCATAGTGACTAATGCTACTAGGCATCTTTTCATATGTTTATTTGCCCTCTGTACAGTCATGCATTGCTTAATGATGGGGATACTTTCTGAGAAATGTGTCATTAGGTGATTTCATCATGGCACAAACATCATGGAATGTACTTACACAAACCTAGATGGTCTAACCTACCACATGCCTAGTCTGTATGATGTAGCCTGTTGCTCCTAGGCTATAAACTTGTACAGCATGTTACTGTACTGAACACTTTAGGTAATTGTAACACAATGGTATTTGTGTATCTAAGCATATCTAAACATAGAAAGGGTCAGTAAAAGTACAGTATAAAAGATAAAAATTGGTACACCTATATAGGGCACTTACTTGCAGGACTTGGAAGTTGTTCTAGGAGTGTCAGTGAGTGAGCGGTGAGTGAATGCAAAGGCCTAGAGCATTACTGTATACTACTGTAGACTTTATAAACACTGTACATTTAGGCTACACTAAATTTATAAAAAACAAAATGTGCTACGATGTTATCACAGCTGTAATGTCACTAGGTGACAGGCATTTTTCAGTTGCATTATAATCTTATGGGACCACCGTTGTATTAGTGGTCTGTCATTGACTGAAATATTGTTATGCGGGGCATGACGGTATTTTTGGTGACATGTTTGTTCAGATCTTTGCCCATTTAAAAAATTGGGTTGTTGTCTTATTATAAAGTTGTGAGCATTTTAAAATATATGTTAGATATAAATCCTTTTTTGAGTAGATGTTTTTGCAAATATTTTGTCTCAGTGGTTTGCCTTTTAATTTTCGTAAACGTCCTTTGAAACCATAATTTTTTTGATGAAGTGTTTGATTCTTTTCTTTTATAGTCTATGATTTTTTGTATCACATTTAAAATATTTTTGCCAAGATCACTAAGACTTATTCTCATGTTTTCTTCTAGGAATTTTATAGTTTTAGCTCTTGCTTGTAGGTCTATAATCCATTTTGAGGTAATTTTTGTATATGAAGATAGCTAAGAATTGAGTTTCTTCTGCCCTTCTCTTTCTTTCTTGAATATGAATATCAAAATTTTCTACCATTTTTTGGTAAAAAGATATCTTTTTCAATTCTGTTCTTGACCATATTAACAATAATAGAAGATATCTTTTTTCTGTTGTTGCCTTGACATCTTTGTCAAAAATTAATTGACCATATAGATCACAATATGTATGGATCAATTTCTATCTCTATGCCAATATTATGTTATCTTGAATACAACTTTATAATAAATTTTGAGTCATATATTAAAGGTCAATTTTTCTTTCTTTTTCAAAAGTTTGGCTATTTTGTGTTCTTTGCATTTCCATATAAATTTAGAATCAGCTTGTCAATTTTTATAGAGAAGTGGACTGGGATTATGAATAGAATTGCCATAGATCTATATGTCGATGTGGGGAAAGTTGACATCTTAACAATAATGAGTCTTCTGATTCACGAACATGATGTATTTCTCCATTTAGGTCTTCTTTGACTTCTTGAAGTAATGTTTTATAGCTTTTAGACTACTGATCTTGCACATATTTTGTTAAATGCATCCCTATTTCATATTTTTGAATTTTATTATAACTGCCATTAGTTAACAATTTTAATATCTGATTATTTGTTTATGGTATATAGAAATTTTTTAATACTGGTCCTATATTTTGCAACCTTGCTAAACTTCTTTACTTGAGTAGATATTGTGTAGCTTTTTAAGAATTTTCTGTATACATGACCATGTCATCTACAAACATAGATAGTTTTACTTCTTCCTTTCAATCTGGACATGTTGTATTTCCTTTTCTTGCCTGATTACACTGAACAGAACCTCTGGTATAATATTGACTAGAAGTGATAAAAGCAGATATCTTTTCCTGTGTCTGTTCTTAGGGGAAAAGCATTTAATCCTTTACCATTAAGAATGAGGTTAGCTATAGGTTTTTCTATAGATGCCCCTTATCAGGGTGAAAACTTTCCTTCTGTTTTTAGTTTTCAGAGAATTTTTATCATTCATGGATATTAGCCTTTGTCAAATGCTTTTTCTGTATCTACTTAGGTGATCAGATATTTCTCCTTTTGATTTTGTTATTTTACAGTGAATTTCATTCATTAATTTTATAATGTTAGAATTCTTAGAATATTAAATTACCTTACTGGGATAAACCCCACTTGGTCATGATGTATTTTTTTTCATATTGTATTCATTTTGCTAAACTTTTCATTAGTTTTTTTGCATCAGAATTATTGAGGGATAGTTGTCTTTAGTTCACTTTTATTGTAATATCTTTGTCTGGTTTTGGTATCAGGATGATGCTTGGTTTATTTAGTGAGTTGGGAAGTATTCCCTCCTCTTCAGTTTTCTGGGTGAATTTGTAAGGAATTGATATTATTTCAGTCTGAAGTATTCGTAGAATTAACCAATGAAACCATCTTTGTGGGAAAGCTTTTAACTACAAATTCAATTTCTGTAATAGATATAGAGCTATTTAGGTTATGTAATTCTTCTTGAATGAGCTTTTTTTGTGTATGTCAAAGAATTTATTCATTTTGTTTAAGTTGTTTAATTTATTGGCATAATGTTCATAATCTTCTCTTATTATTCATTTATTGTCTTTGAGATCTGTGGTTAGTGACATCACTTCTTTTGTTCCTAACATTTTATTTTATTTATTCATTTATTTATTTTTGAGATGGAGTATTGCTCTGTCGCCTAGGCTGGAGTGCAGTGGCTTGATCTTGGATCACTGCAACCTCTGCCTCCCAGGTTCAAGCGATTCTCCCACCTCAGCCTCCCAAGTAGCTGGGATTACAGGTGCCCACCACCATGCCTGGCTAATTTTTGTATTTTTAATAGAGATGGAGTTTGACCATGTTGACCAGGCTGATCTCGAACTCCTGACCTCAGGTGACCCACCCGCCTCGGTTTCCCGAGTGCTGGGATTACAGGGATGAGCCACCATGCCCGGCTGGCCTGTTCCTAACATTTTAAATTTGGGTTTTCCCCTACCCTCCCCTCCTTTTTTTTTTTTTTTTTTTGACAGGGTCTCTCTCTGTCACCCAGGCTGGAGTGCAGTGGTGCAATCTCAGCTCACTGCAAACTCTACTTCCCAGGGTCAAGTGATTCTCCTGCCTCAGGCTCCTGAGTAGCTAGGATTACAGGCCTGTGCCACCCCGCCCAGCTGATTTTTGTATTTTTAGTAGAGACAGGTTTTCGACATGTTGGCCAGGCTGGCCTCAATTGATCCGCCTGCCTCAGCCTCCCAAAGTGCTGGGATTACAGGCATAAGCCACCATGCCCAGCCTCTGATTTCTGTTTCATTCATGCTTGCTCTTATCTTTATTATTTCTTTTGTTCTATTTACTTTGGGTTTAACTCTGGTCTTCTCTTTCTAGGTTTTTTTTTGTTAGTTAGTTTGTTTTTTTAGACAAAGTCTTTCTCTGTCGTGTAGGCTGGAGTGCAGTGGCACCATGTTGGCTCACTGCATCCTCCGCCTCCCGGGTTCAAGTGATTCTCCTGCCTCAGCCTCCCAAGTAGCTGGGACTATAGGCATACACTACCACACCCAGCTAACTTTTGTATTTTCAGTTTTGGCCAGGCTAGTCTTGAACTCCTGACCTCAGGTGATCTGCCCACCTCACCTCCCAAAGTACTGAGATTACAGATGTGAACCACCACGCCCAGCCTCTAGTTTGTTAAGGTAGAAACTTTGGTCATTGATTTCAGACTTCCTTCTTAATTTTTTTTTTTCTTTTGAGACAGGGTTTCACTCTGTCACCCAGGCTGGAGTGCAGTTGTCATCTCAGCTTATTGCAACCTCTGTCTCCCAGTCTCAAGTGATCCTCCCACCTCAGCCCCTTGAGTACCTGGGACCACAGGTGTGCCACCACACCTGGCTATTTTTTTTTTTTTTTTTTTTTGTAGAGACGGGGTTTCTTCATGTTGTCCAGGCTGGTTCTTAAACTCCTAAGCTCAAGCTATTCACCTGCCTCAGCCTCCCAAAAGTGCTGGAATTACAAGTGTGAACCACTGTGCCTGGCCTTCTTTTCTAATGTAGTCATTTAGTGCTATCAAATTCCCTCTAACCACTGTTTTAGCTCTTTCCTACAAATTTTGATGTGTTGTTTTTATTTTCATTCAGTGAGTCTTTTTATATTTCGTTTGGAAGTTTTAGATCTCAAGTAGCAATTCTGTAAGAATTCACCTTTCATGATCTTAATGCTCTGCCTTATTTAAAAAATGTTTACACTTATTTTTCCAAATAATAATCTGGATGCATTAAAAAAATACCTCAGCCTTTTTTAGAATGAGAAGCAGAAGCAAAGAGATTAGTATTGAGACAATTACATAAAAGAACCTTTTAGGGGAGAGATAAGAAAGGCTGTTCTTTCAGGAAAAATGCCATGAGTTTCTGGAATCCCAAGAAATATGCACTTAAGTAGATTTATTTTTGGAATAGTTCAAATGTCCAGAGTTCAACTAGAAATTGCAACTGAGTTCAATAATTCAAGCTTGGATTTATTTATTTATTGCTTTTGAGTTACCAATTTACCGCATTTGTTCTGCAGCTCGGAAGTATATAGGACGGTCATATTATTGGCTATCTATTATTTTAGTAATGAAGGAAAAGGGGCTCAGAGACATTAAGTGATTTTCCCAAATTCACATGGCTTCTAAATGACAGGGCTAGAATTCCAACACAAATTCTTTGGATTCTAATATTTTCTCAAAATATGATCTCCTATTGGCAGCATGAGCATCACCTGGGAACTTAATAGAGATTCAAATTCTTCCTCCTTCCAGACCTGCTGCATTAGAGATTCCAGAGGTGGGACCCAGTGACCTGTGGCTTAAACCAGCCCCCAAGCCCTTGGTGATTCTGATGTGCACTCAAGATTAAGAACCAAGGTGTGGAGCAGGGGTTCTCAGTCATGACTGCAAAGAGAAATCACATGGATGCTTGTGTCCTGCCAGCCTAAGTGATGGGATTTGTCAGCACTTCCCAGGCAATTGTCATATGCAGCCAGTGTTAACAGACACTGCCCTTCACCATGGTGCTTCTGTTAGTGTGACTCACAGTGCTTTTGAATTAATGTCACTGTGTTCCAACAAGTGTCTTTCTCTCCAGATCATAACAGTCAATGCCTGCTCTCAGAGTGACCAGTTGAATCCAGAGCCAGGAGAAAACAGCATCTCTGAAGAGGAGTACAGCAAGAACTGGTTCACAGTGTCCAAATTTAGTCACACAGGTATGTAACATCTACAATTTTGGATCCCAAAAACCCTGGTGGGGTTTTCTCAGGGTACGGTCTTTAGACCATTGGCGGTTCCTCCTGTTCTTTCACATGGAGATGAGGGAAAGAGAAGATGGCTACACTCTGTAAGGAAAATAGCATTTTTCTGTTTTTCATTTTTATGAAAGGGACAAAATTTTGTTTGTCTAAAGGACTCCAGAAAAGAAAAATTAAGATTTAGATAGTCTCTTGTATTCAAAGCTGTTGAACCTGACTCAGAGTGTTTTATCGAGACAGCATTCATTTAGTCTGATTTATGGATAGGGGATTGTCTAATTTTATAAATTCTTAAAGTACACATGACACTGATATGGACTGCTACACAGAATTCAGTGGGTTAAGTTATATTTGGTTATTTACTACTGTCTACATTTAGTGTTTATTCTGTGGGCAATTATCTCTTAATAAGCTTAATAATGGTGTTTGTAGAGGAGAGAAGATGGATCAACCAGCTAGGAATGAATACTATGGGCTAGGCCTGGACGGTGAAATAGGTCTGGACAGGTAAGATGAGGGCAGATTGTGAACAGAAAAGATAGCAATGATAGGAACTTTGGACTTCTTGCATTAGATAAGAGACATTTACCAATTTTTAAACAGAAAGGACTAAGTGATTAAGTAGTCATAAGGTTTTAAAAATATTTAAAATACTAAGTTTAAGGTACAGGTAGACATTGTATTGAAATTTAGGCTGTCAGACTTTTCTAAAAATCTGCTTGTTCATATGGTAAATGGTTCTCAACCAAGGGGTGATTTTACACGTTCCCTTCACTTTCCCCGTGGGACACTTGGGAATATCTGGAGATATTTTTGTTGTCATAACTAAAGTGGGGGGAATGCTCTTGCCACCTAGTGAGTAGAGGCCAGGGATGCTGTTAAACATCTTACAATGAACGGGATAGATAGGTCCTCATGACAATTATCCAGCCCAAAATGTCATTGCTAAGGTGGAGAAACCCTGATTTTATGTTTAAAAATACTCAGTTGTCTGTTAAATCACTGAGAATCAAGTGGTCTCTAAGCTGAAAGAGACATTTAGAGATTAAATTAGTCAGCACCCCCTCAATTTATAGATATAGCGTGAGAGCTTAATTTACCTTGACTTTAATCATACCATTTACTAGAGACCATAAATTTGGATAAATTAAATCCCACACCTAAAGACATGACTCCAGGACCAATTATAAATAGATTGATTTTATTTATAAGTGTCATATATTTATATTATATATATTAGGTATTATATTTTTTATAAATAGTATAATTTATGTTTAGGATGTTATATATCATTCTTAAATCATTTAAGTTCTTTCCAACGAATTTCAAACATCGAGAGATACAAGTGGCAGGAGGTTTCTGGGAAAGAATCTCATTAAGTCAGATGATCAGAGGGAGAGGTAAAGCTAGGGAAATAGGTTGATCCGAGTGCCCGGCTAATCTGAGTGAGTAATGAGGCCCACTGTCTTTCTTGAACCACATCCAGAGTTGAGAAGCTTGTTTTTTTGAAACGTGTCTGAGTTAATAATTAATTGAAAAAGAATTAAAAAAATAAAAGTCTGTGAATAGGCAGATGCCCTGTCAGGTAGCATTCTCTCTCTCTGTTTTTATTTTAAAGACAGGGTCTGGCTCCATCACCCAAGCTGGAGTATAGTTACGTGATCACAGCTCACTGCAGCCTTGACCTCCTGGGCTCAAGCGATCCTTCCACCTCAGCCTCCCGAGTAGCTGGGACTATAGCATGTGCCACCATGCTTGGCTAATTTTGTTTATTTTTGTAGAGATGGGGGTCTCACTATGTTACCCAGGCTGGTCTCAAACTCCTGTCCTCAAGTGATGCTCCTGTCTTGGCCTCCTAAAGTGCTAGGATTACAGGCATGAGCCGGCTACTCCACTTGGCCTTCAAATAGTATTTTTTATACTTCTTGTATACTTTTTTTTTTCCAGCACAAAATCATTAGGAAAAATGCAACCGTTATCTCCTATTTTTAGTCAGGACTCCTAATAAGTATTATTCTCAGAATTAATCCAACCAAGTATTCACTAAATATTTATTATGCATCTACTATATGTAGTAACTCTGTAGGTACCAGCTACAAAAAGAATAACAGTAATGAACCTCATCATCCTTTTTAATAAAAGGCTAAAAATTAAATCTATTTATTTGATGGCATTCCTTTCTTTTTTTTTTTTTTTTTTTGAGACAGTCTCACTCTGTCGCTCAGGCTGGAGTGCAGTGGCACAGTCTTGGCTCACTGCAACCTCCGCCTTCGGGGTTCAAGCGATTCTCTTGCCTCAGCCTCCTGAGTAGCTGGAATTACAGGTATGCACCACCACACCTGGTTCATTTTTATATTTTTAGTAGAGACAGGGTTTCTCCATGTTGGTCAGGCTGGTTTTGAACTCCTGACCTCGGGTGATCCACCCGCCTTGGCCTCCCAAAGTGTTGGGATTACAGGTGTGAGCCACGGCGCCTGGCCTCTATTATTCTTTTATTGTTCTTTTTAAGTAGCCTACTATGATGTTTGATGCAGTTGCTAAGGAAGGATTCCTAACTAGACTAGGAATGGAATTAAATTTCACATATTTTAAATAAAGCATGTGCAATAGTGTGCAGGATAAGGTAGATATAAAAATTGCTAAAGGTGTTGTCCTATAAGAGGACAGTTTATGGATCATTTAATTCTTGACTTCAATAGAGAAGTGTAAGTTGTTATAAATGTGAAAGTAACTATAGAAGAATAGAAATAGAATATATAGTTTTCAACCTCTTGAGAAAAAAAGGATAAAGGAAACTTGGTAAAACTTGCTAAAAACAGAAAGGGAAAACTATATCCAAGTTTAAATGAATGTACTGTGTTCAGATTTTTCTATTTGGGAACTGTGATTTGAATGTAACACATTTTCATGTATTTTCTAATCTTTCTCTTCCTCTTTACAAGGTGTAGAACCTTACATACATCAGAAAATGAAAACTAAAGAAATTGGACAATGTGCTATACAAATCAGTGATTACCTAAAGCAGTCTCAAGAGGTAAAAATATTTTAGGAGTTAAAAAAAAAAGCATTCGAGCATGCAGTGCTACTCTTGACTACGCCCATTTTACCTTTATGTCCCTTAATTGGCTTCTACTTTTTATTGACAGTCTGCTTAATCTTTGTTTTGAAGCTATGCTCAGTTGAATTTCTGTTCTATTTTTTCAATCCCCTCCACATTATTCTTTCTTTGACATTTTTCTTTATGCAATTTACCTATCCACTCAATAATTTATCCTGGGGATGTTCAGCATGAGAGAGAAAGAATTCAGGAGTTTTCGAAACTGTTTTCAAATATATGAAAGTTGTCATGTGGAAGAAAAATAAGCTATTTTCTATACACTTTTAAGAGGTAGATCTAGAATCAACATATAGAAGCTACTGGGAGACAGATTTCAGCCCAATCTGAGAAGAAATTTTTAGCAATTGGAGCTTTCCAAGCATGGAATGATTTATTTCTGGAAGTAGTGAGTCCCTCACTAGTGCGATCAGTCAAGCATAGGCTGAACAAACCTCTTTGCAGGCATGATGGAGGGGATTCAAGCCTTGCAGGGTAAAGACCCTTAGTGTTTCTTCAATGCTGAGATTCTCCGGTTTTGCAGTCTGTTTTTCTTGCTGTCTAAAAATATGGGCCTTGTTTTGTGCCATCCGCCACGTGGGAAGTGTGAATAGTTAGCTTAACCCAAGAAACCTAATTTTAAGTCTTTGTTTGAATATTACCTGTTTGAACTTGAGAACTGTTGAGACATGACCTTTATGGCTAACAACCTCAGATATTCTTGTAGGAATAGCATCTGTGAAAGATTTTCAAAGTAAAGTGTCAGACTACTTGAGGGTAATTGGAAGCAGGGACCTGTGTTCAAATTCTGGCTCTGCCACTTTCTACGTTTCAAAGCTATGTACATCAGTTAACCTATGAGCTTCATTACCTGTATCTCTAAAGTGGGACTAATGCCATCCTTATAAGATTATTGCTAATGGACAGCAAAAATAACAACTATGAAAAGGCCTACCTAGAGTAATGCCTGGAGTATACTAAGTCTCAGGAAATAATTGAATTTGAGTAGGAAATCAAATGAGGTAAATCCAAGGTAATGTTATTTTAAATAATCATCATGACCTGAGATGAGAATCTTTTCATAAGACATAACAATGTGATGATCCGTGTTGTCTGTCAACTTGTACTTTCATTTTTCTCCATGTCATTAGCTGATTGTGTATGTTCAGTCCTGATTAACTGATTGTGTATGTTTAGTCCTGATTTTCTATGTTCAGTCTGTAAAAAATTTCATATATTACATTTTCTGTTTGATATCTCCTTAAAGGTAATTTCATTCTGTTAAAGTCCATCAACACACTGAGTAACTCTGACATTGCTCTAACATTATGCATCTTTCTAGCTTGGGTTTAGTATGTTTTTTAAAAGAAGAATATTCAGGTAGATGAAGAAAAAAGAAGGATTCTCCAAGGAGCGTGTTTGGCAGATCATTCCTAGAAACTTGGGGTGGGACTATGTTGAGCACACACGTAACGGCCTTTCCCTTCTGCTCAGGATCTCAGCAAAAACTCTTTGTGGAATTCCAGGAGCACCAACCTCAATAGGAACTCCCTGTGAGTATTTCTAAATGTTTATGTTTAAGAATCTTTGGCTTCCATTTTTTTAACTTGGTTAGGAGCAAAGGTTTAATTTAGTCAGAAAGGGAGAGAAAAGAAGTGTGTGTCAAATGACAATACTTTTCTCTTGTTAGCAGAATGAAAATGATTTCTTCTCCAAGTTTTCCTGTTTCTGGCAACAAGATCTCACCTGAGTTCCTTTTAAGAATATAACGAAACACATACTCCTACAACAAATTAAACATTTGCCTTTTCAGTGTCAAAACACACATAGAATAATGATTATCATATCTTTTTGGATAGATAAGATTGTGAATTTGCATAAAAGAGTAGAAATCAGTCTGTCTTGCTTAAAGAAACAGACTTAGACTGAACACCTGATTACGTTTATTCTTTAATTTTAAAAATAATTATTTTTTCCTTTTAGTTTATAAGGCATATCTTTTTTGTTTTTGGTTTCTCAGTAGCATGCTAATCATCAAAGCAATAACTCTGAGAAAGATTGAGACAGAGAGGGAGAGGAAGACTGGTTGGAGAGAGAAAGAAGATAGAGAACTCACTTGAGTGTCTTCCTGGAATTTTATTAGTATATATCTAGAGAAATAAAAGTTGTAAATCAACCAAGCAAAGATAATTCTATTTTATTTGTAGTATTTTCTGGACTTTCCTAGTTGCATCATCACATTAACTATTCATACAGGTAGAATTCAAAACCATCTACTCTATGGAAGTGCCAGTTGATACCCAGCAGGTAGAAGGTGACTTTCAGTTTGCAGTCAGCTCTGTTTAGAGATGGTCTTTCTCTAGGGCTCCCATCATGGACCCTGTGCAAGCCTGCCTCCAGACTTAAAGGACACATGACTTTCTTCTCCCAAAGGTTCAGTAGTTTGTGCTCATGCAGAGTAGGGGTTTATTGCAGCATGAAATTGAACAATAATCGTAATTGTACTTTCTTTCTTAAGGACCTTAAATGCTGAAGATATTATTTGAATGTATTTATTCAGACTCGCCTGTGGCCACTTGTGCATTTGAGCAGGGCAAGTAACAGTTTAAAGAGAACTAATTTCAGCCTGTGAACATTTAGCAGCCACGTGGGCTAATGAAACTGATTTGTAGGCTTGTCCAGAGACATTCACAGACTCATTTGTAGGCATCTGCTTTGCATAGTTCAGGAATCCTTTAGTTTAATTGATCCAGAAGAACACAAACACAGTTACATCTTATATATATTGTGTGATCACAAAGCTAATTAAAAAACAACAACTGCTTTTCAATTAGCTTAGGATGTACACAGTAAATGACTTACATACATATCTGGTGCTCATTTTTCTATAAAAACACTTGCAGCGCTGAAAAGTTACTTCTTTATTGATACTATAGGGATTAGATGTAACTAATACTTCTCTTTCAAATATATATACAGTCATGCATCAATTAACGACAGGATACATTCTGAGAAATGTGTCATTAGGTGATTTCATCGTTGTGCAAATATCGTAGAGTGCATTTACACACACCTAGATGGTCTAACCTACTACACACCTAGGCTATATGGTTTAGCTTATTGTTCCTAAGCTACAAACCTGTACAGTATGTTACTGTACTGACTACTGTAAGCTATGGTATTTGTGTAACTAAACACAAAAAAAGTACAGTAAAAATACAGTATAGAAGATAAAAAATGGTACACCTGTATAGGATGCTTACAATGAATGGAGCTTGCAGGACTGGAAGCTTGCTCTGGGTGTCAGAGTGAGTGAGTGCTGAAAGAATGTGAAGGCCCAGGACATTACTCTACACAAGCGGAGACTTTATGTGTACACTTAGGCTACACTAAATTTCTATAATTTTTTTCTTTTTAAAATAACCAATTAACCTTAGCTTTACCGTAACTTTTTTACTTGATAAACTGTAAAACATTTAAAAATCTTTTTGACTCTTTTACAATAACACTTAAAACACAAATACATTGTATGGTTGTACAAAAATATGTTCTTTCTTTATATCCTTATTCTAGAAGCCATTTTCTGATTTTAAATTATTTATTTATTTTCACTTCTTACACTTTTTAAAAATATGAAGACACAAATACACACATTAGCCTAGACCTACACAGGATCAGGATCATCAATATCACTGTCTCCTGCCTCCTCATCTTGTCCCACTGGAAGGTGTTCAGGGGCAATAACACACATGGAGCTGTCACCTCCTATGATAACAATGCCTTCTTCTGGATACCTCCTGAATGACCTGCCAGAGGCTGTTTACAGTTAACTTAAAAAGAAAACATAAATATAAGGAGTACATGCTAAAAGAATGAAAAAGAGCATAATATAATAAATACATAAACCTGTAACATAGTCATCCATCATGATCATCAAGTATTATGTGCTGTACATAGTTGTATGTACTATATTTTTATATGACTGGCAGCACAGTAGGCTTACTTACACCAGCATAATTACAAACACATAAGTAATGCATTGCGCTGTGACATTATGATGGCTAAGACATCACTAGGTGTTGGGAATTTTTCAGCTCTGTTATAATCTATGGGACCATTGTAATATATGCTGTCTGTTGTTGACCAAAACATCATTAGGCAGTACATGACTGTATATGTATTTCACATGTATATAAAATATATACTTTGTGTTGTTACTGTTCCATGTGCTGTTTCCTTTTTTTGATAACTGTAAGATTTAAGGCAGCATTATCTAAACAACTTCATTTTTTTTTCAAACAGGCTGAAAAGTTCAATTGGAGTTGACAGTAAGTTTTTCTGTTTAAACATTTTATTTTTTATTTTTTCATCTTTTTAATGCGAGGTTCACTGTCCTGCTGATATTTTTGTCATTCTTGAAATTGTATTTATGATTTTTGTCCATCATGCAATGTAGAAAGTTCAGTAGAAGAGTAGAAAGTTGAATATCTTTCTTCAGACAAATTGGGATTGATGTCTGGTTTAAAACTTTTTGAATGACTGTTTCTGACTGTTATTTCTCCATTTTCTGTGTGAATGAGAGTATAACCACTGAGCTCATTTTGCTCACCAACTCTTACTGTCCTTTTGTTTTTTCACACATTACTCATTAAGAGCCATTTATAAGATTGTTATATGGGTGCCTTTTCCTGTAGGGTTTTAGTAAGATCTGGGGCCCCAAATGGCTAAATAGGATTAGGTCATGTGAGACAGCTCCCTGGTAAAGCCACTATAATTACTCTCAAACTTGACTACAATTTACAAACTCCTTTCCATATTCTTGACTCCTTGATGTAAAGGCACCTTCATCTTCTGTGTTCTTGTTCCATCACACTTTCTTGGGTTTCCAGTACTCCCCCACCTCCTTTGCAGTTGATTCCTTCTCCTCAGCCTACTAACAAATTTAGGTTGTTTCTATACAAAGGAAACAAATAGTCTTTTTCTTGATTTACCTAGCTTTCAAGCTACCACTCCAACCCTTCACCTCCAAATTAATTGAAAGAGCAATTAACATTTGATCTTTAGCCCATGGGGTGTGCCCCATCACTTTTCTGAAACTCCACTACAACTGCTAACTCACTTGACTCTTCTCAGTTCTTGTTGAACTCATGGCATTTGATATTGGCCATTTTTCCTTCATGGCACCCTCTCTTTTCTATGTTTCCTTGAGGCTCTTCTTCTTTGGCTGTTCTACTTCTTTGTCGACTTATTTTGGTCTTTCTGAGAGCCTCTTGTTCCTTCGTGCAAGCTGGAAATCTTAAGTCATTTACAATCTCCTTCCCACCCCATTGCTCTTAGCTATTAACCTTGCCTTCTAACTCCGTCCCTCCCCCGCCACTCCCCACCCCCTCATCTTCAGAGTGATCTGTTTGGTCTACCCTACTGCTCCTGCCTTAAAGCCACCATTATTTATTTTCCAAAACAGAAGTGTATGCTTTCGTTTGCCCTTGAGTTTGTCTTAGTCTGATTGGTTTGTCTCCTTTTAAACTTTCCTATGTTTCTATCAGAATTATCTTTATGAATGCTAAATCATCACTCAGGTAGAAGCCTTCAATGGCTCCCTGTTACCCAAAGGTAGACTGCAAACCCCTGAGTTTTTCCTCAATGCTCTTGAAAGCTGGATCTCAATTCAAATTTCCAGGCCCATAGGCATGATCCCTTTCATTCATTATTTCTGCCTTGCAGAATATGACTGACCACATAGTAACATCTCCATGTGGAGGTCTAAAAGGTGTCTCAAACAAAATGTTCCAGCACTGTCCTCTCTCATCTCAGGAAATGGCAACTCTATCCTCCCAGTTCCTCAGGCCAAAGTCTTGGAATACTTGTCTTCCATTTTTTCACATCCCTACATCCCATCTATCAGTAAATCTTTCAAAATATATCAAGACTCTGATAATGTTTTGCCATTTCCACATAACACCATTTTTTTTTTTTTTGAGATGGAGTCTCACTTTGTCGCCCAGGCTGCAGTGCAGTGGCGCGATCTCAGCTCACTGCAAGCTCTGCCTCCTGGGTTCATGCCATTCTCCTGCCTCAGCCTCCCGAGTAGCTGGGACTACAGGAACCCACCACGCCCGGCTAATTTTTTGTATCTTTAGTGGAGATGGGGTTTCACCGTGTTAGCCAGGATGGTCTCAATCTTCTGACCTCGTGATCTGCTCGCCTCGGCCTCCCAAAGTTTTGGGATTACAGGCGTGGGCCCCCGCGCCTGGCCATAATACCATTTTTAAGCAGTTGTAATCTCTTCCTTGGATTATAGTATGGCCTCCAAACTATTGTTCTCTAGTAGTCTTTTTTCCAGAAACAGCCAGAATAATCCTTTTAAACTGAAAGTTGAACTGAGTCACTCTTGCTCAAATGGCATTCCTCCTCACTTTGCAAAAGCAAAGTCCAAACAGAGTCTACAATACTCTGTTCTGCTTTCCAGCCACCCCTCAACCTCATTTCTGTCAGTGCATTTCACTGTGGCTACACTCTCCTTAAACATGACAAGCATGGACCTGCCCCAGGGCATTCACACTTGCTGTTACTTATCACTGGAATACTCTTCATTTATACATATTGCTGCCCCTCTCTTCCTTCAACTCTGTGCTCAAATTTCACCTTATGAGAGAGGCTTTGCCTAACCACCCTATATAAAACAGCAACTTTCCTTTCCCCATGCTTTCTAACTCTCTTAAGTTGATGCATACACACACACACACACACACACGCACACACACACACACTATACTATATGCACTATATATTTATTTTCTATTTCCTTTTACTAGAATGGAACTAGAGACTTTATCTGTTTTGATTACTGCTCTTCCTCTTGAGCATAGACCAGTGCCTGGCACATAGTAGGTACTCAATAAATGTATATTGAATAAATACCAATGTGGTCTCACAGCTCCTTAAGCAGTGAAGCCAGGACTGAAACTCAGTTTTATCAGACTCAGATGCCCATACACTTTAAGCATTTCACACTGTTTATGAAGGCCCTACCTTCCAGGTGGAATTAATGTGTTCCATAAACCTCTGTATATACCTTTATTACGTATATTACTTTAACTGTATTGTGATTATAGTTACCTGTCTCTCTCTCCTAATACATTTGCTTTTCGGTAGGGTGGGAACCACACCTTACCCATATCTCTCATGCCTAGTATGATCCATAGTGGGAGAGGAATACTTTTTGTTTTTATTGATGACTTCAGAAAGAAACAGTCTTTTCTGCTGATCTTACTTTTTGCCAACACTCCCTAAAGGAAGTGATTCTCGTTCCTTTCCTTATCCAGCAACAAAAACCCAGAGAGATCTGCGAAATTGGGCTCATTATGCTGCTTACTCTGCGAGGTATAAAACAGTTGCCATCATGAGACCAAAGTTCTCCACTTTAATTTTGATTTTATGAAATAGCAAAACTGTTGCAAGGGATTTCTCTAGAGCCTTGTAATTTAGGACTGGAGCAGACAGAAGAGAATGAGTTAAACTTGGAAGAGGTGTTCCCAACACATAGTCCTTGTATAACCAAACAAATCTCTTGGTGCTATATTATCCACCCTCTTCTTTGTTTCCAGTATATAGCTTTTAATGTGTTTTCAGCATTTTGTTGTTATTTTAGGTCAGTGAAGTAGTCTGTTAATAACTTGGTATTAATACTGTCTTTCTACGGGCACTGCATCTTGGTAGGGAGCTCAGAGAATCATGCTTCTGGGATGTCGTGAAGTATGATGGGCAGCTGAGTGCCTTCTGCAACCCAGAGGTGTAATTGATTCAGAGGAAATACATCTTTGAGGCTAATATTACCTGCCTTTCTTCAATTCCCTATATAAATATGTTTGGAGATATTACATTGATGATTGGAAGCTGTCAGGATACCATGCGCAATACTGTGGTTAAAAAATATTAGGCAAGCTTTTTCGAATACTGAGAAGCCATTCTGATTAACCTGTTCAATAATAACTTTGAAGGCAATATATTCATAAACATGTATTTATCTCCAGCCATGTAATTAAAATGCCAATCTCCTCTCTAATTTCAGAGATCTCAGCCTCCTTAAAAAGCCCTCAAGAGCCTCACCATCATTATTCAGGTAGGATGCATATGCACATAGACATGTCAGCTGAGCTAAATGTCTGTGCTTCTGCATTTGTAAACAGAAACACTGACAAATTCTGTGTTACTGACATGGCTCGCGACTTGAAAAGTTATTGTTCACTTTGATGGGAAGAACATTCCAATTTCTAACTTTGCCATTGACTTGGGAAAACAAGTTTTCAGAATTTAAGAGAATTTGCATTTTTGCAAAATGTTTGCATTCTCAAGTTCCAGATTGCAAAGTAGAAAGATGACCTTGAAATCTAAAAATTCTTTGCACGCTCAAAGCAGCCCCAAGCCAGAGATCTCAATGTTTTGGACTGGGGAAAAGGCAGACCTGAAAGTAGTTCCTTGAGGGAGGGTTTTGTACCCTCAATGGGGCCTCAGTGAGTATGATCACTGAATGAAGGCCAACCCCACAAAGTGAGTTCAACAAAGATGTTATTAAACAAAGATGTCAAGGGTCTTGACTCTCTTAAGCAACATCACTTCACAGTGCTTCAGTTGTCTTTCTTTCAAAGTGGGAATAATTGTACTTGCCCTTCCTGAGGAACAGTCTGCCAAAGGGCTAGTTGAGAATTAAGAGGAAAACACTTTGAAATGCAAAGCAATATAAAAACCAACTGGACTTGTGCCATTGGATGGTTTCTTGGGAGTCATTGCTCTCAGCATTGGATGAGATAATACATGGGCAAGCCTTTTACAAATCTAAAGCTCAATACATGAGTAAGAGCTTATTGGTGCGATAATTACTGTTATAATTATATAAGGTTGTTTGTTCAGGGTCTAGTAATAGATTGCCTTATCCTGAATTCTCCTTTGTAGTGAATAGAGTTGCAGTGGATTCCAGACTCCTCAACCCAGGCTCTTACAACTGAGTCTTTCAGCTCGGCAGTAATCTATTATTTTGACTCCAGCTGTCAACTTAAGAAAGTCTCTAGTGAGGAATACTGTAACTCATATTGACTCTGATCTGTTAGGCTATAGCTCTTAACAGGAAAATGCAGATCACTCGCTTCTAATTAAAATCGGTCTTCGGCTCTCTCTGGAAAAAGAAGATGAACTGTGCAAAGTGAACAGTAGGTGTCCCCACAGCCCACCGTGCTTTGGATTTGCTTCGGAAAGGAAAACCAAAGTCCACGGATTAAAATGCCATTTAAAAGAAAGTTCCACATATGTATGGATTAGTATGTGATTTGGTATTCAGGAGAGTGGAGGTGATAGTCCTACCTCAGACCATGTGACATAATCTCATATTAAATGCCTCTAAAATTGGGATTTCTTTCCTGTTTAAGGCATAGTTTATTTTTAAGACTGTATTATAGATTATATTTTTGATAATGGCAAAAATAAGAGGTCTTTGAAATTAAATAGCATTATATGAATATATTGATGTGGAGAGGCTTTCTGTAAATTCAGCCACTGATGCATACTTAAAATAGAAAATCTGTTTTTGTTTGCAGCCATTGAAAGGAATAATTTAATGAGGCTTTCTCAGACCATACCATTTACACCAGTCCAACTGTTTGGTGAGTAGCATTTCTACCTTCTTGAGTTTATGCCAGGACAGAGGCATAAAATCTGAGTGAATCAAAGGAAACCACATTGCATTATTTTAGTTGAAAATTTTGTTTTGTTGATAGTTGTAGTTTAGTGAGATTCATTTCCTAAAATGGAAATTCTTGTTAACTGTCATGGCCAGCATTCAGGGACAAAAGCTAATACTATGGGAATAAGACCTATAATGAGCAGCAGTTGGGAAGAAAGCAATAATATTGCACCTGGCATTCACTGACTCAAGGCTGGAAGTAAGTAGGAAAGAAAAGAACAAACCAACCATTTATAATAAGCACAGGAGAAAGCGATAAATGTCAATATGGTGAAAGCCAACAGGCATCTGAAGAGAAATGCTTTGTGTATTGTTTTTTGTTTATTTTGTTTTGTGTACACTAATTGCTCTTATCTCAGACTGCAAATGTCATTTTAAAAGTCTGGAGTAGTAAAGAAAAACAATCTCACCCTGGCTAAAGCTATCAAAATTTCTCTGTCTGGCAGGATAAGACATGAGCAAGTTGACAATATAGCAAGGGTCCCCAAAGTGTCCTTGATCTTGATTCTTCTCACACTGTTCACATGGGGGCAGACCAGGTTGGCTTCTGATTGTTTTTATTTATTTATTTTTATTTTTATTTTTTTTTTGAGATGGAGTTTCACTCTCGTTGCCCAGGCTGGAGTGCAATGGCGGGATCTTGGCTCACTCTAACCTCTGCCTCCTGGGTTCAAGTGATTCTCCTGCCTCAGCCTCTCATGCAGCTGGGATTACAGGCGTGCACCACCACGCCCAGCTAATTTTTGTATTTTTAGTAGAGATGGGGTTTCACCATGTTACTAAGGCTGGTCTCAAACTCCTAACCTCAGGTGATCTACCCGCCCCAGACTCCCAAAGTGCTGGGATTACAGAATCACCGCACCGGCCTGGCTTCTGATTGTTAATGCAGATGCCTTCCCCTTCCATTTGGCCCCATGGCTGGCTTTGCAAATCAATAGCTCTGCTCTAAAGCCTCTAGGGATTTAGAACTCCAAAGAGATCTTCAGTGGCATTTATCTGGGCACCAAGAATAAATATTTGAAAGGTTTGAAAAGTTGTTACTGAGCATTACCTAGATGTGTTTATTGGTGAGGAATTAGATGCAAGAGGGAGAGAATGGATTCCTTTCTTGGTAAACCAGTACCGTGTTCATATATATATATATGCTTCTATATATATATAGAAGCAAAGGTGTAAGGGGGAAATGAAACACCAGCTGGGGCTGGACAGAAGTTGTATATAGATTATGTTGCTCTGTTAAGAAACATTAAACACTGACTTGGTAGTGTTTAGGTTCAACAGGAATTTTTCCCTCTTCAACAGCCTAAAAGTGGAAGCTATGTAGCAGTTAAGTAGTATTTTGTGTCTAAAATCCTTTAAGTGGGATTGAGTTTGTATCTGAGGTTGTAATTCACTTTAGACATGTTAGCCTATTTAACCTTTACAACAGCCCAATGAGAACAGTATTTTCATCCCCATTTTTCTGATGGGGAAATTGAGGCTTTAAGTAACTCGTCCAAAGGCACAAGGGAAGGAAGGAGAGGCTCTGGGGTATGACATTGGTACTGTTTGACTCCAGCTGAGTTAAACCATGCATTTTCAATGAAGTAATATCACCCCTAGAAAAAAATAAGTTTTTTTATGATATAAAGCACAGATCTACAGAGTACACATAAACAGATATACAGAATATTTTTAATACAAGTTGAGCTTGTATTAAATTCAAGCTGAAATCCACCTGAAATCCAAAATGCTCCAAAGGCTGAAACTATTTGAGTGCTAATGTGATGCCACAAGTGGAAAACTCCCACAACTGACCTCATGTGACAGGTCAGAGTCAAGACACTGTCAAAACTTTGTTTTGTGCACAAGATTATTAAAAATATTGTATACAATTACTATGAGGCTATATGTATAAGGTGTATATGAAAAAGATGAATTTTGTGTTTGCGCTTGGGTCCCATCCCCAAGATATGTCATTATGTATATGCACATATTCCAAAAATCTGAAAAAATCTAAAATTTGAAACACTTCTGGTCCTAAGCATTTTGGATAAGGGATATGCAACCTGTATTAATAGGTTGTGAGAAGAACAATTAGAAAAGAATGTCTAATTAGGCTCCTTAGGAGGATGATAATAAGCAACACCATCAGGTTAAACCGTCTCTTTAGAAGTATTTGTCTTTAACAAAAGAAGCATATCCTTACCACTTTGTTTTTGTCCAGTTATAGTCTACAGTAAGAACAGCTTAATTCTTTTGTATCCTCTGATATTTGTCCCTTCTCCCCTTCCCCACATCTACTAGACAATAAATAACATGGAAACATGGCCAGCCTGATACATGTCCTTATTCTGTTCTGTTCCCTGCTAGTCCCATTCTCCTCTGGTCATTTGGGTAACTGAACTGATTCTGCATTGATATTTAGGATACTATTCATGTCACAGACATGGCAATCTTATTGAATTCCTAGCCTTCACTTCTCTTTGCAGCAGGAGAAGAAATAACTGTCTACAGGTTGGAGGAGAGTTCCCCTTTAAACCTTGATAAAAGCATGTCCTCTTGGTCTCAGCGTGGGAGAGCGGCAATGATCCAGGTATTGTCCCGAGAGGAGATGGATGGGGGCCTCCGTAAAGCTATGAGAGTCGTCAGCACTTGGTCTGAGGATGACATTCTCAAGCCGGGACAAGTTTTCATTGTCAAGTCCTTTCTTCCTGAGGTTGTGCGGACATGGCATAAAATCTTCCAGGAGAGCACTGTGCTTCATCTTTGCCTCAGGGTAAGTCTGAAACTCAGAGACCCATAGCCCAGAGGGACAAGTCAAAGAAAAGAGATCTGGCTACATCCTTATCTAAGGCCATTATCCTCAACCCAAAGGGGAGCCTATTATTTTTTAGAGGTAGTATTGCTTTGTAGGACTTTTGCTTTTGGGGCAGGCAGTGGTGGGAGTTGAATAAGGCTAAAAATCACATTGGGGTAGCCTATAGTAATTTCATGATCATAGCTGTACAACAGTAAATCAGTATTTTTATCAGTGCTCCCTATTTTGTAGGAAATTCAACAACAAAGAGCTGCTCAAAAATTGATCTATACCTTCAACCAAGTGAAACCACAAACCATACCCTACACACCAAGGTAAGAAAATCTTGGCACCTTGGCCCTTTGTTTCAAGTAGGAATTTCTATCACGTCTTCTCAGCCCATTACTCATGAGAAATCTTATCCATGGGGAAATTCCCCATGATCTTATTTTTGGATTCTTCCTTCCATAATTTCGGAGACTGGCAAAAGGAGAATTAGAGACCCCAGAGATACCTTGGTGTTAATCACTGGACTTAAACATGAGTGGAAAAAAGAGGTTCAGAGGCTGTAACTAAGATTTCAGTTATGGGAAACAGACAGATCTTGGGTGTTATTAATGTCCAGGGGCATTATGGTAGAAAAATTATTCTTATTGTAAGCATGGTCTCTTCCCCCAATATCTTATAGAAAGTAGGAATTTTGTAAGAATAAACTCATGTTACTTTCACTTGAGTGTCTTCATACACTTGCATTCATTTATTGAGACACAGATCATAATTTGGTGCTGGACAGAGTAAAGCTTCATTCTTTCATTTACAAGGAACTTTATAGAGCACAGCAAGAAGAGTTGGGTCTGGTACTCATAAAAGAGTTGGAAAGTTACCTCAAAGCAAAGGGAGGTGGGTAAGCATGGAAAGAAAAATTCCCAATATTTGCATCCTATCCCTTCCATAGAAAGGGCAAGGGCATGTGCATTGAGGCTGCATCATACCAGAGTTAGGTAATCTTCCCTGCTGATGACTGCTCAGTAAGGTAAGTCCCACTTTTGCTGTATTGTGGGGGATCAATGGCCTCTTTTTCCCTAACAGGTTCCTGGAAGTTTTCTTAATCTACTGCCATTCAGCCAACCAGTGGTTGACCATTGAGAAGTATATGACAGGGGAGTTCCGGAAGTATAACAACAACAATGGTGATGAAATCACCCCCACCAACACCCTGGAGGAGCTGATGTTGGCTTTCTCTCACTGGACCTATGAGTACACTCGGGGAGAGCTGCTGGTTTTAGATTTGCAAGGTGATTGATGATGTAGGATTTGATACAACAAGCATGAGGCAAAGTGTAAAGAGATCTTGCAAGAACCAGGATGGGTAATATATGGAGTTGCTCTATTTAGCTTTGAAGGGAGGTGGGCACATTTATTTCAGAGACATTGTACAGTGATAATCATGGAATCTGCTATGTTATTTCCCACTTAGGTAGGGGGAAAAATGTAGGCAGATGATTATCTATTTAAAATGTAAAGACATCTAAATTTTTGAGCAAAATGGGGAATGATTTTTGTAACAAATTTTTCAGTTTTATGACTTCACTTAGCCTTATGTTAATATTTAGGCATGCATTTATACACATAGGAACATTTAAATTCTGGGTGTTTTTCATGATTTTGAGCTCATTGCTTTAGCAATTTATAATTTAGCTTGCTCTCTTTGCTGTGTCCCTTGTTACAACAGTTCATGAAAATACACAGACTGAGAGAGGCAACACAGCACACTCTTATTTAATGGAAGCCTTTGGTCAGCACATCTCCTGGCTATCAATACCTCACATGTGACTTATAATCCTGCGGCACAAAACAGAGTATCTCCAGCAGGCTTTCCTTGCAGGGACAGAACAAAATATGTATTGAGGTCAACGTTTAGTCCTTAGGCTCACTGACTAGGGCTTTGGTTTTAAATAAGAGATTTAGTCCAGGAAGTTCATAGAAGTTACCTCATTTAATCCTAGAAGCAGCACCTTGAGGTAAATATTATAGGAATTTGGGCCCAGAAAGTTTAATAACTTGCCCAGAGTTGCACAGCTGCTTAAGGGGGAGCCAGGATGCAGACTTAAGCTGTTCTTAAGACATCCCTGTTCTTTTCTTTTCACTGTTCTTTTATTTCTTTTAAGAGTTTCATATGTAGAGGGTATAACCATCTTATGGTTTGTTTAAACAACTTGGGCCTTTTTCTTGTCCTGTCTGACTTTCCCAGCTCTCTGGTTCTGGGATTCTATGCTGAAAGCCAGGCTTGGAGGTTGGAGAATGTAGAGATAAGCAGACAGTCCTGGGGCATCATGAGCAATGTCCGGTAAGACTGCAAAGTACTTTGATTGAAACTTGTGTCACATGCTCAAGGATGTGACACAAATTTTTAAACTACATATAAGTGCATTTTTTAAATGACATATAGGTGCTTCTGTCCTTTCAGATTTATGCTGCTCACAGTTGAATTATATTTAATTCAATTCAAACCCAATATTTTAGGAAACAATATAAACAAAGTTAAAATGACCAAGTTGATTCAGCTTTTAGACCAGCAAGTACCTGATCCCTATAAACCCAGAGCATTGATGCCCAAGGCATCTATTTTTGTAGCTCAAATTGGAGAGAGGTTGATTGTTTTCATCTGTATTTGACTGTTTGTGCTTTGAGTTTTGGGTGGAGTTGTTTAAAAAGGAAAAACAGAAACACACACACAAAAAAAAACAACGAAAGAAAAACTTTAAGGAATTAATGATGACTCTTCAGTGTGTTTTGTATTCCACTTGAATAGGTTTTTGTTTAATGATGTTTATGTTTGGGGATTTTTATGTCTCTTAGTAATCCAAAGTAACATTAAACAGAACAAATGCTGCGTTGACAGTCTTGAGGGAAAAAGAGAATTAACTTTATTCTTTTAATGGGCAATTATGTGAATTGCAGAAATAGGCCGCTCCAAATAAACGATGTCAAAACATTGACCTTCAAAGAAGGAAAGAGTGGACATCATAGAATGAATGTTATGAAATTTGAGATATTTATCAGAGAGTTTTGGCCAATTGGTTAGACCTGGATGTATGGAAGAATGTGAATCCTATAATAGTAATTATGAACAGTTACACCACTACTACTAGCTAACATTTACTACGTTTGTGCCAGGCACTTGGCTAAAGGTTTACGTGCATTATTATATTTAATCCAAACCATGTTGGAAAGGGAAAATAGAATGTATTTTTAAAATCTCTTAATGGTTTTAGTTCAGTTTTATATTGTATTTAATTTATTTGTATTTCTAGTCTTTGGAGAGATAATGCACATTGTCTGGGTGGTGGAAGTGGAGACAGAGGCTCACCAGCAGCAGTTAGGAGGAGGAGCTCTGGAGTTGCAATGCCGGAGTCTGACTTCTGGTTCCACTGTGAATTAGCTGCATAACACGGAGGAGCAACCACCTTGAGTCCCACTTCCCTCATTTGTAAATGGGGAAAATAGTATTAGGCACTTAAGCCATAGAGTTGTTAAGGGCAAGAATTGAGACAAGTTCCTGATACACCGCCTTCAGTAAATGTTAGTAATTGTTGCTGTAAGCATTAATCTCTGTGTGACTCTTTAATATGGAGGTTAATCTGCAGTTGCAGGGAGTCCGCCCTCAGCTGTGTGGTCCTGTTGGTGCTGCAGAGAGACTGCAGCTTCAGCTTCTATAGAAGAAGGCCCTGCTCAGTGTGCTGTGGTTCCCTACCGCTTTGAGAGAAAGAAGGAGTGTGAAATACTCGAGCAGTTTATTCTTTCAGTTTCTTTTCTTCTTCTCTTTGCTTTCTTCCAAGGGAGTGCCAATAACTAACCCCAGAAGCTGCCACACCAGGTCAGAAACTGTACTCTAAGGAGAGACCTGACCAATTTCCAATCACTTGTAATTATGCTGAAGTTTTTTGCTCTCTTTCCACTTAAAAAATCCTACATGTGAGGGCCTGAATCATCATCATTAAAATCCAACCTTTAGTTCCCAGCAACAGGAATTAAAAACAATTGTATTTCAAATTACAGTGGTTTATAGCATTTTTTTAGCTCATTGTATTTTTCAACATTAATTTGGAGATATTAATATTAATTTTTAGAGATATTAATTTTTTTATTCAACAAAGCAGATTCCAGAATGTCAGCATTGGCATCGACATCATCATCATCATCAATTCTGCTACTACATAAAAAAATTTCCACCAAGCTACATAAATTGGTAGCTTCTTTCCACCAATGTACAAGTTCATTGATGTACTCAATGATGGTTGGGATCAGAATGTCAATCTTGAGTTCCTCATAAAGGGTTGCTGCATATTACCTGACATGAGCATTTACTCTCTTGAAGTCAGATTGGTACTTGGGGCTGCTCTTTTCTCCTCTTCTTTTCTTTTCCCTCTCCTCTGCTCTCCTCTCCTCTCCAATTCTTCCTTTTTTGTTTTTTTTTTTGAGACAAGGTCTCACTGTGTAGCCAAGGCTGGCTGGAATGCAGTGGCAGTCATGGCTCACTGCAGCCTCAACCTCCTGGGCTCTAACGATCCTCCTACCTCAGCTTCCCGAGTTAACTGGGACCACAGGCACACGCCACCACACCTGGCTAATTTTTGTATTTGTTTGTAGTGATAGTGATGGGGTTTCACCATGTTGGCCAGGCCAGTCTCAAACTCCTGGGCTCAAGAGATCCGCCTACCTCGGCCTCCCAAAGTGCTGGGATTATAGGTGTGAGCCACCGTGCCTGGCCTATTCTCTATTTTCACACACTGAAAGGTCCTTCTGCCATTTGTGTGCCCCAAAATATGTATTTATTAGTTAATCTTTGGATTGTCAGATTGGGTTTAGGGGTATAAAGTTTTGTGGATACTCTTTACCCTCATTCTTATAAGGAGTTCTGTTCCTTAGGGAGCATAGCACTTTAGGGAAATGAGATAATCAATCAGAAACATGATTTTACTAGTGATAAGGAAATAAAATTTCACTTCACAAGAAGTTCTTGATAGGAGAAAAATAATACAAGTAACTGAACATTTTTTCAGCTTCCTAGGGGGCAGACACTTTGCTAAGCAGTTTGTGTCCAGTAGTTAATTTAATCCTCCCAGTAACCCTGTAAGATTAGGCCCATTATTATTCACAATTTCAGATGATAAAACTGAGGTTCAAAGAGATTAAGGGAGGTATCCAGGTCACCCAATTTCAAGCTCTAGGTTATTTTTCTAAGGAAGTCAGTTTCATAGGGTGAAAGTCTATAAGGATTACATTTTCTTATGAAAGGTTTAGCATATTGTAAAACCTACAGACGATAGCAAAAATCTTTTTAAAACATACCAGCTAGAAAACATGAGTTTTCTCAACAAGTAGAAATACACTAAAATTTACAAATTTTATATAATTTTAAAATAATCTTCCCACAAGGTTAGTTGCTTTCAAGCAAACAGAAGCATGGTTGATTAGAGAATGATCTCAGAAATCGCTGGATTGTGCCCAAATCTTACTGGCTGGCCTGGAACATTTCCATCAGTGGAAATCAGCCTCCTCACCACTTGTATTTTATAAGAGATTCACTTTAGGTGCTGATTCCTGTTTTGATAAATTTTAGCTTTACATTGCACCTATGTTACCTTTTTAGGCTTTAGTGTCATCTTTTTTTCAAAGGTAAATTTTATTGAAGACTTATATACGTTTAGAAAATTCACATACCATAAGCATACATCTCAAAGAATTTTCACAACTGAATACACAGGTGTAACCATCACCCAGATCAAGAATTTGGTGGTTTCTATTCTACTGTTTATAAGTAGAATGAAAGTATAAGTATGTGGCCGGGCATGGTGGCTCACGCCTGTAATCCCAGCACTTTGGGAGGCTGAGGTGGGCAGATCATCTAAGGTCGGGAGATGGAGACCAGCCTGACCAACATGGAGAAACCTGGTCTCTACTAAAAGTGCAAAATTAGCCGGGCATGGTGGCACATGCCTGTAGTCCAGCTAGTAGGAACACAAACTTTGGCTCAGCATTAATCCTGTTTTGACCATGTATGGACTGTGCAAACTCTGACAGATGACATAATTGGTTTGAACATCAGTGTACTCATTGATGTAAATGAGGATAAAATGTAAAACGAGGCTACGAGGATAACACTTTTCTTTTATAATTGCTGAGAATTACAGAAAATAAAATTAGAATATCTGCTATATACAAGTGGTAAATGAATGACAGATGCCACTATCAGTAACTGTGAACACACCACTAAAACAATCATTTGAGGCCTAGAAGTTTATTATAACAGAGGGTTTGTGGGAAACAGTGCATTAACTAAAATTTTCAAACATTTCTGAACAATTTTTATAGTGCATTTAATTTACATGAATTTTTGAGAATTAAAATATTTAATTTTTTATATTTAGTTTTTATGTATCTTCATATATTTGGGGGTACAAGTACAGATTTTTTTTACGTGCTTTTTTTTTTTCTTTGAGATAGAGTTAAGCTCTGTTGCCCAGGCTTGAATGCAGTGGCGTGATCTCGGCTCACTGCAACCTCTGCCTCAACGATTCAATGGTTCAAACGATTCTTCTGCCTCAGCCTCCCGAGTAGCTGAGATTACAGGCATGCACCACCAAACCCGGCTAATTTTTGCATTTTTAGTAGAGATGGGATTTCACCGTGTTGGCCAGGCTGGTCTCGAACTCTTAATCTCAGGTCATCTGCCCACCTCCACCCCCCAAAGAGCTGGGATTACAGGCGTGAGCCACCGCGCCCAGCCAGATTTTTTACTTGCCAGTATTGCTTAGTGGTGAAGTATGGGCTCATGATGTTTAATTTACTACAGAGTGACTGTGAGTTTTAAATTAAGAAATTAGAATTTAATTATTATTTTCTTGAATTTCTAAGAAAATGAAATCTCCATTTGCTAAACGAATTTTGTTTCTTCTTTTGAGGTGTTGGAGAAAATTTGACAGATCCATCTGTTATAAAACCTGAAGTCAAACAGTAAGTTAATTTATGTGTTATCATTTAGAAAATTGCATTTAACATATAGTAAATGGTTTTAAAAATAATTTACAAACATATATGTTCCCTGCCTAGATCCTAGAAAGGTTTTTAGGTAGCTTATGTATATAGACCAAAAACAATAAGATTATAAAAAAGCATAGGTTAGGAAATGGGGGGAAAATATGGAAATATGTAAAATGATATTAAATCTGCAGTTAGATTTATACACATAAATGGAAATTATAAGGACTAATGCAAATTTGACTGAGTTCCCAATGTGTAAGTTTAGCCTCTGTGGCTTTGATATGAGAGCAGTGTCATAGGAGAAGCACAGTTTCCTTTTTTGTCTTCACAATGGAGTCATTGCATCTTATCATGGGCAGCATCTTCCATCATATGCTTATAAAATGAAAGCTAGGGGCATAAAGTGTGCTATTTAGTAACAGCAAATCTTATGAGAGGACAAAACAATGGAGCTTAAATATGAAGCATCAGATTATCTGACTTAAATAAGAGCTGAAGTTTAAATTCTATAGAGAGATGACTCATCAACCTGCCCCTTGAATTCCCATGGATATTTTATCCCAGAAGCAGGTTTTTGGGAAGACTTGGCAGTAAAGGATCTCAGGTTGTATTCTTCTATTAAAGGTGGGGTAGAAAGAAGTGATAGTGAGGGTTAAACACTGATCAATATGGCTGGCAAAAATGGTTCTCAAATAAGAGCTTACATCACAATCACCAGGAGAGCCTGTTAAAACACAGATTGCTGGGCCCCACTCCCAGAGTTTCTGCTTCAGTAGGTTTGGGGTAGGGCCAAATAATCTGCATTTCTTACAAGTTCCCAGGGAATTATGATGCTGCTGGTCCAGAGACCACTCTTGAGAACTGCCAGCATACATTTTTACTTCTTAATTGTCATAATTGTCTATACTTGACCCCTGGGTGGTAGTTTTATATATATATTATATATATTATATATATTATATGTATAACTACATAAGTGGGCAATCAATAAAATCTGAAATTTTTACTTTCCCTCCCCAAGAACTCATAAATATTCACTGCTTTAGTGCTGTGTTATTTTACTGAGTGATTTAATCTAAACATGTAGGCTTCTATGCAAAGAGGCCCATCTAAAAGTGTATTAGATATTTAATTGGACTAGGTGAACTAGAGAAAATAAAGGTGATCCATATTGAACATACACATCTAATTCCTATGATATTTATTTGACTGTGGAGACCGTGTTACCACTCTTATATACATAAAGACTTTATTATGTTTCACTTTAGCTCTGCTAAAGTGTTTTTAGCTAAGAATATTATTTCTTCAGTAGTCCTGTGTGCCTAAGGGTTAGTAGTAGGAATCTTGTACTAAAAGTACTTTATAATTTTGCAGTGGAAATTTTTTGCATATATAATGAACCAAGTTTATGTATACCCCATCTATCATTTATTAAATTTTGACCTTGGCATATGTCACTTAATATGACCTGAATATTCTATCATTTAGAATTCTAAGATTATATTATCCCACTTGACAGGTAGGTATTTAATTGCATGCTGTAGGCCAGTGGGCCTCAATTTCTATTAAAGTCACCTAGGGAACTTAAAAACAAAAGCCAAGGATTGGCATCAAATTGGAATCTCTGAAGATAGGGCCCTGATATCTGTATTTTTTTAAAGTTTCTCATGTGATTCTATGGGCAACCAGGGTTGAGAAACTCTGTCTTAGGGCAACTTTATTTTCTTATGACTTAAGGATAGGAACTCTGGAAACTGATAGGATGGTTTCATTGTGGCCTTCCTGGTTTTGTGGGGTTACCCAATTTTGGATGCAGTTGGCCTTCATGGTCAAGATAACAAGAAGCACTATTTTCCCATGATCATGGGGAATTACGTCTGATTAGTTCAATGGGGCTCACATTTCGAATGCCTTACGTGTCTGAAGCACTTGCTACACGAAGCATGGGACGTGGACCAACAAGGTCAGCATCACCGGGAAGATGGTTAGACATGCAAAATCTCAGGACCCTCCCCAGAAATACTGAACCAAAATCTGAATTTCCACAAGATCCTCAGGTGATCCGGTGTAAATTAAAGTTTGGGAAGCACTGATTTAAGCAAGTGCTTTCACGGGTTATTTATTTTAGCCTTTGCAACAACAATGAAAGGAAGCATTTTCAATCCCAGTTCAAAAATGAGAAAACTTAGGCTCAGTGAAGATGGTAACGTTCCTATGAGGAGAAGGGGTCAATGAAAGGATAACCCTCTACCAAAAGAGAAGATATTCTTGTGGTATAAATTCTCATATTGTTTCTAATGCTTACTGTCTCTTAACTTTCCCTAACCTTCTGCCTTGGTTATTGGTCATTTGGGATTACAGTTTTTTAGCTTGCTGCTTTGATAGTTTTGGGCATTTGACAAGTATGAAACGATGATGAGATGTTCTTTAGTAGATCTATGTATAGATGGCACTAATTAGCGTTTCCTCGCATGTGGAACCAAGCTACCACCTGCTTTTCCTGTGTTGTGAAAAATCTGGAAAACAGCTACTTGTATTTTTTTTAAAACCTGGTTATCTAAGACTGCAAGGCTCTAGGCGTGCTGTAGCGGGTAGATGCAAATGAATTTCCTTACAACTCTCCTTCATTCTCCCCTACACTGGGAGTGGTCGAACTCCTGCTATATGCATTTGGTATTAATTTTGATTCTTTTGTCTTAACTTTCCCAAAGCTCATAGAGGGAAATCATTTAACTTACAGGTTTTATCTGAGATTCAGTGTTGCATCTCTAAGTTGGGGGTTTTTATGTTTTACTGGGAGGAAGAAATGGCAGGTATGGAAAGCAAATGAGTGAAATAGTCTAACAGGGTCATGTTGGAGAGACTATGAAAAGGCATTCTTCAATTTAAACGACTAAAATAAACACTGTGTTTCACTTTATTGGCATCGTAGAATCCTGGTCTAAATGCTGAGTGCTTCGACTTTTTTTGCCACCTTCAGTTTCACCTTATTGAAGTGGTTCCTTACCAGATGGACACAAAGAGAGAGGAATAGTTAACAAGAGGCAGCTTAGGCAGCCGGGTAAATACCCCCAGAGCTGTACTCTGTAAGAGCGATTGAGTGACCAGGAAAGTTAATCCTGTGTGTCTGTTCACTTTGTCTTCCCAAGAGATTTCCTCCACCTACTCGCCTCGGAGCAAAGAGGCAATCTGAGATCAAACTGACATCAGCCCTCATTCTGAGCTTGGCACATCTTCAGAGCAGCTACTGTTATTCTGCCAAAAGGAAGTGGAAATTGAGATAAATGTTTCAATCCTTGGATGGAAAAAAGTCCATTTTTACACCACGTCCCTTTTGAAAAACCGCATTCCTTAGAAGCGAAGTTTATTGTTTCCTTTTGTGATAGTTTGCTTTTCTTTTTTCTTAAGACGTGGTATTTAAGAGCGGTAATTGAGTTCAGATTTTAAAATGTGCTGTTTCCACTCTGCATGTCATTAAAATAAAATATTAGCTTTCATAAAGTTTCTTGGGAAATGTTTCTGGTGTGCTCTGCTCTGTGGTGTGCAGTGTCAAAATCCAAAGAATGATGGTCGCCTTTGATATGATAACGGATGAACACTGATCTTAGAATCTGCTAGGGATTTGTTATGATTATAGAGTATTCAAAAGGTGCCTTATATATACTGATTCTATTTGTAACTCTGTCACCTACATCGAGCATATGTACTTTACTTCCACCAACACATTGTGTCATAGTCTTGTCTTTCCACAAAAAGCCCAGCTCTAGCAGTTTGCAGGAGAGCAAGTGGCTTTGAAAGAGCCATGAGTAAGGATCTAGGGTTTAGTCAGGAATTTGTTTTTGAGGACGGTTATTTTCAGAAAAGTATTTGGGTTTGAAACAATGTCTATGCATCGTTTTAGAAGGCGTGTCCCAAAAGCAAATGTATTTTACTTTATATCTTACCTTTGGGGTATTCTAGTAGAACATTTGGTAATGAATGTCACTCTTTCACCCCATATGCATTAAAAAGGATTTCGCTGTATTTTGTTTTAATGTGGTACATAGAAAATTCACTCTTCTATCAGATTAGCGTTGAAATGCCGTTGAAATGCGTTTCACAGTAGGTCTTGGAGTTGGGAGCAAAGATTTAAGTGCATTTGAATTTTAAATTTGCAAACCTAACATTGTTGTTTCCCCAAAGTGCTCTGTTTTTTGTTGGCTCCTTCAAGTTTACTGGGTTACTATGGGATACTGTTCGGTATCTCGGAGAATCCTAGTTGAGCTCCTTTTTCTTAGCTGTGATCTAATTGATATTCTGATATTTCCTCTAGATCAAGAGGAATGGTGTTTGGACCGGCCAATTTGGGGGAAGATGCAATTAGAAACTTCATTGCAAAACATCATTGTAACTCCTGCTGCCGGAAGCTCAAACTCCCGGGTATGCCACTAACAGTTCTTTTTTCTCTAAGTAAATCTCTCATAGAACAACATCCTTTGTAACCTGGGATAAAGTAGAAAATCGTAATCACATTTTTATCTCATTCACCGTCATTCGCAGAGCCTGACTCTCTGACTGCAAAATTTTCAAGTCTCTAAAGGGATTAAAAGGACAGGGATTTACTTTAGGTTCTGCCAAAATGTGATAAAACAACTTGGGGCCCAATACTTGTCACAGTCACTCCAAAAGAAAAGTTCCACCGACTTAAATGGGATGAAATCTGACCGAGGCTGGTCTTTGCCCCCGCCCCACCCCCCACATTTGGGTCCTGCCAGCTGCGGATGGCCACAGGGTGTTGGCCACCGCATTTCTATTCTATTCTAATTTCGCCATTGGGTACTTGGGAGGGTGTGGTATGGAGGGAAATGACACCCTCAATTAAAGTAGTGCTTTTCACTGTAAAAATCTGCTACTTTGAACACACATTGCAACATATATTTTTTTAAATCTGATTTGATAATATGACATACTTAAAAATTCCTACTATAAAAGCAAGCAGCTGGAGGCCTGTGCCCTCCAAATGGGCAGTCCTGGCTCTGTTTCATTCCTTTCTTTTGTCCCAGAAGGGAAGCATCATGTGTGCCTCAGCTTGCCCACTACTTTTGGTCACACCGGACTTGTCCTTACAGTGGGATTTCACGTATCTTAAGCTGAGTAGCTCTTCTTGCCTTATAATAAATGATCATACCCCGAATTTGAAGTCAGTAAAAGAGCACCATCCATCGTAACCTGGGATGGGACAGGTGTAAACTTATAACAAACGAAGGAGATTTCTTTTTTTTTTTTTTTTTTTTTTTGAGACGGAGTCTCACTCTGTCGCCCAGGCTGGAGCACAGTGGCGCAATTTCAGCTCACTACAACCTCCGCCTACCGGGTTCAAGCGATTCTCCTGCCTCAGCCTCCTGAGTAGCTGGGATTACAAGTGCTCACCACCATGCCCAGCTAATTTTTTGTATTTTTTGTAGAGACAGGGTTTCACCATGTTGGCCAGGATGGTCTTGATCTCCTGACCTCATGATCCACCCACCTCGGCCTCCCCAAAGTGCTGGGATTACAGGTTGGAGTTAGAGGTAGGGGGAGCTCTTGTGGTGAAGGCATAGAAAGACAGAGTTGGAGCAGGCTTCCAGTTCCACTGGGAATATAGTGGTCAGCCAGGGGTGGGGAGATCAAAATGCAGCAGTCAGAGAGCAGAGGGCCATAACTCTCACAACTGGCCAGGACTCACTCTCACAAATCACATACCTGATGTGAGCAAAGAGATTAGTGCACAGCCAAGCTGCCCACTGGCTTCTCTGGTCAAAAGGAGCTCAGGAAGGGGCTGGGACTGGACTGTGAGTCATCAGGACCTCCAGGTAAGGGCCCTCTGGAAGGCAGGAGCTGACAACGATCAGAGTCATTCCATGATGGCAGGCTGGAGTCCGGCTCATTCACTCAACATCCTCCGATACTGTCCTTTTCCCAGGTCTGATTCATTCCTACCCTGGAAGGGCAGCCTGCATTCTTGAAGACACAAGTACTACATCTAAGGAGCCAGGACACAGGGAGACTTGAGACAGAACTCACTACTTCCAATCCTTGAGCTCAGTTAGTGGTCCTGTATGATTAAGGTTGAGATAATTTTTTTATACTACACTGGTAGGTGTTTTTTGTTTATTTGTTTGTTTTTTTGAGACAGAGTTTTGCTCTTGTCATCCAGGCTGGAGTGTAGTGGGGCAATCTCGGCTCACTGCAACCTCCGTCTCCCGGGTTCAAGTGATTCTCCTGCCTCAGCCTCCCTAATAGCTGGGATTACAGGCGCCCGCCACCACGCCCAGCTAATTTTTGTATTTTTAGTAGAGATAGGGTTTCACCACATCGGCCAGCCTGGTCTCGAACTCTTGACCTCAGGTTATCCACCTGCCTTGGTCTCCCAAAGTGCTGGGATTACAGGTGTGATACACTGGTAGGTTTTGAGTAATTCAATAATTCCACCACATCTAGTCCTAATTCATGTTTTCTTTCAAAACCTTAGTTTTTGACCAACATTTAAGTGGAAATAAGAAATATCCTTGTTTATTCAGACATTTGGTAATCTAAATAAAAAAAGAGTTTTGTCTGGAAAATAGGATTAGAGGTGATTTTTCATTTTTGTTTGACTACGTTTCCCTTCATATTTTTTTATATGAGAGGCAGTTTAGGATAGTATAAAGGGCATAGGCTCTGTAGCCAGAGAGGCTGAACTCAAACATTTTAATTCTGCTTTTTACCAGCTATATGACCTTGGGCTTCAGTTTCCTTGTCTGTAAACCAGGCATAATAGCACCTGTTTCATAAAGTTTGTGTGAAGATTGAATTAGGTAGTATATGTATTAGTCTGTTTTCATGCTGCTGATAAAGAAAATACCTGAGACTGGGCAATTTATTTAAAAAAGAGGTTTAATGAGCTTACAGTTCCACATGGCTGGGGAGGCCTCACAATCATGGCAGAAGGCAAGGAGGAGCAAGTCACGTCTTACCTGGATGGCAGCAGGCAAAGAGAGAGCTTGTGTAGGGAAACTCTCGTTTTTAAAACTATCAGATCTTGTGAGACTCATTCACTATCACAAGAACAGTGCAAGAAAGATCCACCCCCATAATTCAGTCACCTCCCACTGGATTCCCCCCATGACACGTGGGAATTGTGGGAGTTACAATTCAAGATGAAATTTGGGGTGGGGACACAGCCAAACCATATCAATTTACATGTTCAATAAATGTTGATTGTTTTATTATTAATATATAATATGTATTAGTTTTATTTCCACATAATCCTCATTTAACATTAAAAAAATAAGAAATACATGTTCTAGGCTAGCAAATACAATAAGTACAGCACAAAAAGGTCACAAACATTTTAACTCCATTTTCCTCCGTACATGTCTTACAAAGGTTATGCCTATTAATATTTTCTTTTAACTTTTTTCTTTTCAAATGGAAGGAGGGCTTAGGAAGCATAGGATCTGATAACTGGATGGAGCTTTTATTGGCTGTACCAAACCTGAGGTGGAGCTTTTGTCACAGAAAACTGACCACTGAGATGAGGAGTCAGCCTTCTTGGCTGACCTCTCTGCCTCTGCCTGTCATTCAGTAGTAAAATGCCCCATTTCCCATTTGGTCTTACTTAACTCTGGCCAGATTATGCCTTATAGGGCACTGTGTATTGAAGCAAGCAACCAAGTCTTTCTTCCCTGCTCCCATAAACAGCACCCAAACAGCATAGGGAAGGAAGGGGGGTATTGGGGTGGGAAAGGAGGCTTAATCTAGACATGGTTGAGGGTTTGAGTTCCACATATCTATGGTCTGAGGAAGAGGAGATCTCTCTGAACACTTGGCAAAGCCTAAAGTCCCATTTGTCTTCATGAACAGTAGGTTCTTGGGGTTCCACTATAACCTTTTTACTTGTCCTCCTTGCAGATTTAAAAAGAAATGACTATTCCCCTGAAAGGATAAATTCCACCTTTGGACTTGAGATAAAAATAGAATCAGCTGAGGAGCCTCCAGCAAGGGAGACGGGTAGAAATTCCCCAGAAGATGATATGCAACTATAAAAAGGGAGGAGCAAGAAGATCCCAGTGCTTGCCCTGCCTGCCAGGAACTCTGTGATAACATAGATTGATCAACGTGATGTTGATTACATCAGCGTCTCCTTGGGACACGCCTTCTGAGCCTCACATCTCCTTCTGTTCAAAGGCCTCATTGGTATATGATCAATGGGTTCTCCTAGACACTGACCTCTGTCCAGGGCACTTTGCAGCTCCATCCTCAAGTTCCACACGAAGATGCTTGGATGAGTCAGCTGGGAATATTGTTCTTGTGTACCTCATTGCTTTAGCTGGTCACTTGGAACTTTGGAGCAGAATCCTGCACATTAAAGGATGGGGTTGGGGGGGATACATTTATTTTATTTTCTCACTATGTATGCAGACTGGACCCCCTACTACTATTTGTCACCTCACCCACAGATTGTATTTATGTCTATATATATGTTCATAAAAAGTTATGTGATTTCCTCCTCTGTCTTTTCCACAACATAGGACTTTGAATAGCAATGATAGGAAAAACAATGGAACAAGGGTGGGTTTGCACAGATTGGAGCACATTCCTGCACAAACTACCAAGTATACTGGTGAAATCTCGATGGGTTTCAGATATTGTCAGTGAATCATATGATGCCTGGATATTTCAGGTTTCTGTAAAAGAAAGGGAAACCTAAAACAAATACCCTTCCATATATAATATATATGGAATATGTATATTATATATATTTTTATATATATAATATATATGGAATATATATATTATATATATAAAATACATATGGAATATATATATTTTATATATATATATATATATTTTTATTTTTGAGATGGAGTTTCACTCTTTTTACCCAGGCTGGAGTGCAATGATGCGATCTCACTGCAACCTCTGCCTCCCGGGCTTGAGCGATTCTTGTGTCTCAGTCTTCCGGGTAGCTGGGACTACAGGTGTGCACCACTATGCCTGGCTAATTTTGTATTTTTAGTAGAGATGGGGTTTCACCATGTTGGCCAGGCTGGTCTCAAACTCCTGACCTCAGATGATCCACCTGCCTTGGCTTCCCAAAGTGCTGGGATTACAGGCGTGAGCCACTGCGCCTGGCCTTTTTTTTTTTTTTTTTAAACGAGAACAAGAATATGAAGAACTGGAAATCATTAAGAAAGGGTTTCCCTTCCTTAAAGCTCAGGGGTACTATTAGTTAGGAGTTGACTAACTCAACCTGTAAAACACCACTCCTCCTTCCAAAGTTGTATATATAATATTGCAGGTTAAATTACTTTATGTCAGGTCCTATGAAGAAAGATACGGTTTCAGACTGAAAACATGTTTCACAGGTGTTTGCTTCCTTCCAGAGCAGAGTTCCCTATTCCCCTGGCATAAAGAATGTATATATATTTTGAAATATGGCTGAGAACATGTCATTGGTTTGTGAGGCCTAAGGTGAAGCACTCCTGGCAGCCACACTGTGTAGTGTATTTGAGGGATCAGTCATCCCTCTTGTATGCTGGGCCTGGTTGCCCTACCTCGAACAAGCACCAGCTTTTCACACAAGGAGAGATGTGGGGCTGGGAGTCCTCTCCCCATCCTATTGCATCTCCTTTCTTATTATAAGCTGTTCCAGTTCACAGGCAGCAAACCTCCTGGGTTTGAAAAATTCCAACTTATTTTTATCTTTAATCCTGACATTAGCTGACTTGCTAGTGAGCTTGCTTTAAAAATCTACACTCTTGCATTCTTAGGCATACAGGGGAAATGTTGAAAAGGAAGGTGGAAAACCAAGAATTTAGTTTGCCAATGATTGCCTCTGATTCTTGTAAGTTTGAGTTCCACAAGGGCTAATTTATTCCCCTTTTACTTGGGTTTTGGGGTGGTGGAAAGCGGGAAATTTGGGTGATTTGTTGATTGGCAATGAGGATAAAATGTTAATACTTTTTTGGGGACTTAACAACTTTATCCTATTCTACAAGTCAGTAAAGGAACAATTGGTACTCACCTCAGTGCTGCACTCAACTATGGAAAGAGGCAGAGTTTGCTTGCCCAATTGCCAAACTAAAGACATCAGTTCATTGGTCAAATATTTGTTACCTGGAATGGAACTTGAAAGCAAATACATTTGGATTTCAAATTTCTGTGGTGTGCCTTTTCTTTTGTTTGTTTTAAGAAAAATCAACAGAATAACATTTTAAAAAGATGAACTGCTGAGCAAAAGTCGTTGTGGGAATACTTGCATGCAAATACCAGTGTGGCAGTCTTGACTTTGAGTGAACCATGACCACAAAAGGGTGGAGTGTTCATTCAGTAGGTTGATTTTATTCAACAGATATTAAGTGCCTTCTCTGAACTGCGTTAGTGATGAGGATGTAGTGGTGCACATGGCATGTTTTTGCCCTCAGAAAGCTTTGTCTCATGTTTCTTTTTGTTTGTTTGTTTTGTTCCACGTTTGGATTTCTAGCTAATGCTAAAGAAATTTAACTTCTGGCCAAATGTCAAATTCAGAAATGTGTTTCATATCCTATCTGCCAGTGGGCAGTAGGATTGGACTGGGTAAGAGAATTAGGACAAATAAGAAGCCATGGCTGGGGCTGGTTTTAGGATCTACTGAGGAAAAGCAGACCGCATAATCCTTGTCTGAGCACAAAGACCATATCACAGACAGGATCTGAATTTGACTTTGGCAACCAGAGAAGCAGCCACATTCCAGAGAGACCTCTCCTGAAGGCATCCAGTACATAGGATTTTCTTTGCTCAAGGCCATATGGTCCTGGAGTGACTCCTGCCCTATGCTATCTTAAAGCTTCTTAGAGCTCTGGGGAATGGAATCAGATACAATTTTGGATATTTTTGCCCTGTTGTTATTTTCTGCAGTTTTGCAAAACAAACACCGGGTGACTAAGAATTCCCAGCAACCATTTAGTCAATGCTTTCAAAGAATTTTTTTGAGTTGTTGTTGTTTGTTACTGTTGTTTTAGATGAGACCTATTGCTCTGGTTCTAGAAATCATGACACAGATTCCCTTGTTGTCTCTCGTTGTCCTTCTCAATTAGTCACCAACATCTGACACAAAGGAAGGCACATAATATGCTTTCAACAATATTTGTTGAAAGAAAAAAATCTTCACATAATAGTGGATTTCATTCGCTAGGTAATAAATCAGATTTGAACTTTTAATCTAGAAGGAAATAATTACCAATTCCTTAAGACCCAACACAATTCTTTTGATCTTTCTCTGTTTTAATTTTCTAAGAAATAGCTTTTAACAACCTATACCTTGTCTATTGAATTCTCACCCACTTCTTGCCCTTATCACCCTTGGTGAGAATACCAGAGTACAGTCCTTCACTGGTGACTATTGAAATGAGATGATAACTTCCCAGAAACTGCGTAGAAATAATCATCACTTTATTACCCTTTGAAAAGAAGATTGATAGAAAAGTCATTCGAAAGATGGTTCATTACCATGCCCTAGTACGATTTCTTTACTCACATCTCTCTAAAGCATGAGAAAGGGAGGATTATTCTCTAAGGTCGGAATTTGAAGGCTGTTTGCCTCTTTGAAGTCTCGGTATTTAATTTTCTGTAGTCATTTCTTGGGCAATTTTCTAAGAAACTAGTTGAAGCTAATTTATCATAAGTTAAAGTCAAATGACAGAAAAGATTTTTCCCCCTTAACAGCATTTTATTCCACAGAGGTTAGCTTCTGAAGGAAAATGAGACTTAAATAGCATTTCGAATCTCCAGCCACATGGGTGGGTACACAGAACAGAAAGGATTCTGGAAACTACACTGATGTTTTATTTAACATGGTTATTATTTTGTGACTTTTCTTTATAGACCATGATGTAGACATAAAATACCGTATTTTTGTGAAACATCCTCCTAAAAATAATTAGATAAGTTGCTTAATTTTTCTAAGAAAGACTTTTAGTTCTCAAGGGATAATAAAGCTTGGTCTCTATTGTTTGCAGGCATTTAATATAACTTTATATAATTCATTTAACCTTTCTGTTAACCCCTAATGCTGAAATGGGGATGAAAATACCTTTTCAAATGAAGGTGAGTGATAATGAGAGATTATTTATGAAGTTCTCTGAGACTCATTTAAAAGGCTTCTTGTGAGCATGGAATTCAGTTGAATAAATAAATAATAAGGGGTTTTCATTTTTGATATTATGTGATAGTTATTTAATGTTTACAGAGGATGCTCAGTGGACCTGTTTCAGCATGAACACAAGTGATTTCTACTATTTCTTCCTTTCCAAGGGGAAAGAGCTCATTGCTGCCTTTTTGTTTTAAAACTTAATTAAATAGTTCAAGATGAGAAAACTCACTATTTCACAGTATGTCTTATTTATTTTGCTTTTTGATGGATTTGGGTTTACTCAGCTAATTTATTTTGCCATCCTTTGCCCAAAGAAAGGGTTCCAGGAGAAAAAGTAAAGCGCCAAGGTGGCACCATCATTGGTGGCATTTTAAGGCATGAAAGGAGAGTAGGTTTAGAATCTTGATACTTAAAAAACTTGAAGGTTTAAAAAAATTTGGCTGGGTGTGGTGGCACACGCCACTTTGGGAGGCCGAGGCGGTTGGATCACGAGGTCAGGAGATTGAGACCATCCTGGCCAATGTGGTGAAACCCGGTCTCCACCAAAAATACAAAAATTAGCTGGGTGTGGTGGGGGGCGCCTGTAATCCCAGCTACTTGGGAGGCTGAGGCAGGAGAATTGCTTGAACCCGGGAGGCAGAGGTTGCAGTGAGCCAAGATTGGACCAATGGACTCCAGCCTGGGCGACAGAGTGAGACTCTGTCTAAAAAAAAAAAAAAACATTTAATTAATGATGATTTAAATTTTGTCAGTATTGGGCTGTTTAGGAATAAGAAAATTCTGGCCTATAACTTGCCAGCATCTACTTTTAGCAACTGACTTTCTTTAGGATTTTCATCTTATAGTGAATTTTTTTATTGTAACTTTAAAAAAATCCATCTGCTAAATTAGTCACAAAGTTCTTCCAAATATTATGGTGGAGACTCTTTTGCTAATGGCTATCCCAATATAGACATAACAATTGCCTTTGGTTGGAGGGATTTGGGGAAATCACCAATGATGTCACGTGACTGCACTTTGGCTTTGAATAAATCTTTTGTTCTGTATCCTAATGGTCACCCCCCAACAGGTCACAGGACTTCAGGATGCTTTGGTAACCAAAAGAAACCCTTGGTATGTTGCCATGTTTTAGAATTCCCTAGTCACCCTGGAAATTTTGTTGATAAGGACTTGGGGAGCAGAGGTGCTGGTAAAAACAATGGAGAGGAGGAGGAGAAACGATCATTAGATGTGTGTGTCTGCTATGGGTGAGGTTACAGAATGTCATGGATGGTGGCAGGATTGGTGAATTATTTTACTGAGAAAGTAGGGAGTGGTGTGTTCTGGAAGATCACATGTATCTTGCAGATGAAAACAAATATGGGCTGGGCTTCATGGGATTGGATGTTTGCCTACCACGAAAGGGCTTCTGGGGATGTCTTAGAAGGTAGAGTGGAAAGAAACTTGCGGTTGGGTCCTTAGTTTTGTGCAACTGTTCACTGTATATCCTACTTAAGACATATTTTTAGAGCATTACCACATGTTATGCACTGACACTAAGATTAAATTTATTAAATAAGATCCATTTCTGTCTTTAAGGATCTCTAAAACAAATAAGGAGTTTACAATATGCTGATTCAGCATTGCTCAGCCATGATCATTATAATGATAACTTGTTATGATTGTAGGTAATATGTATCGAGCAGTCATTATGTCTTAAGCATTGTGCATAATTTCATTTAATCTGAATAATGACTTAATGGGCTAGGTCTATTATTCCCATTATAAATATTTTAAAATACTACTTATGAATTAAGTAACTTGACTAAATCAGCTACCAAAGGGAGAGCTGGGATTTGAAGCTAGATCAAACTGATGATGTAGAATTCTATGCAATGCTAGCCAGCACACTTAAAAGTACTAGAACATGAATCCCTATGATGGTTTGAAAGATAGATTTGAAAATCGGGACCTAACTTAGGCCATCAGAAGAGAAAAACTAAAATGAAGTCTATAGAATGTTCCCCGATGTCTTCTCTGCTCCTGTCATGTCAGGAAAATCTTTCTTGCACAGTTAATGGCCATCTGTGGACCCCGTGAGTCCATGGGAAAGCCAGCTCCTCTTGGCATGTCATGAGGGAATGGGTGGGTTCTTTTGAGTCTGGCACTGTCAGCCGGTGAATTTTTGTGCCTCCATTTGCATGTCTGCCCCTCCCCTCCTTTTTTTGCTACTTAGACAATTTGTTGGTCAACACACAATACTTACCATTTGAAAGCATTTAGTGACCTGCAGCATATCAATTTATAGTGAGAAATAGAACCTATGCAAGTTACAAAACTTTTATCAGCCTGACCATCACACGGTGTCCCTGGAGGCCATGGAAGCTGGATTATAATCAAGAGGTTGCTTGAAGTGCATGGAATCAGAACAAAGAGAGGTAGATAAATCAAATTTTTAATGGTGTCAGGCTAAGACATCCTGTTTCATCTCATCTTCTCTGGAGGGACGGGCCTGCCAGTGGGAGTGGAATACTCGAAGTTTGAAATGCTTCAGACTGATTCCAAAGGATGCAACAGAATTTCAAGCAACTCTTAGACCAGCCTTGAGAAACATGGACCATGATGAGAAAATATTTATTTTCTCTTCTTCTACCCTCTCTCACCTTTCTCCCTCTCTCTCGCTCTTTCTCTCTTTTTTGTCTCTTTCTCCTCCTTCTTTCTTTATTCCTTTTTTCTTTCTCTGATGCCCTCTTTATGTTACCTCTTTTTACACTACATTGGCTACAAATGTGGATCACTAAACATCACTGATTTTAAGAGATACCAATTTTCTGAGAAATGTAAAATTAGAAAATGTGAGAGCTAAAAGGATAAATAAGAACGATTAAATCCAAAGAAATTGTGCTTCACCCAAAGTTAATTTGTATAACTATTGTTAGAAGAGAGACTATAACTCAGGCCTCCTAAGTCATCCTTATTTAGTCTAATAATGGCCTCATTTGTATGTTAAAGCAAATAATTTTGTGTTAAAATTTTTGTTTTCCTGAAAAATATTCAGATATGTATGCAGTTAAATTTTAAACTTGGAAATATTTATAAGACTGTCATTAAGATGGGCCAAGTGAGATTTTAATTGTCTATGTGTTTTAATGAAGATAATTCATTAGATACGTGATTTCAGAACTCTAGTTGCAAAATGATATTACAAATTAATGATTTTTACCAACTGTCTTCACTTATTTGTATGTGCATCTGTGTCTCTCTCTCTGTGTATGTGTGTGTGTGTGTGTGTGTGTAAATAAAAGGTAAGCTATTTGGGTGATTTTTCAAGTGAAAAAACCCTGTAAGATTTGGATTTCAAATATTTCATCTCATTTAAATCATTTATAATTATTTTCCATTGTCATTAAAAAAAACCTCTTAGGCCTGTGGTGCCTTGGGTTTTTCTGGGAAAAACTGGGATTATAGAAAATTCTCTAGGCCTTGGAGCCAGATGGATTTGGTTTTGAAATGAAGCTCTGCTGCTGAGTAGTTTGTGGTCTTGGGCAACTCATTTGACCTCTCTGAACCTCAATCTGTTATCTGAACATGGCAGGAAAATCTGTAAATATACCGAACTCTTATTCCTTCTTGCTGTTTTCTATCCCAACAAGGTAGGTGGATGGTCATGCCTCAGGACGTTAATGGCATACCACAGAGGTGGCGAGGTCCCAGTATGACAACCTCCCTCCAAGACTTCTGGAAATGGATGGGAGCTGTTATTGGAGTTGCTGAGGCAGAAGGTGCCTTCCTGTGGGAAAGAGAAGAGAGATTCATTTATGGGGATAGGGAAGATGGTGATGTTCTTGGTGAGAAGTGTAGGCTAGTTCATAGATATCAGGAGGACTGACTATAGCTATAGCCTAAGAAGTCATAGGAAGCAATAATGTCCATGCCAATCATGGAGCAGTTGGAGTCACTTGCCTGGGAATCAACTACAGGGCCCTGAACAGTGGGCCTGATGACTTAAAGGTGAGAAGCCCTCCCATATCTTTCAGGCCTCCTGTGAATTACCTTTGTCCTCACATATTTTCGAATACCCAAATTTGACTGGCAGTAACTCTCTCATCATTTAGAGAGGGGACATATGTCTAGATTTAGAAAAATAAGGTAGTGTGCCATTTCTTGTGACTGAGTGTTATAAAGCAAATTCATCTCTGTAACCTAATGTCTAACAAGCAGGATTATTGCTAGAATTAGGGGTGATGTACATAAGGTACTTGGTACAGTGTCTGGCACACAAATAGGCATGATGGGAAATTATTAAAATGTCATAATGAATAATTTTATTTCCAAATTATGAATTATTATTTATTTTTTTAATCACCAAAGCTATCTCAAATCCAAGATTGGTAAAGCTGGAGCTGCTTCTTTTTTTCAAAGACTAAATAGCTCATGACATAGATATTAGAATGTCAGTATTGAAATTGTTCTCTATGATGTGGGCTAGGCAACAATAATAAATAGGCACCGAAATGTGAAGACTTAACACAGTGAATAGTTATTTCTTGCCTACTGAAAAGTCCAGGGCAGTGGCAAGTCACTGGGTTCTCTGCTTCACACAGTCTTTCTGGGATACAGGCTGACAGGGTTCTGTCATCTTCAACAGATGGATCTCAAAGTAGCCCTGGGGTTTCTCAGCCCAGTCATCTGAAGAGGAAAAGAACATGGAGGAACACACACGGGAAATTTTCGGGGCCAGCCCTAGAAGTGGTACACATCCTTTCGTTCACATACCACTGGCTAGAACTCAATCAGAAGGCCATGTCCACCCACAAAAAATGCAGTCTAGCAGTATGTCCAAGAAAAAGAGAAAAGTAATTTTAATGAACAGTTAGAAATCTTTGTCAAATTAAGGATTATCTATCTTGGTCTAATTCTTCATTTAATTGTGTGTGGCTCTGGAAGTTGGAGTGTTCTTTGGTATGGCTTTTCCAAGTGGGTTTTTTCTTTATACAGAAGTATCTAATACAGAGTTTTTCTTATTTAGAACATGGTACCTTTTCGACTAGCTCTCCATGTCTTCTTGCACCAGGCATCTTCAAAATCTCATCAGACATATTCCCTTTTATTTTCTCATAATTCATTTATATTGGCCAAATCTGTTGCATCCAGGAAGTAAAATCTAATTGTAATGAGAATGGCTTTATTGAGCACTGTTGGTTTTTGACAGCTATAAAATATTCCCATTGTAACTCTCCTGTTGCTGCTTGACCCCTATCTGTTCCCTCTGCCTCCCCATCCCTCTAAGCAACATCATGTGAAATCAAATATTTCTTGTCCGCCTTTCTAAATTGCATACAACCAGCTAGCAGGCAAATAGGCAGTGAGGTAAAAGCAGAAATTTACATGAGGATCCTATTAATATACCATACAAATGAGGGTCCCATGGAGAATGTTAATTCATTTCCTATATTGAATGGCCATGATCACTGTAAATTTTCACCATGGCAAGACCTAATATGGAAATGGAAAGCTTGGATATACATAAGAGATGGGAATTGACTAAATTTTATAAAGAGAGCCTTTTTGTTTTTTGGGGTTTTTTTGAAATGGAGTCTCACTCTGTTGCCCAGGCTGGAGTGCAGTGGTGTCATTTCAGCTCACTTCTACCTCTGTTTCCTGGGTTCAAGTGATCCTCCTGCCTCAGCCTCCCAAGTAGCTGGAATCACAGGTATGCACCACCATACCCAGCTAATTTTTGTATTTTTAGTAGAGACGGGGTTTCACCATGTTGGCCAGGCTGGTCTTGAACTCCTGACCTCAGGTGATCTGCCCACCTCGTCCTCTCAAAGTGCTGGGATTACAGGTGTAAGCCATCACACCCTGCCAAAGAGAGTTAATTATCATGTACCTTTTCCACACAGTAGAGGACTTTAAAGAGCGCTCCAACTTTAAAGGTTGTATTTATAGCTTGAAAATGATTTTTAAGCTTAGATCATTTCTTGAAGGACAATGGTTGGGGAATTGAAATCTTGTAATGAAATGTTATAATTCATCGAATTTTAAAATTGAAGACATTCCTAGAGTACTATTGTGAAAATTTATGATCTACATTTTTTTTAATCCCCAAGAACCACAGATGACAGAACATAGCTAAGACAGAGCATGTGATCTTTTCATAACTCCCTGGTGGCTGCTTGGTTTTTATTTGTTCAATCATTGACTTATGATTTAACTAAGATCAATTTCATGCCTAGTATTTGCAAGGCACTGTGCCCCGATTAGTAAGGTGGGCACTCATAGGTTCATGAGAAGACAGACATAAAATAATCTTCTTGCACCAAGAGCTACAGTTGAGGCATTTGCAAAATGCTATTGGAGTTTAGCTAAGGAGAGACTTTCTTTTTCGAGTGGGAAGGGAGGGCTTCACAAAGAATGACAAGCAGTTTACCTGGTAGAGGAAACAACATCTGGGGGAGATGTTTAGGCAATGGTGAATAATTGTGTTGCTAGTTCATAGGGCATACATTGGGATAAGGTAGAGAAGATAGCAAAAGATGAAGGTGGAAAGAATGGGTAAATGTGTTAAAAGCCTTTTATATAATTATAAGGAGTTAAGTTTTATCATGCAGGTTAGAGAAATTAGCAAATGTTTTAAGCATAATTAATTCTAGGTCAATTTACTAATTAATTACTTCTGCAAACATTTATGAATCATCCACTGAGTGCAAACTACTTGGCCTTAGAAGTGTAATAGTGAATAAGATGTGGACTCTGCCCATGGGGACTTATAGTTTGGTGAATGATTACAACCAGTAGAGATGGTTCTAAGGTTTTTTGGGAAGAGGATTAATTGCTCATATCATCAACTTCTTCCAAATTCATTTCATTTCACCATTAATCTCATTATTAACTTTTATGTGGCTGACGGAAGTTTCCTCAATCTTTGTCAAGTGCGTTTTTGAAAATACTGCTATCTTATTGATTTATAATGTAAACCCTGTGTGAAAACAATGTGCTTCATGTACAAGCAAGAAAAAAATCCCTCATCCACCCTTTCAATCTGATTGTCCCCTCCTCACACCTGTCCCGTAAAGGAAGCCTAGAGTAGCCAACAGTGACAGGTTTTACTGTACTCTGAGACAAGTTGCTATAACTATGTGTGCACTGAGAGATACACAGCTCCAAATTAATTGTTCTGGCACAAGGTGGTAAGTGCAGAGAGAGAAACAAGGTACATCAGAAGCCATTCTGTAGGCACGTAGTATGTGCAGCCAGGGTTGGGGGTAGTGGCATGTGGAGGCTTCCTGGAGAAGATATTGTGGAAGAAGACAGGAAAAGCACATTTCGAGCTGAAGGTATGTCTGGAAAAAGGAGTGGTTTGCTTTGACTGGAGCATCAAGTGTTTCGGAACAACTGTTTTGTTTGCTTCATGGAGGAGAGATTAGAGCCTGAGAGTTGGAGAATGATGTGGTCATCTTAATAAATACAAGGTTTTAAAGATAGTGCTCAGGCTCATTTGACCAACATCTCTTCCTTTATGGCCATCCAGTGAATTCAAGTGAGATGTGAGAGGGAGAAAGGAAACACCCTTATTGACTCAACAAAGCTCTCCCATAAGTTCATATTCTTGCTTCAAAAAATCTCTTAAAACAATGAAAATCATGGCCCTAGTATAAACTACCAAACATTTCTTCTGCCATAGTCTACTTTTTAAGATTGTTGGCAACTCTTATATGACCTGTGTCTTTTCTGAGATTTTGAGTGTCACATATTTGACTTTGCTTGGTTTCCCTTGGACTTAATGAACCGCCCGGATTAGTGACAGGTTTTCATTGGACCATAGGTCTGAACCTGGGCATTCAGGAGAAGCATGCTGAGAAAAAAAAACACGTAAAAAGGACTGCAGGGCCACATGTGGTGGCTCACGGCTGTAATCCCAGCACTTTGAGAGGCCGAGGTGGGCAGATCACTTGAGGTCAAGGAGTTCGAGACCAGCCTGGCCAACATGGTGAAACCCCATCTCTACTAAAAATACAAAAATTAGCTGGTTGTGGTGGTGCATGCCTGTAATCCCAGCTACTCAGGAGGCTGAGGCACGAGAATCAGTCAAGCTTGGGAGGCGGAGGCTGCAGTGAGCCAAAATCGCACCACTGCACTCCAGCCTGGTTGACAGAGGGAAACTGTGTCTCAAAAACAAACAAACAAACAAACAAACAAACAAACAATGGCCTTCAGGTGTGCATGATTTTAAAAGACAGAAAATGGCCTTGCCCCTATATACTTTTTGGAGTAAGGAAAGACAACTAAATATTAAAAGTTCTAAGCAGGGAAGTGGAATTTCCTCAGGTCTCTGATCCCTGACCTTGCTCAAAGCAATTCCTAAATTATGAGTAGATTATAAAATTGTGTATCTCCGACTGATGTACTTTTGAGTCCCCAGAGAAAATATTTCAATAGGCTTTGGTGAATTAGCCAGAAACTCTGCACTGTTCTCTGGGTGAGGGAGGATGTAACTGCCCAGGGCTCTGCTCGCGGTCACTTGCCTACCTGGGAGGAATGCTTTGGCATTCTTTGGGAGGAAGAAGGCCATGTAAGGTTAAGGCAGTACCAGCAAGCTCTTGCCCTGTCTGCTGACACAGAAAGCTTCTGTGCCTTCTCATCTTGTGTTTGGCCTCACTCAGGTACAGTAACGTCCTGCTGGTCCAGCTGTGATCAAGACACTCACCCCAGCCTCCATCCTGAGCCTCCCAGCCCCAGCTAGGATTTGAACTCATGGTCCCGAGAGCAGAATGGATTAGTGCTCAAGGGCTCCCATGCTGACTTCATCAAAGCTTTTCTGTGCACATCTCCATTGTGTGAACAGCTCTGTTAACCAAACCTATTATCTTTCCCCCTTGGTTTTCAACTTGAGAAAGGGAAAGCAACTTCTTTAATGGCCCACAGATTGATGATTAACATTTTACATGTCCCTGCTGCTAAGTAAAAGAACTGCTTTGTGGACAGTGAAAATGCCTAGGAGAAGGAAGCGGGAGTCAACTTGGTTTATTAAGTTGTGCTGCTTCATTAATCACAATCTTTTTTTATGGCAGCGCTTAAAGGCCCATCCATTGTACTTCTCGGGAATGGGGTAGATCAAAACCAAGTGCTTTTAGTGCACCTTTGACATCTGGCATAGCAGCCGGCTATCTGCGATATTGCTCTCAAGCAGTATGGGGAGCTGCATTTACTGTGACCATGCTGGCCCCTCTGATTTAAGCTACTGCAGAGGGCAATGAATTACCTTAAAGGAGCTGCACTGCAGAACTCCAAGTTTTATGCCGGACCCCTGCCAGCTCCCCCACTTTATGAGTATGAACAATCAGACAATTGAACTGATTTGACTTTGCCACTCCTGGAGTTTCATTGCTGCGAACCTGGGGATGTAATGATGGCAATGCCATGCTAAGTGCCGCTCTGACTAGCAGCAGTGCCTGCTGCCCATTCAAGTAGGGCACCCATTCTTGTCAGCTGAAAACTGCTCTGATTTGCAGTAAGGGGGAAAAGAGATCCCATGCAATCAGATTAACTCAATTCTGAATGTTATTTTCATTTAACACTGTGGAACCAGGCAGTGTCCCAATTTTTTTTTTTTAATGGTAAACTCATTAAAAGGCAGGGTTCTTTTGCAAGTTGTCGTATAGCACTGATGTGGAAGGCACCTGCCAAGTCCTGATACAGATTGCAGACACACACGTTCATAGAAACTTACAGATTGCAGACACACACGTTCATGGAAACTTACACATATAACACACATATACACCTACTCCATAGACAGGCTTAGGCTGTCTTATACAAAGAATCAGCACCATAAATATTTATTGAATTGATTAATTAATCCAAGAAGATAAAACATTTCCCCATCCAGAGACAAAAATTTCATTGACTTTTGCAACAATAAGTGTTAGAAGACAATAAAATGCCATTTACGAGCTTTCAGGGAAAAAGTTAAAATTTATTATCCAAGAATCCTATACTCCACCAATTTCTTGTTACTGTGTGAAAATGCAAAAAAAATCCAAATAAGCAAGATGGCAAAAGAATAGTAACTACTTGGTCTTCCTAGATAATGAAAAAAAAGACTATTTTCAAAGACATTTGTCAGACCACTGAAAGATGAATCAAACGCAAAGAAAGGAGGAAATAATAATAATAATTAACAGTGCTTGCTATGTGCTAGGCACTCTTCTGGGTACATACATTAATTAATTTAATTATTCTTGTGCAAACCAATGAGAGGTAGCTACTATTATTATTCCCCATTTCCAGTGAGGAAGCGGAGGCATAAAGAGGTTCACTTTCTTGCTCAAACCCATCCATCCACTAAAAGGTGGGGCCAGGATTTGAACCTCAGCATTTTGGGCTTCAAAATTGGCACTCTTAACCCTTACACTATGCTGCCTCTAATAAGACTTTAAACATAATCACAGAAATTAATATTGGTGATTCTAAATTATTACCTCACTTATTATTTACAAAACTGAATGCTAAAAAAATTTTTGTTCCAAATGATATGCTGCAAAACCCAAGAGAAAGATGATAAAGACAAAGGAAGTAGAGTAACTCATCTTTTAAGCAAAGATACTAAACACATGCTTAAAATAAAAAATAAAAAATAATTGTTTTGACTTTGAAATTGATGATTACATGAATATAGGCTTAAGCATATTCTCAAAGAAAACAAAGTTTACTGTAACCACTCATAAAATATTTAAAAGAATATCTAGCTATAATTCAGATCAAATATCTATGAAAGACATCTAAAAACACCGGATAAAGACATAAGCTAAAATAAGAGAATCTCTAGCTAACATATTATGACTTAGGATTAATAGGACCCAAAGACAACTATGTAGAATAAAATAGAAAACAAAAATATAGAAATCAGTCAAAGTAACAATTATTTATAGTAATAAATATAATTTATAGTGTCCCAGAGCTGACATGGGACAAAAGATGGGAGAAGTGGGTGGATACTGGATCTGGAATATATTTATGGAATATATATACACTTTTTAAAAAATTTTTTGAGATGGAATATCTTCTGTCACCCAGGCTGGAGTGTAGTGGCACAATCTTGGCTCACTACAACCTCCACCTCCCAGGTTCAAGCGATTCTCCGGTCTCAGCCTCCCGAGTAGCTTGGATTACAGTGGATCTGGTATATTTTAAAGAAAGAACAATCAGGATTTGCTGATAGAGTGGATTCCTGAAGATTCCTCATTTTACCATGTAAATATTTACTGCATTTAATTAGGCATGCTTTTTTTTTTTTCAGTAAATGTCCTGAAGCACAATGACCCTTCTCAATCTGAAACATCTTTTTTGATTTAGCCTCAATTATTCCTCCTATTCCAATTTTTTTCTGTTTTCTTCCTTAATTGGCTAGATCTCTCTGACTTGTTCTTTGTATCCAGTTATTATTTTCTCAAATCATTTTTATCCCTTCATTCTTTTCTTTGCATTCCCTAAGTGCTTCTCAGGTTTATCTTTTTTTTTTTTGTTTGTTGGTTTCTTTTGTTAATCAGGGGTTGACATTTTTGCAGTTGCAAGGGGTGCATCCATGGCTAGACAGTCAGATCAGTGGTCACTCCTGAGACGTGGTAGACTGCAGTCTTGTGGTTGGGGGCAAGGAGAGAGACAGCAACAGAGGGCCCCAACTTTCAGTAGACGGGGGGCATTCAAGCCTAGGGATCCTGGCAGATGGAAACACGGGATCAGCAGCAAGAAGAGTTCATGCTTACCTGTCAAAGATAGTGCTTGATCCCATAGATGCTCCTCTCTGAGTCAGCAAACAGGGTTCAAGCAGACTTAGTTGTTGGGAGTTTTTTAAAAAAAATTATTTTAAAAGCTGTGCTGCTTAGAAGCCTAAGAGGAAGAAACTGATAAAATCAATAGCACAGATGTATATGTAATTAAATTCTCATACTGATTGGTGATGTCTGTTTGTAGCTCTCCCCCACTGCACCCAATAATCTGATCTGTCGGAAGTTTCTTTTATAGCTTTTTCAAAGAGTCAACTTTTTGTTTTATTGATCAATTCTACACAGTTTGGATTAATTTCTTCTCTTTATATTATTTTTCTTTTTCAATTTTATTTGCGTTTATTTTAACTTCTTGAGCTGAAAGCTGAGTTCAGTTTAAATATTGCTTTCTAAACTGTATAAACATAGGTATGTGTTCCACTAAGTTCCACTTCGTTACATCCCATAAATATTGGTATTTAGAGCTCACATTATTTTCATTTCTAAATCATTTATAATTTGATTTCTCCTTTAATCCAAGAATTACTTAGAAATGTATTCTTAAATTTCTACGTGCTTTGATTTTTGTTGTTGTTGGTGGTGGTGATGGGGTCTTTATTTTCTTGTTTAACTTCTAATTTTTCCATTATGGTAATTTCATGCTTTTGGAATTTATTGTCTTTTCGTGACTCAATACAAAGTAAATTTTTATGAATGTTCCATGTGTTTGAAAATAATGTGCATTTTTCCCAGGGCCTTAAAAAAGAAAATAATGTCAATTTTTTTGTTTATTGGTTACAGAGTTAAATATTTTTATGTAGTAGATCAAACTTGTTAACTGTGTTATTAAAATATTTTCTAAATTTTATTTTAAAAACCTGTTTGATCTAGGATCTGAGAACTGTGTGATTTTTGTTCTTCGTGGGTTTTTCAATTTCCCCTTGGAACTCAAATAGATTTTGCTTTATATATTTCAAAACTACATTTAGGTACTCAGCAAAAGTAGATGATGATCAGGCACAGTGGCTCACACCTGTAATCCCAGGACTTTGGGAGGCTGAGATGGGTGGATCACTTGAGCCCAGGAGTTCAAGACCAGTCTAGTCAACATGGCAAAACCTCGTCTCTACAAAAAAAAAAAAAAAAAAAAAAAAAAAAAGAGCTGAGCATGATGGTGTGCATCTGTAGTTCCAGCTACTCAGTAGGCTAAGGTGGGAGGGTCATCTGAGCATGGGAGGTTGAGGCTTCAGTGAACCATGATTGCATCACTGCACTCCAGCCTGGGCAACAGAGTGAGACCCTGTCTCGAAAAAAAAAAAAATGACTGTAGGTGAATTTAACTTTTTGAAATGCTAAATAATCCAAACTATAATTTTCTTGATTTTTTTGTCTGATTACTATTTGTACGTACTAAAAAAATCTTTTTGCTGGCATTTGTCTAGTCATAGACAATTTTCCATTAATTTCTCTCAATTATGAGTGTCAACACAAATACCAATTAGATATTTGAAGAGGTTTTTTCCATTGATGGAAACCTATGGGATATTTTTTCCAATATTTAATTTTTGATTATTATGGATACATAATAGTTATACATATTTATGGGTGCATGTAATATTTTGACACAAACATACAATGCATAATGATAAAATCAGGGTAATTGGGGTATCCAGCACCTCAAATATTTATTTCTTTGAATTAGGAGCATTCCATTTCAATCCTTTAGTTATTTTGAAGTATACCATAAATTATTGTTAACTATAGTTGCTGTATTGTGCTACTGAACACTAGACCTTATTCCTTCTCCCTAACTGTATTTTTGTACCCAATAACCATCCCTTCTTATCGCCCCATCCTCACTACCCTTCCTAGCTTCTAGTAACCATTATTCTACTCTCTATCTTCATTTTTTTTCCAGCTCCTGTATATTAGTGAGAACATGCAATATTTGTCTTTTTGTGCCTGGCTTATTTCATTTAACATAATATCCTTCAGTTCTATCTGTGTTGTTGCAAATGACAGGATTTCATTCTTTTTTATGACTAAATAATATTTCATCATGCATATGTACCACATTTTCTTTATCCACTTATCAACTGATGGGCCCTTAGATTGATTCCATATCTTGGTTATCTTGAATAGTGCTGCTATAAATATGGTGATGTGGCTGTCTAGATATTTCTTTTTTTTTTTTTTAATTTTATTTTGAAACAGAATCTCACTCTGTTGCCCGGGCTGGAGTGCACTGGTGCAATCTTGGCTCACTGCAACCTCCGCCTCCTGGATTCAAGTGATTCTCATGCCTCAGCTTTCTGAGCAGCTGAGACTACAGGGACGTGCTACCACGGCCCCGGCTAACTTTTTGTATTTTTAGTGGAGACGGGGTTTAACCATGTTGGCTAGACTGGCCTCGAACTTTTGGTCTCAAGTGATCCACCCACCTCGGCCTCCCAAAGTGCTGGAATTATAGGCTTGAGCCACTGTGCCTGGCCTAGATATCTCTTTGATATATTGTTGTCTTTAGGATAAGTCATTTTAACTGGAGTAAGATTATATCTAATTGTAGTTTTAATTTGCATTTCCCTGATTATTAGTGATATTGAGCATTTTTTCCATACGTGTTAATTGCTTGTATGTCTTTTTTTTTTTATTTGAGACAAGAGTTTTGCTCTGTCGCCTAAGCAGCTGGAGTGCAGTGATGCGATCTCGGCTCACTGCAACCTCCGCCTCCCAGGTTCAAGTGTTTCTCATGTCTCAGCCTCCTGAGTAGCTGGGATTTCAGGCGCCTGCCACCACACCCAGCTAATTTTTGTATATTTAGTAGAGCCTGGGCTTCACCATCTTAGCCGGGCTGGTCTCGAACTCCTGACCTCAAATGATCCCCCCTATCTTGGCCTCCCAAAGTACTGGGATTAAAGTGCGAGCCACTGTGCCTGGCCTGTATGTCTTCTTTTGACAAATGTCTATTCAAATCTTTTGCCCATTTTAAAATCAGATTATTATTTTTTTGCTATTGAGTTGTTTGAACTACTGATATATTATATAGTCTGGTTATTAATCCCTTGTCAGATAAGTAGCTTGCAATGTTTTCCTCCATTCTGTGGGTTGTGTCTTCACTTTGTCAATTGTTTCCCTTGCTGTGCAGAAGCTTTTCAGCTTGACATGATCCCATTCATCCATTTTTGCTTCTGGTGCCTGTGCTTTTGAAGTCTTACTCAAGAAATCTTTACTCAGACCAATGTCCTGAAGTGTTTCTGCAATGTTTTCTTCTCAAGAAATGTTTTTAGTTTCAGGTCTTAGACTTAAGTCTTCAATCCATTTTGATTTGATTTTTACATATGACAAGAGATAGGCATCTAGTTTCATTCTTCTGTGTTTGGATGTCCAGTTTTCTGAGCACCATTCACTGAAGAGACTGTTCTTTCTCTAATGTATGTTCTTGGTACCTCTGTCAAAAATGATTTGGCTTTAAATACATGGATTTATTTCTGTGTTCTCTATTCTGTTCTGTTGGTCTATGTGTCTGTTTTTATGCCAATACCATACTGTTTTGACTACTATGTAGTATAATATGAAGTCAGGTAGCTTCCAGCTTTGTTCTTTTTGCTCAGTATTGTTTTGGCTATCCTAGGTCTTTTGTGGTTCCATATAAATTTTTGGATTTTCTTTTCTATTTCTGTGAAGCATGTCATTGATAGGGATTGCACTTAATTTGCAGATTGCTTTTGATAGTATAAACATTTTAAAAATTTTTAAATTTTTTTATTTCAATAGGGTTTTGGGGAACAGGTGGTGTTTGGTTACATGAATAAGTTCTTCAGTGGTGATTTCTGAGATTTTGGTGCATTCATCACCTGAGCAGTGTACACTGTACTGAATGTGTAGTCTTTTATCACTTGCCACCCCCACCCTTTCCTTCAAGTCCCCAAAGTCCAATGTATCATTCTTACGGCTTTGCATACTCATAGCTTAACTCCCACATATGAGTGATAACATATGATGTTTAGTTTTCCATTCCTGAGTTACTTCACTCAGAATAATAGTCTCCAATTCTATCCAGGTTGCTGCAAAAGCCATTATTTTGTTCCTTTTTATTCCTAAGTAGTATTCCATTGTGTGTATATATATGCCATATATATATATGTGTATATATATGCCATATATATATATGTGTATATATATGCCATATATATATGTGTATATATATGCCATATATATATATGTGTATATATATGCCATATATATATATGTGTATATATATGCCATATATATATATGTGTATATATATGCCATATATATATATGTGTATATATATGCCATATATATATATGTGTATATATATGCCATATATATATATGTGTATATATATGCCATATATATATATGTGTATATATATGCCATATATATATATGTGTATATATATGCCATATATATATATATATGCCACATTTTCCTTATCCACTTGTTGATTGACAGGATTGGAGCTGGTTCCGTATTTTTGCAACTGCAAATTGTGCTGCTATAAACATGCATGTGCAGGTATCTTTTTCATGTCTGTTTTTCATAGTGTGGTGGTGCACACCTGTAATCCCACCTACTCAGGAGGCTGAGGCACAAGAATTGCTTGAGCCCGTGAGCCTAGATCACACCACTGCACTCCAGCCTGGGTGACAGAGAGAGACTCCATCTCAAGATATACAGATGGTCAAACGCTGTATATGGAAAAATGCTCAACATCATTACTAATTATCAGGGAAATGCAAATTAAAACCACAATGTGCTACCACCTCACTTCTGCAAGAATGGCCATAATAAAAAAATCAAAAAATAATAGATGTTGGCATGGATGCAGTGAAAAGGGAACACTTTTACACTGTTGGTGGGAATGTAAACTAGTACAGCCACTATGGAAAACAGTGTGGTGATTCCTTAAAGAACTAAAAGTAGAACTACCATTTGATTCAGCAATCCCCTATTAGGTATCTACCCAGAGGAAAAGAAATCATGATATGAAAAAGATACTTTCAGGATTTTATAGTTTTCATTGTAGAGATCTTTTATAGCTTTGGTTAATTCTTAGGTATTTTATTTTATTTGTAGCTATTGTTAGTGGAATTAGTTTCTTGGTTTATTTTTCAGATTGTTCACTGTTGGCATATAGAAATGTTACTGATTTTTTGTATGTTGATTTTGTATCCTGAAACTTTACTGAATTTATCAGTTTTAATGGGTTTTTGTGGAGTCTTTAGTTTTTTTTCCAAAATATAGATCATATAATCTTCAATCAAGGATAATTTGACTTTCGCTTTTCCAGTGTGGATGTCCTTTATTTCTTTCTCTTGTTCTAATTGCTCTGCCTGCACACTGTACTGTGTTCAATAACAGTGGTGAAAGTGGGCATCCTTGTCTTGTTCCAAATCTTAGAGGAAAGACTTTCAGTTTTTCCCATTCAGTATGATACCAGATGTGGGCTTGTCATATATAGCTTTTATCAAGTTGAGGTATGTTCCTTCTATACCCAGTTTTTTAAGGGTTTTTATCATGAAGTGAAGTTGAATTTTACTGAATGCCTTTTTGGCATCTTTTGTAATGATCATATGGTTTTTGTGTTGTTCATTCCGTTGATATGATGTATTACAATTCTTGATTTGCATATGTTGAACCATCCTTGCATCCCTGGCATGAATTCTACTTGATCATGATGAATGATCTTCTCAATATGTTGTTGAATTTGTTTTGATAGTATATTGTTGAGGATTTCTGCATCTATGTTCACCAGAGATACTGGTCTGTAGCTAGTGGTGAAGCCAGCTAGGACTGAGTTCCTCCCCAGGGCAGGGAATTATCCTCCAGGCTAAAATGCTTCCCCAGTGAGCACCTGCAGAACTCTTCCCTGTGCTGTATTCTTCTGTGATAGGGAAACACTAAGTTTCAATGTAAAGTTCCACACTCACTTCACTCTCCTTCCCCCAAGCACATGGATTTTCTCTCTGTGCTGCCCTGGCTGGGGTTGGGAGATGGGTGGAGCAGGAAATTCAAGGTTGTTCTTCCTATCCTCTTCAATGACTCTTTCCGTGATACTATATTCAAATTAGGTACTGTGATTGCTCACCTTATTTTTTGGGACCTATGAAAGTGCTTTTTGCATGAAGAGTTGTTCAATTTGGTGTTCCTGCAGGGAGGCAATCACTGGAGGGCTCTCTTAGACTGTCTTGCTCTGCCTTCTCCCTTGAGGTTCTCTTTTAAAATATTACATATTTAGATTTAAAAAAAAACAACCTGATTTGTGATTCTATATATTCTTTCTGTTTAATTTTTTTTCATTCTTTGCCTTACTATAAAACTCTATAAAGGGAAATTAACACATCTGTTACAAATTAGTGTGTATAAATTTATTTTGTGTCATTTTATTGTATGTTTTCCTGTTCATTATGCTATTGTTTCTCTTTTTTCCAGGAATGTAGTATGCTTCTCCATGTATTTTAATTTTTTTTACTGCCTTACAATAAGTTTGTAAGTGTGATCATATGAGATTTTGTATGTTACAGTATTTATTACTGTAGTCAGTGAGTTTTCTTCATTTCATTTCTTGCTGATATAGTACTTTAAAATGTAGATTTTTGCATATGTATCATCAATGCCACTATCTAAAAAAATTATCTTTTTACTTTGAATAGATTGTTGGAAAATAGTCTTTTTGTGTTTTGTAGATACACAATAATATTGCTTATAACACAAAGATGATTTTTTCTTTTATTCTGATACTTATTCCAATTATATAATTCTTTTTATCAGGTATACATGGTTTCCTTCTATTCATATATTAGTCAGAGTTTTTTTTTATTAAGTATGTCTTTTTGGAGGCTATTAATAAAACTGTAGGCTCTTCTTCTTTAATCAATTCTTACATAACATTTATTTCAACCTAAATTTGTTATGTGGGAAGTTTAGTTTATAGCTTTTAGGAATCATTTTTCTTTCTTTTCAGCATATGCAGACAATAAAGAGGGTAATATTACTACAATAATAATGCAATGTGATGTATCATTTATTTAATGGTAGAATTTATTTTAATAACTTTATAAATGATCTTAATCTTAAATTTCTAGTAATAGAAAGATCTGAAGGTCTTCTTTATATTTCTCATTTGTACTTCTTTTTATGGTGGGAAATTGTACTTCATAGCTGAATTTTGGAAGTACTGTTTACAAATACTAATCTTCTGTAATACTTGTTTTTCTCATAATGGGCTGTTGTGGTGTTCAGATAAAAATATATGTGAAAGATGTCATAAGATATAAAGAACTCTGCAGTGGTTATTCATTGTTATTATAGTAAGTGCTCAATCAGTATATGTTAATTCAATTTGATACCTAACTTGGCCAGCTTAACAGCATATTTCCTTTTTCAATGATCTGTGTCCTTTTAAAAAGGAATATGTGATCCTGTGCCCAGGGATGCGTTAGGTATGTAGGAATTATTTACTTACAGATGAATTACAACAGAAAGCCTTTTTTTAAAGGCAGATTTTGGGGCTTGTTTTTACTGTTGATGCTGACAACACATCTGTGAAATACATGCTTCCCAGTGGTCATTTTGGTCAAACACGAAGCTGAGCAGATGCATGCTTGAGCTCCAACCACCTGGCAGGCCTTTGTTGACTTGGCAAGAGTCTCCAGGCTGGGAAATTTGAAGAACACATTTCATTCCAGCTGAAGGCAGGATTATGAGTTGATGATTTACTGTGAGACCCAAGGTTTACTATAGGGATTTATATTCGGAATGAAATGGGAAGCTTGGGGATTTGTATCCATCAGGCACAAGGACCAGGAGCCAGAAGGTGAATTATAGGCTAAAGCTGTTTCACCAGCTGGTGAGACTTTGCAATTCAATTCCAAAGCAGGTAGAACTGCATTCATTAACAAAGGGCAATCAGGCAAGCTGGCATAGACTTTGCCAGGGTCTTTGCCTACAAGGGAAATATCTTTCCACAAGGTAAGTGGAGACTTAGAAAATATTCCCTGTGGTTTCTCCTAGGTTGAGTTCCATGAGCCATTTCCCAAGTAAAGAACATCAGAATGTCTTCTTCTGCTTTGTGGTCATCAGATGTGTTCAGGTGTCAGAGCTCCTGGGAGTCACATGCTCCTTACAGGAAAATAATACCTCATTATCAAATATTACTATTAGGCATAAAATAATTTAATAAATATTTTGGTTTTCAAATTTATTTCATTGGTGGTTAAATTCTAGCATAAACTTAATATTAGCCAAGGCTTTCTTATTTTATGAGCTCTAGCTTCAACACACAGTTCCTTGCCCATGGACAGCTAAACCTCTTCTCAAGATTTCTGGGTATTTAAATCCTCAGCATCACAGAAATCATTTTGGGGTTTTTACAAAAAAATTGAAAGTGCATGGGAATGACATTGTTCAATGAGCAGCAAACAACTTAAAAACCATACATTAGCCATCCCTGTTCTTAAAATCCTCTGGGCCTTTCTGCCACCAAGAGTTTCTCATTGACCTGTTGGTTCATCAGTGCCCAAGTTGCATGATCTCGTTGAGTCTTTTCTTGGTGTCTCCTTCCCTGGTTTCTTTATGCACTTCTTCTCTCTTGAAGAGCCTTGGAAACTGAATTATTCTCTAAAACTTGTAAGTACAAAGCCATACAGTCTCAACAGAATGGAGCATTTTATGTTTAATGGAAACTGTCTTTCTGAGCAGGTAGTTGTGATTTTAAGTAACAGATATTTTTTCCTGGTTTACCAATATAGATGAGTGGCATCCAGTCCCAATGTCTTAAAAAAAAATTATAAGGGAGAACAATCAATGATTTATCTAGCTTGTGGATGACCAGTTTGGTGAGGGCATAGTGGTAGAAACACTGGGCTAAAAATAAGCTTCCTGGGTAGGTATACTGAGCCTCTGTACCCAGCCTACTTCCGACCTTCCTCCTCCATTCTCCCTCCATCACTGCTCACCATGTACTCAACCGCCTATGGAGCCAGGCAGGTAGCAAATTCTCACAAGAACAAAACCAGAGGAAATGTGTCCTGTCTAAAGGGAACAGCCTTGACTGGGCTCTCATCAATTTTTGCATGTGGGAATGTGGGAACCATGTTGCTGTATCTTCTGGTTTTTACAAAATAATCTAGAAATTTTGATTTGATACAAAATTTTCTAATTAGGTATAAGCCTAACAAAACATGTCTGGGGGCAATATTTAGAATGCAGCTGCCAGTTATTCTACATTCTAGACCTTTCTCTCTGTCTCAACGTGCTTCTCTCACTATATGTTGTGACAAACATCTTGGTATCCTTCAGGGCTCAGTTCAAATGGCACCTTTTCTCTGTTTTGTCATTCTCCCCTATAGTTTTACTCACTGCTTCACTTCTTCTTCTTCTTCTTCCTCTTCCTCTTCTTCTTCTTTTCTTCTTCTTCTCTCTCTCTCTTTTTTTTTCGAAGTCTTGCTCTGTCGCCGAGGCTGGAGTGTAGTGGCATGATCTCAGCTCACTGCAACCTCTGCCTCCTGGGTTCAAGTGATTCTTGTGGCTCAGCCTCCTGAGCAGCTGGGATTACAGATGTGCACCACCACGCCTGGCTAATTTTTGTATTTTTAGTAGAGATGGGGTTTTGCCATGTTGACCAGACTGGTACTTCTTTGCAGTTCCCAGAATTCTCTCTTCAAATACCTCTTTCTAAATGTGTCATGGCATTTTTTTTTTTTTTTTTTTTTTGCTGGTCTGCTTGCTTTGCTACATTGTGAAAAACTTAAAGATGGGAACCATGTCAACCATCCTTTCATCCTTAGAATCTGGTATAGTACTTAGCACAGAGTAAGCACTCAACATTTGTTGAATGCATGAAGGAAATAGACATGATTCTGGGACCTGAGACATGAGATCTGTTTTCTGCTTTACCTCTCAAATTCTTTTTGCTACAAGGCAAGGCATTGTGATCAAGTGTAATGTACATTGCCTTTGAAAAATTGTTATTCCTAATCTTTGGGGACAAGCAGAAAAATAGCTGATACAATCTATGTGGAAAACTAATGTGAAAAAAACTTACTGGTTGCATTGATCAAATGTCTGGGCTCTTTCTTTGAAAAGTCTGTTTTTGAAGAGTATTTTCCTGTGCAGTTTATTGAGAGCAATCGGGCAGGCATTTGTTCTTGCCAGGGTTGGGGGGCAATGTGTGAGCAAGGTACAAAGTGGAAGCTGGATGAAACTATAAACATCTGGAATTCTTTTTTCTGGAATGTGAATTAGAAAGAGCAATTTAACTGCTACCTTGAATCTATGTAAAAAAGAGATTTAAATTTTACTAAGGAATAAATTAGTATTTTCCCCAAAATACTCTCAGATGGTCATTAAACCATCTGAGAATTGAGGTCTCCACAAGTTTAGATTAAAATTACTTTTAGAATTTAAAATCCTAACTTCAGGGAGGAATGGTATTTTCAAAAGGTAAATTTAAATAGAGAAAACTTAGAGCCCCCTCCCTGTTATCCTGAAAAAAAGTAGTTTGATTAAAAAAATCAATAAAGGTGAAGATTTTCTTTTAGTTGGAAGATGTAGAATTAAGATCTGTGCCAAGGGATTATTTTAATAGCAAACATTTTTATGACTTTTTTCTTCAAGACTAGAAACATTTTAGGGCTTAATGGCTTTAAGCACAAGACAAAAAAAAAATCAAGTTTCTGTGTATGTCACGTTTTTAGATTGTCTACTATGTGTGCAGGGAATTTTGAGGTGCAATGAACAAGAATTCTCTAGCCAATGATGTGGATGTGTGGTTTGAGAAGAAAAAGTTTCCGGTGACTGAGGGGCGTGAGAGTTTATTTTGGGAAAGTCTTTCCTGACTCTTCTCTCTCCACTCGCCTACTTCCAACCCATCCCACCTTAAAATAATGTTTAATCTTTCCAAAGGGGGAAAATCCAAATGGCATTAAAACCAAGCATGTTTGAAGACTGCAGGACTTTAGGCTTGTAACATGTGGTGAAGATGGAAAGTACAGAGGAGGAAGTTGTTAACAGTCTAAATGTCTAGATGATACCAGGTGGTAGCTCAGTATGGCTCACAGCTCGGGTAGAACTTGTCCTGCCATTTGGTGAGTCTCTTCTGCTGCCACTTGGAGCTGTAAAGGAATTCTTAATTCCCTTCTTCATCCTCCTGGTTAAATATTTTTACCTGGCTGCAAGAAGGTGTTGTAAATTCTTTTGGTTCATGTTTAAATACACAGTGGGGCATTCGATCCCTGGGAAATCTGCATGAATTAATAAACAAATACCCTCTTCACATAGGAGGCCTCTATGGCATCTAGAAATTGAGATTAAGTGCCTGTGTTCTAGAGTCATCTTAATCACTGCATATTCCTTCATGATCCAAAACTTGCAGATTGAAAATCCTTCTCTTTGGTGCCCTGTGTGAGACACAGTAATCTTTGCAAAGAGCCTTGGAGTCAGCTTTCTACCCAGTAAAAGTGCTTGAGGAAAGGAAGTACAAAGAGGCTTAGGTATGAGTCAGAGGAGGGAAAATAAAGGGGGAAAAAATACAGATGAAATTCTCAGAAAAATTCCCTTCCTTGATGGACAGATATTCCTTTATTCTTCATACATAAGGTTTGGGATCAGGTATTTTCCCATCATGGGTCAACATGCACAAATTAATCTGTGTTGAGCATGCCTTTTTATCCTGCTGCTTTGACATCTGGGGGCTCACTGATGCAGGAAAGACTGCCCCTTCCAGTGCTACCCAGTTCCTAGAGACAGTTAATTATTTGCCTCTGAGCCCACTTTTTGAATACAAATTCACCAATCCAGAGTCCATACTCCCAACCATCTTTATTGAGCTCTCACACAGGATGACATTAGTCCCCTTGCCTAATCACCTAGAGCCAGGTACTAGACAACTAGAGACAGCCACCACACCACAGAGTCAACTGAAATTATTCAAATTAGTCAATCCTAAACCTGCTTAGTCTACTTTACCTGTTCCTTTTCACAACCACAAAAAGAGTCTTACCCACATGTCCCCCTTGTTCCCTCTGCCTCCTGGCACTTACACCGTTGCTTCCCCTTGTGGCCCTGTGTGGTGTGGCATGCCCCCTTCTCTTGGAAACTGTGAGTAACAAACTATCTTCTCAAAGGTAATTGTCTCCTCATCTCTTGGCTTCACAATACCTGAATAATAATAAAACCTACATTGTAACACAAGTGCCTGCAAAAGCCATGTTCTAAATGTGTATGACTGGCATCCATGACATAGACAAGATCCCTGATTGGTCTCCATGTGAAGAATCTGTGTTCCTGGTTGTTCTGATGATGTTCTTCAAATGAAACGGAACTTGATTTTATGAACAGATTAAATTGTGAGGGATAGCAGGGATAAGTGAGAATTTTTATTGTGCAAAAAATTAGACTGGGAGCAAGGACTGAAATATGTATCAATTTTATTGAAGATTTTTTTTATGATACTTTAAATTCTATGATACATGTGCACAACGTGCAGGTTTGTTACATACGTATACATGTGCCATGTTGGTGTGCTGCACCCATTAACTCCTCATTTACATTAGGTATATCTCCTAATGCTATCCCTCCCCCAGCCCCCCACCCCACGACAGGCCCCGGTGTGTCAGTTAATAAGACAGAGATAGGTTTGGACATGCACTTGCTCTGCTTAGTCTCAATGAGCAGAACTAGCTATAACTTGGGGAAAAGATATGAGAAGAAAGATTTTATTTCACTATTAAGAAACTAATTAAATAATTAACATTATTAAAAAAAACCCAAGTGGGCTATGATGGGTGATAATGAGTTCAAGAGTAGAGCTAAATAGAGAATAACAGACAATCTGTAGTGACATCTTATAATTTTGGTGTAGCTGGTATAGCAGCTGTAATAAGGTCCACTCTTTATAATTATTTATATTATATATTTTTCCTCTGTATATCCACCTTTCTTGGACCCAGACCATAGATTCTATGAGGACAGAGTCTGTACCTGTCATATTTCACCATCGTATTATCAGTGACTTTGTTGGCATTGTAGTGGATCAATAAATACTTGTTGAATAAATGTTTGTTGCAGTATCTGATGGAAGATGAAATTAGAGACTTTGCTGAATTTCTTTCATATTTGGGTCAGGACTTCTAACTGTTTCCTAAACCCTGTTTCCTTTTCTCTGTGGGCACACAACTAACTAGGTTACATGTCTCAGCCACCTCCACTGCTTTGGTGCTATGGGATTAATTCCGGGTGATGAAGTGTGGGTAGGCCTAGCCTATGTAAATCTACTGTGTAATCTTGCATGTTCTTTCTTGCTTCCTTCATCTTCTAGCCACATGCAAAGCATCTAGTGACTAGATAGACATCTAAAATGACATTTGATCTGTTGTTTTGACTGCTGTAACAGGAACATATGATCACAGATAAAATGGTTTCCATCTCTTAAAAAGTGGGACCTTTTCTAAAATTTCTTACCTGAGCAGGGATATACCTCAAGAAGTAATCAGTTATCCAGATTCTCTACTTTTTGACTGAGATTTTGTGATTTGATCAAACCAGACTGGAAGGTTGGAGAAGGGCATGCCAACACCAGGCTTTGATGTCAAATTTGCTTTACAAATTAGGCTCCCAGATCTCTCTGTTTCTTGTTTCCTGCCCAGCTGAGTCTTCTGTGAAAATCTGAGAAGATATGTCTAATATCTAGTACCCTCCGATAAGCTACTTTCAGGCTCCTTCTCTTGTTGCTTTTGGCTAAATCTTTGGAGAAAGGGAAAGACCATTCTTTCAATGTCCATTGCCAATGGGCCATCACTTTCCTTCTCATTGCTTATGGTGAAAAGCATGTCTATGTCTGGTGACTCTGCTGGAGGATGATTTTCTCAAGGGCAAAATCAGTGAAATGACAGCAAATAGTTGGGAAGTTAGAAGTAGAAAAGGACAGCAGACTCCAATAAATGTAGTTGACACATTTATTGAGTGCCACCATGCCATGACTTACCTCACGATCTTGGGTGCTTTAAAGGTCTCTGAGACAAGGCTGTCAAGAATTTTACAGTATCTTGGAATAATATTTATTCAACCAGTTAAGCTTAGCAAGTTCAAGTTCAGAAAACAATAAGAGAAAACTTATAGCATGGTGGCTTTGTAATCTGAGACACCTCACTGCCAAGATGGTATTAGAGGGTTTGCTTCACTTCTGCCTCTTCTCTAAATGGATCAAGGAGCTGCTGCCACCTGGAATAAGTGGCCACACCCGGGCTATGCCTTTGATAATTGACATGTCTCATGCACATTGGCCTACTGTGATTGTGGGAATATGTCACCAGGACTTGCTCTTAAGTAAAGAAGAGGATCTATGAACAGAACAAAGCTATGTGCATAAAAAGGGCTTAATTTATAATTTCTGATAACTCTATTAAAAGTTAATAATTATCATGTTATATGGTCCAAGCTGAATTTTAAAATGGTAAGTTTTATCTTGTATTGCAATGCTGCATAGATCTAAGTTTCTGAAAAAAACTTTAGATGACTTTTTAGCCAAGAGTTCTATGACCAGTCATTGACGACAATTGACATGAGCCTGGGATAGGCTGAGGTAATATGTTTGCCATCTCTGACTAGACACTTGAAGACCTTATTATAAACCAAGGGACATAAATGGTGCTCTCACAGAAACATCAGTGCAGTTCTCTGTTTCTGTAATCTCTGAGCAGAGTCACATGGGATCTGAATGTCTTGAGTAGAGATGTGGCTTGAAACATACTGGAAGGGTTTTCACTGGTTCCAAAGACCAGCGAAGTTTGGAAGAAACTTTACAGAAGGGTTTCTAGAGCTCATCCTGTCATTTGCATCAGCGCTTTTACTTTTAAAATCTCTTAAGTCTTGCTTTAAACTACTCTTCTTGGAGCATTTCAGCTCTAGGGACCCCAATCTGCAGCAACTTCCAAGCACCTGAAAAATTGCTGGCCTCTCTCGGAACTACCTTTTTCAACATCACTGTGAGTCTGTGATTATCCTCAATTGCTTCCTAATCCAGCTCCAAATGAGATTCAGAGCATTCATATGTTGGTGGGCATTGATTTTGGTAGTGGAGCAGCTTGATACAAAACAAAAAAAATCAGACACAGAGACTTAATCATTAATTATCTGAAAGCTTTCATCAGATGTAGGGATTGTCATATCCATTTCAAACCTGCTGCACGTTATTTCAACAAAATGGTTGCAGGGGAGTTGCTTATGGCTCTGTTAGCTGGGGCTTCCTTTTATTAAAGTGCTGAGAAAAAGAGAGCTATTATCTTTGAGAGATGCTGCTCTCATTTTAATTGTAACTTGGTAAGCTATTTGGCTAGAATGGACTCAGTCTTTTCTCAATGAATATTTCTAACTCAGGCCAGGTCCCTGAGGACACAAGAATTTCCTGAAAAAAAAAAAAAAATTAACCATTACTTACTAGAAAAAGGAAAACTCTGTAGGTAAGAACCCATGGGGTAATGTTTTCAAAGCTAAATCTTATCTTTTCTACCCATTCCCTGTTCCCAGGGATGAGAGTGGGGGTTGGGGTGGGGAGGAAAGAAAACCATTAGGCAGTCCTTTTTTCTTTTTCTTCTTTTAATTTTGTTCAGCATTAAAGGAGGAAACTTCATAAACATTGATTGTCATTTACAGAAAACATTCAGAAATCATGTGTGCATTATCCGGGAATGCTAACAGTATTGAACTAATAATTTACAGGACATAAAATAAGGACAAAAACCTATTACATTCTAAAGTAATATAAAACTCTTTTTTAATTGTTAGGGAGTGCTGTTTTATTCTAGTATATTTATGATTAAAAAAACTCAATACTTACTTCCTAAATGACTCAGGCTGCAGTTTTACTCACATACACAGAAATTAGGGCTTATATATTAAACAAGGAGAGAGAGATCAGAAAATTGTAGATTTTAAAACTATATATGTCACTGGGTTTATTTGTGGTTTGCCTTTTTCCTCTACAGGCCAATAAGAATACATGGTAATAATGTAATTAAACTCCAGAAAAATCAATGGTGACTATAAGAGACATTATTCTTTTAAAAAAGTAGAATTATTATTCTTTTTAGAGTGAATATTTTTATTTTACATACTTGTGGCAATGCAACTTTTATGCATTGCCAACAGTGGTGTGCATGCTAATGAGATGCAAACTGTACCCCTCCCATGCTGCCCCCCAGGCGCAGTAGGTTAGTGGGCACAGCCAAGCCCCAGGCAGCCCACGGTTTCACGGGACTTAGAATCACTCTTCACTTTACAAGCGTAGGCTGGAGCTAAGGTAAAAACATTAAATCTCTGAATGTTGGAAGTATATGAAAATCATTTCTCTCAATCCTAAAAGCAAGGAAGCATTGTTAGGGATTTCAAAAATATTGGAATGTCTCATTTAAATCTAAATATCTTTTTATCATTATAAATCGATCATCATAAAATACTAGCCTTTTAAAGTCATATTTGGGATGCAGGAAAAGCATCAGTTTCAACAACTTGCTCCTGCCTGTGTTGCTATAGCTCATGACACCTTGGATTTTCCTCCCTCTCAGTCTCTCCCCAACCCTCCCCTAGGTTCTTTACAACATTTATTTGGTGAAGGTCAGTTATGGCTTCAGCAAATGAGTGGTCTGACCTCAGGTTATTAACAAGAAATAAATGTGTACAAAAATATCTTGTTCATCAGAAAGCGGAGTTTGTTTTCCTTAAGCTATTCCATGCAGAAAGGATTTGGACAAAGCCATTTGCTACAAGGAAAGATGACTTAACTCAGGCAACTTTTTTTTTTAATTTTCCTTTTTCGTATTTTCTAGTTATAGATGGAGTTTGCAGGTCTTAGGCCAATCTTCAATACAAATTCTTTGGAGCAGATTTAATTGACAGCCCTGTCCCTTTCTCAGTCATATTACAAAAAGAAGCATACACTTAACACCAATGACCCGTCAAGATGCTTAAACTGTTACAACCAGTTTCCATTAAAAAACTGAGAAGTACATAACACGCAGAAAGGAAGCAAGTACATATTTGCTCTTTGTTGATTTTCCCCCTCTAAAAAAATTGTTACAAAGTCTTATGCTTAAACAGAGACATAGAAAAATCAGTGTACTCACCGTCTCCAGTTATTTACAGCAAAAATTACAGAGACAGCATACATTGTATTAGACCTTCCACAAGCATATATTAAAAGTAATTACATTTGAAAAAATATTTTTATTTTTCCTCTACATTTCTACAATACATACTCAGTTTTCTGTGGGTGTAATTTTTCTTTCTTGTGTGTGTGTTAATCAGATGAAGCAGACGGTACTGTGCTTGGATGTGGGATTTGTAGCTTTCCAGACATACCTAATGTGTTTCTACGTATGGTTGTGACAGAGGCACGCGAATGCTTGCCACCAACTACTGCCAGAAGAGTATAGTTGAATACAAGGATCATGCTGCCCAGCTGGGGTGCAGATGCCCCGTGCTGCCCTGAACAGGGCTCATTCAATTCCGGTAACCCTTGTGCTTTATTTTTGGCCATGAGAACAATCACTGAGCTGCTTTCTCTGATCCACTGGAGGCCATGCTTACAGTCACGCAGGAGGCAAAGATTACTATGGCCCATTCACATCGGAGGAATTTCAGCAGCTTAGGAAAAAAGTGCACAAACAGACAACCCCCATCTGCTGCATAGGAATCCATGGTCTGCACTTCCAAACAATGGAGGACTACATGATCACGACTATAGAATAAATTCTTCACATACAACTAAGGGAAAATAAAAACTTGTCACAGATATTGAAGTCACACAGTTCAAGAAACACACTGAGACCCAAAAGAATAAAAGTCATGCATTTGCCTTTCAGAAAAAAAGTGGCAAGAAATCCAGCCCCCTGGCTCTATGAAGAAGGGAGTTTGGGCAAGACAAGTTGGAGTGTCTTTTATAAGCCATCACTAAATTGAATAGTTTTCATTTTTAGACTGTTTGCTATTTTTTAAACTGACCTCCTGTTATATCCTCTAGTTGTGACAATCAAATACCAAAACAAAATTGAGTATTAGAAGGGGAAGATCTCCATCCCCTCCTTCCAAAACTAATATCATTCTAATATCGTCCAGGGTTGAATCTGACCAGACTTGCTGCAGTTGAGCTGGCCCCAGATGCGATTTTGCTTTAAACCAGAGGCTGCAAGCTGACGATCTATGGGCCCTCTTCTGCTCAGTGATGTATTTGTTTGGTCTGCACTAAGCTCTGAATCAACTGCCATCATGTATAATTTCAGAGATTTTATAAAATTCAGAAGCTCTAGCAGCATTCAGTTTCAGGTAAATCGTGGATGTCCCTTTTTCCACAGGGCATTTCCTGGCCAGCTTGCCCCTGGGCTGCTTCACCCATTTGCATTAAGCCCCCTGGCCCTTTTAGGCTTTCGAATTTTCAACCCCTGCTTTAAATGGTAAACTACCCTCTACCCTGTACCCTCTGGTCCTGAGACCCAAAAATGAATAGAGTGTCAGCTTTTTTTTGAAAGACCCCCCATAGTTTCCCACATCAGGCCTTTACTCTAGTTGCTGCTTATACTGACAGTTGGAAACAGAACATCAAATAACACTTCGTCTAAAGCAGATGGTAGGCTTTCCTCTCTTCTTTATGCAGGGGACTTTGTGCAGAGTTTCACTACAGATGCACACTTTAAGGTTATTGCTGTTCTATTGAACGGTGCTTCTGTTAGGGCACAGACGTCCATGGCCTGAATTGACTGCAAATTGTAGCAGCTTCCTTGGAAATAAAAGTTTATAGAAAAAAAAAGAGTCAGGAAGAAATTATTTCTTCTAATTTCCAATAGAAATAGAATTTTTCCTTGCTTCTATAATGAACAGAAACAAAGAACATAGAACAACACTGCCATTATTTGCATCTGATTGTTGTTTTTGAAAAAAGCTGGTAAGTTTTAGGTTGTCCTTGGGACCCAAGAATTGTTTTTGCCTTCAAGCCTCGTACACATTGCATTGTAGAGAGTGAGCATGAGTTGATCTTCATGGTTTTCTACAAACAGTTTAGCTTGACTGCTCTGAGATTATGCTTTGAACAAGGCAGCTATGATAGGAAATGTACTGACACCTCCCTGGCACCTCTTGTTAATATTCAGAGTTTATTATGATTTAAGATCTCTTGGAATCTACCAAAGAAATCTAATCACTCAGGAGATCGTTATATTCTCTGATTTTACCTACTCAGAGGTACTTTAGTCCAGAGCCCTGAACACAGTGCTAAAACAAGGGAAATTCAGAAAGGGTATGTTTGTGGAGAACATCTCCACCTTCAGCTTTCAGTCTTTGGGGGATAAAAGAGCCACTGAAGGCAGGGCGCAGTGGCTCAGGCCTGTAATCCTTGCACTTTGGGAGGCCAAGGCGGGTGGATCACTTGAGGTCAGGAGTTCAGGACCAGCCTGGCCAACATGGTGAAACCCCATCTCTACCTAAAATACAAAAATTAGCCGGGTGTGGGGGCGTGTGCCTGTAATCCCAGCTACTCAGGAGGCTGAAGCAGGAGAATCGCTTGAACCCAGGAGGCAGAGATTGCAGCGAGCCAAGATCTCATGCCACTGCACTCCAGCCTGAGCAACATGTTGAACAAGATCTGTCTCAAAACAAAAAAGGAGCCACAGAAAAAGGGGCAAAGAGATTAGTTGAGTCATGGACAGTACGGGCATATACGGGTGTCAAACCAGATTTGGAATCCTTTCCTGTCCTATTTTCCCTCCAAAATTTCCCTTTCTTTTTATGGACCACAAATACACTGAAGTTTGAATTCACCCGGTTTCACCTCCCTTGTCCATTTTATCTAATGCCAGTTAGATTTCTGTATTTTCCTTGTTCAGGATTTGTATAGAAAGTTTGGATTTGCAGGGAGATAAAAATTCCTCTGAATGGGACAGCTAGATTATTTGGCTCTTAGCAGAGTTTAGAAAATGAGACCAAGTTGTCCTTACTTGGGTGCAACTTTTCAGCAAGTCCAAATAAGTCAATCTAGTTTATGACATGAAGTTACTGCTTGTTGGTCTGAAAGCCTTGTCAGAGAGGTGCTCTCAGCAACATATTTAATTTATACCATTCACATTTTGTTGTCATTTTCCTGTTTTTAATTTTTTCCTCCTTCTTGATGTATTTTTTTTTTTTAAGGAAACATCCCTGAGTGGATACAGTGCAACATCTGCATCAAGCAGTGATTGTCATTTATGAAGCACGAAGTGAGAAGCCCAGATTGTGGATTTTTTCTTCCAGTGCACACTTGATCATGATTGTTGTGAACATTTGTTAGTCCTCATGGGGAAGGAACCAAGTTCTGGGATTGTAGGTACAAAATACCTTGACATGCAGTCATAGGAGATCTTCGAAGGGCAGCTTTTTAAGGCTTTTTACCATTGAAAACATGACTGGATTCTCTTTAAAGGGAAGGTTGGGCAACTGTAACCCAAACTAGAAATCTCTTCTCTCAACTAAGTGGGATGAGTATGTCCTGGTTGCCATTGTTTTGCTCTGGTTCAGATGCTAGCTCTGTTTCCTTCCTCCCAGCTTCAAAAGGTCCATGCCGTCCCAGTGAAATGCTTAACGCTAGTGGAAACAACACAAATTCAAAGCAGTACCTCCCAAGGTAAATGTGGGGAACAATCTTTTTCCTATATCACCCATGGGAAAAGGGAGGAAAAAATTCTGAGCCACTTCATCAATTGAGCCAATTTAAATCCTCTAAGGTAAATTGGAGGAAATAAATAATTCCCTCTGCAACTGAGCAGGAATTACAGGCTGACAATGGAAAACACTAGGCCAACAGAACAATGAAAACAAAGTTTGACATAAGTTCAAAGCTCAAAGGGAAACACCAAGTAGACACATGAAGCATCGCCTATCACAAGCCAATCATAAAACATACATTGCATTTGGAAACGGCTTGGTTTAATTGAGTGCCTTCCATTACCCTGTTTTCCTAGCAATCAGTAGAGTAATCTTTCCATTAGAAGGAAATATGACTCTGGGAATTAATTCTTTATACAAAGAGCTAGCAGGAGTGACATTTACACCAAAAAGAATTGAGTCCCTGTAGCAGCATAATAAGCAGTCTACAGCTGTCTTCTTAGAACCAAAGGTAATTTGGTTCAATGTAGTTAAATTAATTGAATATAACAGTAGTTGAGAAACAGATTCATTATTTTAAAGCCTTTTTGTTTTTCCCCATTGGTTTAGAATTCATCAATCATGAGGTGAGAAAATGTTCCGTTTTCTAAAAGGAAAAGATGACACTACTGTTTTGATCATCAATCAAGAGTTCTGTGGTATCTTGGAGATGGTGCTCAACCATGAACTTCAGGAGAGCATAAGAGATTAAAAAAAGAAATCAAAGTTTCCACTGATGGAAACTTTACAAAGCAGGGGTTTGTATGTGTGTGTGTGTAAGTGTGTGTGTGTTTAATATGGAGAAAAGGGCAGTTCTTTAGGAGTTGGTGGCTGGGATATACTTACAGGAGACCATAATTTTCATTGTCTTATACACAAACTTCTCTCTTAGCTTGTTTTCTTTTTTTTAAGTTTTATTTTGTATCAGAAAATAACAGAGGTATAGGCCTCCAGGACACAGGCAGAACAAATTTCTTGGAATATATGCTTTTCTTATGATTAATTTCATTGGTGAGCAGGTGGAGAAGTGAGAATTTGTACAAGGAAGTCTAAAATCTCTGATCCTAATGTCACAGTTGTATTCTTTATTTCTAAAAGTTGCTAAAAAAATAATTCTAGGGTAAATGGATGATGTAACTGTAAACTTCACAGGAATTAGTTTTGGCTTTGGGGTACATTAGTTCCCTAGAATAACACAGATCTTTTTTTTTCTAGTCTGTCAAGTTTTTGCTACATTTTTATATTATAGCATTTTATAATATGCCTCCCCCTTTATTGCCACTTTTCCTAACAAATACATTAAAGAAAGGAATATAAAGAATTACTTCTTCACTCTGGGTCTTCTCTTTCTACCTTTTCTTGCCAAAACATGGTGAGAGAGAAAATGTTTACATGAAATGGCATTGTTGCCCTGGGTTCTGATTTATTCTTTTAACTTTCCTAGAAAAAAATTGCTGGTAGTCATAATCCACAGATTGTATTTTTCAGTTGAAGACACAATAAGCACTGAAATCAAGCTTGTTTCACAACCAGAAATCCAAAAGAAAAAAAGTGTTTTTATGTGTTCTGGTGAAAAATAGAAAATATCTACTGTTTGGTCAAAAAAGTCTTGGACCTTGCAATGTTATCTGTGGCCTAATTCTTGAAACAGGAAAATGGCTTAAAATACTGTCTCCTTCCCAATATGAACCATCTTGACAAGGCTTTGATGTCATTGACAGAAATAGAGTTTGTATATAGAGGCCACACATTATGTTTATTCCTTTGTAGACTTAACTCTGAGTTGGTACCGTCCTGCCATTGACTATAGATGAAAACTCTGGCTGGGAAAACAAAATCCTGATTGTCTAACATAAAGGTAACATATAACACAGAAGGTAAATCATAGAAGAGAGCCTGACTGAACCTCCATTGCTAGTAGGTATGGTATTTAAGCCACAGTGCATGTGCATGTATAAGTAATAGTCATATATAATATTCTCACATATTATATACTTATTACATACATGCACAGTACTTTCCAAGACAGCTACAAATTTACACATGCATCAACTACCTAAAAACATAGAAATAGGTAAGCCTATTAAGTGGAATTTTCTTAAATTATATTTGAACAATCAACAGGAAAAGTAATCATGTAAAGTACCGCTCTTTTCTTGTATATATCTACAATAAAATTCTATAAACAGTTGTCTCCCAAAACATACCCGAATAAAATTAAAAAAAGGATAACACCCAGTGTCCTATATTTGTATATTTATGGTCATTTCAAAAACAAACAAACAAATAAAAGAGCCCCACTCAGGTGCATATTTACATTCTTCAAACTGTAGCGGTGAAAAATAATTCTATTAAGTGCAGGACATTCCTAATGTTGCAGTAGTGACATTTTTCTTAAGTCTTCATGAACACATTGCTTTTGTCTTAATGGTGATGCATTCCATGACTATGAGACAGTTCTCTTGTCCCCTTCATTTGCAGCCGGTGGCACAGTCAGGATTAAAGAGCTCCTTGTATAACGGAGGAAACAGTGTATTCACTATCTCTGGATGAGATTGCTTAAATACCTGCAGCTTCTCCCCGTGCAAGTTGCAAACTGCCGTGATGGTTGGTATCTTGGCTATTAACTGCAGAACGGAGAGACAGAGAGGGAGATAGAGAGGGAAGCTCATTAGTGCTCTGTCTGTGGAACCAGTGTCCTTTCTGGCCCCAGATGAAGGTAAAAGGCTTTGGAAAAAGATGTTCAGAAAGAAAGAAGGCGCACTTTCAGCTTTTCTCTTACAACAAAACAAAATAAAACGTACCCACCCCCGCCCCCCCGGACACCATCTCCTAAAGGAAAAATAAAGCAAGCAGGACCAAGATCCCTGATTCATCGCTCTTAAATAAGTATATATGAGAGGTTTTCTAGTTTAATAGTTACAAGTGGGTGCTCTGTAGTTGGGCTACCTGAGTTCCAAAAGAGCTTAGTAATGGTGTAGCTGTGACTTTGTCTATGTCTCAGTTTTCTCATTCATAAAATGGGCTTACTAACAGTACCTACTTCATTGGGTTGTTGTGTGGACTGAGGGAGGTAATTCCTACAAAAGTGTTAACAACACTGGAGATGTGAAGTGTAATTGTTAGTGAACACTGTTATTACCCATAATTTCCCATAGATTTTTGTGACATGAATATTAGATTTTTAGCTTTGGAAGGTGACAATATTTAGGGATATACAACCAAACTGTATGAGGTGCAATCTATAATGATCTGGACTGCTTGGCTATCAAGCTCACTAACCCACTTGTAGAGTGGCTCTCTAATCCGTTTCCACTGTAATGCATAATATGAAACACATAGAGAATTTGGGAGGTCACTGGCACTTAGCTTCCTTAGGAAGGTGTTCTAAAAATGAGTGGAAGGATATCCACTTACAATTGTTAGGTTTTGATATATGTATCATGTAAGATGTAATTTTTTGAGTTAAGATACCCAGAAGACAGTGTTTTATAATAATTTAAATGCCGTATGGGTCTTAGGAGATGAACAATTCCAGCTTTTAACATACTTATAGTTTAGGCACATTTCGAATCCATCATTTTTGTGTCAAAATTAGCTTAAACAAAAGTCACTGTGATTAAATTATTGTGAGAGATATGTTCTTGTATAGAGGAACACTCTTATAAAAGATAGGCATGATAGCTCATATGGCTGACTAAAGACACACTTGAAATTGATGAAAAATACAGTTAAACAAAACCTATCTCATCACCAGTTAGGCTCATCATGTTCCCTACCCTATTCAATAACAAGAATCCATTTCAGCCTTTGAAATAAAAGAGGAAATAGATAATTAGTTGCCTTGTGGTTTTTCAAAATCAGAAACTTCCACTCTTTCATTAACTTTCCTTTTAACAAGTAATGACTATATAACCATACTACAAGCAATTTAAAATTAGCATCAGGATTAGAGCTGTTGACATATTCAGTAAAGGGATCTAGAACGTGTAAAGAAGTTTAGAGTTCAGACTTTCCAATCTTAACCATCTCCACTGCTATTTAAAGACAGAGATAGAAATGAAAAATGCGGAATCTTTGTCGATAGAATGGATGCTAAATTTTAGACTGAGAATCAAAACTTTACCTCCAACATTATTAATTTTTTTTCATTCTTGATGCACCACAAGGAATTGCATGCCTAGTATGTAGCAGGCACTTGGCTAAACACCAGAATGCACAAAACATTATGACTCTTGTTTGTAGTCTACTTGATGAAACTGATGAAATAAGTTTACCACACAGTCAAAAGCAGACTGAAAAACTGTGGTGAGTGCCAAAGAAGAATAGCGGGAGGAAAAATGGGAGGTAAGAAGATGCCCTGACTTGTGGCAGGCCTGGGATGGCTGTCCTGAGAAAGTGACATTGAAGCTGAGCTCTGATGGAAGAGTGAGAGACCTAATTAGGTGCTGGGGCAGAGGGTACATAACATGCCCTAGGATCATGTGCAAAGATGCTGTAGCGCTTTGCACTCTGGAAGAACTGAAGGCAGTTCAGAGTCGCTGCAGCAGTGGGTGAGGTAATGCCAGAGAGGTGTGCATGGCCAGATTATGTAAGCCCTCATAGTTCACGTTATGTTCTCTGAGAGGGTTTTAAGCAAAAAAGAAAGATGATTCAGAGTCCCATTCTGAAAGACTCACTTTGGGTCCAGGGTGGAAAACTGTGTCTTTTCTATATTTTCATAGGTACAGAGTGTTCAAGTGTCCACTTAACTGGAGTCGCTTGGGAAATTATTCAAACTCTCTTAACCAGCTGGCTCACACAGAAGGAGACTACAACAATTTAGGAACAGTTCTTGCACATTGTAATTCTCCCTGAAATAGCTGTTGAATGCAGAGTGGCTTTGAACGCTTTCTACAATCATCTGCAGTTGAATTGATGATGTGCAGAGCTCTTGAAACTTCCAGATGCAACTCTATAATTATTGTCAATCTTGTCAATAAGAGTGGCTGGGGTGCTTCTTAAAAATGCAGATTACTGGGACCTACTCCTAGAGGATTCAGTTTCAGTGAGTTTGGGTGAAGCTCAGACTCCATGTTTGAAACAAACATTCCCTGCAGACACTGATGCAGTGGGTTCATGGGATCGATTTTGAAAAACACTGCTTCAGAGGTTCAAATTTTATAAATTTACAACTGGTTTTCAGAATTGAAAAGTTGAGCCAGGCACAGTGGCTCAGATCTGTAATCCCAACTACTGTAGAGGCTGAGGCAAGAGGATCGCTTGAAGCCAGGAGTTTGAGACCAGCCTGGCCAACATAGCAAGACTTTGTCTCTTAAGAAAATTCTTAAAAAAGTAAATTATACATTGAATTTGAAACAGTCCTCTGAACTAAGTGTAGAATTAGCTGCTTTTCGGGAGGCAGACATGGAAGTTCTCACATCTAGAGAGGAAAGGTTCCATGTGCTCAGAGCTATTAGTTTGGTGGGGGTCAAGTAATGAAATTCCTGAGTTCCCTGTGACACACAAATACTACATAGAGAGGATTAGTCTATTGATAAAGAACATGGACTTTGGAGTTGGGCTGCTTGGGTTTGAATCCTATTTCTGTCCTTTACAGCTATGTGATCTCGGACAAGTCACTTAACCTCTCAGTTTTCTTTTTCTTTTTTTTTTTATTATACTTTAAGTTTTAGGGTACATGTGCACAACGTGCAGGTTAGTTACATATGTATACATGTGCCATGTTGGTGTGCTGCACCCAGTAACTCATCATTTAACATTAGGTATATCTCCAAATGCTATCCCTCCCCCCTCCCCCCACCCCACAACAGGCCCCGGTGAACACATGGACACAGGAAGGGGAACAACCTCTCAGCATTCTTATCTGTCAGATGACGATTATAACAGTCCCTGCCTCAGAGGGAGGTTGTGAGGATTAAGTGAGGCAACAAAAATTTTTTTACAGTGGTGCTTGACACACAGTGGTGATCTATGTGGTAGCTGTCATGCTTCCACTCCCACAGTCTGAGATATCTCTCTTCCTTTCAGGAGAGAAAGAGTCAAGGCCATGCTTTTCAGTCGAAGGACATGGAAGGCAGGAAGCCAGCTTAGCTCTCAACCAAGCTCCAAAAGTGGAGTCATTAACCAAAAGTTAATGCATGGCAAAGTCAGCCATTGACATTTATTGAAATGAAAAAGCAAAATCATATTGATTTTTCATTTTCTTATAGCAATTCAAGTAAGTTGCTTATTTTACTAACTGTGACTCACAATGTAGAATCATATGTACAACAATTCTTGAAGCATTTTTTTCTGCTCCTTTAGTGACAGGGTGGTGTGTGACATGAAATGTATAAGAGGGTGACTGAAACCATTTTATAGTTGCTCATTTGCCCTGGAAATATTTAATTACGTGTCTGGTTTTGGAATGTTAATATGGACTCTTCCTCTTTTCCTGGGAAAAAAACTGGGATTTAAGAGTCTGGTTCAGGACCCAGTTCTGCCTTCTTTTATGCGATTTGGATCTAGTTCCTGTTGCTCATCTATAGAATGGGCTGGATGGTGAGAATTGCTTTCTGTTAAAGAGCACTCAGATCGCTTCAGCAAACAGCACAGAGAAGGCGAAGAGCTCTCCCAGCGTCCATGCTCTTGGAATAGGCTGACTGCAAGACACCCAGTCGGCTGTGGAAACAGAAGTGCCGATAGGGGCATCCATCACTCTGGAGGCATGGTGGGCCAGGAGGCCATGTGGAGGCGGCAGCAGCACTTGTCAGAGCCCAGAAGGGCCTGGTGTAGAGAGCAGCAGGCAATCACTTATTGCTCATTAATATTATGTACTGCAGCCAGGGGACCCCCATTTCAAAGGGAGCTCAGAGCAGCCTCCACAGCAGTTAATAGCTCAACAACTTTTTAAACAGCTGGGGAAGTGATCCAGAAGCACTTGGAGATGGAGGGGGTAGTCAATTTTAAATCATCGTGAAATTCCTTCATGTTTAAATAATCCCCATAGCAGAAGTAGACAGAGGATCTATCAAAAGGCATTTTCACACTCATTTCTTTCTTATGACAAGCATTTCTTATGAGAAGGGAGCTTTAGCTTATACCTACAGGGGTCTACAAGAAGAAAAAGCAGCTGTTTGAGAAGAGATAATAATCCTATGCTTCTCTCCGGTGGGCGGTTTTATGAGAAAATTCACAATTTTATAACTGGTACATTTGATGTTAGAAAAATGGAACATGCAGAGGGTAAAACTAGTGATCTTGTTCATGTGGGCTTCCAGGCCATCAAGATGCCCTCCAGCCTAAAGCAGGAAGCCAGCAATGGTTTGATCAAATTGGAAGAAGCTTCAGGAGCACGAATGAAAACAGGGCACATAAAGTGAAGCTGAACACATCAATTTCACATGTCCATTTGATTTCCTTTTCTTTTTTTCTTTTTTTGTTTTTGGTTTCTGTTGAGTCAAACCTAGTTGGATTCGAATTATAACATTAAACTTGAGACATCTTTCTGGGTCATAAGCCCTGCCCCCACAATCCTGACCCCATCCTTAGCATCCGTGTGGCAGTGCCTGTACTTTCTACCCTGGGCATGGCTGACCAAAATGGAAGTGGACATTTGACTCAGCTGGGGCTGGAATAGGAAACCAGACTGAGAGTCAGCAAGTTGCTTTTTAATTGTAGCAGAAACTACCAGTAACCTAAGGAGCCAAGAGCTAGCCATATTTCATCATGTGGACCAGGGAAGCACAGAAAACTGGTACTCAGAGAGGGAGAAGAATGAAGTAGATACCTACAGGGACATAAGTGTGTAAGATGAAGAATTCGGAAGGCTTCCCAATTCGTAGTTCCAGTACTTTCCTGATTGATGGCTGCATTTTTAACCTTGAGTTCTATGAGATATTGCTTCATTATTTGTTTTATTTTTATTTTTTATACTTTTGCTTAACCTGGTTGGAGGTGGTTCCTCTTACTTGTAACCAAAGAGTACTTATTTATTTATTTGTTTAGAGACACAGTCTCGCTCTGTTGACAGGCTGAAATGCAGTGGTATGATTTCGGCTCACTGCAACTTCCACCTCCCGGGTTCAAGCAATTCTCCTGCCTCAGCTTCCCGAGTAGCTGGGACTACAGATGCGCACCACCATGCCAAGTTAATTTTTTTGTATTTTTAGTACAGATGGGATTTCACCATGTTGGCCAGTCTGGTCTTGACCTCTTGACCTCATGATCTGATCCGCCTGCCTCGGCCTCCCAAAGTGCTGGGATTACAGGCCAAAGAGTCTTAATGAATACATCAACTTGCAATTTGATGAATGAGGAGTAATATCAAAACCTTTCTTCTAATTTACAGACCATTAATCTGATGGACAACTCTTGGAATTTCTGGATGTTTTACCTATAGTATATGCCAGCAAACCATAAACAGTTAAAATACATTGAAATAATCTAGCTTCTCAGTGGAGTTCCTCAACGAAACCTGCCATGTGTTATTCACAATTGTCTCCTTGCACCTGGCACGTAGTACCTATTCATAATAAATGCAGGTTCAAGCAGAAAACTATCCCAGGAGAGAGCTGTGTTTCTTCAGTCTAGATTTGAAATTTAAAAACTTGGGGGATCTGTTGAACTGTTTTCTATAATTTTGCCTATTCTTGCATTAGTTTAAAGTATATTTACTGTTGGGAGGAAGCCTGAGGGAAGCTTTGGGGATGCCAGTTTTACCTCAGCAGTGGTCACACGGGTATGCTAACTTTGTGATAATTCAGTGAAGTACATACTTATGACTTGGGAACTTTTCCCTATGTATGTTATACTTTTAAAAAGTATAGACATTTTAAAGTATAAATCAAAGTCCTGACCAAATAGAAATGAAAATAGGGAGACTAAGACCACGAGTCACATCATCTGGGTAGTGGCTCCTCAAGTGCTGATTAGTCAGACTGTGCTATTTAAGATGAAAGTGAACCCAAATCTCTAGTCCCACCTGCTAGGAATTCTAATATAACACCCAGTTTTTGTTTGTTTGGTTGGTTTTTTTGTTTTTTTTTTTGTTTGTTTGTTTTTGTTTTTTTTTTTTGAGACAGAGTCTTGTTCTGTCTCCCAGGCTGGAGTTCAGTGGTGTGATCTCAGCTCACTGCCATCTCCGCTTCCTGGGTTCAAGCGATTCTCCTGCCTTAGCCTCCTGAGTAGCTGGGATTACAGGCACTTGCCACCATGCCGGGACAATTTTTGTATTTTTGATAAAGATGGGGTTTCACTGTGTTGGCCAGGCCGGTCTTGAACTGACCTTAGGTAATCCACCCACCTCGGCCTCCCAAATGCTGGGATTACAGGCATGAGCCATAGCGCCTGGCCCATCCCATTATTAATCATAGTGAAGTCTATTTTGATCTCAATAAGAAAGCAATAAAAATAACCATAAATGACCTTTTGTAGTTTCCTTTGATCTCTCAATCAGTGTTTGGTCCATAGACTCCATCTACAAATCAACATGACTGTTTTTCCTAAATCTGAATGATAATGCACTACCAATGTGACCAGAAATGATTTCTTTCAAGTACAATTTCACTTATTAGCATTGTTGTTTAAGCCTTCTATCTTTTAAGCTTTTTAAATTTTTTTTTAGTAATTCATTATTGTTATAATAGAAAGACATGCTTCTCTCTCATGTTGATGATACAGTTTTGTTATCTTTATGCTAGAAACAAGCATAGGAATTAAGAAGTTAGTGAATCTGTTGGCATGTACATTTCCTGGCCCAACTTACTGCAATTCTCCCTGGGAAGTTGCAGAGGTCTGAGCTGGAAAGAGACATTTTCTGGGCCTCTCAAACATTTAGGAGTAGCTGCCTTACATTAAGAGTTCAGGTGCTGGAGTTGGCTTAACTGGGTTCAAATTCTGGCTCTCCCACTTAGAAGCTGCTTAACGTTAGGCAAGATATGTAATCACTTGAAGTTTCAACTAATGAGAGTATAGTTTTGAGAATTAAATGTCAATCTATTTAGAATCTATCAGCACAGTGCCTGGCCCATAGTAAATGCTCAATCCTTTTCAACTTTCGCCATTCTTTTTATCCGTCATTGTGATTCTGATCATGTGTTTCTTTTCATTGTAGTCAGTGAGGCACTTGATTTTTTCCTCCACAGCATGTGAACTTGTATCTCATCTATGTTTATTTATCTTGCATATTTGACCTGTAGTAAGTATTTATTGAGTGAACAAAAATGATAAAAATGAATTTTAGAAACTCTTCCTACTTCGCCCTATTTCCACGTGAATGTTTCTTTTGCAATATGAAAGCTGTGGCTATGATGTTGTATTAATACAGCACATTATCATTATATCCTGCAAAGTGAAGGCTGCATACTCTAGATAGTGTCTCACCTGAAAGCTGAAGGTAATGCTCAGGTTCCTCACCTGGATAAGAAGATTTTGCTCAGACAGAATGACGGAAGCAAGAGAATGTGTGTGGAGTAGGCAGGGGAGGTGAATCTCCCTCTCGTCTGAACCTCAGAGATTCTAGATCAGCCATGTCCAATAAAAATATAATGTGGACTACAGATGTAACCTAAAACTTTGTAGCAGCCACATTACACACAGTTAAAAGAAAGAACAGGTGCAATTAATTTTATAATCTATTTTATATAACTCAAAGTACCTAAAATATTATTATTTCAACATATAATCATAAAAAGAATTAATGAGATATTTCCCATTCTGTTGTAAATCCTAACTATTTGAAATAAGTATATATAAGTCTAAAGCCTTAAGAAGGAGAATGTTGTACCATAGATGCCCAAAGTAGTGCTGGCCACGGTATAGTAGGTCAGAAGTCAGGAAATGAAAGGAACGCCTCCCTTTCTCGTCTTCCTGAGCCTTATTGGAATGGGATGGGTGTGTGATGGGGAAAGCTGGACTTTTTACACTTGATCATCCGGAGTTAGATCAATCTACTCTCTCTATGTCGTAGCCTGTATGGATTATGTCTTTTTGAGAAGTCTGGCTTCTTAGCGGTCTGTGGGGGATCCGGGGAAATGCCTAGTGTTTACTCTAGGACTCAGCTGTGTGAGAGAGGATCTGTCTCCTCTGTGGCCCACGTGGCAATGACAGTGAATCAACCAAACGATCTGAGGAGATGAACTTCAAAGTTCAAAGTCAGCACAGGCTTCAGTCATTCTTCTAAGTCAGGATATTCTCTTTCCATGGCTACCCTTAGATTCCCATTGCATTTTCATTAACGTGACATAACCTTAGACTACACTAATTCCTTGTGGATGCAGGTGTGTGGTTAGGACATCTACATGGTTAGCAGGAGCTTAGGAAGAATAACGGGAAAAGAGAGAGCCCCGCGGGGGACGGGATATAACTTTCTGGCCAGCCAGAAATACGAAGAAAGAGAGAGGGAGATTGTGAACTTCAGCAAAGTAACTATAGACTCCTCTACATCCTAGGAGAATTAGAAAGGATTTATCAGCATAGAGCTATGGGCCTAAAACCACCCAGAGGTGTGGTGTGGCCCATGATTCCTGGAAAGCTTGCATGTAAAGCACATGGTGAGGCACAAGCACTTGAACATGTTTTCAGAAGTGAATTGAAGGCATGGTACTCGCTGAGTGTTAGTTGTGAGAAAATAAAAAGCAACATCCTCTCTAAGCCTGCATATGGTGAGCTGAGTGGGCTTTGCCTCTGAGGGATATCAGCAGTTCTCTATGGCTTCCTGTTGGATATATGTGTTGTTATAGAGTTAGCTATTTTCAAACTTCTCAATACAGCTTTGGGCAAGAACACACCTCCAGGAGTGTTGTATCTATTTTCAGGAGTGCTGGGAAAAATAAATATGCTATCTAACAATATTTCATGACTCTAATTAACCAGGAGGCACAAAAGGAGGGGCTAGACTGGGGAAGGCCAACATTAAGCAAGGCTCCAGCTATGGGCCTGACCTGTAGGCTGCATTTGGGAATGGGCTAGACCCATGCATCTGAGGACAAGATGTGAGCAAGACACTACAGATCCAAGCTTTGGTCTTGGCCGTGAGCACACTGCCACAACTTGGCCCCAGCTGGACCGGCCTTCCTTATCCTCTACCCTCTGCACCTCTGGTCAGGGCAACAAGAATGGCAGACTCAGTGACTTTAATAGAGAAAGCCCTAGAATGGAAGAGCAACAGTCTTTATAGTTCAAACATTTGCTGCCCTATCTCTCACCCTCTCTCTAACCTCGGCAGTGGTCCTGCTGTTCTCAACTGAGTGGGGAAAGAGCATCACAGGTTCCTAATCCCCACAGCTGTCTTCACTGAGGAAGTAAACCTCCTAAAGTGAGTCATGGCAGCATCCAAAGCACAAGTCATGGAGCTCCTCCTGGAAGACTGACGGGCACGCTGACCTCTGAACCCGGGCTTTGCACACACTGTATGCTTTGCAGCTTTGAAGCTGGAGTATCGTCCTCAACTAAATGACCATAGTGCAATGAGTACTAATTTGGATCCATAAGACTTGGCAAAATCAGTCTTTTTCTTCACTTTTTATAACAGTAAAATATCCAAAGAGTACTTAAAACAATCACACTGGACTGGACGTTGGAAGGCAACACAAGATGTCAGGAGGAACCTTTGTTTTTCTCTTTACGGAGTCAAACAAGATAATACTAAAGAGACCTTAAAGACCATGCAGTCCAACCTACTCATTTCCCAGACAAGAAAAGTGAAGCCCAGAGAACAGATGGGCTGCCTCCTCTAGTCATATGGGGCTTAAAAATATATATGTATATTTATTTTATATATATATATATGTATGTATTTTTTTTTTCATGAGCTTTAGTGAAAGTGACCAGTGTTATCTCATTTCCTGGCTTCTCAAATCCAGGATCCAGCCAAATCTAACTATTATTTATAGCCTGAATATACCTTATGCTTTCCTACCTCCATGCCATTGCCCCCATCACTTGGAATGCCATCCTGCACTTCTTCAACCTCCCAACTTCCATCTTTTGAAATGGTTTTCATCTATCAGTGACTAGCTCAAATACGCCATCTCTTAGATAAAAATGTCTCTGCCGAAATAATTTTTTTTTCTGTCAACAACAACAGCTACAACACAGCAACAGCACTTACATATTACCTATTATGGACTGGGCAGCTTACTTATATTTTATCTCATTTAGTTAGCCATATATTGGTATATCTTTAGTCATATGGTACAAATGAGGAAATGGAGGCACAGAGAGTTAAAGTCACATGTCCAGGGACACTCATCTAGCAAGTGGCTTTGATGGTTTATTATAAATACGCTATGTATCATAATTATGCTGATAAGGAGAAGAAACTAGATGTTTTAATAGGGTTTTTTTTTCCCCTAACCAACTCTCTCCTCTCCCCAAACCACAACACAGGTTAACACATGGGAATTGAAATCTTCTAGTTAATGTTAGGATACATAATCCCCAAATTTTCAAACCTTCTAAGGTTAAAGTTTGGCCCAAAGTAGAAGGCACTGCTACCTGAACTTTAATTTCAGGAAGTAGGCATGTAGAAAGTGTGTTGGAGATTGCCCTTGCAAGATGAAGTTCAGTGACTGTGTATGAGCCCTGTACCTCTAACCTGATGTCTGTTAACACCTATTCAGAGTTGAACAGGTCAGCGGTAGAAATAATCTTTTGCACACGACACAGAAAGCAGAGGTATCCTCTACCTACTGGCGATTTCACCGGAGCCCCTGGAATTCAACACAACATTTCGGGTACATGTGCATTTTTTTAGAGACAGGTTTCACAACATTCACTGGAGTCCCCAAGGGGTCTATGAATAACAAATATTCAGAATGGCCCTCACTGTTTTAGAGGTATTGTGGAAGGCAGAAGAGCTCCATGACTACAATGGCATAAGGAGCCTTTCTGCAAAGATAAGAAGAATCTGTGATGGGATGAAACAGTTTCTCTCACATTTAAATAAAATATTCCTTTTGGGGAATTTGATGAGAGGGCATCCTAGACAGTGATGGCACATTTGTCCGGAGTGTTAAAGCAGTCAGGAGCTAACGGGGCTCAGTCCATATTCCTAACCCTCCAGCATTTGATAATGGACAAATGTGAGACTTAGACAAATGGAGCGACTTAATCTGAAGCCACAGAGATCAGAGCTGCGATAAATGAAAATTCAGTTCTCATTCAATTTCATGGTCAGTTTGCATTAGTTCAGATAACATCTTATTAAAATGATAACTATTACAAGAAAGGGGCCACACAAAAACCCAACATCTGCCTGTGGCCTATAGAAGCAATGCTTTGTCACCTGGTTCTAGCCAATTTTATCCAAGAAGTAATCCTCTTCTAATGCTTTCTCAGTTTTGCAACATTACTTGTCTATAAGAAAAGAACTGAATTATGTACTTTTCCAAGTAAAGATGGAGAAAGGGAAGTTAATCTGATCTACAGTTGACATAATTTTCTTTCTTGCCTTCAAATATCTTTCGTTCTTCAATTTCTGCCTTCTTCCTACCTCACATACCTCAAATCATAACCAGGACAGTGGGAGGTAGAAAGTGGTGCAAGCATAAACATTTTACCCTCCTAGGGGAGTAATAATCACCATTTCACAACGTGTTAGAATCTCATTTGAACCTCACAACACATCTGCACAGGAGAAGAAATTGTAATCTTCATTTTATAGATGATGAGACCATGGTTTTCATACAAGCGGACAATCCTCCCAAGCAAGCAGAATAGCGAGAATTTTCATCCAACTTTGTGTTTTTTCAAGACTAATTTTAGGATGGTAAATATGGGGACAAAAGTCTTCAGGAGATCCCAAATGCAGACAACATCCCTCCACATTAATTAACAAGATGTATTTATGCATATACGCTACCAAGCAACTATAGAGACACATGCATATATTTACATTATTGTCTTTTCTGCCCAGTGAATCTGAAAGCATGTTGAAGTTCGCTATTGACTAGGAGAATACAGGTGCAGAGAGTAGGTGATTTGTCCTTGACCACCTAATAAATGAAAAGTTACGTGAAAGAGAACTATTGCTCTATAATGTGGAAATGTTCTTGCTAGTGATGCGTTAATTTTAACAAAATGTTACCATAATGAAGCAGCATATTTAACTCATGGAGGTTTTTTATAGCAGTACTCTGTATGTGCAAAGTAAAATCTGATGGTGTCTCCAAATAGAGTCTTTACCATCCCCCTTTTTAAAACAAAGAACTTCAAGGGCAGAGTGGGAAGGTTTTAATGATAAAAATATAAAGAGTAGGATTCCTATGATCTTTAACCAAGAATAAGCTCAATTTCTTAATTTCTTACCCTCTAAAATATTCTGGTTCTTAAGAAATCAAAGATACTTTAAAATCTACGATAATTCTGGCTGCCCAAAAATTTCAGTTCTTGAGAAATCAAAGATACTTTAAGATATAAAATAATGCTGAATATCAATCATTGAGAATTACTTTTTCCTTTTGTGATTATTTTACTTTGGTAAACACTTTTTTTCAGTACTCTTATTAAAGATCATTCTTAATTAAGCTGAATCAAGAAATTGATGACATGTTGCATGGATTTTGCTCCAGGGAAACTTCCCCATTTTGAAAGAACCTCAGGGCAAGTCTTGCACGAAGAGATCAGCGTTGAAGGGAAATTTACAAGTCATCAGTCTAATCTTGCACTCTGAGTAGGAATGTCATTTATAACATACCTGAGAAGTGACTAGGTAGTATCTACTAGAACATGTCCTATGACACAGAGCTCACTGCTTTACACAGTAGTCCACCCCCCATACAACAATTCTCATCATTTGATTGTTCTTTCTTTTTTTGAATAAAAATCTGCCTACTTTTAACTTTGTCCCAGACCTGGCTCCTGAACTGGCACAAAGCCCTCTCTTTCTTCACATATGAATTTTGAAGACCTGTTTCCTTGCTTTGAGTGCTTGTTCTTCTGATGAAACACCCTTGGTTTCATTGATTTGTCCTCCTGAAGCTTGGATTCAGATCTGTCAATATCATCCCTCTATAAGAAAGCCCTTCTTGCAATCTATTACAATTCACTAGCCTCTCTTTTAAATTGCATACCTCACAATTTATGCAGTCTTTGGTAACTTTCAGAAATTGTTGCTGCTGAGAAATTTCCCTTGATTTATAAGCAGTCCTTTTTGCTCACTGTGCTCTCTTTTGGTGGTGGTGGCTCTGTGATCTGTGGACCTACCTTTGCCAAGGTCTCATCATCCAGGTGATTCTTCTGAATCACATGTTGAAGTGCAAAATAAATTTTTTCCTGAAGCTTCTGGACTTTCCTTGGTTCTATAAGCCAGGCTCGGTCTGATGAAAGAAAGAGTGGGTAAGTGGAGGGAACATCAACTTTGTTTTGCTTCACCCACATACATAAGTGCCAAGCTTCAGACCCATTTCATATTATTTAGTTCTAAGTTGCTTCTGAAGACATGTCATTATTTACATAAAACATAAGTATTTCATAGGCAATACCATGATGCCAGGAATGCGCAATATTATGATGCAGGAAATCACTTTGGAGGAAAGGACACAATGGTTCAGATAATCTACTGCTTTGTTTCTTATTGTCTGTGACAATTTACATCTCTCACTCTTTGCTTTGGACATATGCTTAGGTTTTCTTTCAAAGTAGAAGTTAGCGATTTGTGAAGAAGAATTATAGAAGTGAAGAAAATCACAGGAATATTTTTGGTGTTCAGGATCCCTTTTCCTTTTCTCAGCTTATTCTTTCATCAGATATAAAGCTGAAGCTATGTTAGAATTTATATAGCATAAACATAAATCAGTTTCAAAAATTCACTTCTAAGTTCTATTTTCCTATATTGAATTCTTAAATGGTGAATAGGATAATCCCTCCTCTCCTTCTTCCCTCTCTTCATCTGTTTCTCCCTCCCTCAGACCCTCTCTCCCTTCTTTTCTTCCTTCCCTCCTTTCTTCCTCTCTCTTTTTCTCCCTTCCTCCCTCCCTCCCACACTTATTTCCTTCCCTCCATCCCCTCTCCTTCACTCTCTCCTTCCTTCCTTCCTAGAAGATTTATACACCACGGTGACAAAATTCAGCCCAGCATCAATGCCTTAGGTTGGACCTTTATGGAAGAGACACCCCAAATCTTCAAATGCCGAACAAATACTCATGGAAAAGAACTCGAACATGATCTTCCTGAACACAGTTCAGGTCAGGTGAGAAACTCAATTCTGTAATCCTAGACAGGATGAAGACAAGTCTAGCCAACAGTTAAGCAAAACCTTACGTAAGTGAGTACAAAAGCTTTCAGTGACAATTGTCAATCAGAATACATTAAGTTCCCCTCCCTCTCCCTTCCCTAAGCTGTTTGAAGCCTAATACACAGTGGCTCTTATGTCAGGACCCTGGAGAAAGAATAGGGGGCTGTCTGGCAGGAGATGGAGCCTACATAGGCTGGAAATCTTTTTGAATATGGCACTAAGCCAGGGTGGCAAATGAGGTATTTGGAGTTTGTGAAGCCTGTCAGTGTGAGTCTGCTAGCAGCACTGGAAGAGTCCCCACTAGGTAGAGTAAAACAAATTGCATGCTTCCAAACTTCTCAGAATTTAATGATGATAGTATGTTTTTTTTCTAGAAAAAGGCCAAACAGCTCAGCTGATTTCTAGTTCAGAAGGAAGAGGCTAGCTTTTCTTCTGAGGTGATCATTTTCATAGATCATTCATATTTAATACATTTAATATTTCATGTCTTAAATATTTGCTGCTTAAAATTTACTGACTTGCCACAAATATACCCAAAGAGAAAAGTGACTCTTTCTAACGCTTCCTTGGAGCAAGCAAGAACTAGAGGAAAACCATCTCCCTCATCCATAGATTCACCAGCTTAGGTTTAGTTTTCTATTGAACTATTCTCAATGGAAATAATCAAATGCAATGAGAAAATGGTAGAAGGAAAATTATTTGGCATGTGGCTGCTAACAGAGAAAAGTATTCTTGTCACTTCTTCCATCTATCTTTGTGCTTCCAAGCCTGGGAAACTTTCTAGGGTTTAAAAAAAAAAAGGCCTAGAGGAACAGCTTGATTTTAGACAGAGCCATAAAAGAAACTGTTAGTAAAAACACTCTATGTGATAACTAATTTCCATTTTTGATAAAGTGGTTAAATAAAAAACAGTAGCAAATTAAAAATATCCTGATAAGATCATCAAGAATCATATTAGGAATAATAAAGCCTAACATAAAAACTGTAGACATTGGTGTTATTGGAAAATACAGTTATGATGACATGCTAAAATTATAATGTGTTACCTTACATCACAGGTAAGATTAATTTCTTCCAGTTTCATTGAAAAATATAGTAGAGCATATATAAGAAAAGACATCTGGTCTCTACAGATAAACGGGTAACAGAAGAAATGAGACTCTTGACCTTAAAAATTAGGCAGGAATTTGCTTTTCTTTCTGTAGAGACCTGTCAGTGATGCTGTTATCCCTTAACCCAAAATGTAACCAAACAACAGCTGAGGAAGTAACTGAATTCTCATTCTGGTTAGAGACTCATGTATTTATTACTATATTATTGTTGTTATATTATTATGATTATATTATTTATTATTATATTTTAAGTTGGCATATACTTTTTTTTTTTTTTTTTGAGACAGAGTTTCGGTCTTGTTGCCCAGGCTGGAGTGAAATGGCACAATCTCGGCTCACTGCAACCTCTGCCTCCTGGGTTCAAGTGATTCTCCTGCCTCAGCTTCCCAAGGAGCTGGAATTACAGGCATCTGCCACCATATCCAGCTAGTTTTTGTATTTTTGGTAGAGATGGGGTTTCACCATGTTAGCCAGGCTGCTCTCAAACTCCTGACCTCAGGTGATCCGCTGGCCTCGGCCTCCCGAAGTGTTGGGATTACAGGCGTGAGCCACCATGCCAGGCCTAGTATATACTTTAAAAAAATATTTTACTCACTACAGTTCTAGTTGATCCATAAATATTGCCACACCTTGAATTCTTTAAGAACTTGGCATTTCAGTGCATTTTAGAGCTAGTAGAGGTCTTAGTTATTATGGAGTCCATCCCTCTTATTTTATAGATGAGGAAACTAGGGCTCTGAGGGGTCAAATGTTTAATATCACACAGATACTTGGTCACAGAGCTGGCACCAGAATGTCCACCTCCATGTCTGAAGTTTTTCCTCTTCTACTGGGCAGTCTTCAGTATGAGTCATTTTCCCCTCTGCTGTCCTCACCTCCTTTTAAAAACTCCTGATACAGGTGACCCTTCTACAACATAGGTTTGAACTGTGTAGGTCAAGTTATATGAAGATTTTCCTTCTGTTTCTGCCACCCTGGGACTGCGAGACCAAACCCTCCTCTTCCTCCTTCTCCTCAGCCTACTCAGCATGAAGACGACCATGATGAAGACCTTTATGATGATCCACTTCCACTTAATGAACAGGAAATCTGTTTCCTCTTGCTTATAATTTTCTTAGTACCATTTTCTTTTCTCTAGCTTACTTTATTGTAAGAATACAGTATACAATACATTTAACATGCAAAGTATGTGTCAATCGACTGTTTATGTGATCAGCGAGGCTTCCGGTCAACAGTAAGCTATTGGTAGTGAAATTTTTCGGAGTCAGAAGTTACATGCAGATTTTTGACTGCATGCAGGGAGTTAATGCTCTGACCCCTGCATTGTTCAAGGTCAAATGTATTGCTAAGAAAATAGGCACCAGCATTTGTCTGAAGTGAGCACCTCAACATGAATTTGGGCAAAGATGCCAACACAAGAGGTGTTTAAAGAGTAGAAAGTGTTCCTTTTACTTATGTAGGTCCCCATTCTGGAGCTTTCATTTAGGTACATTTCTACTGTGTCTCATCCAACTGGACATTTATTTTCTATGTACTTTATTCTTAAAGTCAAAATAGAACTTGGCTGTAACTCAGGCCACTATTTGTCTTCCTTTATTTGCTAAGGAATGATTCTGCGTATCTGAATCTGGAATAACCCCTAACCTATGCTCTACTCTTGCTTTCGGGCCAAAATTGGTCATTTTAATAAACTTGAGGCTACTTCCCTTTTCACTGTCCAAAAATATCAAAAACTTGGTAAAGAAAATATAGCTCTGTTAAAGTTTCTCCTGAACACTTTGGCTTAGGCAGGTGTCATCAGTGTTAAAAATAGTAAAACAAGTTTTTTAAAAAGGTAAGAGAACTGAGACTGCCCTACCTGGAGATATCAGAACAGCAGATGAGAACAAAGCGATCTCCTCCTCGGTCAGCTGCAAGGAACACAAATTCTTTGCAAAGTCAAATGCTTCATTCACTAGGTCATCAGAACCTATAAAGGAAGAAGAAAAATGGAATAAAAATACTTGAACTTGAAATGGGGCAAGAGTAAGAAAAATCTCATAATCAATAAGCTATCCAAGGAGGTGCATACTAGACTTCTAGAAAAGATATTTTTTTAAGTTTCTAATTATAAAAAGTGATTTGATACTAATCAAAGAATGAGAAAATTGGGCAACATCTTGGCCAGGCAATCCAAGTTAACATTACCTACCAATGGCAAGCAAGTAGACTTGGTGTGTGAGTGGTGTCACATCTGTCTGGCAATCCATAATATGATTACATCCTTATAAATTTGAAATGATTTCACATTAAAGAATATAAAATAAGTGATTTGGGGATCCTTTACAATAGAGATAGTATTCATAGAAAACCTAAAACATTACATACAGGGGCTGAGGATTGTCAGTCTTCGTAACACTTGAAGCTAGCAATGTAGGGTATTCTGGACTTTTAAACTGAGACGTTAGAAATATCTAATGGAACAGAGATGAGATGCACTTCAGTTTCGCAATTTCCTTGGAAATTTCACTGAGGAGCTAGAGTTTATTTATTATTACCTTCTAATGAATGACTCACAGGTCAGTTGCTTAGCTGTTGCGTATTTTGGCAAAATAATGTTGCATCTCTACACTGATCCCTGGTGAATGTTTATTTGATGAAGCTGGAAATATACTGAGGTTGCTTGCCAAGGCTTTTCCTCCTTTCTTGAAAATCTAGCCTTGGAGATGACATGGATGTGTATCAACTGTAGAAGGGAAACATTGCCAGCCCCGATGGACTTGTTGTTGGCTGCCATATCAACTAACAGCACAAGAGGTGAAAGGGCAGTGGCCTTCTTTGGTGTCCATGGGCAGGATATGGAACAAATGGCACTATCAATCGTTAAAACCTTTCCTGGCATCAGCCCATCTTTGCTAATGTTCTTCCTACCATGCCATGCACTGATGACTGGATGTGATGATATATAACACTTCCAAACAAAGACTGACTCTGTTAGTGCCTTCCCACAGGAATGGTCTGGGATCACTGTGGACAGGTTGGCATGAACTCTGTGCTCCCAGAACTTTGTGAATTAACTTCTGTGGGTGAGAAACAAGTAGAGGAGCTCCTCATTTAATTAAGTATCTTAACTCATGATGATAAATTGACATAAGAAACGCAAGAGGTCACCACCATGGATGACCAGGGGTCTATGCAATATGCAATAAAGTTGAAAAAAAAAAGCTGATTTCACAAAGAATGATCTATAATTCAGCCCAGCTCTTTTACTCTTTTAGCATCAGCCTCCGGTTATTTCTTATTTCTTTCCTTTTTTTTTTTTAACAGGGTCTCGCTTTGTCACCCAGGCTGTAGTGCAGTGGTGTGAAGATGACTCACTGTAGCCTCAATCTCCCAGGGTCAAGCAATCTTCCTGCCTCAGCCTCCCAAGTAGCTGGGACTACAGGTGTGTGTCACCATGCCCAGCTAATTTTATTTATTTATTTTATTTATTTGAGATGGAGTCTTGCTCTGTTGCCCAAGCTGGAGTGCAGTGGAACTATCTCAGCTCACTGCAACCTCCACCTCCCACATTCAAGCGATTCTCTTGCCTCAGCCTCCTGAGTAGCTGGGATTACAGGCGTCAGCCACCATGCGTGGCTAATTTTTGTATTTTTGCAAGAGACTGGCTTTCACCATGTTGGCCAGGCTGGTCTAGAACTCCTGACCTCAAGAGATCCACCTGCCTCAGCCTCCCAAAGTGCTGGGATTACAGGCATGAGCCACCACACCTGGTGATGCCCAGCTAATTTTTGTACTTTTTGTAGAGATGGGGTTTGGCCATGTTGCCCATGCTGGTCTTGAACTCTGGGGCTCAAGTGATCTGCGCCCCTTGGCCTCCCAAAGTTCTAGGATTATACGCATGAGCCACCACGCTGGGCCTCCATTTATTTCTGAATGAACGATGTCTCAATAGGGTTGTTCTCAGGAGGGTCCTCAGTTCTCTCTTTCTTTTGTATTGGAGGCCACAGTTACAAGATCAGGAGAGGCTTGCCTGAATTAGAAGCTCACCTGGTCCATCGCTTATCGAATAATGAGATACTGGTTCACATCAAAGAATCAAGGCATTTCATTTACCAATTTCAATCTAAGTGGAGAAACTGATGGTGGCTAATAAAATTGTGTCCTCATCAAAGGGAAACTTACCTAAGGCTTTGAACATTTGCATTCCTCCATATTTTCCTTCAAACAGAACAGTGTTGTTTAATGGGTTGAAGGCACGGCACATTCTCACTAAAACCACTTCCAAGCAACCTATGAGTAAAAAATAAAAATAAAAATAAAATAAAAATACACATATATATCCAATAATAAAGAAATTATTACTGCATATAGGTAAGAGACTTTCAAGAACTTTAAAACACACAGAGAGACACATACACACACACACAGGCACACACATACAGAAATCCCTTAAGTTCCTTCCCCTAAAATAACTATTAGGTTGGTGCAAAAATAATTGCAGTTTTTGCCATTGAAAGTATTGGCAAAAACCTAATATATTTGCACCAATTTAATATATTAGAAATAAAGTTTTCTTGATACTTATATGAGGAATTAAGGAGAAAATATATTTTACAGGTGGCTAAGCTGGACATTACTTTTTGAAAATACATTTTTCTCTATTTTTCCACTAATATTAAAGCTAGTTTTGATTCCTGAATTCACAATTGAGGAAATGAGGGCAGAAATTTTGTCTGCAGTGATAGGCAGCCATGATTACTGTATTCACTCTTGCATCTCCAGGACCAAGAAAAGTTTCTGGCACATAGTAGGTGCTAAGCAAATATTTATTGAATGAATTTGTTTACTACCACTGTTTTTCCCTTTGAGCATTATTAACATCCTGAGGAAATACTGCTGCATAGCTTCCCATGTTTTGGAGAAATGGGCTTTTGCCCCATAGTGCAGTTGAAGTTAACAGCCAGACTCAGCAGCCACAGATTTGCATGAGAGCATCATACTGGTGATTAGCCTACAACTTTGGTACCTGTCTTATGCCATCACTTTATCTTTATGTCTCTGTTTTATTTCCTTTGCTGTACATATGTTTGCTGATTTCTCTCTGCTTGTCTTTGATACGTCACCTAGCATAGAGGCTTATACATGGGGAGGATTTGCAAATATTAATTGAAGGAATGCTTTTCTGACACAAACAGTAGATGGGTACCATTTATTGAGTATCTACACAATGGAAGGAACTTTCTTTGGCCTCTTACATTCATTTTTTATCTTTGCTCCTTACAATAACTATTTCAGGTGAGTTTATTAGCCCTATTTTATGGAGGAGTTACATGAGGCTTGAAAATATTAAGTACCCTACCTTTTTGACTAGAGTCAACATTTTTACACCAGGTAGAGATGTTAAAGATTATATGGTTCAGTTGTTCCCAAATGTCAGCCCATGGATTGGTTATATCTGAGTCTTAGTTAGAGATACAATGAACTGGGTTCCCCTCCAGGAGATTTGGATTCCATGGGACTCATGGTGCCCATGTCTCTGAACTGTCAATAATCTCCTTTGATGTTGTTGATGCAATTCTAAATTTGGAATTCATTGTTTCTAGTCCATCTCTTTATTTTACAAATGAGGAAACTGCTATCTAGAGAGTTTAGCTCAAGGTCACATATCAAGTGTGGCAGATTTCACTTTTCAAAGAGGGTCAGAAAAAATATCTTCCATCCCATATGTTTTCTAGGACCTTACCACTCCCCTATTAAGTAGTAGAATCCATGTCTCCTATCTTTGAATCTGGGTGGGGCTTCATGACTGATGGTATATAATGGAAATAACAATATGTGTTTTCTGAAGCTAAGTTAGAAAAATCTATGCATTTCTGCCTTGTTCTCTTGGGGTGCTAGCTTTTGGAACCTAGAGAACACCCTAGTGTTCTCTTGGGGTGCTAGCTTTTGGAGCCTTGAGCAAGTCCAAGCAGTCTTTGGAGGGTCTCACATGGAGAGGAACTGAGGCCCCTAGCCCAGTTCCAGGCTGTCAACTAGCACAACTCATCAGCTGTGTGAATGAGCCAATTTGAAAGTGGATTCCTTTGCCCTCAGCTGAACTGACTCAGTGAATACCACATGGAGCAGAGATAAGGTCACTCCCACTGAGCCCTGCCCAAATTGTAGCTTTGAGAGCGAAAGAAATAATTCTTGTTGTTTTAGTTAAATTTTGCAGTGGTTTAGATGACTGGTACATCAAGTTGACACTTCAGTCAAGGTTTTCATCAACTTGAGTCATTTGGTAAAGAAGGGATCTTAGAATAACAGTTATATTTGGCCCAAGTTCAAATGCCAACTTTGCCGTGTACTGGTTTTGTAATATTGAATGTAGCTCTTCACTTCTCTGAATCTTTTCCTCCTCCTCTGTAAGATGGAAATAATAATATGGATCTCACAAGATTACTTGAGATGTCATAGGGAAACATAAACACATATGTATGTTATTTTACTTATGAGTATGTTATTATTATTATTATGGCCTAGGACCATGAAAATTCGCATAAACACCATCATGGTTCTTATTTTCTATTTTCAAAGGGGCCCAAGAAAGACAAATAATTTCTTTTTCCTGTTTGGTAATAACATCCGCAAAGTCAGTCATATGCAGAGTTTCTTGAGCTACTTCCGCAGCGATTGTAGCAATTGTGTGTGTCAGACAGTGTGTTAGGGAAGGGTAGGGAAAGATTAGAGTACCGTGGAGTTTCTCCTGGTGTATACTGGCTGCAGGCTATCCTCATTAAAATGATTGGAAATGACCACAGAGGCAGAACTCAGCTAGCCTGCATTTTTTTTTTTTCCTTTCACAGAAGGCAAGGAGTACGTTTTAGCGCCGGCTCAGCAATTCAGCCACCTTGACACGCTAATTACTTGCACTGCCTGTCAAGCTGGGTATTTCAACCTCCGCAATTAATAGCTCCACTTTCAATAAGCAAAATTGTATTTGACTTCAAAGGGGAACTGAATGAGTATCAGGGCATTTTTATTACTGAGAGTTTCCTTTGGGAGTTGGCTGACAATGTGGGTGGTAGAAACGAGCTGCATATCGGAAGGAGGATTTTCTAGAACCAACACAGTGCTAAGGGCTGACCACATCCTTATCTGAAATAGGCCTCCCATGAATCTTCTTGCTTACCTGACTTCAGAAGTAGAATTTGATCATTTTGACAGAGCTCCATGAAGCCTGTTATCCGCTTTGCAAACTCCACCACGTATTGGATGGCGTGAGTGATCTGGATGGCACATTGTTGCCACAGTGCTTCCCTGGACTTGAGGAGAGAAGACACAGAATGTAAATAGGGCAAACGACTTACGGAGAGTCAACAGAACACTCAGGTTTGCCTTACTGGTGCTTATCTGTCACTTGGGGCCAAAGGAGGGAATTTATATGATTCCTTTAAAAAAGGAGGGCACTACTTTTATTTTTTTTCCCTAAGTTAATATTTTGACCTGTTTGGACCTCAATAGGCCAAAATGATCAAAGTACTGAGGCTAAAATAATAGCAACATTGTTTATAGTAAGTAAGGATAGCTTTGTTATTTTCTTTACTCTTTTTCCTCCTTTTCCTCCTTCTCACCTAAACGAAATCTGAGTTTGTAAAGAAAATAACAAATCTATCTTCACATACTATTAATATAAAAAACAAAGCTTTGCATTGAGGGATAGTGATTTCATTCACAGGCTTCCATGACATCATTTTCATGGGTATCTGATGGGCACTAAATTTGTAGTATTTTTATGTTGTGTCTTTTTCCCAGACCTATGGAGAGTGTTTTCTGGTTTAAAAAGAATTCCGAGGCCGGGCGCGGTGGCTCACGCCTGAAATCCCAGCACTTTGGGAGGCTGAGGCAGGCGGATCACAGGGTCAGGAGATCGACACCATCCTGGCTAACATGGTGAAACCCTGTCTCTACTAAAAATACAAAAAATTAGCTGGGCGTGGTGGGGGGGCGCCTGTAGTCCCAGCTACTCGGGAGGCTGAGGCAGGAGAATGGCGTGAACCTGGGAGGTGGAGCTTGCAGTGAGCCGAGATCGCGCCACTGCACTCCAGCATGGGTGACAGAGTGAGACTCCGTCTCAAAAAAAAAAAAAAAAAAAAAAAAAAGGAAAAAAGAATTCCGAGGAAAAAGGCATTACATCAAATCAAATCATTCACCTAAGTTCAGTAGAATCACCCAAATATTTTTTAGTCCTCAGTTTATTTTTTGAAATGAGAAACAGAAATCTATGTGTGTTAATTCTAATTTTTATTGACCATAGCGACACAATGCCTTTGTTTCCCTATTTATATAAAAGTACTGAGATTTAGTTGTTCTGGTGGAGAAAAATCAGCATATTGTAAACATTTATTTAGATATACACACATTTATATATTTTATTAAAGTTCCATCTACTGGTGGATTTTGTAATTGGGGATCTCTATCCCAAAGTAATGTAATGTAAATACTGAAAAACAACAATAAATTCCTCTTAAAAACTTCTTCAACAAACCCAAAGAAATGACACAGTGTAATAATGAAAATATGGGATGAGTTGTCCTGTTTTTTGGATTCTTTTTAACATGCAGGGCAAGAAAAAACTTTAGAAAGCCTTGTTCCATATATTTGCTGTGTAAGTTTGTGACGATTACAACTGCTGTGATTATTACATTGCTCCTGCTCCTTGCCTCCACCCAAGAAGTCAGCAAGAGATGTCCTAAAATCATTTGATGAAGGCACGGTCTCTGTAGTCACTCAAATAGGGCCGTGGTTTTTCAATCAGGGTAGTTTTGCCTCCTTGGAAACAGTTGGCAGTATCTGGAGACATTTCTGGTTGTCACAAGTGTGTGTGAGGGCGATGGCACATCTAGTGGGTAGGGCCAGGGATGCTGGTAAGTATCGAACAATTTGCAGGATGCCCTTACAGAAAAGAATTGCCCAGTGCAACATGCCAATAGTGCTGAGCTTGAGCAACACAGCAATAGGGTAATCACAGAAAAACTTTCTCATGGTTTCCCAGAGTACCTTGCTTTGATATGCTTTAATTTCTTCATAGGTGTGGGTCTGCCACGCCAGCTGGTGCAGCTCTTCCATGGTGTATTGACATGTCTCCAAATGGGACTTAATGATGTTCTGTGCAATTCGGTCTGTGAGAAAAGATATCAATTCAAAGGTTTGTGAATAAAATTACTCTGCTCATTAGCTTTTAATGTGTTTACTATAAGAATGCCTTTTGGAGATACTCCTATTGTATTAAAGTGTCTTTAACATTGCTATCTATCTTAAAATCTTCAGACAAACTCTTTATTGCATTTTTTCAATTTTCAGTATTTTAATCAAAATTTATTGCTTTCCCCCAGGTCTTTTGATCACAACTTAGGGGTTTTACAAGTTGGAAACCATTCAAAGGTATTTATTTATAAAAAAGATATAAAATTATTATATTTCTTGCTTTTTGGCTTGAAAGTCAACTAACAGTCTTAACACTTGTACTCCAAATACTTTAAAATGTTTTGAAAATCACTAGAACCCTATTGTTTATCTCAGAAAGGGGGCATTAAAATATAAATTTATTTGCTTATTTTTTTAAAGGAAGCATTAAACAATAAACTAAAAGAAAGGCTATGTATAGAGGAAATAGGGAACAGAATGCAGAGACAAGGAAACAAATTAAATTTTCTGATAATACTATTTTTGTAGATTTGACTTTGGGGCAATGTAAATATCTTACATAATAGGAGAGGTGGTGTACACAATACAATATTGGCTATGAGTTGATAATGATTGGAATTGGGTCATAGGGACCATTATATTCTCCTTTTTAATTTTTTATATAATAACCTTTTTCTTTTAAAAAGTTTAAAAATGATTAAATGATTATATTCACAAAAATTAGTAGCAAACACAATTTTGGGCAGTTTATCCCAATCGAGTTGTATTTCACATTGTATCTTAAATACCAATCATTTTGGGTTTGGAGACATGAAAGTTGAGCAATAGAACCAGACATAAGAGCTCTCCTTAAAAAAAGCCTGCTGTGGGAGATCAAGACCATCCTGGCTAGCATGGTGAAACCCCATCTCTACTAAAAAAAAACCACAAAAAATTAGCCAGGTGTGGTGGCACACGCCTGTAATCCCAGCTACTCAGGAGGCTGAGGCAGGAGAATCGCTTGAACCTGGGAGGTGGAGGTCACACCAATGCACTCCAGTCTGGGCGACAGAGCGAGACTCCATCTCAAAAACAAAACAAAACGAAGCAAAACAAAACAAAACAAAACAAGCCTGCTGTGAGTCCCCTGAAGGTGGCTAGAGCTAGGAGGTGGTCCCTTGTAATCCCACCTGCTAGTTGAACACTAGTTGAAAATAAAATTTTCTTGTATTTCAGGTTGCGCCATTTCAAATGTAAGTTCTGTTCTTTCTAAATGGCCAACCCCATTTCTCCAGGACAGCCCTCAAAGCAGCATTTGGCTGTCTCCTTTCTATCTCACTAAGCTTCTGGTATATAGGGTACAAAGTAAATTAAATTTTAGTGATGTAGAGAACAAAAAATTGTAAACTTAAGCTTCTAATAAATTTTCTAAACAAAAATCTCCTACAGACCATTGCCTGGCACGTTGGAAACACTGAATAAATGGTAGCCCCGGTTATCCTTATTAGGACAGTCTACATAGTTTGTCATCAGGGGAGCAATATGATGACTCCAATGGAGATACAATTCAGTGGAGATACTTAATTCTGCAATCCATCCTGCAGAAAGAAGATATTTCAAGAGTTTTTCAATCAAAATAAAATAATACATGTAGAAGATGCTACCAAATGCTAACTTCTGATGATAGCTCTACTCTATTGGATTCAGCACTGAGCATTTCTAGACTTGCACTGCTTATGATATTACAAAATCCTTTCTTTAAAAAATCCTATATTCAAAGTTTAATTGAACATTCTCCTATGGTATAAAAAGGGTAAAAATTACTCTATCCATCATATTAAAATAGATTGGTATGTCATGGCTCATCATTTTTCAATTTCACCGGGGCAGTCTAATTACTTAGAATCTAAAAAAACATATTTGCTTTCCAGTAGGTATATAATGTTAACAAAAGATTTTATAGCTTTATAGTTTTCAAACTATTATCTTCTTGGTGTAGTTTGTTTTCATTTTCAAAGACATGCTGATTTGTTGGTAATTTACAGGCTTCAGGGTTTATAAACAAGACTATCATTGCCACTCACAATTGTATTGTGAAAAACTTTATCTGTTCTTTTATGATATCTGCCTGGAACTGTTGGCCAAAGCTTAAGGATTCTCTGGCCTTCTGATATCAAAATTTAGGAGTCTATGGTTTATGAGGAAGGGTAGGTACAATAAATACGTGGGAAGGTTAAGGAAATAGGAAATTAAATCCACATGCATGCTTCAGGACTCAACCCGGATGGTCATGCCTGGTGAAAGTTTCCCTGCCAACCATGTCCTCAGGAAGAAGGGCTGGCTGCCATCACACTTTGATTCTGCCTCAATTGAGCCCTTGTTCCAGTGAGACTCATACTGTGGTTATTTGAATCCCTCTGTTTGTCCCACACCCTTTAAGATTATGAGGTCCTTAAGAACTGGACAGCAGAGCCCAGCATAATGCCTTCATATATTCATTCACCAAATATTTTTGAGAAGGTACCCTATATCAGGTCAAGGTACAGATTAAAAAAACAAAGATTTTGGCTTTTCTTTTCTTTTCTTTTTTTTTTTTTTTTTTTTTTTTGAGACCGAGTCTCACTGTGTTGCCCCGGCTGGATGGCAGTGGCACGATCTTGGCTCACTGCAACCTCCACCTCCCAGGTTCAAGTGATTCTCATGCCTCAGCCTCCCGAGTAGCTGTGATTACAGGTGCCCACCACCACACCTGGATAATTTTTGTATTTTTAGTAGAGACAGGGTTTCCTCACCTTGGCCAGGCTGGTCCCAAACTCCTGACCTTAAGTGATCCACCTGCTTCAGTCTCCCAAAGTGCTGGGATTACAGGCGTGAGCCACCATCCCCTACCCTTGCCTGTGTTTTAAAGTATCTTACAATAATATAATTTCATGTCATGATGCAATAAATGCCCACAGTTATTGTGGGAGCCCAAAGAAGAAAGTGGCTAACTTAGTCTGGGGGTAGGGGCAGGAAAATAACCATAGAGGAGTTGCCTGGGTCTTGAAGGATGAGCACAGTTTGTCACATGGAGAAGAGAAAGATGTATCCCAGGTAGAGGGAATGATGTTATGAAGGCACAGATAGAAAGCTAGCTGTAGGCTAGGTAATTTCTGACATTACATCTTATATCTTTACAACCTTTACTTCTTTAGGACCAGTCTCCCCTTTACTGAGGATAGAAGTGAGGTTTCGAAAGAGCAAGTGATGGCTGGGTGCAGTGGCTCACGCCTGTAATCCCAGCCCTTTGGGAGGCCAAGGCAAGCAGATCACGAGGTCAGGAGATCGAGACCATCCCGGCCAACATGGTGAAACCCCATCTCTACTAAAAATACAATAAATAAATAAATAAATAAATAAATTAGCTGGGCATGGTGGCGGGTGCCTGTAATTCCAGCTACTCAAGAGGCTGAGACAGGAGAATCCCTTGAAGCAGGGAGTCGGAAGTTGCAGTGAGCTGAGATCGGGCCACTGCACTGCAGCCTGGTGACAGAGCGTGACTCCGTCTCAAAAAAAGAAAAGACCAAGTGAGTCTAGACCAGTTTCTATGGAGCTAGTAAGCAATGTTTTGAAACCGAGTCCATCTTTCCTGGCTTGAAGTCTTGTATATTTGCAACACAGGGTGCATGGAGGAGATGAGGAGAAATAAGACTAGGGTGGACAGATTTTGTGACTGAAGTAGGGATGTCTGAGTAAACAGGTCAAGGAATTTCATCTTGTAGGATTTTTGGATTTTATCTCTGAATTTTACCAATTCAGAGATAACTGGTAACCAACCGAAGTTGTAAAGTAGGAGCTGTAAAGTATGGTCTGTTTTTTGTCTTATTTATTTATTTTTGAGACAGAGTCTCATTCTGTTGCCCAGGCTGGAGTGCAGTGGCATGATTGCAGCTCACTGCAACCTCCACTTCTCGGATTGAAGTGATTCTCCTGCCTCAGCCTCCCAACTAGCTGGGACTACAAGTGGGTACCACCACACCTGGCTAATTTTTGTATTTTCAGTAGAGACGGGGTTTCTTCATGTTGGCCAGGCTGTTCTCGAACTCTTGACCTCAGGCGATCTGCCCACCTTGGCTTCCCAAAGTGTTGGGATTACAGGCGTGAGCCACCATGCCCGGCCTTGGTTTTTGTTTTAGAAAGGTGACTTTAGTCATGGCAAAGATGAGATGGCATTAGTGAGTACATGAAATTAATCAGGCTGTTGTGAAAATTCACACCAGCTATGAGGAAGGTCTGAACTAGGTCATAATGACAGAGATGGAGTGGAGGAGCTACAGTCAAGACAATTTTGAAGGAGAATACATGGGACCAGCAGATGTGGCACCGAGACAAAATATTAAATATAGTAGGTGCTCAACCAACGCTGAGTTAGTGAAGATAATGTTGAAGATGTCCATCTGTCTATCCATTCTTCCTTCCTTCAGTTGTCTGCTTTATTTCTCAAAGGATTTATAAGAGTTAAGATTGATCCTTTGTTTGATGATCTTAAAGCCTAAGCACTCAGAATGGCTTTGAAGTCAAATGGTAAGCATGCAAAATTATTTTCCATATCCTTGTGGTGGGAAATACAAGTCAAATCTCTTTTATAAATAAGACTTATTACGAATGGCAATGAAGGCAAAAGCACAGTAGCAGCAATTGCAGACACATTCCTCCACCACTTTCTCTCACTATTCTGCAGTGCAGAGGTGAGCCATGTGCAAAAACCGACTTGACCCTCTCAAAGCTCAGCTTGTTACAAGACGCGGTACAGCTAGACTTGGTCTCATGGGAGCAAGACTGGAGGGCTCATTCTGTCAATTAGAAAGATGCTTGAATGTCCAAGGAGATGGTTTGCTTAGACTGAGAGTCTGCAGTTGTGAAAAGAGGAGAGGGATTTAAAAAGAAAGGCCAAAGGAGAGACAATGAATACAGTATGCAAAGTTTCTGTTGGGAGCCAAAGGAACTTTCAAGAGTCCTTGCTTGGAAAAGTAGAAAAGGTAATAGTAAATGTAGTCCTCTCTAGGGACCAACCACATGAGAAAGTCCAGACAAAAGGGACTGAGGTAAAAGAGCAGAGGATATGGAATCTTTCTGGGCAATCTCACATCCTTCATCCGTTACCCTAACTTGGATTGCAGCTGTTTTCAGCTCAGTTTTTGTTGGCTTCTTTGACTAGCTTGGGCTGCAGATGGTACATGTCGAAGAAGAAGTCAGTATGCTCTGTGCTGGAATAGTAAGTCCAACAGGAATATTGCCCAGATAACTAACTGATGGGAAATTCTACCACCTCCAAAGGTGATGCACACAAACTCTACACTCTGCTCTTCCTGAGACCACGGATGAGGCTGGAGATTTCTTAAGTGGGTGTGAAAGAAAACTTGTAATGAAAATGCAGCTACATCTTCTCAGTAGTTAAGATTCCCTACATGTGTTCAGTGAGACAGAGGTTTGTTCAATTTACTAAGAGTATGTGGGCTGCTTTGATAGTTAATATAATGATATAGAGGAAAGAGAAAAACAATTTTATATGCTCAGTCTGTCCAGTCATTCCTTTTAATCATGATAAGGCAAAAAGTGAACATTGATGCAGGCAAGGAAAAATTGGGTGTGTATTGCAGGTTAATATTAAATCCACATTCCTCATTTTCTATTTGTTAATTTCATGAACAATCACTTGCTATCACTTTCTCTCTTTCTCTTCCTTTCCCTTCTATATTCTCACATGTATAAACACATAAAACTTTTTCCCCCCAAAAGTTGCTGTTTTGTTTTCAACTTTGACCCTGATACTATTCTTTGTGGAAGGCTTATTGGAATCCAAGATTTATATTCAATTAACAGAATTTATAACTTTATATATTGAGCAACTTTATGGGATAGAAATGACAATGTGTGAATCAAATAAAAAGAAGTCTCAGAAAGTTTTAAAATAATTGATATTGGTAAATATACTTCTGCATCACTTTGATGAAAAAATATTTTAAAATATTGTTAAAATTGTCAAACCTCCCTAGAAGTCTTAAGGGTAATCTTTACTTTTGATGTGTGCAATAAGAAGAGAGAAATTAAATTTTTGAAGGGAAAACTAGAATAAAATTGATGGTAATTCTCAATAGTGTGTGCAATAATTATAGAACCCTGGGGCTGGACCTAACCTCCTTCCTCCATTTCCAAATGGACTGTATCTAAATAATCCTAGAAATTAGCTGAGTCTCCTTACTCTCTCTCTCTCTCTCTCTCTCTCTCTCTCTCTCTCTCCCCTGAGACTGTAAAGGACTTCTACATATCCTACCCCATCCTCAATACTCTTCATTGTGATCTATTAATAAATCAAAGAAGTAAGAAAGAAAGTCCAATGTAAGGATTTACAGCATGATTGAGATGTGCGTGATAAGGTTTATACAAGTAAATAGAGTTTTAAAAGGTCAATTATATCAGACGATGTAAAAAGGTGTAAGAATAATATTTTGAAGCAATGTTTAAAGAAATATATGAAAAATAACTTCTCTTACATATTGATCCACACAGTTAAGCAAAGTTTGGAAACAAGTCATCCAAATTACCTAATTCTATGTAGAAAGAAAAAGGGCTACATCTGCTTATTTTGGTGAAAAAGAAGTAAACTGACAAGCAAGGTGACGATGTCTTGTTTATAACTGTGATGTTATAAAATGAGGACCAGCTTGCAGTTACTAAAATAGCAAGTGACCTTCTGCAGCTCTGATTTCAACCACTCAGCGGGTTTTTTTTCCACCAAAGCGGCTTATTTTACCTCTCACTAGATAGACATTTCAGCAAATGGCGCTCTCCAAAGGCTACAATGTCTCAGACACGGATTGCACGGGTAGTTTCATTAGAATGCCACATCCTGGGAGTGGGGAAAGTTGAGTATATCTTTAAAAACTGCTGCTTTCGGTGTTATTACCAAGAGCACCGGAGGCCCAACTGCATGCACCAAGGCAAGAAAGCTGAGCCTCAGAGCTATATATAGCGCTAGAGGGTGTTGCTCCTGAACTTCGTAATTCTCAGCTCCCACCTCCTCCCTCTTTTTTTCCTCCTGAGAAAGAATGGTTTCTTCTTGGTGAACTATACCCTCTATTCATTTTTCTCCACAAGGGACTTTTTTTTTTTTTAAAGTTGGAAGTATTCTTCCTAAAAATACCGTATCTCAGCCTCAAAGTGATTAATGAATTTTTAATTTGTCACTTGCCTTAAGGATCTAGAGTACCACTGAATTCTCTGTTTAGTTTATACTACTAGTGCGAAAATGGAATTCTTAGGAGATTCACTGTGAATTAGTGGCAGGATATCTCTATGGACTTGCCCAAGGCATGTTTTAAGTGCCTACATTAGGTTTTCATAATATCAAGATTTCTTAGAATCTGTGCTCTTAGGCAGTAACTAAAACATATTAAAACACTTGGTTGAAAGGTGAAACATTTAACCAAATGCACACACAATTTTCCTTTTTCAAAACAGACAGCCAGTTTTGTTTTCTGTCATTAGACAGAACAAGTCTAGTGGTTTGTCACTGATGGCAATGTCAGAAAAGACAATGTCATTTAAAGACCTTTCTGATTTTTCTAATCCCTATTTAGAGATCATTATTTTTAGCATAAATAGAATTCTGCTGTCAGAATAAAACCATTGATATATTTAAGCTTAAAACAGTAATCTATTAGTGATCTGTAGATTCGGAGGAAGAGTAGGAGATTTAGCATTTCGTTTCCTCAAGTTTTTTTAAGCAGAAATTGGGGGCATCAATAATTTATAACTTATTTGTTGGCTCAGTTCATGGTCCAACCACTCATTACTTCCCCCTCAATTAATCAGGATAGCTTTCAATCTCCTTTACATGCAAATTCTATTGCCAACTGACATATCAGCGAATGGCATAACTGATTTTTACTTCATGCAGACCTGAATATTCTAAGACCAATTTGCTCCTAGAGTTCTTCAGAAAAAATATGTTGACAAAATGTAAGATACTATGCTAACTTTTAAAAATAATAAAAATATAATAAAACACAATTCAATAAACTATGAAATGGAAAAAAAATTAAAAAATCAGATTAATGCAAGTAATAGTAATAGCTGGGCAAAGATTGAATGAATAGATTAATAAAGTGATTAACATTTTCTCAAATTTTAGGAAGCTCAAATAAGATAGCATTTTTTTTCTTTTGAGTTGGAGTCTTGATCTGTCGCCCAGCTGGAGTGCAGTGGTGCCATCTTGGCTCACTGCAACCTCTGCTTCCCTGGCTTAAGGGATTCTCCTTCCTCAGTCGTGCAACTAGCTGGGACTACAGGCACGAGCCACCACACTTGGCTAATTTTTGTATCTTTTAGTAGAGATGAAGTTTCACCATGTTGGCCAGTCTGGTCTCAAACTCCTGGCCTCAGATGATCTGCCCGCCTCGGCCTCCCAAAGTGAGCCACCGCGCCTGGCTTCAAGTAAGATAGCATTTTCTAATAAAAGGTAAGAAAGCAGGGAGTAAAGCTGAAAGAACCTACATAGCATTTGTGTTTAAACAGAGTATATCCAAAGCAGGGAAAAAATTACAAGCAGGAAAAACAAGTTAACTATCTAAGAGGGTGCTTTCTTTATTTAACAACAGAAAGCTGTTTTGGATCAGAAGCATTTTGCTGTATTGCAACAGTGTGTGTCTAATTTTTTGGAAATTACAGTTTCCTTTCTTGAAATCAGTTGACGAGAAAGAATCTATTGTTAAAAGATTACATTTAAAAGTGAAGTTTTACAGTAAAAGATCTCCTTCACAGAACAGTCAGAAAGATTAATTTACTTAAATGTCCTGCAGTTGATGAGTTTTAAGGGGGTTATATAGTAAGACCAAGGAAGCCAACATGGTCCCTTTCAGTCTTTTAGTTTGTGCTTTTGGGGAAGTCGCTTAACCTATTTAACTCAGTTTTTTGGGGTTTGATCCTCCATCTGCAAGAGGATTTGGCATCAGCGATGTTTTCTAAGGTCTGTGTGAAGCTTGACAACTTGAGTCTGGAGAGGCTACATGAGAATTTTCTTTCCTTTTTTTTTTTTTTGAGACAGAGTCCCACTCTGTCACCCAGGCTGAAGTGCAGTGGTGCAATCTTGGCTCACTGCAACCTCTGCCTCCCAGGTTCAAGCAATTCTCGTGCCTCAGCCTCCCAAGAAGCTGGGATTACAGGCACGTGTCACCACACCTGGATAATTTTTGTATTTTTAGTGGAGACAGGGTTTCTCCATGTTGGCCAGGCTGGCCTCGAACTCCTGACCTCATGTGATCCACCTGCCTTGGGCTCCCAAAGTGCTGGGATTACAGGTGTGAGCCACTGCGCCTGGCTGACATGAGAATTTTCTTTGTTGTGACGCATGGGGGAGAAGCCTTGCAGAGTTACAGAAGGTGAGAGTATAGTTTACAGGCTTACAAACACTTGAAGAGTCTTAGATAGGACAAACCAAAACAGCAAAATCCAGAGGCCATGGAAAATCTTCCTTTAGTCTTCTTAAAAACTGCACCTCCACACGCCACCAAAGGACAACCAATGGGTCACAGATGATGAAATCTCATTATGAAAATTGCTCAGGGCCATCACTAGGATTGATTTTCACCATTTGAATTTTGTTGACATATGGATTGATTGTTAATTTAAACAGATGCAATCTCTCCCCCACCTCACCACCCTTTTGGATGTTTAGTCAATGCATTTCTGACCTTTAGGAAGAACTAATTTAGAAGTAATCTTTGAAGGTCATTTTTATATTTTCTAACACCCTAAATTTTAAAAAGTACATGGTAATTTAAATAATGCATTTAATTGACTAAAGCTTTAAAATAGTGGTTTTTGATGGTTCCTTATTGTGTCAAATTGTTCCAGAACAAATCTTGCTGAAAACCAAATAGCAGTTCCCCAGTAGGCCTCATAAACATGCCTCAAATTTAAATAGCAAATTCATTCTCCTCAGTATTAAGATTATGTTTTCAAGAGAAAGCTTACCTTAAAAAATAAATAAAATAAAACAAAAATTGTTTTCCAGTTGGGACAATTTCTAACAGGTTTCCCCACATTTGCAAACATCACAGAAATAAATCCTGTATTGGTTAGCAGAGAGCACCTGTTAAATTGGTTGCATACCACGCTAATCACACCAAAGTATGCTAATCCCCATCAACCTTGTGATCAATTGGCGCTTCTGGGTTCCATAGCCCATGTGGTATTTTAACTCTTACCAGCTCTTCCAAAAATGGGTGCTTGAAAATGTGGCTAATACATTCACCCCAGCCAGTGGAAAAGTAATTCAGAGCTCTAAAAGCCAATGTCAAAGCTTGCAATGCCTTAAACGTATGGCTTCTCTGCAGTATAATGTCTTGAAATACTATTTAATGTGGAAACTGTCATTAGGGACTGATTCTGAGGTCACTTCATAAGTAGAAACATTCCCTGCTCCTCCAAGTCACAGGCAGAACCTCCTGAAATCTCCTTTCCTTTTGCTTACTGTAGAATATTTTATAATTACTATGGCTTTTGAAATGGAGTTGGCTTTCCAGTAGCTTCTCAATAAGATTTTGTTGTTGTTGGTGGTGGTGGTAGATTTTAGAATCTTCTTATGAGGTTCTGAATTCTAAGGCAAAATGTAATACCTAACTAGTATCTCCAGGAGAAATACACTGAGGAAGATAAATTTTGCATAGTTTCAACTCAAAATAAAAACGGTGCTTTAGATGAATGTAGTCTAATGAATTGCTAGCACATTGGGAAAACTGTATTGACAGAGGCACAAGCCTGTAGTGACTGATATGCACACATGTACTGTAAGTAGATATGTATGTCTATGAGTACTTGAATTGAGCATATATGTGTGTGTTGTTTGTGATGTAAATCATATATTTGTTTGGAAACTGGCTGGTTACAAAGTGCTTTGTATACATTCTACCATTTATTGCAGTTGTGGGGAAGCACTATACATGTTACTAGGTGATTGTAGACCATCTTTGCGGGGTTATTAGAGGATACCTAGAAAGATATGGATTCAAATAACCCTAGGGATTAACTGTACAGTCCGTGGCTCCAGGTATCCTCTACGATAATTCATAGTCATAGACTGGTTAATACTATAGATGTAACCATGGTAGAGGTCCTAGGAATATGACAAATTGGCCCCAAACTGGGAGAATTCCTTTTTGAGATAGAAAGCAAGATTTTGGAAATAAGCAGGCTTTGGGAGATATTCTGTGGTTGGCACAGAACAAGGTGGTGCTAAAATTTCAGAAGAGTCAAGTAAGACCCTCTCCAATGACCCAGGTGACTTAGGTAGCTTGGTCCCTCAGTAGTCAAGAATATCTTCTGCCGGGCATGGTGGCTCATGCCTGTAATATCAGCACTTTTGGGAGGCTGAGGCGGGTGTGTTACCTGAGGTCAGGAGTTCAAGACCAGCCTAGTCAACATGGTGAAACCCTGTCTCTACTAAAAACACAAAAGTTAGCCAGGCCTGTAATCCCAGCTACTTGAGATGCTGAGGCAGGAGAATCACTTGAACCTGGTAGGTGGAGGTTGCAGTGAGCCAAGATCGCACCACTGCACTCCAGCCTGGGTGACAGGCAGACTCCGTCGAAAAAAAAAAAAAAGAACCTATCTTCATTTTATGAACATATTTGCTTTTTCTTCAAGAGGAGCTTGGAAGTGATCAGGTTGTAGTGAACTAGGGAGGACAGGTGCGTTTGCCCTAAAGCGGCATCTGTACAGCAGCTCACTCTTTAATTGGATTGTACATGAACTTGGAGTGATTTGGGATTGGCTACTACCCTTTCCTTGAGCTGCTCCTGGTTGTCCTTGACATTCATTTTAATCTGATTTCTTGTTTTTATTGTTTTGTTTTGTTTTCAGGAGGATGGACGGAGAGAAGAGGCTAGTGCACGGTTCTGATTTGACAGTGGTTGTTAACTGCATGTTTGGCTGGGTCATTTCACTTAGTGAAAGCCCCGAGTATCGTCCTGCTCTCCAGGAGGGAAGTGTGCTGGCTACTGCCATGGACAAGTTATTCAGCATCATTCAGAATTGCTTAGTTGCTTCCAAGTCCCCTCCTCTCTTCTACCCTACTCTTATCTGTGTGACGTGGCTATAACAAGGGGGGAATATTAATGCACATGACCAAAGCTCCCTGGAAGATGAGAGAACCATAGTCTTTAAAAGTCATTTGATCCAATTGTCTTATTTTTCAGATGGTGAGACAGAATCTCAGACAGCTGGACTAATTTTGAATACATTCACATGGCTAGTATGCAGAGTTAGGACCCCCAATCTCAATGTACTTTCCCTAAATTGCCTGCAAAGGGTGTGTGGTTGGGGTGGGGGTGAGAGAGGGGTTAGATGACAATGAAAGTTCACAAGATGTCTCCTCTCAAGGCAAGGAAGAAAGAGCTAAACACTGAATTTTCCTTTTCCCATATTGTTCAAGTAATTTTTCTTGCAAGTTTGGTCTACTTCTATCTGTTTTAATGATGTATCGGACAGTTACCTCTAAATGGAATGCCTACCTGTATTTGATACAGGTTCTATCACAGGACACAGGAAATATATAGCAAGAGTTAAGTTCTATTCTCTGCACCATTTCTGCATGGGTAGTTAGATGTGCATAATAGATTTAAACAGTATAAAATATTTATCCTTAAAAGCATATGCCATTAAAGATGCTGCTTTAAGACCAAAGCATCTGCTTGGGGTTCTTAATAAGCCACAATTGAAGCACCACCACTTTTAATAGAATTCTGCAAAATAAAACACTACTAGTAAAATCTTCTGTATTTTTATGTAGCCTTAATAGAATGAAGTAGTACATTACAGGGACTAGATCGCTTTTAGGCCAATACCTCTTTGTAATCTCCTTTAACTATTAATACTCAGTTTCTGTAATAGGTGAATTTTTAAAAAAGAGATTTATATTTATTTATGATGCTTAACATTCCAGGTTCTATAAATAGAACACGAAAGCAATATGAAAATAAGTCTGTGTTAAAGACAATATAAGAAGGGATCAGTTAATTCACATTTCATTGTCTTTATCTGGAGAGAAAGTTACTGAATAGAAGAGCAAACCATGGTGATGTTTGTAAAAGGCAATGTACACCCTTAGCATTGTAGCTAATTTGATGGATTTTTTTAAATATAAAAAAGCATGTTGTTTGGCTGTTTCAATTGTCTTGTTGTCTGAGACGTTGTAGATACATTGCCAATCACTTCCAGCTTAAATGAGCTTTCATTAAGAGTATTAGTCCTGCAGAATTCCCCAACTCATCTCAGCTTGTTAGTGGTGGAGCAAAGACAAGATGTTCTACTTTCCTTTTCTGCATGTTTGCGGAACATCTTTTAGCTAGCTAGCTTCCTCTCCCTGCCACCAACCACTGCAAAATGTTATCCCTAAAGATGTAACACATCCATCACGCCAGTTTGAAGTAAAATTCCAGCTAAACCCAGTTAATACTGCTGTCTAAATATTAATTTTCGGCTTACTTGTTGCCATTCTTTCATTTCATGGCTTCTTTTTCCTATGGTTTTAGAAAAACCCAAGGATGTAACTCCTGAAATGTTTCATGGTTTTCTGTTTGCTTACCCACATTTTATTTCTATTCTCAAAACTAGGGGAATAAAACATTCCTGATAAGAGATGTGGCTCAGGTTGATCAATACTTGCCGTCTCCCTCACCTCCAGAAGAGTGTGGTAGCATCCCGCCCAGAACGTATACTTAGGATGTGGTGAATTGTCGTGACTATTTATTTTCGTGGTATCTCCTAGATGGTGAGGGCAGAAACCTCGTTCTGCTCTTCTCAAGTGTATGGCACATTTCAAAAATAGGTATTTGAAGAAAAATGCCTGGCAGTCTAGGACAGTGACTTAACCTTAACCTTAGAATTTAAGCTTTATCACTTAACTCTCTGTCCTAGGAATATCACTCACTGTCTCAGACTCTCAATTTCTTTATCTGTACAATGAAATGGTTTCTTCACTGCTCACCTGAAGGAACTGGTGTGAGGCTCAAAATGACTAAAATGCATGAAATGATTTTCTACATTTTTCTCCATATATCAAACATTATCATTAGAGCCCTTAACCTAGGAATTTTGTAGTTTCGTTGGTGAACTTTCAGCAAGACAAGTTTGTTTTTTTGGGAGAGTATTCCTGACTCTGCTAATATTCAAAAACTGACTTTTTGGGATCTGCATGCAGTTGCTCATATAGTTGTGTTATGGTTCTTACATGTGTGTTTTTATCAAAAATTTCAAACTCATGAGATCTTAGTCTATATGGACTGGTCTAAAAACTGGTTTTTAAAAGCGATCTGCTTTTAAGATGACCCAATATCAGAAGCATAATGACCTAGTTGCATACATTTCATTATTCTCTTAGAATCCAGAGGAAGCAGATCAGGACTTCTGGTAGCCAAGGGTGATGTTAAATTTTTTTTTTTTTTGGTGTGACATAATCTCAAATTCACCCAGTCAGGATGTGGCAAAATCTGATTTTCTGTTTTATATGCATAGGGTTTTTTTCTATGGCAGCTTGCCACCAACCAGATTGGTTTAGATGCCCATTAATCAAATCAAGTCAAAATGACAGCGTGCATACTCTGAAAGCTCCAGTTTGTAGTGCCTAGAAGGAGGTCAGGTAGGCAGCAAACACCAAACCTGTGTTGTGGTGAGAATGGCAATCAACTTGTGAGGAGCTGCCATTGGTGGGAGGAAATACAGTATAACGGTTAAAAGAATGGGTTTTGATGTTACTCAGATATGGGCTTATAAGTGTTCTTTGCTTTTTACAAGTTATATAACTTCTAAGCCTCGATTTTTCCATCAGTAAAATATACAAATACATAACAGGCATAATGGGATTGTTATGAGAATTTAAATAGGACTTGCTCATCACAGTGTAGGTGCTCGATAAAAGGTAATTATATTATCTGCAATAACCAGTGATACTAATAGTCAATTAAAATAACAGTTATATTATTAATAATAATGGTGCTTACATATGATAGGTACTGTACTAAGAACTCATAAATATTAACTCACTTAATCCACACACACAGATAAAGACTATTATTGGCCTGGGTTAACAACTGAGACTCAGAGAAGTTAAGTAAATTGTTTAAGGGAAAAGGCACAATTGGGTTTTAAATGCAGGCACTTTGACTCCAGAAGCAGAGTTCTTAGTCACCACACTATACCACAGATGCCTTCCTGCCCAGTGATACTGTCAAGGATTTAATATTTTAGTGAAATGAGTGTCAATGTTTTGGACGGTGCAGGAAAGACAGTATATTATACTATTGTGGCTCTTCATTGGTACCTAGATTCAACAGTCATAGAATGGGTTTGTGTCCACTAGGTGGCATTGCTGTTTTAATGAAATGTGAACCAAACCACTATTTAGGCTTAGGGGTCTCCTAAATTTGAGAGCACTGGCAGGACAGCCCATTTGCATCCCTAAATGTCTGATGAAAAAAATCCTCCAAAATTTGAAACATATTTAAAGATATCTAAAGACTAGAGGTATCTTGAAATAATTGAGTAAAATATACGCGAGTTTATTTTGCATGTCAATGTCTGTGCAGAGTGTCTGGATAAATTTTGAGATTCTCTAGTCCAGTTCTGTCAGTTCACAGAATAGACTCAGGGTCAGAGAGGAAAAATGACTTGTTCAGGGTAACGCAGACCTGATGGTTTGGCTGTAGTTCTCTTTCCATAATATTTAATGTGGTTGCTAAATCATAAACAAGTTATGATTTATTAATTCTTAGAAGACTCCCCTTTTGAATATAGGCCAGAAGATTGCTCCACTGTTGTGAGTTTTTGTTTTATAAGGATTCAAACATATCTCTCAAATTAATAGTAGACTCAGGAACTTAGATATTAAGTAGTATAAATGCAAAGGAAGGTGCCTTTTCCCTCTTGAAAAGTTTGAATGACTATTTTAAATGACCGTCCCTATTAGTTGACAATGCAGTCTATGAATTGAGACCCATGGCAGGTAGCAGGTTAACAGAGGAGTGGAGGGACTCTGGAATCAGACTGTCTGAGGTGAACCCTGGCTCTGTCATTTAGTAATTATAGGACTCTGGGAAGTTATGAGACATCTCTAAGCTTCGGTTTCAGCATCTGTATAACAGAAATACTATTTTAATTTATCTTTTAAGATGTTCGTGAAAAGTAAACGTGTGAAGGGCCCATGATATAGTAAAAACAGTTAAGGATGACAGTAATAATTAACTATTTTTGTTATTTTAGTTGATGTTTCTTTTTTTGTGTGTCTCTCAGCTGTGAAAGTCATTACAGGTGCTTTGTCAACAATGTTACTCACTGTCACATGCTGCATTGCTAAAAGGGAGAAATAACGCTTCAGGTTTATAACTGTGTAACATTGCTTCTTCCTCAACCAGATGGTACAAGTAGCCAAGAATATGGCCATGTATTTCATTATGTGTTCACAGCAGCTTAATTTAAAACACTTGTAGGCTTTAGGCTCCTATTTGCAGGTTAGACAGAGAAGGTGACCGAGCATGTAGCATAAAACAGTAATAGCTAAGAGTTATTGAGCACTTCCTGAGTGCCAAACCTTGCTATGGTTTACACGTATTAACTCATTTAAGCTTTACAATGTCCCTGTGAGCTACAAGCTAATGCTTTCCCCCTTGTAAAGATGAAGGAACTGGGATTGAGAAACTTGCTCCAGCTTAAATAGTAAGCCAAAGAGCCAGGATTTAAACTCAGGTAGCACAGTTCTTAATTGCTCTGCTCTGCCACCTCTTTGGGCAGAGCCCTTGAAGAAATGTAAAGAGCCCTTGAAGGTTCCTGAGCTCTAGCCTGCTTTCTCCAGTACACTAAATATTGCAGTGAAGCCTGGGATCACATCGCCACTGTTTGCTTAGCTCTTCTAGCCTACTGTTAACATGCAACCCTGTTACCCAGGAGAGTAATGTGTTAAACCTACTTCAATATTTTTATGGCAGTTAGTTGATGAGATTAACTGGTTAAACATTTAATAGACTCCTGAGTTCGATGGAGTAAAACAAAGTTGCAGTGGGTCAGAAGAGAGCTTGCCTAAGGCAGGGCACTCTTGAAGATCGCTCCTTAGGAATCGAAGGAAAGAGGATCAGCTTTCTGATGCAATCATGCCTATGACTAGCTTATTTGTTGCTCTCATGTTCTATAAGATTCCAGACTACACTCTTTTCATTGCTGTAATTCAGAATCCTATATGGAATTCTTGAATTCAGATTTCCAAGAGCCTTGGCGGTCTTCTGGTCTATCGCCCTGACTTCACCAAGAAGGAAGCTGAGATACTGTTTGCTTAAAGTTTGTCCCCATTTATCTTAGAGGAAGAGTTGGGCCCCTGTTCGTTTGGTTATTCCACACTGTTTCTATATCCTTCAGCAATTTCACTTTGAATAGCATCAACTTTGAATACATGCCGAAATTTCCCTGTTTATACCAATAACATTTTTCCTTCAGTGAGAACCCAAATTCAACAGATAGCATCTGTTCTTTACAGATAGCATCTTTCTATTTATAATTTCTTCTTTCTTCCTTTGCTTGAAATAAACTTTTATGGGGTGGGGAAAAATGACATTTATTAGAATATATTTAAAAATCAATTTGTTTTCTCAGTAGAAGCTGTGAATCCAAGTAATTCAATTTAAGTCTTAAGAAAATTACCATACTAAATAGGACCAAGGTAAATTCAAAGCAAAATCTCAAAAAAAGCCACTGGGAGGAGACTTCCACTTACCGATTTCAGTCATGGTTATCCCTGGTGCTAACTGCCCATTGTTGAAAGAGCTATAGGTAAACAAGTTGGGTACGGATGTGAGGTCATAGATAGGTTCTTGCTTTATCTGTTTGATTCCAGTCATGTCAAGTCCTGACTGATCAGGGGACGGCTGACCGGAATCGACGTTGTAATAACCCTCAGACTTGGGCAGGTCAATGACGTGCCCGTTGGCATAAGTGCCGCTGGTCTCGTTGTTCAGGTTGCTCAGGCCGTTGCTAATGCTGCTGCTGTACACCCTGGCAAGGGCTTCTGCCTCCCCACTCTGCTGCTGCCGCTGTTCCTGCAGCCGCTGCTGGTGCTTCTGCACCTCAGCATACAGGCTGTCCCTTTGCTTCTTGGACATCCTCCCAAACTTCACAGCTGGGTTGGAGAGAAAAGCAGAAAACAGCACTTGTGGTTATCATTCGCGTTAACCACCTCAGGTACAACGGGTCATGGGATGGTTGTCCCTTCAACTTCAAATGCACAAATGTCTAGCACCATAACTTAAGAACCCATTCATTTGCACTCCACATCTGGGGAAAGGTTATATTCAGAGGGTACCTGTCCTGGTTTATGCCCACAGTGAGAAATAAATCTAAGCCAGGAAGAAATATAAAAACTTATGTATGTATTTCTCATTGCCATGAAGTTAGAAAGCATGTTTTCCTCTTTTTTTCTTACCTGTGGAAAAAAATGCAAAAAACCAAAATACCAAATTAGCAATAGTACCCGCTATTAAAATGTTAACCAACACTCATAACTAACTTTTCTCTTAATCTTTAGGATTACTAGATTGCCAGATTGGACCCTAGTATTTCACTTTCAAATCTATTTTCTGTTTTCTTTCTCAAATTTCTTTTTATTTTTTATAATAATTTTCTTTAAGAGACAGGGTCTTGCTCTGTCACCCAGGCTGGAGTGCAGTGGCATGATCATAGCTCACTGAAACCTTGGGCTCCTGGGCTCAAGCAATCCTCCCACCTTGGCCTCCTGAGTAGCTAGGACTGCAGGTGCATGCCGCCAGGTCCAGCTATTTTTTTTTTTTTTAATTTTTGTAGAGCCGGGGCCTTGCTATATTGCCCAGGCTGGTCTTGAACTCCTGGCCTCAAGTGAGCCTCCTGTCTCGGCCTCTCAAAGTGCTGGGATTACAGATGTGAGCCACTGCACCCGGCCAGGCCGATTTTCTAAATAGTGTGTTGGGTAAGACCGAAGGCATGGGGCTGGGTGATAAACATAATTTTAAGTGATGGCATCATTTGCCTTCAGTTGGCTTTTGGGATCAAATGATAAGATTCTTTGGAAAATAGCAATTTGGGGCATCCAATGCCTAGCAAGTGACCAAAACAGTAACTATCTTTTCTCATTCTACCACTCCCAAGTTTTATTTTTCCTATCTCTTCTGGCAATATTCTCAGCAGTCTGAGGAAAAAGAAGGAAGAAGTGCTGCAAGTAGTCACAGGGTAATATCAAGGTGCTTTCATTTCAGTGTGTTGTTTCTTAAGATATTTAACCTCCTGAACTGTTGTGAATATTGACATTTCTCCTCACAGGTTGTCAACTGCCTTTTTAGGATGTGAACATCCTGAGTCACAGGCCTACCTTGTTTGAATTATCAAGCATTGTTCAGCTCATGTTAATAGTGGGGGCTACCACAAACTTGGAGGCTCCTCCCTGAGTTTCTGTTTGCTGTTCTTTTGTGACGGTATTCCCACCACCTCTTGGTGTTAGGAGCTCAGAGAATGGAGAAAGAAGGAAATGGAGTTTAGAAAAAGGCTCAGTTCCTGGATTCAATCATGAGGGTTGATGCTCTTCTGAGAATATCTAAATGGTGAAGTGCTTAAGAACTCTCTAGCACAAAGGGAACACAGAAGAGATTCCCACAGTCTGAAAGAGCTGCCATTCACCCTCCTCCTCCAATATTCTTCCAAAATTCATTTTCTTTTCCCATTGGGTACAGAGCTACCATATTTATCTGAGCATAGGCTGATCAGAATGGAGACCGTAATTCCTAAGCCCCCTCACTGGCAGGTATGTGCAGGTGATTAAGTTCTGATTAAGGGGAAGTAAATGCAAGTGTCGCATTCACTTGGGGGTATTGGGGCATGTTTTCCTCCTTCTTGCCTGCTGGATTGTGGATGTGAGGGCTGGGTTTGAAGAAGCCAAACTCTTTCTGTATCTTCTTAATCCTTCTTAAAAACCTACATTCTAGGGCTGGGTGCGGTGGCTTGCACCTGTAATCCCAGCACTTTGGGAGGCCAAGGCGGGCAGATCACGAGGTCAGGAGATCGAGACCATCCTGGCTAACGTGGTGAAACCCTGTCTCTACTAAAAATACACACACACACACACACACACACAGAATTAGCCGAGTATGGTGGTATGTGCTTGTGGGCGTGGTGGTGTGTGCTTTGTCTTCCCAGCTACTCGGGAGGCTGAGGCAGGAGAATCCCTTGAACCCAGGAGGCAGAAACTGCAGTGAGCCGAGACTGAGCCACTGTACTCCAGCCTGGGTGACAGAGGGAGACTCTGTCTCAAAAAACAAAACAAAACACAACAAACCAACCAAGCAACCAACCCCTACATTCTGGCTTTCTGATACTGCCTAAGTAGGAAAACAAAGTGATAATTATCTAGTAATTTTTACTGTGTGAAGACAAACAATCTGACTCATTCAGACTAAACTCCCCTTTCCATCTTAGTGGTTGGTTTTACATGGTCTTGAATTATTTAGATGGTTGTTTTTAACTTTGTTTGTAGAGACACTACCTTTATTAGATTCTGATTCTCATAGACAAATTTATTTGCTTACTAATTGCAGTGACATTTCCAGTTTGTCTATGTACCGAATTCTACAGTAACTTGTAGGGCAAGCTTCCTCTGTATCTTTATATTACATCTTTCTAACCAATTTATTACAAATTATTCTCTAGGGGAAAAACACCTTTTGTATAGGGAAAAAATAAACAACTATAAATATTGATTCAGAAAGAACTTCCCCTTCTCCCCCAGGAAAGTAGAGCTCTTTATTTGCTGCCCTTCTGCCCTTTGCATTTGGGTAGGTTCAGAATAGCTCTTTGTTGTAGAGTTATGGAAGTGAATACAAGGTTTGTATCCATTGCTATAGATCAAGATTTTTGTTTTAGCTAGGGTAGATCTACTTTCCGACTTATTTTAGTAGAATAGTTTTGCATTTTATTGGTTCAAAATTTATAGGAATTAAAGATTGAGAATAAGAAACTCTTCCAACACAAAAACATAAATTTGTGTTTTTTTTTTTTAAAACCCTTTTCCATTTAATCCTTGCTTTAGATTTCTGTATACTCTGTATTTAGGTGAAATATACTTTGTAGATGACTGATTGCATTAATGACCCTGATTCCTCTTGTCTATTTCTTTCCATGCCCTTCCCCATGTCAGTTTGCAGTGCTCTTTCATTCTTTGCAGGCATCCTGCCCAGGGTCATGTGACTTACTGTGGACCAATGGAATATTGACAAATGTGACACAGCAGAGACTTGAAAAAGGCTCGTGTGATTGTGCACCTCACCATGACAAGGACATGCCTGAGCTATCTTGCTAGAGGATAAGCTTGCTGGGGGATATGTGAAGCAGAGCCAGACCTCCTTGGTCATCCCAGGCAAGGCCATCTACAATCAGCAGAGCTATAGAACTGACCTGCAGCTGATGGACACAGAAATCTGCTGTTAACCACAGACATCATAATCACAAGCTAACAATGTCAAAAGAGTATGCTGCCAAGACCTCTGCCATGGGTAACATCTAAAAACTCAACAAAGAAAAGCTCTGCATTTTTTACAAAATTGACTTATCAGGTCACTGAGCAACTGAAATATTTCCAAAGAAACAACTTAAAACTACTACATTTTAGAGTTATTTCAGGTATGATCCTAAATCAAAGACTTCACTGACAATGACTGTAATACTATTCTATAATTAATTTTCCATTTATTTCAGAAACATTGATGAGCCAGTGTTTCAGTTTTGTGCCTCTTCTTGCAATAACAGTGGTGACAAATTTGGGAAAAAAATTACAGTACATGGCAAAAATAAACCTACTGACTTTCTTGACATAATTCATTTTCACTGTTTGTAAATACATTTGTTGTATGCATAGAACTATTTTAACAAAGGCCATGTTAATATTTCAGATATTAGCATTCTTCTTATCACTACATATTAATCAGACTGGCATATATTTTAACTGTCTGCCCCTCTCAAACTTGAGTTATTCTGTTAATGACATTCACTTGAGTATAAAGACAGCCTTTTGTTAAACTGCTACCTCTTAAAGAAACCAGCACAATTCTGTATACATTGCAAGTGCTTATAAATATTCAATGATGTGGTATTTGCTCATGATATGCTCTTAACCCTCATTTTGATCCCATAATACTAAAGAACAATTTAATGTGAAAGTATCGGAAATCATTTTATATTTATTTGAATTGTGGTATTCTAAATGGAATAGAAGTTTTGGATATAACTAAAAAGTAAAGTCATAGCTCCTTCAAAGATTTCTATTAACATAGCACATGGACATGTGTTTTTGGTTTCAAGAGAGCCCAACTGACTATCAATCTATGACTTTCTATAAATTTCCAAAATCATTTTATCTACTACCTTCGGTTGTAAAGTTCTCTATATTTACATTTTGCTGCTTACCAATGAAACTGGTCTCAATTTAACTCTTTTCAGCTTCAGAGATGTGCCTCTTCTGCCACCCTTTTTTTAGTGCTGTAGGCTTTGTATTAGAAGTCTGATTCAATCTACCCAAGCCTATTCATTATTTTAAAATCTCTCTCTTCTCCTTCCTCTTTTTCTCCGACAGAACTCCTTGTGATGTTGAAATGTTCTCTTTGCTTTCCAATATGGTAGCTGCAAGCTGCATGTGCCTAATGAACACTAGAAATATAGCTAGTGTGACTGAAGAACTGAATTTGAAATTTTATTTAATTTAAATTCATTTAAATTTAAATTATTTAAATAGTGACATGTGGATTGGGCAATGTAGTTCTGGATAGAAGCTTAATCTGTGAAACCTGTCCTTTTAGGGCAACTTCTGTCTTTTTGTAGAGACATGCCACTTGGGAGGACATATACTAGTGAGTATCAATTTATAGTAGCACAATTGGAAACAGTTATCCTGAAGATTCCTTTGTAAAGGGTGTAGGTAAAAGAAAAAAATAAAATGATGGAGAAGATTCAGTAGGCTTATGCATGCTGCCAATTCACACACACACACAGACACACACATGCACACATGTCTTCACCTTTTTATACACATAAAGACACACGTATGTGTTTCCAAGTGGATTTGATTTTTGATTCTTCGTTTAAGCTAAATTTGAACAAATTCATTATTGATAAATTTGATGGCTTCTGATATATTCGATAGCTAATAAACCGATATAGCAGTGAAATTTCAGGAGAGAATGAAAATCCAGTGTTTTCAACAGTTATTTTAAGCTATTTCCTAGTGGCCACATTAAGCAGCCAGGTATGATGAAATAAACATTCTTGGAGCCTAATTGACAGAGAGCAAATGCATATACCAAAATGAAGATGCCACTTTATCTCTGAGGGAAGTAGGGGGCTGTAGAAAGCAGTTAGGTATGAGGGCACCTCACTTTGGCTATTGGTACAATTTCTAGAGCACTTTAAGAATACTTGCTGAATCAGAAGAAGGTAGGGATTCTTCTGACTCAGAAATAACCGTGTCTTTCATTCTTGAGCCTTTACTAGACATAGGTAATCAACCATAATTTCAGGGCTTTTGAATCATTCAATACTACATACTAGGCAATACTTATCAATAGGAGGTAAAACCTATTCAGCTTCCCTGGTATTAGCATAATTTACTTGGCATAAGGCACCCTTTCTAATCAAGGTTCAGACCAAACTTTCTCTGTATGATATAGTGAAGAGGCAGCTTTTTCTCTTAGAGAGAATCATTTGTTTTCTCTTCTGCTACAGCCCCTTCTTCTCCAGATTCCCCACCCCACCCACACCCCCGTGACCATTTCTCCTCATGATAAATTTCACATAAGATGTGCTTAGGAGGCATTTTTGAAGATGTCCCCGGCAGCCTCAGGATTGTCTCTGGACCTAAAGTTGAAATGAATCATTATTCTTAATCCTCAGTGTCCTTAGACACTATATTGCTCTTATTTGCATAGAGGTTTATGTGCTGCAATGAATTCCTTCCTTCTTGAGAATAAATTGTGGCTCTGTTAAATGACCCTCCCATCCTCCCGACACATTTCTTTTATGTTACGGGATTCAGACCGTCTAAATTTTGTGGGCTGATGTCACTAAATCTGTTGAATCTGCCTTGGATCATATATTCATCTCTTGCCCATGATTCTGTTCACCAGCACAGACTTAGACCTGCTCTTCCAGAAAGATACTTCCTTTTATTGTAGGAAGAAGTAACAAAATCAAATACCCTATGGCTTATCTCTTTGCACAATTATTAATGGAGCTTTTCGGACACTGCGAATTAAAGTGCTACCTACTGCCACATGGTAGAAATGAAGTGCAAAGTCATCAACTCAGATTCCCATATAATTACACGAAATAAGTATCAAAAACTACTTAATCCTCTCTCTTAATTTATTTGCCTTGATTATACAGAAGTACCCATTGCTATAAATTTATCTTAGGAGTAAATATATCTGGTTAGTGAGCCAAGTAAAACAAGTAAAACAAAAAAAAATCAGTTAATAGAAAAATTTTGGAAACCTCGTCTCTGTAGCTTTGGAAGCTACCTATAAACTGAAGGGTTTCAGGTCAGATTCTGTTTTTTTTTTTTTTTTGGTCAAATTTGTTTTATAGGTGTACTTTTCTGCAGGACAAGTTTAGATGGATTGGGAATTAGAGAAAAGGTAAAGAATCTAATCACTCACAAAATCCCTTTATACTAAATGTATGCCAATTATTCACATTTCTTTAAAATTTGGAAGTTTCTTGTTTTGTGTGTGTCTATACAGCCTTGAATTTCACTAGAGGGAGTGCGACCAGAGGCCCAGAATCCACACTGACTGACATAAAGACAGAAAGTGTCAGGGCATTGTCTATGTCTTAGGCTCTAGGTAGAAGGGATTTCCATAGTTTATTCAACAAACATTTAGGTGTGTGCTTTTAAGCAGAGCCTGATGTTTTAGTGGGAACAAGACAGAAATGGCCCCAGGATTCAGGGCCACTCACTGTATGATACAAGGGTGATGTGTCCAATGTCAGCAGGGAAAGAATTACTTTGGATGAATGAATGAAAACGGAAAACAAAGCTAGGTGAAATTCTTCGTTCATCTTGTTTGAGTTTATTTGTCCTCTTTCATTACTCTAAGATGTTCCCTTGGGAAGCCAAGCCATTCAGCATGGGTGGGCGTCAAGGTGGAGTGTAGAAGGTATGACATTCTGAGGAAGACATCACCTACACAGCCTTTCTAAGACTTGGACTTCGCTCTAGCCTTTGGAAACTTCATTATGGGCTCAGATAGTCCAATTCCTCCTCTGGGTAGCTATGACCAGCCAGCAGGACTTCCAGGCTTCCCATAGAGGCATATGCAATTCCTTAGTGTCTCCACACAGTAAGCAAGCCCAGTCAGACCTGCCCAGTGAACATACTCAGATGTGGTCCTGGTTTGCTTAGGACTTTCCGGTATTATCTCTGAAAGTCTCATGTCCCAGGAAATCCCTCATTTGCAGGCAAACCTAGACAGATGGTCACCTTCAACCTAGGCCTATGTGGCTTGCACTAAACCTAGTTAGCACAAGTTGCTCCCTGAGCTATGGTAAAGTCTTTGCTTTCTTATTTCATAGGCAATGCTCTATTTTTGTATATTCTTACTTTTCCTTGTAATGCACTAGCAGCACAGTGATTTTCTTTTCTTCTTATCCCCAATTCCCTCATCTAGAATTCTTCCAGCAGCTTAAATAGACTCCAGCAAAGCATCCATTTGAAAGGGCTTAAGTAAGAAACAGGAAGGTAATGTCTTACCATCTCTTGACATTCCTAGGGCAAGACACTTCTGCAGTCGGCAGTGTTGGCAACGGTTTCTGTTCGTTCTGTCAATTAAACAGTTTCTCTGCCTTGGGCAGGAATAAGAAGCATTGTTCTGCTGGCTCCTCCTAAAGAATCCCTTGAGGGAAAAAGAGAAGGGGAGGGAAACAGATTTATAAGAAGGGAAACAGAGAACATTAATGTATACATTTGCTACATTTTCTGCAGTGAACATAACTGAGTTTAATTTTTAAAGCTCTTTGGATACCTCTTCTTGTATGGCTTGCAGATATTTCTGCTGGGGAAAATAGATGCTATCTGCAAAGATATGAGGGTATCATTCATTTACCCATTCATTCATTCATTCATTCCTTGAATCAATGTTTGCTAAAGACATTTGCAGCTGTGCTGTTCTATGCAGAAATAAACAGAAGTTTCTGCTCCGCAAAGAGCAGTGGGGAAGGAGTAGCAAAGGAGATTACTAAACCAAACATGACAGAACTTGATGGGAAAAATCACACAGGTTTGTGTCAAGTGCTGTGGTGGTGAGGAACTTGAAGTATTGGTAAGAAAAAGCAACACTGAGGAGTATGCACTACTGTTTTCTTAGTTTCTAAGATGTGTTTTTCCCCACCATAAAATTTTTGAATTTGGCTCGAATGCAGCTGAAAAGTGTCTTTTTTTTTTTTTTAACTTTTTGAGGTGTCTTGCTATGCTGTTCACGCTAGAGTTCAGTGGCTATTTGCAGGCAGGATCATAGTGTACTGTGGCCTCAAACTCCTAGACTCAAGTGATCCTCCTGCCTCAGACTATAGCTGGGACTACAGGTGTGTGCCACCGTGACCGGGTCTGGAAAGTTGTTTTTAATAATCAACCACACCATTGAAAAAAGAAAATATTATATATAAGCTGTCTAACAACAAAAAGTACTAAGTAAAAACTGAATGAATGGTCTCTACTTAGCCTCAGGCTACTCAGTGTAAGATGTCTTCATGCAAGTACATTTGGGTTCATCAGGTAAAAAATGAACTGCCAGTGACCATACACTGCTTGTCTAAATAAATCCACAGCTGAGTTGATTTTTAAAAGATTTCTCCTTAGTTGTCTTATAGAAAACTCTATTGGGGAAAATAAGCATTTTCTCCAGAGATAGATAAGTTATCATTCGTCCATTCACTGACTCATGTAATCGATTTCCCTAATTACTCTTTGCTTTTGAATTGTCTAGAGCAAAAAAGGAAAAGTGCAATGTGTCATGAGCAAAATCATGGTCTACATTAAGCTTTCTAAGAGAAATTTTGGGAAGAGATATCCCATAGCATCATCTTTTGGATGGAGAAAGTCTAGAAAAGTTCAGGAATGGTAGATTCAATGCCTATCTTGCAGAGAAGCCTGGAATAGATCCCCTGACTTCCCTCAAACAGCTTCTGTGTTTCCTCAACTATCTACAGGATGAACAAGCAGGGCCAGGGCTAGGTACGCCTAGTGAGGCAAACACCTTGCCCACAACATTTAAAGGTCGCCTAAAATTTTTGTAATTAGAAAATACAATATTTTAACACAATGTGTTAAAAATCTACATTAATGCAAAAATACCCAATAGTTTAAAGAAAGGATCTGTGTTATTCATTTTCCTTTTGTCTTCAGCTCCAATATGGCTCAGCGTGGCACTGGTGAAGAGAGCTTGATCAACCTGTGAGGAAACTCAGACACGGAGGTGTGGCCGAGCATCTCCTCAGAGAGAGAGAGAGTCCCAACTGGCTTAGCCATTCAACAGGGACTAGTTTCATCCCTATAGATCCAAGTGCATTCCTTATTTAATAAACCAGTGATTGCAGAATGAGACTTCTGACTGTCCAGTTTGACTGAATTCATGGAGCATCTTAGAATGGAGATCAAACGTAAGCTCCCAGGGATTGAAATGATGTACTTTATATACCATGAAAACTGTCAGGAAGCATAACCTCAGCCCATCAGTCTTGATTAAAGATGACTTGAAATTTACATTTTAAGACAGAATTGTGTGGTTTTTATCTTTGGATACTCTAGTGCTACTTAGCAAAAGAGTTGACAGGACAGAAAAGACTTTTCTGAAGTCACAGCTACAGCCCTAATTTAAGACCAATTTGACATTAATTACGACTCGTTTCTTGCTTATCTGTTGCTCATTATTGCAAATGAGGTTTTTGGCATGAAAAAGGGATTGCGTTCCAAATTTTATTGAATGAATAGAAATTTGAATAAGTGCACAAGCTGAATTGATGTTATTTAGAATGGGTTGTTTATGTTGACTTGAAAACAGTATTATGAAAACTCAGAGGTTGATACTGAATGTGCTGACATTGGCATCAAATTCTGAAGAGAATTTTTAAGTTCTGTATTTGCAGAAAAAAGTAGCATATTTACAAATGTGGGTTTTTTCCATGAATTTAAAAAAATAGTGTGGTGTACAGTGCCATTTTGACTAAAACCTCAGAGTATGCTTCATAATAACAGCATAATTTCTTTGATTGTGGATTCTTCCTTTAAATAGAAAAGATGACACTTGTTCTTGGCTATTGGCTTGCTGGGTTATATTTGTGCACTAGTTAAATTTTTTGGAAATTACTGTTTAAAATATTTTGCTTTTTAACTTGAACATATCCCCATCTTTTGAAATCACACATTTTTCAAATAGAGCTTATACAATCAAATGCCAAACATCTCCATTTTGATATTGATCTAAAAATCAGTTTTAGTAGATATTATGTAAACCAGAGCTCTCAAGATTGCATAACAAGCCAATAGAATGGTAGAAATACTTTCAATGGAGAGGATTCTGACTCCTAAACTATTACTGTTTATGAAGAAAACTATTTGTCTATCTGCCTAGAGGAAGTAATAACTTATTCAAGGAGGGTAAAAAATTGCTGACATAATTTTGTTTTCTTGTTTATTCTTGATGAGTTGAAAAATTGCATTAAAGTGGACAACATGGAATTCTTAATTATAGATCTGCAGAGGAACAGAATGTGAAGAACATCTCACGATATTCACAAATAGATTATCACTAATCATCTTTAAAGTAGAGCAGTGTGTTGACAGGTTAGTACGTTAATATCATGCTCCTTCTTCTTCCCTCTCCCACTTTATTCTTACTTATTTCCTTTTCTTTTCTTCACTCCAGTTTTAATTCCAAGACTCATGCCTTTTTGAGACCATTAGGAAGGCATTGTCAATTTATCACACAGTACCAGTATTTGACAGTTACAGTGTGTTTTGCCTTGTTTATATTTGAAATCCTGTTTAAGATTAAGATTAGATCTTAAGACTCTATGACTGTACTACACTTCCTTCAGTTTACTGGCCTTAAAAGAATAATTCACTTTGCTTGCTTCTTTGATCAAAAATATAATTGCTCTTGCCAATAACTTTACCAGCATATTACCTTTTCCTCCCAGACTGTGGCTGCATTTTATTTGTTCTGGTTACACATGGTCCTTTAGCGTTAGCTATAGAACTGTTTTGATTTCCCCTGGCTATTATGTCTCTCACACTCACTTTCTTTCCTTCTAAGGATTCATTATTAAAACTTACTGTTAAATTTCAACATTCTCTTATTTCAGATTAAGTCTACGTTTACTGCTATTCCTCCAGCTCTTTATTTAAGAAAGCAGCTTGCTCACAGTAATTAGTTTGCCACGGGAAGGATGAGTGGAATCTGTCTGGAAGTGGAACACTGGATTGAGACTGAAAAACCCCATGTTTTTGGCCATGCTCTGTTCTTTACTGTCTGAATCAATGATGTTGATCAGATGACATAATCTTGTTTATACCTCAGGACCTCATCGGAAAATGAAGAGGTGGGTGGGGGCAGGTGAATTTTAGTCGATTTAGAGTTAATCTTTTCGGCTTCTAACATACCATGCTTCCAGTTTTCTTTTCTTTTCTTTTCTTTTTTTTTCCTGTAACTTGAGAATAAAGGATGGCCATATGCATATTGTAGCTGTTACCTTGACTTCCTCTTTCTCAAGCAGAAAGTTAAATATATACCTATTAGTTTATAATCTTTATTTTAACCTTTAGTTTTTTCATATAGTAATAAGTGCCTTGGAATTTACTGGAGACAATACTGCTAAAACAGCAAGAGTCAGTGTTTGTATCTCTGTAAATGTGAATAACCCAAGGTTTTAAATACGCATCCATTTTTAAAGAGCTGCTGACCAGTTAGACAATAACAAAAAGGTAAAAGGCAAAAGACCAGAAAATCAACCCTCCCACCCACCACGCAAGAATTCCTGAATGTCAGCAGCAGGCAGAAGGATCCTTTAGCCAGCCTTCCTTAAAAACGTGTCACCGCATCTTGTGAGGTACACAGATGCCTGAGGCAAATACAGAACCGTGCTGTATGAAAGTCCCATACCTTGCAGCCTTCACATGTGATGACTCCGTAGTGGATCCCAGAGGACTTATCGCCACAAATTTTGCATGGTATCACTTCAATTTGTGCTGAAAGGAGAAAACAGACATTTTGAGCATACAGATGTTTTCTTTCTCCTTTCACTCTTCCTATCTCTCTCCCCATCTATCTCTGCCTTGATGTTTGTATTTGAAAATACTGGGGTGTGAGCGGTGGTGTGGGAGTCATCCATTAGTATTTGCATGGCTGTCCTAAGCTTCTTCTAAGTCAAAGTACATTTCTCTGCCACAGTTTGCTTCGTTTTTCTCAAACTAAAAAAATACAACCAGAAACCAGTTTTCCAAAGTCTTGCATTCACTGTTTTCTCCTTTGTGAATTTGACCTTAAAAGTAGTGGGACTCAAAAAGCCTTTGAACCCACGGCTTTTCTTTTCTTATTTTGCACTTGAAACATTAAGTTACTGAGATCTTTCACATGGCCTTACCTCAGTGATATTTAAAATAAATACATAAATAAAGCAAAACTCTGGGAGGGAGCAGTGCATGGTAGCTTTATACATTGTGTGGCTGGATGTTTACTTACAAAAATGTCAATAATAAATCAGTCCAATATTTACTGAGCATGCTGTATATGTTCTCTAAAATAATAAAGGATATTGATGGAGGATAACATATGCTAATGATGCTAATAATCTAATTAATGAAATTAATACATGGAGAAATCAGGATAAATTATGAGGGTACCAAATATGAATTCAATACAAACTGAAATAGTTTCATTGGAGATGAAGGCATTTTTGTTGATTCTGAAGATCGTGCAGGATTTAATTAGGACGAAGGGAAAGGCAAAGGGCATTTCTGTTGGCAGAAGGGAAATGAAAAAAGATTGGAGGCCTGGGATGATTGTGGATTGTGATCATTGAGACAATAACTTGGCTATAATGTAAATTTAGGTCAGATGATTGGCTAGAGGGTTGATGCCAGATTATGGAGTTCCTGGGGTTAGGCAGAGAGGTTTTCATCTGATCTCACTGGCCATAAGGAATCAACGAAGTGAACAGGGTAAAGAAACGATCAAAGTAACTCACCTTAGAAAGGTGAGTTTGGCAGGCTACCCATAAACAAGCAGAAGACCAACTAAAGATTACTTCCAACTTGGGTGTTAGGAGATAAAAACATGGCTTATTACATAAGTGGTAGGATAAATGGAGAGGAAGATGTAAATAGAAAGATGGTTCAAAGGCAGAAGCTAGATTATATGATTAAAAAAGGGAACCGACATGGAAACGAAGAGTCAAAGGTGACTCCTAGTTTCCTAGCCAAGAGGCTGAGATAAGGTAGTAAGTTGGACAGAAATGGGGTTGTTGGTAAGGCAGTTACTTTGGTGGAATATGGTGGGGCATGGGATTTCTATTTTCTATGTGTGCAATTTGGTGTAAAGTCCTGTATATAGAACCTCTTGGTAAGATGATTTTAAATAATCAGCACACAGGTTATGGATGGATCCATGAGACAAAATTTATTTAGAATGTAGTGATTCCTATGTCTGATAGTATTCTAAGAGTTGTTAAAATTATACACACTAGAAGATCTGCTATTTCCTCTTACAATTTAAAATAATTATGCAAAATATACTTCAAAATGCGTTGTATATCAATCTGCCACTTGGATGCTTTTCTACAGTTTCTCACTCTTGCATATACAAAACAAATAAATGCAAGACATTGCCCTCTTTTTCTTATTTTACATTTTTTAAAAAAGACAATACTTAGCTTTAGGGCAGTACATTGAATTTTTAAAAAAGTAAATATTTCACAGAAATTTCAAATCATCTTTGTAAGCAAAAAACCTCAGTGTTGTGTGCCTATTTTTCATGTGAAAAAATTGAGGATCCAGGTTAAGTTCTGCTTTTGAGGTGATTTGGGAATTGACAACCAGAAATTAGCTAAATATCCTGATACTTCATTCAGTAACCATTCTCTGACTTCCACACAGACAAAATAAGATTACAGTTTTAAATTCCTATATTACTCCAATAGCTCCAGCTAAAGAGCTAATGATAAAAAAACAGAAGAGACAAAGTCACCTCTAAAATACTTATGAGACTAAGTATACATTTCTATTCATTTCTTTTTATTTTAGCTTTTAGATTACACGAGCTAGTATTTGTTTTCAAGATTTTGTGGTAGGAGAAAAATATGAGATTTGATGTTATTCTATTCTGTCCTTCTGGACTCCAGTCCTTAGTCTGTTAATGATTGGAGCCACGGCCAAGATAAAATATCTGATCTTATGCTTTCTAGTTTATAAAGCTTAACTGACAAACTTCATAGATTTGTGAGGTTCAAACAGATATTTTATGTAGAAGCACCTTGTAAAATGCTGAAGAGCTAGGAAATGTTAGTCTTCATTATCATCATCATCACATCAATCATTATTGTTAACTGGTTTTCTAAAACTTTTGGACACAAAATATGACAAGCCACATTATTATTCCTTTATCAAAGATCTTTTCATTTAAAAATAATCTAATAAATGACACAGCAAGTCATTTGTACTATGGTTTTTTTTTTTAGCAATAACCTTTCAAATGTTGGATTGTTTATAACGATTACAAAATTGACTAAAAATCTCAGTTATCCATTGTATAGTTTTTAGCTTATATAATATTAAGTCAAAGGTTCTCTTTGCATAAATTACTCCCCAGGGAGTAGCTTACACGTGGGGAGAATCTGCTTCTATAAGTTCTTAATTATAAAATGATCTAACTTTAAAGGAAATGAAAATAGAGATAATTTGCCCCCTGGGGTGTGACAAGATGTTTTTGAAAGCCACAGAGGTTATCTTACACAACTTTGGAAATACAAATGAGATAAGGAACATTTGATAGAGCATCTGCATATTTATACATATTTATAATCCAGACTCAACATGTAATCCTGAAGAACTATAAACATCTTAACAACATTTTTAAAGAGAAATAAGTCACTTAAAATGGTATATGTGTATAGCTGTGTGTGGAAAGGGGTTATCAGTTTGGAAATCTGTGACCATTTTAACTTATTGCAATATAATAAATCATCCGAGGTTTATGATAGGTAAAGGTAAATTTAAGTCATTTAAAATACTAATTCTTTTCATTTTCTCTCATGTAAGGAAATAAACTGCTTCTGAGCTGCAGCTTTATAGTTTATACTTTTTTTTTTTTTTTGAGATGGAGTCTTGCTCTGTTGCCAGGCTGGAGTGGAGTGGCGCGATCTCAGCTCACTGCAACCTCCGCCTCCCCTGCTCAAGCGATTCTCCCACCTCAGCCTCCCCAGCAGCTGGGACTACCGGTGTGTGCCACCATGCCCAGCTAATTTTTGTATTTTTAGTAGAGACGGGGTTTCACCATGTTGGCCAGGATGGTCTCGATCTCCTGACTTTGTGATCAGCCTGCTTTGGCCTCCCAAAGTGCTGGGATTACAGGTGTGAGCCACCATGCCCGGTCTATACTATGTGTTTTATAAAGCACATCTTCCAGACAGCATTTCACAAACTGATTAGAACAACAAATCCCATTATTTCTCCAATGCCTGCCATTTCTCAATATCTTGCCACTATAACAGGCATAGGCTCTTGTGGAATTGTCTTGCAGTGAATACAGATCTAGTGACATGCTGTTGACTACGGTTTCCAACTGAACATCTTGGGAGGATTTGGCTGTTTGGACCTCACCAGCTGTTACAATGAAGGTTATAGAAGGAAACTGAGGAAAGAGTTTGACCTTTGTATTTTGCTTGACTCATGGATTTATTCAACAATAGTATTCCCCAAGAGACAAACTTAGAGGAACTGAAATGCCCTGAGAGATGGCTTGAGTGAGGTTTATTCATTTTTCATTTTTTCAATTTCTTAGATATTCATTTCACTTATATTTTTCTATTGGTAATCCTTTGTGGAGACTATAGTTAAAATGTTATGTATTAATTAATATTTTTGTTTATAAAATCAATGCTATATAATTTTATCTTTTTTGAAACAATATTATGACAGTGTCAAAGAGTGTCATGAAAGATTTAAAATAATTTGCTGCTTTACTTTATATTAGAACAAATGATGAAGTACAATTAGTTTACTATCTAGTGATCTGGCAGGCAGATCCTATTCAACAATTATGGAATAAACAAAATTTCTCTCCCTCTTTGAAGATGGCAATTCTCTCCCCCAAGCTCCCCCTGAAAACCCCTTCTTTGTTTAGAGTTCCCTGCCACAACTTTGCACAAAACTACCATGTTTTCACTTCTTCCTGCATGTCAAAACACACACATTTTTAGTTCTGCCCCCTCAGAACCTCCGCTAGTAACAGCAGGTGTTAAGATTATATAAACTAATCCAGCTAATGAGTTAACTAGAAAATGCATCACATTGATTCAACAAAATACCTTAACTCTTAAAAGCATACATTAAGAATGGTAATAATAACAGACTTTTCACGTACGTTCTGGTTGGAGGTAACATTTTTACTGTGTTTGTTCTTATGGCTCTCAATTCTCACCCTTCCAACTCTTACAATTCAACTTGGCCATTCCTATATTCTGGGCATTTTAAATCCATTGAAGAGAGGGACAAGATCATACTTTGTTTTCTATGGTGTCTAAAGGAGAATTTTTATAACTCCTTAAAGTAGTGGTTCTAAGTGTTTTATTTATTTCAGTACAACCACGAGATTTGATATACTCCTTCTTATAAAAGAGGCAATAAGCAATATTAATGTTTTTTGAGACAGGGTCTCACTTTGTCATCTAGGCTGGAGTGCAGTGTTATTGTAGCTCACTGCAGCCTCAAACCCCCAGACTCAGGGGATACTCCCATCTCAGCCTCCTGAGTATCTGGGACTGTGGGTGTGCACCACCATGCCTGGCTAATTTTTACATTTTTTGTAGGGACAGACTCTTGCTATGTTGTCCAGGCTGGTCTCTAACTTCTGGCCCCAAGTGATCCGCTTGCCTTGCCCTCCCAAAGGGCTGGAATTACAGGCATGAGCCACCATGCTGGGTCTGATTTTTCATATTTGGGATAAAGAGAATGAACCAGAGATTGTGGGGGATATATATTTTGGAAAAGGCCCCCAAGTGATTCTTGTATATGATGAGACACCCATTGGCAATTAAATGAGTTAAGTTATTAGCTAGGAATTTTCTCTACCACATAAATCACCTGCGAAGGTGGAAAAACCCAGGGACAGGCCAGATCTGAACATTTTAAAGAGTCACCAGGAATTCTCTCTATGTTTTCTCACTTTTGGTTTGGGGCTATACTTGTAGCATCTTTGTTTTCTGCTCTCTTTCTTTTTTTTTTGCCTTAAGGACATCTGACCCGGCTATGATTCCTGGACACCAGACACTGTATTCCTAGACACAGACTACATTCTAGGACATTGGATTCACCTGTTAGCTTCTGTTTCCCATAATTGTACAGTTATGCTAAAAGTGGGCAGTGCAATTAAATCTCTTAATGTCTGAGTAAAGCACAATTTACACATGTAGAAATTTCCAATAAAGATGACTATTTTGGTTAAAAATCCTTTTGCAGATGGTCTCAGTAGCCCAAGTTGTATCTCATCTACCCAAATTGTATCTCATCTACCATCTGCGACAAATCCAAGTTAAAAATCTCTGTTTGTACTCTTTCCCTCTCTCACTGGCAGACTGATAAGTATCTATCTCTATTAGGTACAAAATATTCTGATGTCACCTAATAACAAAGCCAAAGGTCTGTGATGCAGCAGGTATCTCTGGGAACCAGTTCCACTGTAACTGTGATTCATCAGACAGTAGCCCCAAGGTTGGGATGGGATAGGATCTTGGAAAAATAAGATCCTCAGAGGACAAATATAAAAGTCTTGAACTTCGGCCGCTATACCATGCTAGAAGGTGGTGATTCTAAAAGATTCCTGTTATTGGATTGTGCCCATGTGTATCTCATCAGTGCAGAGTGCATCTCAACATCAGCTTCCTGTCTAAATATACAATATGGTGCATGAAATTCAGTGCACTCTAATTTCTACTATAACACTCTCACGTCTATCAGCATCTGGGGTCTTCTCTGTAATACTCTGGGTGGTGGGCTGTGTGAGTTTTCTGTTCCAATGGCTGATAGCTCCTAAATAACTTAAAGATACATTTGGCTTTATATTATTTTAATTCCCTATACCATTTATCATCGAAAGTTAGATTAAGAAAAAAATTACTACCATATGATAATGACAAAAGAAGATCATTTTCAAAGGCATCATGTGTAGGATTATCACAATAGAGGCTGATTTATCTTACATATGAACATTTACCCCTGAAGTGTTTGCTCACTCCCCAGAGGACTGAAACAACAGAACATGAGACCAACAAATAACGACAGCAATTAGTATAATCATTAAGAGAAAATACTGATAAGTTAAATATTCCCCTTGTAAACAAAGTAAATCACTTTATAAGTTGTAGCGGCTTTGAACTCATACTTTAGGAATTAATTCCCATTAAATTCATCTTTTCCTGTCAACATTTTAATTATAATGGGATAACTTGTGCGTGGGACCCGACGTTATTCAGGTTGAGTGAATGTCTTTTCGACCACTCAAGGTGTGGTCCACAGAACAGTGGCATTGGCATCTCCGGGGATCATGGTAAAACTGCAGACTACCACGACTCACTCAAGACCAGCTGAATCAGAATTTGCTTTAGAATGAGATCCTGAGGCTAGCATTCGAGTTTGAGAAGCACTGTTCTGTGATGTCCAGGTAGCCACAGTTTTAGCAACTGTAAGAACTGATGGAATTTTAAATTTCCCTGGATTCTGGAAAAGTGGTCTCTGCTTTTGCCTTTTAGGCATTTCCTTTGGATTATAAAGGCAGTAGGATAATTGAAAGATTAGAAGAAAATAAAAAAAAAAAAAGAGAGAGAAAACTCTGGCCACTAATTGACAAGGCAGAAAAAAGAGAACACAGCATATTCCAGAAATATCTTGCGTTACTGTAATTAACACCCAGTGTACCAGGCTTCCTTTGCAGATTTAATGATTGTTACCTGCACCCACATTTTCTCCGCATTCTAGCAATGTTTGGTAATGGCACCTCCCTCTTCTGTACACTCACTCTTGCGGTTGTGGCTACTAGCTTGCTCCTTGGATACTCAGTACTGACAAAGGCTTTCTTGAAACAGTTAAAAACCATACAGTTTTTCTATTTTAAAAATTGAATGGTACTTCTTTTGATAAAGGTAAGGGAGATCAAGCAGTTTTTTGAAACCAGCAATGAACTCATTTTGGCTATTCACAGTAGTTCTGGAAATCCAACATGTGAAAAGCTGTCCTGTCTCATTGAGGCAGATTAGTTAACACGGAGTTCAATGGTCATGATGGATATTTATGGCATTCCTCTCATCTGTTGTGTGCTGTCCTGAGACTTGCTGACTCAAAGTGTGGTCCCTGACCAGTAGCATTGGCCTTCCCTGGGTGCCTGATAGACATGCAGCATTTTGCTCCTACCCTGGGCCTATAAGAATCTGGGTTGTGGCTGGGCACGGTGGCTCATGCCTGTAATCCCAGCATGTTGGGAGGCTGAGGCGGGTGGATTACCAGGTTAAGAGATCGAGACCATCCTGGCCAACATGGTGAAACCCTGTCTCTACTAAAAATACAAAAATTAGCTGGGTGTGGTGGTGCGCACCTGTAGTCCCAGCTACTCGGGAGGCTAGGGCAGGAGAATCGCTTGAACTCGGGAGGTGGAGGTTGCAGTGAGCTGAGATCGCATCACTGCACTCCGGCCTGGGCGACAGACCGAGACTCTGTCTCAAAAAAAAAAAAAAAAAAAAAAAAATCTGGGTTGTAACAGCATCTCTGTGATTCATATACACGATAACATTTCAGAGGTTCTAAAAAAGAGGAAAGCAATACATTCTATAATTTACCCCTCAGGATCTCCATTCCCAAACCTCTCCTCTCTGTGAAGAGAACTTTATTTATTTCTCGCTCTCTATATGAAGACATGTACTCTACTTGATAGCTCATTTTATCCAGTTATGAAAAGAAGAAACAGAATTATTTGCTTCAGTAAATAAAACTCGTCTCTCTTTAGTTCCTTATTTTTTTTCTAAACCCCTTTCTCTAGCCTACATTTAGTTTAAACCTTCAACAGGAAGCTCGTGATTACACAGCATCACCTTCACTGAAGGACAGGGATGGGGCACACCACAAAACCAGGTCCCAGAGATAATTTAGAATGACCAGGCAGAGTTTATTCCTTGGAGAATAATTCAAAAAGAGCAAAATATATCGTTTCAGAAAATGAAAAAAAAATACAACTTTTCTATGTTAAAAATCAAATTGCATTAAGAGAATGGAGAGACGTCAGGACTGAGAGAAAATATTGTGAAACATGTATGTAATAAAGTACTTGAATCCAAAATATACAAAGTGCTCTTAAAATTCAAAAAGTGGCAAAATATCTGAATAGACACTTAACCAAAGAAGATTTATGAATGGAAAATAAGCATATGAAAAGATGCTGAATATCATATGTCATTAAGGAATTGCAAATTAAAAGCAATGAGGTGCCACTATAAACCTACTTAAAAAACTGATAATACCAAATGCTGGAGAGGATACAGAACAAATGGAATGTTTGCTTATTGCTGCTAGGAATGCAAAATGGTACACCCACTTTGGAAGGCAGTTTGACAGTTTCTTACAAAGCTACCCATAGTCTTACCAAACCACCTAACAATTGTGTGCCTAGGTATTTACCATTGAACTGAAAACTTACGTCCACATGACAACGTGCACACAAATATTTATGGCAACTTCATTCATAATTACCCAAAACTGGAAACAATTAAGATGTCCTTCAACAGGTGAACAGACAAACCAACTGTGGTACATTTGTGCTTTGAAATATTATTTGGCAATATAAAAAGAGCTATTAAGCCACGAAAATATATGTTGGAAACTTAAATGGATATTACTGAGTGAAACAAGACAGTTTGATTCCAGCTACATAATATTTTTCAAAGGGCAAAACTACAAAGATAATTAAAAAAATCATTAGTTGCCATGGGTTTGGAGTGGAGGAAGAGGATGAAGGGGTGAAGGGCAGGGAATTGTTAGGGAAGTGAAACTATTCTGTACAATACTGTAATGACAGATACACATCATTACAGATTTGTCAAAACCTATAGAATAGTACAACACAAAGAATAAATGGTTAATAATAATGTATCAGTATTGGTTTATAATTGTAACAAGTATGCCATACTTATGCAAAATAACAATAGAGGAAATTGTGTCTGGGGGGTTGGTGAGTGCACAGAACTCTATGTACTATTTGCTCAATTATTTTGTAAATCTAAAGTGGTGCTAAAAATGTTTATTAATTTTTCAAAAAAGTGAATTGCACAGAGGTGCTTCTTTTGCTGGAGATAGTGAGGAGCATCTGAGAGGGTCCAGCAAAGACAAGTAAGGAGTACTTTAAGAACAACCAACTCCCACTGCTCAACTACATGGAAACTGAACAACCTGCTCCTGAATGACTACTGGGTACATAACGAAATGAAGGCAGAAATAAAGATGTTCTTTGAAACCAATGAGAACAAAGACACAACATACCAGAATCTCTAGGACACATTTAAAGCAGTGTGTAGAGGGAAATTTATAGCACTAAATGCCCACAAGAGAAAGCAGGAAAGATCTAAAATTGACATCCTAACATCACAATTAAAAGAACTAGAGAAGCAAGAGCAAACACATTCAAAAGCTAGCAGAAGGCAAGAAATAACTAAAATCAGAGCAGAACTGAAGGAAATAGAGACACAAAAAAACCCTTCAAAAAAATCAGTGAATCCAGGAGCTGGTTTTTTTGAAAAGATCAACAAAATCGATAGACTGCTAGCAAGACTAATAAAGAAGAAAAGAGAGAAGAATCAAATAGACACAATAAAAAATGATAAAATGGATATCACCACCGATCCCACAGAAATGCAAACTACCATCAGAGAATACTATAAACACCTCTACGCAAATAAACTAGAACATCTAGAAGAAATGGATAAATTCCTCGACACATACACCCTCCCAAGACTAAACCAGGAAGAAGTTGAATTCCTGAATAGACCAATAACAGGCTCTGAAATTGAGGCCGTAATTAATAGCCTCCCAACCAAAAAAAGTCCAGGACCAGACGGATTCACAGCTGAATTCTACCAGAGGTACAAAAAGGAGCTGGTACCATTCCTTCTGAAACTACTCCAATCAATAGAAAAAGAGGAAATCCTCCCTAACTCATTTTATGAGGCCAGCATCATCCTGATACCAAAGCCTGGCAGAGACACAGCAAAAAAAAGAGAATTTTAGACCAATATCCCTGACGAACATCGATGCAAAAATCCTCAATAAAATACTGGCAAACCGAATCCAGCAGCACATCAAAAAGCTTATCCACCATGATCAAGTTGGCTTCATCCCTGGGATGCAAGGCTGGTTCAGCATACACAAATCAATAAGTGTAATCCAGCATATAAACAGAACCAAAGACAAAAACCACATGATTATCTCAATAGATGCAGAAAAGGTCTTCGACAAAATTCAACAGCCCTTCATGCTAAGAACAACCAACTCCTGTAATTCCAGCACTTTGGGAGGCTGAGGTGGGCAGATCATGAGGTCAGGAGTATGAAACCAGCCTGACCAACATGGTGAAACCCTGTCTCTACTAAAAATACAAAAATTAGCTGGGCATGGTGGTGCACACCTGTAATCCCAGCTACTCAGGAGGCTGAGGCAGGAGAATCGCTTGAACCTGGGAGGCAGAGGTTGCAGTGAGCCAAGATCGCGCCACTGCACTCCAGCCTGGGCGACAGAGTAAGACTCCAACTCAAAAAATAAGAAAAACAACTCAGCCAACATCTACTTATTTTAGGTCACAGTTATGTGCAAAACCAAGTTTCTGTCTTCACAATGAATACTATAATTCTACAGCCACACATGTTTACATCACCTGAATGCAGGGCAGACAGGTGACTGCTAAATAAACCTGGAAGAAGACGATGTTAATATGAACTGGGGGAAGCTGGGAAGGTTTGGTGCTGAGGTGCCTTTTGAGCCAGGTCTTGGAAAGTGAGCAAGTTTCAAGTAGTAAATAGCAATGGGAAAGGGCAATCTTAAAGTTGGTGGTTGAAGAGTGAAAAAGGAAAATCTAATAACAAGAACAAAATTCCAGATTACTTGTTTATTTTGGAGACTTAGTTAATGGGGTTAAATGAAAAGTAACTAGTAGCAGAATGCTTCCAGAATTATCAATCATGCCTTAATCTGTAGTCACTAACCATATATCAAGTCGAATCATATGAAATTGCCACCTTTTTGTGCAAAAAATGTTAATATTGCCAATTTCATATAGTTCAACCAAGTATTATTCACTAATTCCTATATTGCATTATTTTCCAGAATACTTGAAAAGACCAAGGATTCAATGCATGCTTGTTAAATATAAATATAAAGCCATTAAATTATCTACTTGGAGTCAGACAAATCAAAGGTTGGGACAATAACCTTTGGCCTTCCACCCCCCACAATATACACACACACACATATACACACACACACGAGCAAAAGTCAAGTGACTAAAGTTTGGTGTAGAAAGCATACACGCTGTTTCTCATTCTGTTCATTGATAGACGCAGTAGAGACCATTCCTGAAGTTCTCAGCACTTGTTCAGAGAGTTTGAAAATAAGTAAAACATGTCTTTTTCTGGTTGGTGGCAAAGAAAGACTAAATCTCTTGAGTGTGTTAAAAAAAGAGACGAGCCAGGACGGCAGAGAAAAGAAGGAGGCTATGTTCTAAAATATAGTGATCAGAACCAATTTCAATGTCTTTGTTTTAGAAAAAAGAAACCTGGTAAAATAAAAGTGACATCATATCTTCTCATGAGGTATGTGAGTGGACTATCACCCCACACTGAGACAATGTCCATGTAAGATTAGAATGTTAGTATTCTACTAACATTTCTCTTCCTAATCTAATAGTAACTTTAACTGGTTCATAACATCTTAACAATTTGCCTGTATTGTTATTTGTCCCTTTTTCACGTTTGCAGACACTTTTGATTTTTAATGTGCCTTTAGCCACTGATGCCCCAAATACTTACATACACAAACTATAGAATATAGGTGAGGTATTTATAGCATGCGCGTGTGTGTGCGTGTGTGTGTGTGCGTCTGTGTGTGATTGGATTATCTACAAGAGCTTTGATTTTTTTGAACATAGATGATGCTACAATGACTAAATATATTGTCAATTTCTGCACTGAAAATTACGTTGTTATATAATTTATGTTCCAGCAAATTTGCAATTTAGCCTCCATTGCTTCAGAATTGAATCTTGAAATAAAAGGAAATTATAGAATTAAAGAGATAATTTTAGTTCTTATTTCATCTCTAGAGATAAGAATGACTTTAGAGGTTAGAGAAAGGCATGTTTGAGTTTAGTTTGTCTTTACCCAGGTGGCCTTTTTGAAAAGGAGACATACAGAATTTAAAGGAAAGTATTCTCATTTGCACACCACACCAGAAATTGCTTCAGGAGCAAAATGATAATTTAGAACGTCACTCTAGAAGCTCCCTCTTATAATTTCACCCTAAGCGAAATGTCACAAAGGCCCGGTGTCAGTGTGGGACTGAGGTGGAGGCTTAGTCACCCAACAAATGTAGAATTAGTGAATAGCTCCCTCAAAGACTGAAGCGCCTGTTCTGCTGATACTGCACACTTTCTCTAAAGAGATTACCAGCATAATCCTAAATATTATGGGACCCGAGATATCTTATATTTGAGCGCATCAGATCCAGCATGCTGCACCTAATCCCTAACAGCTTTATTCGGTGTTTATGTAAGCTGGTGAAGTTGTTGTATGAACATGTCGACTGTCCCTTATTCCCAGAGACAACATCACTCTGTATAATTGCCACAAAAAGTAGTGAGAAATAACATTATAATTTTCAAATTTCACTTTAACAAATTTCCATCTTTCAAATTGCTTTTTTACAAGTAGAACAATCTAATGATCTTTTGGAGATCTATAGTAATATTTGAATGGAGATACTTACGGTTGTTCCATTTGTTAGCTGTGTTTCTTATACGTTAATTTGTAGCAAAGGCATTTTGATGCTACCATGTAAATTGAATTGGTACAAAAAATTTCTTTTCCATTTTTTAGACATTTGAATTACTTCTAAAGAGGCAGAGTTTTTTTGCGGGGGGAGCGGGTGGTGGGAATATTAGACGAGAAAGACATTACTGAAAACTAGGAATTACTAAGCCTAGCACCAGGTATTCTACCGTAGGAACTTTTTTTTTTTTAAAGCTACAGCTTTAATTTGGGATATTCATTTTAATTCCACTAAAATTTAAGTGGAGAAAGAGAAATATCTGGTTCTCTTTGCAAAATGTAAAAACACATTTGTTCATATAGTTCATTTAAAAAGTGAATTGTGTGTGTGTCTGTGTGTGTGTGTGTATGTGCACATAAACCCCTAAAATCGGCCACTATGTTTTATGTAATTTTACAGTAGAAGGTAACTTCATGTTTTTTAAACACAAAATCAGAGGAGAAAGAAACATTTCTGTTCACCTGTGAGCCCCTGCTTATTGTGATTCAGACCCAAAGAGGATTAAGTACATAGACGTTAGTATGTCTAGTGTTATTAATTTCTGAACAACAGCAGCAACAATATCCTGAGTAAATCTGTCAGTAGCAAGGATAGTTACTTAAAGACTCCATTGATGTCAGAAATGCAATCTGCTGGTAATAGCTTATTTCACCAATAAAATCTTTAAATGCATATATTTTGAAATTGGTAATTGCACAGAAACAGTATCTACTTTTTTTCCTACAAATACAAGCACCAGGAAGCTATAAGCATTGTGGAAAGATGTGATTCTGAGTTTATATATTTAAAGGAGTTTAGTTTGATCAGGAACTTTTTTGAACAATGCAGTGTTTATATTATTTGAAACAATTATATCAATTTTCATTTTAATATTTCCAACTGTTGTGCATTGCTATCTAGTACTAGCAAGGAAATTACAATAAATCATTTTACCCTGAAATATTCTTAAAACAAGTGCTCCAAATTTGCCTATATTATGAGATAATGTGTGTCTAGAGAATTATGCACTAACTTGTAAAAAATTTAGGAGAAAAACTCAAATGTAATTCACCTCATAGTTAATAATCATTCAACCAAATAGCTATTATGTTTGAAAATATATTTTTTACATATGATAAAGCATCTGGTATCATATATATAAATCAAATAGATTTTTTTTAAACTTAGAAAAATAAAATCAACATGATAGCAATGCTGATGACCAAAATCAAAGCTACAAAACTGTGAGAAGGATGTTCATATGATTAACCTAATGTTAGTATAATGTGGTGGATAACGACTTGAATTTAATCTTGAAACTTATGCATTTGGTAGTTCACTCCAGGATATGACAGTATTTATATATAAATATCTTCTCCAGTGTAAAATTAAGCCTGAGTGACTTGTTTTATTATATACATTCCTGAGTCAGAAAATATTTTTTTGTCCCCACACCTAGCTATCAATTTATTTTGCTGAGAGCTTATAAATGCTTACTTCCTTGCCTGGAGGATGGTCCATACAGCTAAATGTCAGAAGAGAGAAGAAAATGTAAAACTCACCAGTGGCGTCAGCTTTAGTTTTGAGCTGGTTCTCACACATTTTGACGTAGCAATTAAAAGTCTAACTGAAAAATATGATACTTTTCACTGGGGAGGTCTGAAGACTGCCCCTGCGTTAACCCACAACTTCAATCCCAACAGGCTGCATTAATGAGATTAAATGAAAGAGGAGTTAAAGGCATCAACGGCTCCATTTCATTAAGTAAGGGTGAAAGGCTGGCTCAGGCGCAGAAGGTGGGAGGGAGAATATTGGTTTTTCTTTTTGATGCTACTTATTCGCTAAAGAATGCAGCATTTGCTTAATAGCAATCAGCAACTTCAAGATGTTCCCACCCCCAAATTATATAGATACATATAATTTCTGCACTTAAATTCCCCTTTGTTTTCATCCTTTTGGAAACAGATTCGATATGCATATGGCATGTAACAAAAGTTATCCCTGTGACTATAAAAGTACAACATAAATTTTCTTCAGAATTAGTTTGTCTCAAATTATTTTGGATGAAAGATCGCATCAAGGTATTACCATGTTCCTATTCTGTCAAATATTGGATTACAGTTGTCTATGAAGTAGTTAATACAGCAGAGGAGCAGTTTATAGTCTAAGAAAATATGCACACCTAACAGGAGCAGCAGCAGCAAGAGAGCCTGAGCACCAGTGTAGAGACTTAACACCAGGTGACCTCACCGGGCCCCACACCTGAAGTCTAAAGTGACTTCATTTCCCCAGTGTGCCCTGGTGCTCCCACTTGTAAGAATGATGAAGAAACAAAGACAGAAATTTCTGATCCTTGCTAGGAAGGATAAATATATGAATAGGTAAAAATTGCGTTAACTTCCATGGGAACAAAATATGTTCTTTATATGAAAGCAAAATGCCTACATATGTATTAGCTTTATTTAACTTTACTTAGAGTTGCTCAGTTGCTTGCATGATGAATCTCAGATCTTTCTCTTTGCTCTTCTCATCCCCTACCACCTTTGAAAGCTCTTGATTTCTTTCCACTAATCACTTATCACAAACCTTTTCTTATTTTTTTAAAAATAAATTTTATTATGTATATTTAAAATATACAACATGATGTTCTAGGACACATGTATTGTACATAGTAAAATGGTTACTATAGTGGAATAAATTAACATATCCATCATCTCACATAATTACCCATTCCTCCTTGTGCCAAGAGCAACTATAATCTACTCATTTAGTAGAAAATACAATACACTATTATGACAAATGGCTTTTTTTTAAAAAAAAGAGGTTGTCTTTTAATTTAAAAAAGTGATATTTGAATATTAAACAAATCATAACATACACAAAGGTATAAAGGGGAAATTTTAATCTCTTTGTGTTAGCCCAACCCTCAGCCCTCCGTACTACCCCACTGAGTTACCCACTGATATTTCCTTGCTTCTTTTTCAGAACAAGTCTATGCACACGCAACCATATAAGTTGGTGGAGTGTAAATTAGTTCAGCCACTGTGGAAAGCAGGTGGATATTTCTCAACTTCAAACAGTACTGTCATTCAACCCAGCAATCCCATTATTGGGTATATACCCAAAGGAAAACAAATCATTCTACCAAAGACACATGCACCCATGTGTTCATCACAGCTTTATTCACAATAGCAAAAACATGCAATCAGCCCAGATGCCCACCAATGGTGGCTTGAATAAATAAAATATGGTACACATATACCATGAAATACTACACAGCCATAAAAATAATAAAATCATGACCTTTAAAGCAACGTAAATGCAGCTGGATGCCATTATCCGAAGTGAATTAACACAGGAACAGAAAGCAAATGGTTTGTTAATCCTCCTTTTATTCCTGTCTTCTCTTAAACATCTCCACTTTTCCCTGGCTTACATTGTAGTAGAACTGCTTTTTGATGGGGAGAAAGGCAAGGGGTGGAGAGGAGGCTGGGAAATCCATTCAAGATTATTTTTGGCATGGTAGAGCCGAACTTAGTGGTTCTCAGCTGTGGATGCCCATTGGAATAACCCAGAGAGCTTAAAAATATTGATGTCCAGGGATTTCCTTCTTACTTTCATTGATTTGTTTGGTGGGGGGCCAAGGCATCTGGAATTTTAAACACTTCTAAAGTAATTCTAACGGGCAGCAGGGACTGAAGACCCTTGGAATGGTCCTCAGAATCACCGGAGACATATGGCATAGATTCCTAACCCCAGCAACTACTGAGTCAGAATCTGAGGAGGGGTCTGGGAACCTATAGTCATAAGCACTTAGGTATTTGTTATGATTAGATACATTTGGTAAAAACTTTAGCAAAGAACCTTGGGCTTTGAGTTAACACATCTGGTTGTCACTTCTTGGGTAAATTACTTAACTATTTGTACCTCAGGCTACTCATGTCTGAAATCAGATTGTAACACTCATTAAGTCATAAAAGGAGTAAATGTGAAAGTGCTTAATATTGTGTCTGAAACACACTGGGAATTCAGTAAACATAGTTCAATATGAATCTTCATGCCTTTGTTCATCGTGGAGATATGCATTTTGGCTGTTGACTCTGGTTATCATTCATTCTTTCAATATTTATTAATTAATTCATAAGTAATTACTACCATTTGTACTTGGAAATAAATGTGATGAAGCTCACAGTCCAGTGTGTATTTAAATCCTGTGGATTTAATCCGATTTGATTGTTTTCATTGTAATTGTTATTTTTCTGTATTTTACAAGAAATAAAATTCTAACTTAGAAGATCTGTAGGTAATGAGGATAAGTAAGAAAACCATTTAAGAACTTCTTTTTTTTTGTCAGAAAGCAAATCGATCTGGGGGATACCAAATATCTGATGTGTTATAGTTCAAATTGTAGACAGAATTGTTCCCTGTGAACTACTTCAAGGTTATTAAATATTAACCTGAGTAAATGAAATTAATAGGCACCATTCATAGGGTGCTAAAAGCCAAGTATTAGGGGTAGAAACTTATACATCTTTATGTCTACTGAGCCTTGATAAAAATCCAGCTCCCGCTCTCGCAACCAGGAAATGGGTACAAAAGAGAATCAAAGGAGAATTAATAGCACAGAGTATGCTTGTCGCCTAGAAACAAAGGGCAGAGTTGGAGACAGGAGCTCAGATACGAGGGGTGGATCTAGCGTGTGTTCAGGAAAGAAGGAGGATGGCTAGTATGTCTATAAAGTTTCAGTTTTATCACATCACCTTCCTTATCAAAAACTTTTCAGCCCTCTAGGTTCCACAAAACAAACCCAAGCTCCTCCTTGGCCTACCTTTCTACAACCCGGGCCAGCTCTGTCTTCAGGCACTCACCTGTGATCCTAGGTCAAAGCCATCCATTCACCTGAGCCATCCCAAATGCCTCACTTCTCTGCCTTTTAATGCCACCTCTATCTCCTCCTTGAACTTCCTGACAGCCTCTCTCCACTCTGCTCCAATTACCCACACCTAACCTAATTTTGAAGACCCAGCTCAACTCCCACCACGTTTGCAAAGTGTCCCCTGACCATTTACCCACAGTAATTTCTGCTTACCCTGGGATCCTATGTCCCCACCACTCATTTGGTCCTGGTACTCTTCAATAATCCTGTTTATATGCTTCTCTTTCACCTTGACTATAAGCTCCTTAGGCATAAAACCCTCTCTTTGTGTGTCTCCCAGTGTCTAACATAAGGATTCAGTAAAATGAATGGAGTTGGCTGGGCATGGTGGCTCATGCCTGTAATCCCAGCACTTTGGGAGGCCGAGGTGGGTGGATCACCTGAGGTCAGGAGTTCAAGACCAGCCTGGCCAATATGGTGAAACATTGTCTCTACTAAAAATACAAAAAAGTTAGCCAGGCAGGGTGGTGGGTGCCTATAATCTCAGCTCCTCAGGAGGCTCAGGCAGGAGAATCGCTTGAGCCTGGGAGGTGGAGGTTGCGGTGAGCCAAGATTGCCATTGCACTTCAGCCTGGGCAATAATAGCGAAACTCCATCTCAAAAACAAACAAACAAACAAATAAACCAAGAATGGAGTTGATCAATGGGTGAATACACACTAGTTGCTTGACTCAACACTGGGGGACCATATAGGAGTCTCACCGCCTACTCTCATGATTTCCCCTAACTTGTGTTTTACATCGATGGCTCATCTTTGGGATATGTTTGCTTCCTTGCTTGCTGATGTTTAGTGGGGATGAGAGATAGTTTAAAAAGAAAAACACTTGCCTCTTTTTGTTCTTTATTTAATCATAGTTGGTTCTAAGTGTAGGAACAAGGAAGTTGAAACAAAAATCTTCTCTTCATTTCCTGTTTTCCCTTAATATACAACCTGTCCCTTCATCCCCTTGATCTGGCATTTAATTGTCACTTTGAATTGTTGTCCCAATGGTTTAGGTCTGTTTCTGTCCTGTTGGTAGATTTCATTTTCTCTGGTTAAGGGAGCTTAGCTTTAGAGGCAAGGGGGAGTTGATTTCTCCCCTGGGTAGCTCTCCCTTGACCCCATCTCACAGTAGGCAGCAGCTATTATGCACTTTTCACACTAACGTAGTGCTTACAACCGTCCCTAGTATCAGAAGACATTATGCTAGGGGGACAGAAAAGTTCTCCAACCACCCACAGCTGCCAAGATTCAGGGGGAAATGAGGGATAAATCCCCTCAAATAGAAGAAATGTCATTAAAAATAGCTTGATTTTATAGAAACCATCCCACGGAGGTTCTTGAAAAGTGTAGTCCCCAGACCAGCAAAGTCAGCGGCATCACTGGGAACTTGTTAAACATGTAGATTCTTAGATACCATTCCAGACCTACTGAATCAGAGACTCTGGGGGCTGAGCTCAACAATCTATGTGTTCACTAGCTTTCTGGATGGTTCTGAGGCATGCTCATGTTTCAGAACTGCTGGTTTACACCATGGGTTTTCTAGTCAGAAAGAGCTACATTTAATAAACAGCTCTGTTACTCACTAACTGTGTAGTCTGGATAAGTTAATTTTCAGATGTTTCAGTTTCATCATCTGTAAAATGGTGATGCTGTGGTCTGAATGTGTGTGTCTCCCCCAAATTAATATGTTCAAATTCTTACCCTCAAGATGATGGTATTAGGAGTTTAGGTATTAATTTAATTTAATTTTGCATAGAGAATATTTGAAGAATTTAAAGTGAGATAATTCCTGCAAAGCATTCAGTCCAGCCCTGGGCACATAATAAACATTCAATAACTTTGAACCATTACTAGGATACTATTTTAGTGGAGAATAGAAAGTGTTCCATACTTTAAAAATCTCTGTTATTTTTCTCTACAAAAATCTCTGTTATTTTTCTCTACATGTTTCTCAAAACTTGGCTGCATGTTAAAATCACTTGGGGAGCTTTTTAAAAAATATCTGATTCCCAAGAGATTTACATCAGACTAATTTAGCACGAAATTTTGGGAAGTGAAACCAGGCATTTTTATTTTACAGAAGATACCAAGATCTTTATGAGGTACAGTAAAATCTGCTGTTGCAATGTATTATAATCAATATTGTCATGAGAAAGTGTCGTGAGATTAAAAGCAGCTGAGAATTAATCATCAGTAATGTGAGACGCTGTATACATTATTTCCATGATTTTGCCCAAATTCAGTAGTACAGAAGTACAGAGAAATGCCAAAAGGCAGGTTCTAGAGCAGGGTTTCTTATGCTTGTCATTGATATTTTGGGCTGGATAATTCTTTTTTTCTCTGGAGCTGTTCTGTGTATTTTAAACATCCTTGGCCTCTATCCACTAGATGCCAGTGTTGCCCCTCACTTATGACAACCAAACAGGTTTCCAAATATTGCCAAATACCCCCTGGGGACAAAATAGGCCCAGTTGACAACCACTGTTCTAGAGTTTCAGTGGCTGGACACAAACCCAGGCTTTACTATGTAACAGTATGATTAGTGCAAGTTACTCAATCCCTCTGTGCCTCAATTTCTTCTGTGAAGTAGAGATGAAAATTATACCCAGCTGATAAAGTTCAGTTTTGCTGTTTGAGAAATAAAAGAGAAAATGCATATGAAGCACAGGTGACGGTGTCTGAAACATGGTAAATATTCAGTAAATATCAGCTATCAATTGTATGTTTATTGATAGTCTTATTTTGATTCCAAATCACTGAAAAAATTCTCCTGAAGTCTTTACATTGAACTCATGTATCCTTCTGGAGGCAGTATGGGTCATATTAAAAAGAAAAAAAAGAAATTTTGTGTCCATTCATTAATTTATCCTTTGAGTTGAGAATCAGAATGACCAACTACTCATTACCTCCTAGGGTCAACAGTTGGTAGATGATGGAGAAAAAAGCAATGGTGAAAGGATGTGTCAGCATTAGAAGAGGGTTCTGTTTCTACACTTCTCTAGCTATGCAGTGTTGGGAAGTTACAGCCCCTCAGAACCTTTGTTTCCTCATTTGTAAATTAGGAAAAATAATTACTATTTTGCGTATTTGTTACGAGAATTGAATCAGATAATATATGTGAATGCACTTAAGCCAATATTCTGGTATGTAGTAGGCACTAATTAAACATTTAATTCCGTTAAAATTATAGATGAAAGCATAGAAGGAAACAGTATGGGAATAATGGGGGTATATCTGTGTTTTTCTGAACTTTGACTTTGTATGACATCATTTTATCTGAATTGATGAATAAGCAGTGAAAAATATTTCTTCAGTCATGACAGCATTTTGTTCTGTCAAATCTGTATTGGCAAAATGAGGTATCTGAAGGGTACTTACTAAAATTCAATATTATTTTAATTTAGTCAATTCTTTAGAAGGCTGAAAGAATGGGTTAATCTATTTACAGTTTGGCAAATGCAAGAAGAAACTTGTGCAGTTTAATTTTTGTGCAACGTAGAATAGGGATTATTGCTTTAATTAGTAGTAAAATTATTCTGGCGACTGGGTTTGCAAATATCTTAACTTTGATTCAAATCCATGTTATAAAAACCATTCACAGTTTTAAGTATTTTCCCAACAGTACTTCTATTTATTTTTCATCAGAGGGAAAGTTATACAGATAACACAGATAACAGAATAGAAAACAAAGGAACTAGCAATTTTTTTTTTTTTTTTTTGAGACGGAGTCTCACTCTGTTGCCCAGGCTGGAGTGCAGTGGCGCGATCTCGGCTCACTGCAAGCTCCGCCTCCCGGGTTCACGCCATTCTCCTGCCTCAGCCTCCCGAGTAGCTGGGACTACAGGTGCCCGCCACCACGCCCGGCTTATTTTTTTCTTTTTAGTAGAGACGGGGTTTCAGCGTGTTAGCCAGGATGGTCTCGATCTTCTGACCTCATGATCCGCCCGCCTCGGCCTCCCAAAGTGCTGGGATTACAGGCGTGAGCCACCGCTCCCGGCCCAGAAACTAGCAATTTTCTTATTGTTAGGACGTGTTTCTTAAGCAAACACGTCCTAACTCAGTAGAAATCGAAGCTATTTAAGAATAGAGATCTGGATGTTAGAAAATGGCTGTAACAATCACTTCTTAAATTTTGACATTTGTTCATTTATCAAATACCTCTTTGTTGAGCGGATACTCTAGTACCTGAGTTAAGAACCTTACTTCATGGAACTTTCAGCCCATAAGCTCATTGTGCAGGAAGAGAAATAGACTTTCCTGGTTCTCATTCAGCATGTATTCAACAATGGGGAGTTCAGCACGTTGCAAAACAAGTACCCCTGTCGCATTCTCCTGCAACCAATTATGATTCCCTCCAGCCCATATGTCTGCAGTATGCCTAGAAACCTTGCTAAAATAAAAACACAATTCTGTGTTGCTTCACTGATCTTAACAGTATAGTATCAGAAATGCTATGAGATTAGTTTGTCATTACTTAATTTCTGGTATGCCCAAGATGACTACCAATGATACCACTTTACTTCCCAAGTCGTAAGGCTCTAGTCAGTAATTTGTCCTACAGCCATGGTGTAGAGTATCTATAGTGTCTGCAGTGCATGTGTGTCTATATGAATACATGTATATATGTATATAGATATACTTATGTACTTATGAATACACTTATGTGTGTGTGTATATATATAAATAAATATATATATAGTATAAACATGTGTCTATATGAAATGTATCTTTCCCTGTCTGCTTTTGAATGTAGGACATTTCACTTATTTCTAACTTCTGAAATGTTTTCATTTATCCAGGAATCACAAAGATTGCCATCAAAGAAGAAACACATCTGTAGTCCCCCAACATAGCTTTCATCTGGACACTTAGGCTTATGTAAAGTGGCAAGCCTCACCGTTACAATCCTCAACTCAGTGGTGAACTTCAATCCTGCCTTAATGATGTTTGTTCTACCTCCTTGCAGTCTGAAGTCATTTCCCTGAGTGGAGGAGACACCATTCAAAAAAATAGACAAAGAAATTGATAACATAAGAATCTTCCCCAAGGGATCTTAACTTGGAAGTTGACTTCAGATAAGTCCCTTCAGAAGCCCATATGTGATGAAGACTTCTATTATTTGGTGTCATGGGTGATGGTAGTAATTTTGCATGTTGCTGAATATGCAACATCGCAGGATGAGCTTTGATTGCTTTAATCCAGGAGACGTGGCTATAAGCTGCTGCACCTGGGACCTATATTATTATATATTAGTGCATGGGTTTCATCCATGCTAGCTCAGAATTTTCTACCAAAAGCATTCCTATCTCTCATGAGTCTGGTCTTCCATTGTGGTTATCACAACAACAAGAACAACAACAAATAGAATACCTGCTTCTTTATAAACATTAGTGCTTTTTAACCCTAGATGTGTAGGTTTGGTTCATTTATTGCTATTTTTTAGATCTCAGTCTGTTTCTTTTCTTTCTGTACAAAGGCACCAACAACATATACTCATTTACATAAGAACCCAACAATCCTGTCAGAAAGAATACAGGTACAGTCATTAGTGTTAAACCAACTTAGCTCTGTTCCAAAACCAGTGAAAGAGTTGAGTTTCTCATCTTACGTCTTCTAAGGAACATACTCACCAGGAGACAGCTTAACAACCAACTATAGTAAATTACTTAAAAATGTAGAAAAGTCCAAGAATGGTAGCATTATCTCTGTGTGCAGCCCAAGTTTGTGTTTGTAGAAGGAAATTTGTCCCTGAAGTATCTTACAAGGTAGAACTGTGCACGGTTCTTTTCCCTCGCTCATCCTGGGACATCTTACAGCCAACCAAAATCATGAATATTTTACTGAACAGAATGAGAAACAAATGTGGAATATAAAACCACATGAACAATTCACATTGCCAAACTAAATGTGGATTTAGCATCATTGAAGAACTACATCTTTCTAACTCAGAAGTGAAAACAGGAGTTTAGTCTACTTAAAGGTAAAAGCAGAAAATTCAGAGAGGCAACCAAAGGCAAATATATCATGCCATTCATTGTCTTCATTTTCTGATCTCTCCAGGGTCCATAGAATTAAACAGTAGTAATAGCTAGCATGGATTGAGAGCATATTACAGTAGGAGCCAGGCATTGTGTTAAGAGATTTAAATGCATTATCTCATTTATTTAATCACAACAACTCTGGGTGGTAGGTGTTAGTACTCTCAAGTAACTGGTGAAGAAACTGAGGCACAGCAGGGCTAGGAATGGAACTTTAGATTGGCGATTCTCCACATGTGTTCCTCCAATGAGTAGCATCAGTACCACCTCCTGCTCCTGTGTACTTGTTAGAGATACAAATTCCCTGACCCACCTCGAGTCTACTGAGATGTGGTCCAGGAACCCTAGGAATGAACATGATAGCAATCTGTGTCTGAAAACGCTCTCCAGCCTGATTCTAATGCTTGCTAACATCTGAGAACAACAGCTTATATTACATAATTAATAATGTGGATCCATGTCTGTTTGAGCATTTAAGCCCATTCTCTAAATCACGTGCACAATATATAGACTTGTTTACAAAGGTGAGTGATATTTAGAGCATTTCAAGAAAGACGTACTTTTTAATGTTTAAGTACTAAATATTGACATTTCTTCTATTTGAAGAAGTCTTGAAGAATTGTGCTTCCAACCCCCATACTTTCAGTAGGGCTAGGTGATCTTTGCCAGCAAAGACAGACTACGTATTACAGAAGCCTTTTCCTCTTTAATCTAAGGAGCAGACAGACACCGGGTCACTTCCTTGCTAGGAGCAATTTGGTGGCTACCATGGTGGACACACCGCCTATACTGTGGAAAATACAGTATGTCATTGTTGTTGAAGTTTAAATTCCCCAAAAGGCCCCTGTTGGGATACTGCTGGTCCATAGGAGGTTACTGACCAACAATACCATGAGTTTTTGGTTTGAAAGGCTATCTACAATCCTCCTAACCCTCGTGAAATTTGACTACCTGCCGTAAATCTGTTTCCGAATGAGAATTGTCACTTGTTTTTTCTTTCTACCTTTTAATCATAGACATTAGGCTGGGTCGACATTTTCATCATTACCATTTTTACTTATCATCATTAATACATATGCTATACTTAATGTTGAATGTTATTTCGGGACTGAATGAAAACATATTAAACTCTCATTTCCCTAAAGAAAGAAAAAAGTACAAAGAGAAATACATGTGCACAGTGATCTCTCTTCTTTTCTTTCTAGGATGAAGGGTTACTACATAAAGCTTGGGGGCTTACCATACTTTATCAGAACAAATGAAAAAGTACTGAATGTGAATACAATTTAGCGAATGTAGCAGCATTTGCATTTCCATTTTATTTACTTTTTGTTTCTTAACCTTAACACTTACTAGTTGTTCAAGTTGCTGTCCTAAATACTATTAAGTGGTAAATGAAAATTGTTTTCAAACTGCTTGAAAAGCATTATTAAAATATAGCTGCTTTGGGGGTCAACAAAGCCTGGGGAATCTTCAGTGATAAATGTCATATCAAAGACTTAAAAGACTTCTTCTTCTACCTTATTTAAACAATTTATTTTTTCCTGGGCTGAGATAAAAATTGCCAAGTAGAAATAATTGCTATTTAACACCACTACACTTACTAACAAATAATAATTGGGTGATCTAGATAAATAAATGTTGAATTATTATCTTATGGTTGAAAATTAAGAGCTGTATCCCAACGGCTAAAGAATTTTTCAGATGAGTAGGAACATTTTACTAAAGAACAATATATATTGTCAACTCTGTGATAAAAACAGTCATAGAATGGATAACCCAATTTGCCCATGCCCTTGCAACTAGTGGGTCCAAGAATAGTTAATACTGGGAATCTAAAAATGATCTTCTGTTTGCTAAAGGCAGTTGATGGGTGATGTGTTGAATGCACAGCTGCCTTAGGTATGTTTTAGAAAAGTGCTTATTCTGATTTTCTGAAGAGAGATTAAATGGCCTTGCCAAGGAGTTTATATTGCTTAGGGTATGAAAAAGGCAGGCTCGTTAGCATCCCTCAAAACAGGCAAGGATTCAAATAATATTTATTCAAAAAATGAATCAACCTGTGAATTAAGACCTCATCAGCATTGGATATGTCCTGCCTTATTGGAGATTCTAGATCATTAGTTTAGAAAATAATAGGACATTTTTAAAATAATTGTGTTCTATGTAAATTATAGGGATGTGAGAAAAATAATATTTAGTGCTTAAGCTACCTTTCCATATACAAGAACATAGTACCAGCTTGCACTGATCCGTTCACGTGGAAGGGAATAAACTCTCTCCTCTTTCCTTTTAGCATAATAGTTAGGACGATGGCACTCAACCTTTTAATATATTATTACAGCACACTTAAGCAAGGCAAAGACCTCACAGTCCGCTTAGCCCACCCATTATCACTTTCTAGTGGATTTCCAGCTCTCTGTGTGTCACACAGGCAAAATAGCAACTTTACAATGTGTTATGTCAGCCTGAACCCTTGGTAGAGTGATGTATTAGAGCCATCTATAAACTATCTAATAACATGTTCATTTTAGTTTGTGAATACCAACATTTTAATAACTCCTAGTAATGGACTAAGTAAGTTACTGGTGAATTTGTCCTTATTCTTACATAAAAATGAAACTCAGTGGAGTAATTATTTGTGTATTATAAGACCTGAGATAAGGACTTGTGATAGTTAATTAGAGTCTTGCCTGGAGGAATTCATGATCCTCCCAGTGGACTGAGACTGAATCTTTGGGAAACACCAGTTTGTGGCATGGGCTTTGGACTTGTGCTCATATTATGACTAGTCCACTTAAGAGATGCATCCTTAGTCAACAGAATCAACCTCTCTGTGTCCAACTTTCCCCATTTATCAAACTGGTGCCATGATTCCTTCCTTGTGCTTGGCAAATAGAAAGCGGTCAGAAGATGGTGGTTGCTACTGAGCATGAAAACTGCCCGTCCTGTGGCTGAGCTCACTGCCATTGCACCAAAGAGAGCTGCAAAAGCCCAGACATGATGAGTGCCTGTGTTTTCTTCATCACTGAAGGTTGGGCATCCTCTCTGAGAGCCACGACTGGGCATATGCATGTTTTGGGGTTGAGTACCTGAAACTCTTCTGACTTGGCAGATCATGTATCAAATAGAGCTGCTCCTACAGATCATGCATTCCTTCCCCTAGGAGCTAGTTCTTATTCCCTACAATTCCAAGACAAGGAAAATTACACCTACTGATTAATTCGGCAATAAATTCTTACCAAATGCATACTAAATGCCTGGGCTTATACTCGTTTACATTAGCTAGTTACATGAGCTAGTTATCCAGCTAACAAGTTGCTTGTTATTTTGGGAGAGCATTATAAACATTATCATTCTTATGGTAATTATAACAGCAATAATAGTTACCATAAATAATAATACTTTATATTTAAATGGCACTGTACATTTTTAATTTAAAAATTTTCACCATTTATAAATGAAACCAATTTATACAGTGAAAAATTTCTCTACAGAGCAGGAGAAAAGGCATTAAATAGCCAGATACAGGGAAAGGATTTGCCAACTAAGTGTGGGATTTCTTTTGGGGGAGAAAGGTGCTACATAACTCAAGAATTGTTAACTGTCTCCCCCTCTGTGGGTATGGCTCAGTTCCAACAAAATAGCTTAGGGTCATAACAGTCTGTTAGTAAGGTCAGCTGCCAAGGACGGATCGTCACTTGTCATCATGTGTATCCTGTTATCATTAGGGCTTCGGAATCAAACACTGCATTAAACATTTCTCAAATACAAATCCAGAAGTCCTTTCCTCACTATCAAAATGTCCACCTCTGCTCTTTTCATTTAGTACCAAACACAGTGCCAAAAGGTATCATGCATGCATCTTTAACATTTATTCTTTAAAACAACAATATAGGATTCATTCATTTAGTCATTGCTTGGAAAATTATTAAGTGCTTATGATGCTTCAGGTCCAGATACTCATTAAACAGTTTCTATAACAAATTTTACATCTTGCGATTTTTATCTGAGGAAAAAAGCACAAAGTCCCAGCAAAAAGGTCATCGTGGAAGACATTTTATTTGGCTTGGGGAGACAGTGCGTGAAGGTTGCCTTCTAAGGTTTGTGATGTTTCCTCTAAGCACAATGAGGGCAATGATGTTGATGGGGACCTGGATGGAAGTTAAATGTGCCATGATGACATAGTGGGGCCCCTGGCTCAGCATGATGGAGGGCAGGAAGTGTCGGTGTGGGACTGGCCAGCACACCGTTCTGCTGACCGTGTGAGAAGCTAAGTTCAAGGTCTACTTTTGCTTTTAAGGTGTTTCCTTGTCACTGTAGCCAATGTCAAAATTAAGAAGTTGCTTTGCTTGTTCAACTCATCTCTTCTAGTGGGTGAGTGAATATCATCTAGGCTGAGAAAAAGGAAAACTCATTCACTTCCATTCACCCCCTAAAATACAACCAGTGATTAGGAATTTGGAGGGAAAGTGCCCACATGACTACAACTCCTTATTTCTTTTGCTCTTAATCAGAAGGTCTCTATTAATCAGACAGGTGGGCAAATAGGATTTCTAGCAATGTCCCACGGTAGGAAGTCCTTCCATATTGAAAATTTTGGAAATCTCACAGGAAGCTTTGTAGTGAGAAATCGTAGAGAATTGAGTAGTAATCTTTTTTAAACTTCCAAATTTAATGTGATGTCCTTGAGGGAAGACAAACTTTTATTCACACGTTAGAACTTGTTTATGCATAAAATATCTCTGACATGATAAACAAGAAACTGGTAAAACTGATTGCCTTGGGGAGATGGTTAGGCATGTGAGGGGAACATATCATTGAAAACCTTCTCTGCAACTAAAATATTTTATATATATATAATATATATATAATTCACATATTCTCTATGCAAAATTAAATTAAATTAAAATTTAAAATAAAAACCACAATTGTTAAAAGATTACTTTTAGTGGATATGTAATATTTCTTGATGTGATGTGCCTTAATGTATTCAAATTTTTTCATAAGTGAATGTTTAAGTTGTTTCTAAGCTTCTTTTTCCTACTATAAATTGCACATGTCTGTTTACTTCTCTTATTCCTAGAAGAGGAATAGCTAAGAAAAAGAGTATAATTATTTCAAAAGTTCTTTGAAACATTGAACATTGCATGAGCATGCCTATCTCATGCCTCTTACTGACATTGAGTGTTATTATTTTTAAAAAATAGTAATTGCTAATGTAATAGGTGAACAATGGCCTCTTGAAAACTTCATATTATAATACAATAACATATTTTACCTCAGATTGCCTTTTACCTGCCACTTAACATGAATTTTTGGCTCTTATGTGTTTTGTATCAAGCATTAGTCTAACAGAATTATAATTTTAAAGGGAAATCTGCTCAACCCTAGATAGAAGTAGTCTGTAGATTTCCCATAATTTTGGTAAACTATACATTATTTTAGATATTCACTGGGTAAAGGATACAGTTAATTATCAATGTAGAAGATGTACTGATAAAATAGGACTTATACTTCAAGAAAAAATTTCAATATATTAATGTTGTTAACTCTAAAACCTTTGAAATATTTTAATATCTTGATATCTGAGTCTATCTCAGTAAGAAAACTATACCAAATCTAGCATGAGACCCTAAACTCAGTTCAGTAGTTTAAGTTGGGACCAGCTGTGGCTCAGAGGAAGATCTGAAATGACAATTGTGGGTGATGGACTGTGCAGCCCATCAGTGATCCCAGAAACACCAATTGCCTCAGAAGGACTTCATGAAGTTTTCTACATCTTCATTAACTTTCAGCAAGATGGCCAAAGCACCTCAGTGATGAACGGAGAGGTTTAATTTAATTCACTTTGAACATGACCTTCACCTATAAATAAATGTTTTCATAATGTGATTAAAGACACCATCACGTCTGAAAATATTTTTGGTCTGTCTAGTGTCCAAGATTTTTTGATCATTTATTCCTTTAAGACATTGCCTTCACCCAGGAATTACTTTCAAGAATAAAACCACCTCTAGGAGAAATACTGCAATCTTGAATGTGAATTAGTCTTTTACAAGTCTGGAGCTTATTGCTAAGCTCTAAGTGAAGAAGACACAGGATGGGTAAGTTTTAATGTAGCTGGGGAGAGGGACATGTCCAGAGCGGCCCTAAGTGTCATTATTGGAAACTAGTCCTTATAAGTCTGGTAAAGTGTTCATTATCTGAGAGGTAGATATAAGTCTGGGCAGGAGATGGCAGCATAAAAAGGAAAGGGAGAAATTCACTAGAGAAAAATCTCAACTTCATAATTTGTCTAGTGCTAGTCCTCAAGTTTCTTACCTGGTTCTTAGTGGCTCCACAGCTAGTAGTTTCTAAAATAACTGGAATTTCTGAAATGTTTAAAGTTCGTCCCATGATCTGGCTCAGTCACCATTCTGGGGCAGCCATTAGCACCCCAGAAGAAGGCCAGGTATGGGGCAAGTAAAACAGCCAGGGCATGGAGTCAGAGTTCTGGCCCTGCCACGACTCAGCCTTATGACCTTGGGCACGTCATTGAACCTTACTCCTCAATGTAGCTAATTATGTATTGCTACATGGTTACAATGTGGTTGGAATATTGAAATATTATATTTTTAAAAGTTTTGTAAACATTTTAGCATTCACAAAGCCTTTTAAAAGACCATGCTAAATACAACTCAACTCTAGAATGAATGTTATTGTTAGTATTACTATTAGTTAGGATTCTCTGGGATTGAGTGCTCTTCCGGGACAGCAGAGGAAAGGAGATAGTAGATAGCACTCATAATGTCAGAAAATCTGTGGGCTTGTTTTAATTTCTTTAAATGTGTCTATATTACTCATTCTGATTGAAGTAGCTTCCATATTTTTGACCTTAGAGGCCATTGAATAATAGTTAGCATTTCAATTCGTGGCATTTTTTTTTTTCTGGTGGAAAGACTGGAGTTGGGAGTCCAATGTCTTGCTATACACAAGAAAAACAAGCCCATTTTTACTTAATTCCATAGGTATGTGTTTAAGAAGTACAGTTCAAAGGGTGAAGTGTGAGGAGAATGGGGAAATATTAGTCAAAGGATACAAAGCCTCTTTGCTATGGTTTGAGTTTGTCACCACCAAAATTCTTGCTGAAATTTTATCTCCACTGTGAAAGTGTCAGGAGGTGTGGTCTAGCGGGAGGTGTTCGGGTTATGCAGGTGGCTCCCTCATGCATGTCTTGGTGCTGTTCTCATGGTCGTGAGAGAGATTTCACAAGGTATTGAGGGAATAGAGTATTCATGAGGGAAAGGATTGTTGTAAAGTAAGGTTCCTCTTCTGGTTTGGTCCTCTCTTTGCATGTGTCTGCTCCTCCTTTGACCTTCTCTGCTGTTATGATACATCATTAAAGCTCTCATCAGAAGCCAGGGTCATACCTTTGAATTTCCTAGCCTGCAGAGGCATGAAATAAATAAACCTCTTTTCTTTATAAATCACCCAGCCTCAGGTATTCTGTCGTAGTGACACTAAACAGGACAGTCAATTAGATAGGAGGAATGAGTCTGATTATTATTATACCAATTGCACAGCATGCTGAATACGGTTAATAAATGAGTACTGTATACTTCAATATTGCTAAGAGGAAATTTCTAATGTTTTCAACACAAAACTATGGATTAGTATCATATTCCACATTGTATTTAGAAATCATAACACAACTTTGTACCCACAAATATATACAAATATAAACTATACTTTGTCAATATATAATTTAAAAAAAAATTTAAAAAAGTACAGCTCAGTTGGAAAAGCGTGTGTGGGTCCAACATGCTGACCTGCTCTGTAGCTTAAGGAGATTCAATTATGATTGCTCTTTTTCTCTGAACTGCAGATCGAGAGTGGGCTGTTAGGATCTTCACAGGGGAATAAATGGTAGATTTTGCCCAGTGTTTGGAGGAAAAACAGAACCTAAAAAAGATGATCTCCTAGTAGATTGTCTAGGAATCACAGACTTTCAGAGATGTAAGTGGCCTTAGAGGTCATTAATCTACTGCTCTTCACCTCCAACACCCCAGGCCCCAATCGGTTGATGGGCAATTGACACGCCAAGAGAGTGAGTTCGAGTTGCAGATCAGCACAGTCCAATACAAATATAATGCAAAATATATATGGAATTCAAATTTTTCTAGTAGCCACATTAAAAATGTAGCAAAAACAGCTGAAAATAATTTCATTAATATATTTTATTTAACCTAATGTATATCAAATATTATCATTTCAGCATGTAACCAATATAATTTTTTTTTTTTTGAGACAGAGTTTCACTGTTGTCACCCAGGCTGGAGTGCAATGGCGCGATCTCGGCTCACCGCAACCTCTGCCTCCCGGGTTCAAGCGATTCTCCTGCCTCAGCCTCCCAAGTAGCTGGGATTACAGGCGCCTGCCCCCATGCCCAGCTAATTTTGTATTTTTAGTAGAGACGGGGTTTCTCCATGTTGGTCAGGCTGGTCTCGAACTCCTGATCTCAGGTGATCTGCCCGCCTCGGTCTCCCAAAGTGCTGGGATTACAGGCATGAGCCACCATGCCCAGCCACCAATATAAAATTATTGAGATATTTTACCTTCTTTTTTTTATACTATATTTCCAATATGTGTTTTACATTTGGACCACATCTCAATTTGTTTTCATTTGAATTTTCTCAATTTCTTTTAACATTAAATTTTCAAAGATTCAAGTGAAACATAGTTCTGCCAAAATGATATAGTTATGCTTAATGGAAAATATTTTAAATCACTTTGATATTTAAATTTAATAATGTTAAAAATTTCATTTATTCTGTGCATGTTTCAAGTGCTCACTTGCCCCATGAGGCCCTGTGGCTGCTGTATTGGCCAGTGCCTCTCTACATAATGTTCCTTTTCAGTTATAGAGCCAAGACTTGATATTTGCAGCCTGGTGCTTGGCTTAAAGGAGAAACTCAACAAATGAGTTTTGACTGAATTGAGACTAAAACTTGGGTATCCTAATTCATTTTTCAGATGTACCAGTTACCAATGATCTGGTATTGCTCCTACTTCCTATAGAGCAGTGATTCTCAAAACGTAGTCTCCTATGGAAGCAGCTGCATCACCTGGGAGCTTGAAGGAAATGCAAATCCTTGGGACCTAATTTCAGACCGACTGAGCTAGAAACTCTTGGGGTAGGTCCCAGTGATCTTTGAGAACTACTGCTGTAGGTCTAAAAAAGTCTTATTTTCCCTAGGGCTTTCCCTGGGAATGAAGGGATGCCGAGAGAGCAAGAGCTTCTCATTCTGCAGTGCTGTCTGATAGAATTTTCTGTGATAGTGGAAATGTTTTATATCTGCACTCTCTAATATGGTAGCCACTAGCCACATGACCATTGACCATTTGAAATGTGGCTAGTGCAAATGAGGAACTAAGTTGTAAATTCTCTTTCATTTTAATTAGCTTAAATATAAATTTAGAGAGCTGCATGTGGTTAATGGCTATCTAATTAACCTCTTTTACCAATAAGCAGGGGAAGCATGGGTTCAGTAATTGTAGTGAGGAATCATCAATCCAAACTTGGAGTGAGCTCAGGGTTAAGTCTGAGGCAGAATCTGTGAGGCAACAGCTGTCTTCTCCAGGGATACTCTCTTAGAATGGAGAAAAAAATGGACTCACTGAATCAGTGTGTGTTCTAAATGCAGGATTAGGGTAACCAAAACAACCTGTAGCCCATTGTTTGATCAAGACCCATGGAGTTACTTTTTCTAGGTCAGCAGTAGAACCATGAAGTCTCACAAGGAGGCCACGACACACAATAATCATATTTTGTATTTAGAGATTGCACAAGGTGTTCTCATCCTCTGGTCCCTGAGTTATCAGAACTGGAAGTCTATTAATTTTTTAATGACAGAGGCTATCTGACTGTGCTGATGGTGACCCTTTTTATTCGTTAATTCTCTTTTCTAAAAAATGCTTTCTGGAGCTGACGAATGTCTCTACCTTTGCCCTGGACTCTTCTTCCCTCTGCTGTTCTTGGGGGCAATTACCATGATTTCCTGTACTTCTAAAGTACAGGTGTTTTCATAATGACATAGAGAAAAAGAAAATGACTGGATTTCAAGGGATGAGGATGAGATAGAAAGCCCTCAGTGCTACAGCTCTTATTACTCAAAATAAGAGTGAATTAGAAGAAAAGTGACTTGCATTTTTTGTTCAGGTCATCATGCCTTACTTAAACCAACTCAAACTCTGAGTTTCCCTGGACACAAATCATATTTGATCATGAGATTGAAGTGGGCTCTATAGAGCTGAGATGTAGCTCCTGCAGAAATTTACTAGCTAAGACAGAGGGACCGCACAGTTCTGTGGGACATCTGAGGAGCCCAACGCAACGTGCTTGGTAATTTAGGTGCCCCCAATAGAGTAAACGTGACCCCAAAAAACTCCAGCTCCTCAACCTGATCCTCACCCACCTACTCTTCCCATAGAGAGGAAATTTAGTTTGTATTTAGTTGTAAATCTTAGACGATGGCTAGACCATCCTTACTTGCAAATGGAACCAAAAAACAACATAGGATGAACAGAGGGTGACACAGAAAGTGGTAAACCGGCAAAACAATTCTGTCTTTGACAAAAGGAAAGGGATACAAAGCTGTTGTTTTCAATTGCTCCACCTGAAATCTTGCCAAACACTGTGCTCTCTCCACCTCATCGATCTAATGCTTTAATTGGCAGACAGTAAAGTCTGATGGGAAAGTAATGGTTTCTTAAATACTTGAGAATGAAAAGCAAATTAAGTTAGCACAGTGTAAAAGGCAAGTAATTACATAATGTCAATCTTGTTTTATACTGTTTAGTCTTGAACAGCATACAAAGAAAGGGCATGGTCAGGAGTGAATAAAGTAAGACTGCTTTGTTAGGTTACTTAAGCTCTGCTTACTTTTGGTGAGCCATGAGCTTCAGGGAAGGCTTCTTGAATGACAGCAAGCCTATTTCCAAAGTTGTCACTTTCTACTGCCTGTCCTAATGTGTACTAACCATTGACAGGATGATCATCATTCTGAGCCAAAGATTGGTCTCGGTTTGTAGGCATGTTTCTGAATAGGAAGATAACCTGACTGCATTATGGAACTGAAGCAGAAGGTCACAGCATACCTTATGTTTCTGGGACAGTGACTCAACTGGTGAAGGGTCCCCAGTTTTTGGCTGTGTCCAGGGCTGGATTTATGGCTTCAGGATGGTTTTCATCCTTAGGGCCTGGGTTTTATCATCCACTAAAAAGGGACACCCTCAGGGACTGGATGTGTAGAATAATCAATGGCACAGACAGGGAAGTCACATACACATAAAAAGGGGAGGATATCCTGGTGTAGAGAAAGATGAATGGGAACTTACAGGATAGATGAAAATTGGGATATCAATCAAGCAGCTTCCCTCCCTCCCTCTTTCCTTCCTTTTTCTCTTTTTCTTTCTTCTTTTCCTCTCAAATGAAAATAGTGGAATTTTATATGTGTGTTTGTGTGCATGTGTGTGTTCTTTACAAAAACTTTATAGACTGCAGCCAGAGATGTAAAGAAGAAAGTAAAACTGCAAGTAATACTATTTCCCAGAAAACAATCACTGTTAAGAGTTTAGAATATATTTTTATGAACTTTCCCTATGCATATTCCCAACTTTCTGCTTTTTTCTCTCTCTGTCTCATATATATGAATGTGATGATATAAAAATTGTATTAAGTATACTACATCAACATATATACTACATATAGATTTTATATATGATTTTCATGATATTTTGTATGCAGATAGCCCCAGTTTTGAATATGTCTTAAGGAGTAGGCAAATAAGGATTGTGGGTCTTTTGTTTGGAGCTTCCATAAGGTTTGATTGAAATAACCATCGAGGACCTGAAAATTTGGGTTGAAGTATGAGAGGGGTGTGCTGACAGCTGTGAGTCCTTGGATGCATCATGGGCAGTGCTATGCAGTGTTCATACATGCACAGCTGATGCAGATAATGCAAAGGTCTCACTCGTGCAAAAGGCATATGGATAACTCAGGGCTCATCAGGGTAAATGTTCCTTATTTCAGTCAATTGACATTATGCTAAGTAAGTTTTATTCTTATAAAAACATACTGAAGTCTCAGCCATCCAGAATTTTATAGATGGAGCCTTTGCAAATTCCCCAAAAATACTGTGGTTGCTATTTCAAGCACCATTATTTTTCTACTGGAGGCTCTTTGCATGGAGCGCTTTCTAAAATATATTACATAATTTTTATTTTTTCTGATTATAGTATTCTGAATATGAGTTAACTTTTTGTGAAGACTCAGCTCCCTTTTCAGAACCCATTGCACTGATGTACTATATCAAGACCTAGGTCTTTTGAGGTATGTAGAAATGTTGGTGTTTACACAAAAATGGCACCAGATGGCCATGCTTTATAAGCTCTTGTGTCTTCTATTTGTAGGTCTCTGTTCCTCTGTTTGCTGAGAATCTATTGCTCTTCTGGCTGGATTAGTGCATTTTCCTGCAGCAACATTGTTCACTGTCCTGTCCCTTCTTTTCCATTGACTCCAATTCACCCCTTCTTATGGAGGACTTGGAAAGCAGATAACCAAGCTTGCTGGAATTATGTGTAATGTAGAATAAAATGGAAAAATAAAAATAGACTCAGCATAGGCCCAGCCTGATTTTACATCATGGAAGAGTGATAAGCTTTAGGAATGAACTTTGCTACCTATTTTGGTTATTTAGAAGTTCTTCTTCCTCTTTTGTTTTTTTTTTTTTTTTTTAGATGGAGTTTGAGCTCTTGTTGCCCAGGCTGGAGTGCAACGGTGTGATCTCGGCTTACTGCAACCTCCACCTCCCAGGTTCAAGAGATTCTCATTCCTCAGCCTCCCAAGTAGCTGGGATTATAGGCGTACACCACTGTGCCTGGCTAATTTTGTATTTTTAGTAGAGACAGGGTTTCACCATGTTGGTCAGGATGGTCTCGAACTCCTGACTTCAAGTGATCCACCCGCCTTGGCCTCCCAAAGTGCTGGGATTATAGGTGTGTGCCACCGCGCCCGGCCTCTTCCTCTTCTGTTTTAATCAAGTCATGGTTTTGGTGCCTGACTTGCAATCAGTAACAATTTGTTGAGTTGAATTAAGCAAAACTTATGGTATGTATCTGGGGAAGACATCACTAGATGTTTCAGTAATGGATGGACAAAGGGCTGTACCTGAAGATACCTTGAGTAGAAAGCTGCTGTGATTCTCATCAGCCCAAGAAACGGTCTATGGATACAAGGAAGACTTTCCTAAGGTTCAGAAAGCTCCTCGCAGGCCTTCTGACAGCTTCCCCTAGCTCTCCTCACCCCTGAATAGTGCGTGTGTGTGCGTGTGCATGTGCATGTGTGTGCATGTTCATGTGTGTGTGTGAGAGTGAGAGAGAGAGAGAGAGAGATTGAAAGAGAGGATAATTGCTTGTTTTGACAATGTGCCATTTCTATGGACTGTTTTTTCTTTTTGGTTTTGCAAAATAGGAAGAAGATGACTGTTTACAATGGCCCAAATTTTGATAGTACCTGTGATTCTCATCAGCTTTTGGAATGTTCTTGATAGAGTCCCAGTACCTCCTCATCACCCACTGCAGGTTTTGAGACATGTTGCTGACCATTACTAGCCATTTGGGTCTGGCTCTTCAGATCATGTACAGGTAGTACTTGTTTTTCTCTCTGAAGTACTCTTCTCCCCATCAGCATGTAAGTCAACTATTTCGAGGCAATGGGTGGTAAAAGAAGAGTTTCTCTATGCCCTTGGTTCTTTCTTATTATCCAGTTCTATAGCCACGCCATGGCGATATTCCAAAGTACTTGGTGGTCAACCATGTGAGAAATCTCCCAGGGCAGTGCTTCCCCACTTAATGTATGTAAAAATCACTTTTATAAGTGATTTTTATAAGATTCTGGTTCAGTAGGTATGAGATGGGGCCTGATAATTTGAATTTTTAATAAATCCTTCCACTCTAGGTACTACACTTTCTCTAGCAAGAAAGTAAACTCTTGTCTTATCATTCCTGAAGTCCTGCATTCCCATTGTTTATTTTCTAGGGATGTGAGAATCCTGAAGCAGGGGATTGAGGGTTCCAAGGAGATCCAAGTGAGTATGGATGGCTATGGTCAGTTTCTGAACTATCAAAATTTGGGCCATTGTAAACAGTCATCTACTTCCTATTTTGCGAAACCAAAAAGAAAAAGCAGTCCATAAAAATGGCACATTGTCAAAACAAGCAATCATCCTCTCTCTCTCTCTCTCTGTCTCTCTCTCTCTCACTCTCACACATGAACATGCACACACAGGCACATGCACACGCACACACTCCCCATATAACATTTCAGTAGCATTCTAAACTTTAGAAATAATGTGAAAAATGTTTGGTAAAATATGAAAGCCAGGGTCTCTTCTACTTGTTGTACATTAATAAATAAAACATATTTAATCTATCTACTGGAATCCCTGTGATATAAACAATTTAGTGTGAATACATTTGGCTTCCAGCTGTCAGTGAATTTAGGTAAATCCAGCTTTAAGAAAAACATGTTTTATGGGAAAAACAATTTCAAATTCCATGAAAGCATCTACTTATTATCTCAATCATATCACACTAGGGCAGTAAAATAAATAATCAGACTAGTCTCCAGGATTTTATGATCTATGTCCACGTAGTATCAGCTATCCACATTAAATTAGAGTGTTTATGGCTTTGTTTTATTTAGATTACTTGCCATAAATCTGGAGTTTTCTTTTCTTTGTAACTACAGTGTGTGTAACTTTTGTGTTCTCCTAAAATGTTTTTAAAGCTAAGGGACTGCATCTTAAAAAGGGAGTTAATGAGGAGACCATGATGTTTTGCCTGCTGAATAGACACTGATTCACACAGTGGAAAGCGGTTCATTCATATGCATAGGATATCATGGTCCCAATTCTAGATTGGGGCCATTTTTAAAAGGTGACGTAAAGCTAGTTGAATTTTAGAAGTTCAGTCTACACTAAGGTCCTTTTTACAAAAACTCAACTAGAAATTTTAGTGCTTTCTAATGCTTGGAAGAAGGGATCTTCATCGTTACCTCTTTTCATTCTATTCAGCTGGCTCTGAAACTTCTTTTAAAATAACCAATTTGGCTGGACACGGTGGCTCACGCCTGTAATCCCAGCACTTTGGGAGGCTGATGTGGGTGGATCACGAGGTCAGGAGATCGGGACTATCCTGGTTAACATGGTGAAACCCCACCTGTACTAAAAATACAAAAAGTTAGCTGGGCCTGGTGGCATGCGCCTGTAGTCCCAGCTACGTGGGGGGCTGAGGGAGAGGAATTGCTTGAATCCGGAGGCAGAGGTTGCAGTGAGCCAAGATTGCACCACTGCACTGCACTCCAGCCAAGGTGACAGAACGAGACTCTGTCTCAAAAACAAAATAAAACAAAACAAAACAAAACAAAACAAAAAAACAGATTAGGAAGATTTTTGAAGTGAAAATACAAATATCTCCTAAAGGGCAACGATGTATGTCTGCAAAATCTAAAATCCCCCTTGGGGCCTTGTGAGGTCCAGACAGAACCCCTAGCTGGCTGGACCAGAGGTCTCACTTGACATGACAGCACATCGTGGAAAGAGCTCGCTGTGTGCAACTCAACCTGCTTGGCATTTTATATGGATTATCTTATTCAATCCTCATGATGATTTCATGTACAGGTGAGGAAACAGAAGATTAGAGAGGCTTAGTAAATTTCTTCAAGCCACACAATATGTACATGGCAGAAACAGGACTTACACTGAGACCGTGGTACAGCATTTTAACCACTACAACTCTTAGATTATAACCCAGATGATTATATAAGTAATAAAGTATTTCTACTACACTTTACAAAGACTCATAATTGATCTGAAAGCAATCAGTCTGTCACCAAATGTATCTGAGAGCTTACTGTGCACCAGGCACAAACCTAGGCACTGAGAATAGAGTGGTAAATAAAAGACTGCATTTCAGTCCAGTAGACATTACTGCTACTCCTAGAGGTCTTAGTACTCCCAGCACTGCTGCTGCTACTATTACTATTACTACTACTACTACTACTGTTACTACTGAGAGCTTACTATGTGCCCAGCAGGATTTTAAATACTTTCTATACATTGCCTCATTGAGGTAGGTAATACTGTTATCCACATGTTACAGATGAGAAAACTGAAGTGCAGGTAAATATTAAGTAACTTACCCAAGGTCACACAGGTAGTGAATGGAGGAGGTGGAATTTGATTTTAAGTAGTCTGACACCAAAGTCTATGTTCTTATCCACCACAGAAAGCCACTAACTATAATAAATTAATTAATAGCAGTGTGCAAATTGTGGCAAAGAGTAGGGCATGTATAACTGGAGACCCAACCTGGTGTCTGTGGTTAGAAAGGACTTCCCTGAGGAAGACCTGATGCTTGTGGTTTGGGTGGAGTACAGAACAAGCGAGGCCAGAAAGTCCCTGGGGGAGGCGAGCGTGGGGTTCATGCGAGGGCACCCCCAGTGACACTCATCCTGTGCTTTTTTCTTTTCTTTTTAAATTTTGTTTACATGAATGTGGAAATGAAGCATCTAAGTGTGAAAAAGAAAACTAATATTTATTGAGTCTTAGGCACTTTACTAGCCGCATCTGTACAATAAATTATTTTAAATTCTCATAAATGTCCTATGAGATAAGTCTTGGTATCATTTTAAGAACGAGGTTTACAAAGTGACTTGCCCACTGTCTCATAGGTTGAAGCCAGGATTTTGTATCCAGTTCTGGTCTGGGCTCTTAACATTGACTCATGGGGACCCTGTTAGAAGAGAAAATTTGGGTCCATGGTTTGTGTGTTGGGGGAGAGAGGTGGGAACCTGTGTAGTCATATTTCGGGAATGGAAGAAATAGAAAGACACAGGAACACACTTAAAGTTTTTTGTTCTTTTAGGGCCACAAATTCTTTCATTTAAACATTGAAACTCTCTACTTCCTTAATTCCACTTTCTGTCTTTCCTGTCTATTTGCAAAATTACTAAATCCTTAGATTGACTCTGACTGTGGACAAATGATTCCAAGGAATATTCTGACCTAAAACATGGACAATTATTTTCAAGTGATGTTTCTGAGGTGCTCTGTAATTGGACATCCAATAAGTCCTCCCTGTACTATGCTGTGAATGTTAACATCATGTTTCATTTTAAAGGAAAATTATGGTTACAATAATTATTTTCCTAAGCATGAACATGAAGCCTTCACTTCTTTTTGGGTCTCTTATTTTTTTTTTTTAATCATCACTTAATGGTCAGAGCCAAGTCCACAGGAAAACAGAATGAAATAAGAAATGTTAACATGGAAAGCAGGCCAGAGAAAAATATACAACTGTTTTCCTCAGAGGATTAAAAGATATCTTGCTTTGAATCACTTTGTACCCATACAAAAAGGTAATACATGTGCTTTAGCTGACTAAACAAGATTCCATTGATAGCTTAAAAGCTCCAGTACTTATGTAATGAATATACTATTTCATGTACTAATGGCCCAAAAAGAATGAGAAATGTTTTTATCTTACTTTCAGAAGAAAAGTTAACCGGATGATGAATTAAGAGTATAATATCTTGTTCTAAATCAAAGAATTCTCAACCATAATGAATGATGATCTATAATAATATTACACCATATATATTGGCATTTATTAGGATGAGAGGTAGACTTATTTCCATCAATAGCTTTGGCTCTTAAAATCATTATTTTATGTGTAGATTAAAAACATAGGTATTGACTTCTTTTAAGGCGAACATCAAAATTCATTGACCTGACTTTGTCAAAGTCAATATTTTCCTCATAAGACAGTATATCCATATGTTTACTGAACCACAACCTCACTTTTTGTACTGTTCTACATATTCCAGATGTCTTATAGTTAAAGAATATTAGAGTCAGAAGGAGGCTTAGCCCAAATCCTTCAATTTCCAGGCGAGGAAATTGAGTCTCACTGAGAGTGAGAGACTTGCCTTAATTATTACGCTTGCCCCACTATCATGCTGGTGGAAAAGGATGCTTGTTTAAATTTAGTCTACTCTTCTCGCCACCATTTCCCTGCCTTATTAAATATTTTGAAAATTGTCTTCTAAATGCAGAGAAAACTTACTGTTTAAAAAAACTCCTATGAGCAATATAGAATTCTATAACCTAAGAGCCATGTGTGAAAGGGGAACAATAACCAAAATCTAGTGACAAATTATGCACATTTATATTTGAACGATTTTTCAGACAAAACTCATGCCAGTTTAGTCTGGTAGATTATTGCAGTAATGGCTCCCTATGTTGCACATTTCTCTGTGTCCACACTTTCCGGTAGTGCCTCCCACTCTGCCTTTAAAATTGGCCATGTGATTTACTTTGGCCAATGGGACAATAGCAATCCTGAGAGTAGCAGAGATTGACATGTGTGCACACATTGGGCCTTGCCATCACTTGTTGCTCTTTGGAATGCTAAGATCACATGTGAAAAAGCCCAGGCTAGCCTACTGGAGGATAAGTCATGCCAGCTGAGGCCCCCTTCCCTTGACCAACCATCCTCCCAACCCCAAACATGTGGGTAAGGCCATCCTGGATCATCCGTCCCTAGCTGAGTCCTCAGCTGACCTCAGAGATCAGCTAAACTGACTCAGACAAGAAGAACCACCCAGTTGACCCACAGACTCACAATTAATAATACATGTTTGTTTTTACAGGTTCCTAAGTTTTGGGGTAGTTTAAGAGACAGTAAGGCTATGACTGAAAAACATAGAGAACAATATATAAAATAGGCAAGAGGGAAATTCCAGGTTAATCTGTGGAGTCTGGCAATTCTTAAATAGTTCCCAAAATAAAAACCATCCAATGCCTCTTATCTTTAGAGGTGATAGAAGTTTGCATATAACAGTAACTTCTGATAAAGAATTTCGCATATTCCACTGGGAGACGGTTAGGAAAAGACAAAATATGAATCTTATCTGATGGGAGCAATAAAGCTCTGACCAATGGAAGCTCAAATCCTGAAACCGTTGATTCAGACCACCGTGGATTGACTAGGCTGGACCTCCTTAATTATTTGATCATTATTAATTCATAAGTATTTATATCATTCATAGTATTACTCTCAGTTTAGATGAAGTTGTTTAATTTGTTGATGGAGAAAGTTAAAATCCAAAGTTAAACAATCTGATCTGTAAGGCAGTACCAGCTAATGTCTGTACCAAGGGAGTGGACAGATTGGTTAGGAGCTCACTGGGTATCAGATATGACATAGTATGGAGCATGAGGTTAAAAAAACTGAACAATGCATCTACATTGACATGGACAGGAGAAGGCTACATTGTTAATTGTATGATTAAACTAAAGTTAAAAACTTTCTTCAATCTCATTGACCTCCTGAGTGATACTGGCACATGCTCTGGTAATCCCTGTTCTACTCTACATTCAAATACAGAGCAAAACACAAATAAAAACATGTGCCACATTTAGAGAAAATATTCCAACTTTGTCCATGTGGAGTAGCATAAGAAGTAGGAACAATGATTCCCAGAATAAAATAATCTGAAAATACACACACACACACACACACACACACACACACACACACGGACATTACATATGTACTCATTTGCATACGATTTTATTGTTTTCAAAACAACCATACAAATACAAATAAATAAAATATATTTCTCTCTTTTTTCTTTTCTTTTCAGACAGGTTCTCATTCTGTCACCCAGGCTGGAGTGCAGTGGTACCATCTAGGCTTACTGCAACCTCCATGTCCCAGGCTCAAATGATTCTCCTGCCTCAGCCTCCCAAGTTGTTGGGACTACAGGGATGTGCCACCATGCCTGGCTAATTTTTGTATATTTTGTAGAGATAGGGTTTTGCCATGTTGCCAAGGCCGGTCTTGAACTCCTGGACTCAAGTGATCCACCTGCTTTGGCCTCCCAAAGTGCTGGGTTTACAGGCATGAGCGACTGCACCTGGCCCAAAATACACTTCTCTACAATATATCTGTTAACTCTAGATTTTATATGCCATTAACATCTGTAGGTCATTAACACTTTGGTAAATTTATAAGTATCTTATGCTCTTTAAATATGTCCTGTGAGGCTGGGCGCAGTGGCTCATGCCTGTAATCCCAGCACTTTGGGAGGTCGAGGCGGGCGGATCACGAGGTCAGGAGATTGAGACCATCCTGGCTAACACGGTGAAACCCTGTCTCTACTAAAAACACAAAAAATTAGCCGGGCATGGTGGCACGCGCCTGTAGTCCCAGCTACTCGGGAGGCTGAGGCAGGAGAATGGCGTGAACCCGGGAGGCGGAGCTTGCAGTGAGCCGAGATCGCTCCACTGCACTCCAGTCTGGGCGACAGAGCGAGAATCCGTCTCAATAAATAAATAAATAAATAAATAAATATCCCCTGTGAAAAGAGTGCTGTGTAGATTTTTAAAAAATATCTAAATGCTCATGAGCTTACATAGGGTTAGAATTGAGTGGTAATATGCACAAACCATGTGAATAGCTTTTTATAGCGGAGAAAAAAGGGACTAGTTGACGGTATAGTACCAATGAGGCTGTTCTTCATAATCTAATGGTCAGGACAAGGCAAAAGGTAGACTATAGCTATCAGCTGCCTTCTGTCTAACACAGAATTCAGAAGGAGGAGAGGACTTTACCAAGATTACCAAAAGGCACTACATTTTCAGTTTGACAACTTCGGAATAATTTGTGACCTGGTTGAAAAATCTGATAGCAGACACCTGCTTACATTAAAAGAAAATAAAAGTGTGGGGTTTTATATAGAATATGTTACTCAACCTTTGGAGAACTCCATTTGCTTTTGTATTTTCATATATTTTTACTCTTTCAGTCCTTGATATATTTTGAGATTATGCTAGGGAGAGTAGTTCCCAAAATTTGGAATAAAAAGGCCTGCTTTGGAACAGGTAAGTTTTCAGACCCATCCTGAGTCGTACTTTTGGAAGCTGTTGATGGGGAGGATTAACAATTATAAAATGCTATCGATGCACTCAGTAAAACATCACATTTGAAAAATGGCTGCATTTATCTATTTGAGATAATAGTTATTTAGTCTGAAGGCAATACTTAGTGTGGGTATAGGTTGGGTGGCTCTGCCATTACCCTGAAGATCTCTGGCTGGACCACTGCATTAGGGCTGAGATTGGACGGGGGATGGGGACCCAGTCCACCTGAGCCCTGGGTGTATCATCACTTTCAACACATTCCATAGCATTTGTTTTTGCATCGTTGTTTTGTATCCAACAACACAACTTCCCATCCATTGATAGCCAGTCCTAGTGCCAGAAGCTTTCATTAGCATAACTGGCTATCCACTCTAAAGGCAGCTCCCAGACTCATTCTGTGGCTCCTGCCTCCCTTTTTCCTATAGCTCCATGAGTCTGAGGGTCTATGACAGTAGCCACTATCTCCATTACCAATGATGTATTTCCAATACCAACAAACAATGACTTCAAATAGAATAAACTAAAGTCTTGCTGGGTGTGTTCCATTAATGGCTTTCTGTCCTCTGTGATACTGGGCTGAAATGAAGATCAGTAGACTCTGGGCTCTGAGAACCAACAGATAACCTTTCTGATGCAATAAACGGCATGGTGAAAGTCCCAGACTGCTCTTTAGAACCAAGCATACCACACTTCCTGCAGAAATAATAAGAAACTAACATTTAAATGAGTACTGACTATAAGCTGAACATTGTAGTAAGTCCTGTTTTATCTATTATCTCATTTAATCTTCACAACAACCCTATAAGTAATTATGCTATCATAATACCCATTTTGCATAAGAAAACTGAGAGGCATAGAGAGGATAAATATTTTGCCCAAGGTTATGCAGCGAGTACAACTCCAGACAGACTGGCTCCCAAGGAACTCTCTACCACTCCATCATACTATCTATACATGCGCAGTAATGACATAGCGGTATTTAAAAAAGCTACAACAAAACCCACATAATTGGTAAGACCGCACAGGGAATAGCAATAAAATTCTGCATGACTTGCTGCACTGAGCCTACCAGTAATAGCCTATTTCATGATATTAATATTTTTTAATTCTCAGCTTCTCCAGCCAAAGTCTCAAGGTTAGAGAAAGTGTTTATGGCTGTCAAGACTGGCACACAGACAGATAGCACAAGCTAAGTCCTCTGAAATGTTATCTCACAGAAAAAGTTGCATTTTTGTACCCGTTCTACACAAAGACAACATTTGCATAAGCTTGAGCAACACCATCAAAGTGCTCAGTCTGTCTGCTAGTGAGCTTATTTTCTGGCTGGCAAATGCTGAATTCTGCTTTATAGAGGGAAGAGACATCTTTTACTAGTAGACGGCCCACCAGAACTAACACTGAGCATATTTGGATTCAGCTTTGAGAATCTCAAAAAAGTTGAGAGGGTTAGTGCTAAATAATATTTACTCCTTAGATGCTATACTTCAGCCATATGCCAATATCCTCACTACAGCCTGAGTTCTAAGGATGGATAGAGCTGGTTTGTGGTCTGAACTGTTCATCTTCTACAACTGACAGAACATCAACCTGGGGGTAACTTTTGGAAATCTGTTTGATTGAAAATGCTCCCTGGACAAAACAATCATTTGGCAAACAAATACCTGTAGAATTAGTAACCTAATTTGGGTTACCTAATTTGTAACCAAATTAGGTTACAAATTAGTAACCTAATTTGGGTTACCTGTAGAATTAGTAACCCAAATTCAGGATATAATAAATATTTGGAAATATAAACCATCCTTAAAAGAGATGTAAAGCAGTATCTGTTTTGCAGAATTACCATGACTGTCTACAGAAAATGGATCCATTGTTTCTGTGGGAAATGTTTGGGTGTTCGGAGAAGGTGCTTGGGGGCATGTGCAGCTTTGGGAATTGTCTGCCTGGGTACGTGGCAGTTCTTCTTTAGTCTAGCTGCTGCTTTATAACCATCTACTGAGGCAATAGTAAGTTGGTAAAAAGAAACACTTACATGAGCCCTAGATTAAAAAGTAGGTTTGTGTCAGTCCTTGAAGTGGTATGCCTTGCAGACTTTTGGGGAAAGAGGGTGGGTAGAGGGAGCAACATATGCATTCCCCAACCTTCCACTTGTGTACATGGGGGCCCAGTCCATGTGCCACATTGTTGCCTTATTCATGAGTAGGGCCTGTAGGACATATGATCCCATATAGACACCTGAGAAGGTTGAAGCTCTTGGGTCATCTCTTGAACATTTAGCAGCTCTCACTTTTCTATCCCTCCTACAAAGAAAATTTTGACACCTACCAAAAAGTGAATCTTTTTTATTTTGCAAGATACACTACTCAGATCCTACTACTGTTTATCTCATGCATACAGGATCTTTAGGAAGTTGCAAGCTAATATGCCTTCTGAGGCTTGGGTAGATAATAGACACAGTTGAAGGGAGATGGGCACAAGACGGCAGGGTGAGGGGGCTGAGGTGAACTAGTAAGTACCTGCTCTGTCCAGAGGAGCAGTGGCTGCTCAGATCCAGCTGATTGTTGCTAAGCAAGAATGCAGACTCAGAGGGCCACCCAGATTTTTGTGTGACATCTTCCAATCTTGTAATGTTGGTAACTAATCCTAGTGTTTTAAGGATACTGCAAGGGCCAAACAAAACAACACTGTGAAGGGTATTTGGCATGCAGTCTGCCAGTTTGTAACCTCTGTAAGGTTCTCTTCAATTTAATAATTTGCTCACATTTTTGAGTAACAATCACATTCCTTATCTGCCATTCCTAGGGCATGGGCTCTGAGCCATTTTTCTAATATGGGAGAAATCTTCCACTGGCCCATTTGCCCTCTTGACTAGTTCTTTATTGTACACATAGGAAAAGCCAGCTGGAAATTCATAATCGAGAAAGGTAGGAAGTCAGTTACCCTAGAATGGTTTACTGGCTCATAATTTCAATCCTAAATCTTGGTCTTATTAATATCATGGCCTAAACAACTAAGTATGGTTATAAACTTGTGTAGTCTTATAATTTTCCCACTCCACTTAAAGCACAATGCCATTTTGAGTGTTACTTCTCCTGACAGAATGCACTATTTCATCCATGCTGCTAACTTCAAGAAGAGATATAAATAGACACTGAATAGATGATAGAATATTTATACTGTCACCACAAACCCAAGGAATCTGATTTTTCTTTGAACTGATTGATACAGATGAAAATTCTTCATTTCACTTCATGAGTATAGACTTTAAGAGCTAAAATAGCAATGCTATTTTTTAGAATGTAAAATAATCATCTACACATGTATAAAGCACATAGCAGGCACCTTTGAGTTTCTGAAGCCCTATAGAAATTGTGGCATAAAATATATAATGTAATAATCCATCAGAGGAATGCCCTGTGTTCTCATGCCTACTTGCACTCATGAATTCAATATCAAATGATGCTTGGTTCTCAGGGGGGAATCAGTTTATTAAGAGAGAATTTCATTGCAGACCAGAACCTCTGAATAGAGTGATGCAGATCTCCCGACTTTTGTAGGGAGAGTAGAAGATTTAAAGAGGAAGATTTAGGCTCACATTTTATGGCTAATATCTCTTGCTCCTTTGTATTTTGGTTTGAGGTCTGCAAACTTTTCCTGCTCAAGCAGGTGGAGACACCTTCCAAAAGTGTGGTGAGGTTGTGAAGGCAATCAATTCATTTCTGGCAAACCTCACTTGTTAATAGAAGACTTCCTTTGGTCTTAAGTTCCTGGGATAAGAGATGAAAAACAAAACAAACCTGGTTTCCTTAGTAAATGATCTCTTCCCCATTTTCCCCCTGAAACTGGTCTTAGTTTATTAGTCAGCTGATGTAGCAGTAGAGCACATGGAGAATGTTTGTTTACAGCTCAAGAAAGAGTAGATCTTTTCCTAACCTTTTACCACTATCTGTTTTATATGTCATAGGTGCATTTTTTTGGTCTCTGAGATTGCACGGAGACTTTTCTCTGGGGCTTAGGACCTTTAAGAAGGTTTAAAGGGTTGAGGTTCTTAAGGGCCTGGTGAATTTTCATGAGGGAAGAAGCTAGTAAATACATTCTTATTTCAACTTAGGGACACAGAGAAATTATGTAAGATGTCTGTGATTCTGTGCTACCAAGTTCAGAGACTACTCAGGAATAAGCCCTTAATGTAGAGGGAAGAAATTGGACTGCATCCCCATCTGAAATTCTGGCTCCTCCCCACAGCTGGGTGGGGCAAAACTTCATTCACGTCTGGAGATTCAATGGAGTATTTGATTCTGAAAGAGCTATGACTTCCCCTTATTTATTTGTGGACTTTCTAGAGAAATTTTTGTCTTACTACTTTTGCTGTTATAAACATTCCCATTATACAGTCAAAGTAACTGAGGCACAGTTTATTTCAGTGGCTACCCCAAGGTAAGATGACATCACTATAAAACATTGGCTAGCGAGTTTTCTTATCACCTGTTTGGGCTGATTTCTGTGAATTGGTTGGGATCAGCAGTTTAAGGAAAATGCAACTAACTGATTTACTATCCCTGATGAACATATTTTGATGGCCTTAATTCCTTTCAGAAAAAAAGTATATTCCTAAAAAAATCATTATAGAATTATTTTTGGGGCACTGCAGTGACAAATGAGAAGTGGTAGTCTCTCTAATCTTCCCATTAGCCACCATCAATTAGTGTACCAATGAGACTTTACTCTTGTCTTGGTCTTACACGGTTTGCTAGGCAGTATCTCATGGAAAGATGATTCTGGATCCCAATCAAGGAACAAGATCTATTAGAATAATTTCACTTTCTTGAGTATCCATGCAAATCTTGGCAAAAGGTAACATTGGGTTAGCAAATTACCATAGAAAAACATTCAACTGTATTTTATACATATTTTGGAGATTCTCTGTGTCACAGGGAAGTTTATTTTACACTGGCTGATGACTTCCTCATCCCTCCACTTACACTCTTGTTGAGGTATATTATGTCTGTGCCTTTCCAAATTTTACTCCTGCTAAATACGGTCGTCACCACTTATTCAAACGGGATATGGTCTTAAACCCCTAGTGGATGCCTGAAACCACAGATAGCACCAAACCTTCTAAATGCCATGTTTTTTCCTATACATACCTACCTATGATAGTTTAATTTAAAAATTAGGCACAATAATAATAAACAACAATAATAAAATAGAACAATTATAACAACATACTGTAAAAAGTTATATGAATGTGGTTTATCTCTCTCTCAAAATATCTTAATATTTTCAGACTATAGTTAACTGCATATAATTGAAATTGCTGAAGGCGAAACCGTGGATAAGAGGGAACTACTGTAAAACTCTTTAAGCTCTGAAACACCGCTCTTGCTCTCGCAATGTTCTGTGGTCAGATAAGGCTTCCCAGAAAGAAACTCTGTCCACTGACAGATGAGAGCCAAGGCTGAGTGGTACCAATTGAAATAAAAATCTGGTATTTTCCATTTCGTATTGCTGGGGCTTTATATGTTACTCCCTTCTATTGTGGTGAGTGTGATATGATAGGAAAAGTCAATGAAAGGGTTTCTCAAGTTCAGGTTTGCAATTTACATTCTTAGGCAAATAAGCTCGTTATCCAGAAGCTTTGTTAACCATCAATATTTTAATCTTGTGTCAACCCAACTTTTGTGTATTGCAACATTGTAGCTTTTAACAAAACCAGGAGAAAAAAAACTGACCCACCCCTCAGAATTCATTTAATTCTGTTGTCCAGGAGGAAAGCCTTTGGGAATTCAGCCTGTTTAAAATGCTCAAAGATGCTGCCAGCAACTTAAAACAGACAAATAGAAAAAAAAGAAAGAAATATAAAACTGTGAAAGTACACTTTGCAATGTGTAAATCATTAATTAATGTGTTTAATTAATTAATTGTGTTTAATAAGTAATAAAACAGTAGTTTTGCTACTGTCCAGCACTTAATATCTATTTAGTTTAAAATTCTATGTTCATTTGCTTGACTTGCTGAAAGTCCTATGAAATGGGATGCTTCTTATAAGACTAAATATTATTTACTAAATATAAATTGTTGCTTATTAGTCTAGATGAGGAAACAATGGAATAAACATTAGAAAATCTCAAAAATATAATTTAATGTTCAACTAAAAATCTTCATACATAGGATTAATAGAGTATAAACACTAGTTCGTTGGGAAGAGACATTCATCTACTCATATATATAAAATCAAGGTCAGTGAGTCCTCTCTTTTCACTTGCAGATAATTGCTGATTGGTGAGCTGGAGTACAGCAGGACAGGCAGAGGACAAAGGATGAGGACATGCTGAAACATACCAACCAGCAGAGTACCTGACTGGCAATCAGAACTTGTGCAAATGACTTGGGTGGCCTTGGGAGGAAAGATAGAACCCCAGTAGTGAGTTAACCAGAATATACTTCATATAGAAACAGTGCCGAAGACTAAAGTCTTGTACCATTTTAACTACACTTGTGGTATATGGTATTAATAAGGTATCCTTAAAAAGGATCTTCTACTCCAAATAAACCTTTACAATTCAAAATAAAATATCTTTTACAGCATTTCATGTCACAATTTAAAGAATTCATTTGATAAGACAACTGTATCACTTGGTCGTCTTTTTAAATTTTATTAATTTTTTGTCTTCCATTTTTAATTTTAGGTTCAGAAGGTACATGTGCAGGTTTGTTACATGGGTAAATTGCATGTCATTGGTGTTTTTACACGGTTGTCTTTGACTTCCCAAAGTCCTTCATTCCCTAAACCTAAACATACTTTACTCAACCAAATAATGTGGCAATAGGACCATCTCTAGAAAGATGTTCAGTTTGGATCTTCATAATGCTCTCAATAAACATTTACTGCTTTCTTTCTCACATGAGCCATTAACGACCTAATATAATCAGTATCTTGTCCCCTTTCTAGACCCCTGTTTTTATCATATGATCTTGGTGATTGGAAACACTAAAAATTTAGAGAGGATTGCTCTTGGATGACCCCTACTGTCCTAAGACTTTTAGTACAAAGAAAAACAGCAAGCATAGTGAAAAATGCCCAATAAGGAGGCAGTGTTTAGTCCCAAGTTTATCTTCCTCATTTGCTCCTGTATGACCTTGAGCAAGCCACTTACCTTCTCAGGTCCTCAGTTTCCTGATCTGTAAAATGGGAGGGTGGGTAGGGATTAATACTTTATCCAGTTAGGCTACATAATATTTTGAGATTTCTTTCAGTTCTGCTAATACTTAGGATTCTTTGAGTTGGGGCCCGAGAACTGTGGAGACAGTCTCAAGGAGGGTCACAAGGTTCCTTTTAGTTAAGAAACCAAATTGAACAAAAGCAATTACTACTTGGCACCATAACTCATCTGTCAGTGTGTCAGGCATTTTATACAGGTTTTCATTTATTTCTCATAATAAACCTACAGAGCCAATGTTTTTGCCTCCATTTTATAGGGTGGGAATCTGAGGATCAGTGAGGCTAAATAACTGGAAAGTAAAAGAGCTGGGGCAAACCCGCTTATTTGGTTTTGGTGTCTCTGCCCCATTTCACTTTGCATCCATAATGGGTGTCACCTTCTGCTAACTTTCTCTCAGGAAGTGTTTTGCTCTTGGTTTTGGAGCCATCTATCATTCACCTTGCAATTGCATGCCCATAGCTCACAGTTTCTTCCAAATAGAAATATACACACTATTTTGCTTACTGACAGGTACTTTCCATTTGAAGAGTCATGTACTGTGATGCCTGACAGTGCTCCCTAGAGCAAATTTAGGGTGAGGAAGAGCAAAGGAAACTAAGTAGATGCCTAAAAGTAGAATCATGGTAACCCTGCATTAAAGCCCTTGACTATAATTTAAAGTAGTAATAATTTGGAAGCCAAAGGAAAGACACCAAGATCATTCTTAAAAGGAGGATAGGACTCTTTTACAGAACGATTTTGACATTAGTGAAGAAACTAAGTCCAATTCATAGAACTGATTGTACAAGAAGAAACTGATGAACATAGAGAGAAAAAAAACCCAGCAAAATTCAATTGCTTCAGTGTGTAAGAAGATAAGCAACATAGTTTTTAATGGGTAAACATTTTCATCTTAAGCATCTCCCTTCAGCAGAATACATAGACACACACATGCAGTCTTTCTTGTAACCTACATACACTTGAAACCTCTAGAGCACTGGCCTTGGAGGCAATGTTGACGGGGTAGAGCATTATTTCTGCATCCAGACTGCCTGGACATGAAAACTGGATTCTCCTCTTACAGGCTGTGTGACTGTAGACAAATGAATGAGCATTACTGCCACGGTTTCCCCATGGGTTCATTATGAGTATTGACAGAGTTAACATACATAAAGCACTTGCTGGTACATGGCATGTAGTACCCACTAGTTAAGTGTTAGCTATCATTATTATATAAGAATGTTCTTTAAAAAAGGCTTTTGGAACCCTACCAGCACGAAACTAAAAAAGGCTTTCAAAATAACATTTTCTAAGCCCACCAATTGCTTTCCCAGGCGGGTTCAAAAAATATACACTGATTAAAAATTTCATTTTAAAATGAAGCTATACAGATTGATGGATACTTTTCCAAAATGAAATCCAGAGGTTTCCCTGCTAGTCTTAAAAAAAATTGTTTGCATTATAATCATCATGACATGTACAAGGACAATTCCATTTTCTCCCTCCTACTGGGCCCTCTTTTGTCCCCTATGAAATCTTGAATTCCCTTCTCTTTCTCCCTAAGCCTAGCTAATGCTGTGGTCTGCCACTGTTGCCCTTATTCCCACTTCTGTGATGTTTCCATACTTCAAGGCAGGCCACAGAATGGCTGGCATACAACTGGGAATTCCTGCAAGGCTCGTCCAGTTAATGGTGATTAGCTGTTACAGACAGGAGCCAGGATGGGTGTACATGGTCCCAAACAATGGAGTCTAACATGCATCCACAAAAGCTTTCATCTTGAGAACATAGCCTCTTGTGAGATATTACCAGAAGTCTCAAGGTAATTGCATTTTACTGGAATCAAACCTAACAAGTATTTTATAATTAAAGATCATGCTGGTTTCCTTTACTATCACCTGCAACTTAATCATGTACTTGAAGCTTCCCACAAACAGCGAGGCTGTTTAATATTTATTGAACATCCACAATTACCTTTACTTTTCATTTCTCTGGAAACACACTCCTTTGGTTTGGCTTCGAGGGACCTTGAAGAAGACCATTATTTTATTAAGAAGGAGGCAAAGAAATCCTGCGTGATAATATTAATAATAACACCAGCTCACATTTCACAGGGCTTTTTCATTTACAAAGTGCTTTTACATGCATTATCTCATTTGATCTTCATAATATTGTGTCTGATTTGTCCTTCCTACTCTGTGGGGTCTAATATTCCCTGTACCACTGTATAAGGAGACTGCTTTTTATCCCTCCCTCTTCTGACTTTTAATCTATGCAAGATTTTAGGAGGCAGATCTCTAACTTATACAGGAAACTGAACAACATTTTTCTGTGTCAACTGCCTTGTGAGCTCTAGTAGTCAGATTTTTTTTAACAATTGGGCCTTTTGAAATAATTAGCCTATTTCTTGGTGAGTGTCCAGGCATATCCATTTGTCCTGGAAGATAATAATAGTAAATGAAAGTTAGAAAGTTTTGCAGGTGATCCATAAAAACACAGGCTTTCCTGTCAGGCAGGTGAATACAAATCATTCTCGCTCTACCACTTCCTGTACTGCTCAGGGGGCTTCAGAAAAGTTTCTGAAGTGCTCAGGTGAAGAGAATGGCAGTGTTAAGTCATGTCAAATAAACAATCGACTTGGGTGAAAAGAGGGTGACTGCTAAGCAAATGCAAAGCCCTGCAGGTCCTCCATCTTCCCTTTGTCCTGGGACTGTCTCCAACGAGTGGACATTTTCCTGAGCAATTCTGGAGCCATCAAGGAGGTTGAGACTCAGTTTCCTTGTTTGTAAAATGAGAAGAGTAATACCGGGTAATTTTAAAGAGTAAACAATGTGATTTGTTACACGTCTGGGCATAAAACGATAGTCTTGCAGTTGTTACTGAGAGAGGCACAGTCTACCTTTTTTGTATCAGTCCAGGTATTTAAGGTGTCCGTACTCATTGTTAACATGGCTCAAGCAGTTTTTCAAGGGTTTAGGACACACTTTATGTAACTTCAATTTCTTATAGTTATTTACTTCTATATTCCTGGTATGCAATACTCTTTTGGCCCCCATCAGTGCTAAGTTTCAGTCCCATATACGCTTAGCTTACCACTGAGCAGTGTGATTGGGACTGACGATAGGAAGAGGCTCTCCTTCGTGTTAAAACTCCTTCCTGAGGTGTTGCTTTCTGTCTTTTCCTCTTTCTTTATAATCTCAGAAGTCACTAGAATTTTAAGATTTCTTCTTGCTTGTGAAAATCATATCACTAGTGGCTTGGATTCTCAATCGTATGACTAGTTTATGGCTTTTTAATGATGTTTTCAGGTTGCAGGGTTACATGGTCAATTTACCTACAAGTTACGGGAGATCCCAAAAGGTTGGAGTCTGTGCCCAATTCTGACTCTGAGGTTTTGTTGTTTTACAATAATCTGGTTGCACTATAATGTGGATGGTGGTGAAGGCCTAAAGACACACAAATAGCCATGTTTTTACCAGATTCCATGCTTTATTTATTTATTTTTTAGAGCTCCTTAATGCTACTATTTATGCAATTGTTGTTAACAGCATATTTAAATTAATAAAGAAAGAAATATTAAGGGAAAATATCTGTGAGGTAAAATGGAGAAGGTAATTTGAGGATAAACATTGAAGTAAACCATCTTGAAGTGTTAAAGTGATATAACAACACAGCAGAATACTGGCTTATTTCCCCTCGTAAACTTTCTGTCAATTAAGATCATACTTTATTTACTTGACATTGTATTTACGGAGGACCCCTGAAACTGACTCAGGGCTGGATCTGTTTGCTAATCAGGTAGTGGGAGTTGTATGTGTGAGTCAAAGCTGTTCCTGCTCCTTTTCAGGGGAAGGAGTGGGTATGATAATGAGACTGCCAGACAATCAGGAAAGACACAATGAGGAGGCCGTCAATAAAAGCTGTGGAAATCTAGAACGGACATCATCTTCATCTTGCTGGGTTGATGCAGGCATCATAATGGCGCCTCTGTTCCTTTAAAATACTGCTCAGATAATGGCCTGGCCTCCCACGCATTCCGAGAGGGTGCCTCTAGCCTTACTGAAACCCTATCCTGACCACAGACCTTATTTCCCCTTGCAGCTTTGATACCCTGTCCAGCCAAGTTATCCTCCAGAGACACAGTTGCTGTTTCTTTCGATGTGCTCCACAGTGGTTTTAGAAATTGCTTCAAGAGCACCTGAGGACAGAAATTCCGTCTCCCTTCCCTACCCTTTCCCTCTCATCACACACAGATGTTGTCAAGAGTTTCATTAGTGAAGTTCTTTAACATTAATCTATGGAGACAATCTGGCAGTTGGTTATTGCTCTGAGAAGCAACCAAAAGGAGTTGGAAACCAGACAGTAGCCGGGAGATTTCTGGCCAAGTGCTTTGTCCTTGTGAGTTTTTGAAGCAGTGTAAGTCATTAGCAAGCCCCTGCTAATTGAATTTGATTTCATGTCAACACTGTCACAGTCACATAGAGTACATCAATAAAATCCCAACGCTGTTTGCTGCAATCATTAGGCCCAGTTTTTTTTTTTTTTTTTTTTTAATAACAAAAGCTCAGCCTTTGGTTGAAGGTTGTCACATCAAGCTTAGGGAATGCAGTGCTTCCTGGCCTTCTGTGGAAAAAATTCAAGCACTGACGTTGTCATTTAGAGTGGAGCCAAAATTGAATGGGAAAACACACTTGTACAAATGACATGCACAAGTGGCTGATTGGCCCCTCATTGATATCTGATGTGCAACCCCCTCAAAACAGCTACAGATCATGTGTGAATTCTTTACAAGATGTGCCAGTTAATTAAATGTCCAAAATGGCACCACATACTTTGTTCAAAAAAGTGAGGTCCATGGAGTTAAGATGTGGAAAAAAACACGTTTGAAAACTGTCTAGTCTTCAGTAATTGAAGTATGTGTGAAACTTTTGTTACTTTTACCTCAAGTTATATACTTAGTAGATTGGGAAAATGGGCACCTGACCGAATTACCAAAATAGTTTAATACAAAGAAGATAAGATTTTTGTGATCTACAATTAAAAGATTCTGAAGAGTGAAAATTACCGTCTCAAATTCAGCTACAATTTGCTAATTTTGGAACAGTTGTTCGATATGCAATTTCCTCACATTCTTACCCTTTGTGCCACACACGAAGGGAAAATTGGGAATATCTTTCACAAGGTGGTACTACTGGGAATTGTTTTAACTTATATTGTCATGTTACACCTGGATGAGGAAACATATAAAGTAATTAAGTGAAACCTACTGAGGAAAACAGGGATTTCAGCTGAATTTAGCTAATTAATCCCAAGACTGGCCCCAAGTGTAGAAAGAAAAAATATTCCAAGGGGTTCTCCTTACCGGTTTTAATTTAGCTCTGGGCAATGGCAGTGTGATTCTGCTGGTTTTGTATCTCATTACCCTCAAGAGCACCCTTTTTCCCTCCTGTGACCCGCACTTCAAAGGTGATAACATCACCTCATCAATTGTCAATGCTACCAGTTCAATAACCAGCTATCATGGTGGGGCATCTTTCTTGATGAGAGGCAGATCTTGGCTCTCTCCAAAAATAGCTTGCATGCAGTGCCAGGTAACCCCAGATTTCCTCAGTCATCTAAGCTCAGGAAAAAGACTTCATACCTGTGCTTTCTTTGGGACATGTTCATAGTCAAATAAGGATTATATTTCCTGTGACTTTGGTCTTGAGACATAACTGACCATAATATTTTTTTTCATATCAGTACCCATCATAACCATCTTCCTTTAAAACCAGTGAAAATTGTCTATATTAATAAATGTTATCTATGCTTCCCTATCCCGTTGAATTTAGCAGTCTGAATTTTAAAAAGAGACAGAACGATGGAGCTTTTCATTCAGTATCGCATGGTACAATAATAGTTACTCTAGGGAATTAGCTTTCACTAAACCCTAGCAAGAGTCGCAAATTAATATCTCAGGTGGTGCTATGTTAGAGTTTAGAAGGCCTTCCCCAGGTAGAGAAAGAAAGTTCCCCAGGGGTCTCTGCACTATGCAATATGATGTTATGCAGAAACCAGGTAAGAGCCTCAGGAGGGCGGGGGAGGTGCAGAGATGTGCACCGACTGGGAATGTCCACGGAAGGAATTATCACCGCTTCTTTGTGTGAGGAAGATGGCTCAGAAAGCATTTACTACAATCTGTGCTGGAAATCCTGCCTTGCAACCTTGCCTTTCCTCTACGAGAACAGGGCTATATTTAACATCTGCAACCTCCTATTTTGTCAAACTATAGGAGCATGACATTGTGGAGGTCAAAGTTACCATATTAAAAACCAGAACTCTCATTTAAAAAATTAACCTCAAAGTTTAAAACAAAATTAGTTCACCTTTTACTATTACGAAAAAAATAATATTGAGTAATATTAGGTGCTCTCCAGCAGTGATAATATTTGGTTAAAATATCAGAGGTAATTTAAATAAAAATAGGATGCAAATTAAGTTTTTAAAATTCTTTTAACAACGATAACTTTTTCAAGTAAAAATGTGAGACAGTGAATAGAGAATTCTACCCTTTTTTTGGAGAGAACAACTGTTCCCCAACTCTAGTAATTAAAACTGTGTTTTTTTTTTTTTTTTAAAGGAAAGTAGCAAGTACTGTAGTGAAAAATACTGCTCCGGAGTACTCTCTGCTGTGTACTATTGTAATGCATCAATTTTCATGTGTCTGCATACCACAATATTCTAAAAGAGGTCTAGAATTTGAGGGATGAATGATTTAGTCATGGTTTAGGTGAAATTTTTTGTTTCAAATTTAATCGAGACAATGTGCATTTTAAGACTTTAATTTTGCTTATAGTAATTTAACCAATTTTTAGGAAATGCTCTGACTCTGCTGTCGATACCAGCATCAACCACACGATGTCACCAATAACTACAGTACTGACTTAGCCTTGGGATGAAACTTTAATGCACACATTTCTCCATAGGTTAAATTATTTTCTATTTTGTTCATGAATTTTCTATCTATAAAACTAGCAATCATTTAATTATAATATAATTAATTATATTATTTATTATTAATTCACAACAATAGTGTGATTCCCAGAATTTACAATTTTTGAGGTTTACTTTAAAAAATATTAATAATAAAATGTAAAAGTAATATCCTTTTAAAAGATCCATTTGCTTAGTCACCTTCACATATGTTCTGATGATATAACTCGGAGGTATAGTAAGAATTAATCAAACGGCATGTATTGAACACTATTTTTCAGGCTCTGTGGTGAGACACATTCATACACACACACGTGTGTGCACACACAAATTCATAAGCTGTAGCACACTTGAGTCTTAATCAAGAATTCTTCTAGAATTCTTTTCTTATGTGAAAGCTAGAAGGAATAGAATACTCTTGCTCCCCTAAAATTGTACCAGCCATGCTTAATATTTATGTGTTATATAAATACTCTTTTTGGCATAACACAAGATTAATTAAAGTAACATTTGACCTCTTTTCATGAAGGTAAAGCCGATCTTTTCTATCTCCAGTTCTTCCCACAAATGTATTCTGAATTTACAAGGTTAAAAAAATAAACATATTGTGATTGTAAGACCAACTTTTTCCCTTGAAATGGTTTATCATAATATTATGCTTAATTATGCAAATATGCTGGAGGCTTTTTTTATGGGTGCATCAGCCAAATTCAAATACATTAAAGATGACAAATACATATTCATTTACACATTCAGCACATATATGCCTGTATGCAGAATTCAATTAATTTATAAATAAATTGATACACGTAATGATACAAATATTAAAAAGTGAGAAGGTATGGAGCAAAGCTATTTGAAGAATGCTTATGGAAAACATCCTTCCATTAAAAATAACAAACTTCTAAGGAATTAAATTTATTTTGTGGATTATTCTCTATTCACTCCAAAGAAGATTTCTGAAGAAGGAAGAATTTTAGTATTATAAGATTGGCAATTTTACTAGCTCTAAAAAATATCAACTGAAGTTTTATATTGTTAAAATGGATATGCTGTTATTTTTAAAGGAACATAGGAGGGGAGGAGAAAATAAAAAAGATCTTAATCAAAAACCTTAGTGAGATCTAAAAAAATCGAATAAAAATTTCAAGAGTTTCCAAATATTTGGTGGAGAAAACATACAGGTGAATCTTTAATTTAACAAGCTAGATATTTGGCCTTATTTATATACAGTCAAAGAAAGAGAAATGCATATTTGTATTAGAGTTGTCAGATTTGTGACAAATGCAGTATATAATTTCCTTTTTATTGTTTTTCTGAGGTATTTTAAAATTTTAAACCAAATTTCAAATTTTTTAATTTTGTAGATTATTTTTAAAGTCACCTGGTTTCAATGATGAGCAGGGCCTTATAAAAACAGCACACATTCTACCTTTAAGGCTAGTATTTGTGACTGGTTTTTACATTTGCTATTTCAATGCAACACATCGATTTATAAATTAATCTTATCCCCAGACATCAAAAAATACAAGGTAAATATTTTTTCCTTTTTTTGGTATGTAATAAACACTCTTGAATTGGCCCTACTTTTAAAACTGTCATCATAATGAACTTTCACAACAAAATAGCATTGACATTTATAAATAAACCTGCCTATGGCTACACTATACACTATATACTTTAATATATATTTACATTCCCAATGTCTTTGAGTACAGTCTTCTTAACAGCAGAGTTAAAAAAAGCATCTCATGTATTCATAAAAACTAAGAAAAATAAACACAAGCTTTATAAGATAAAGCTTGAAATAATGACAGATATACCATTGTATTAATTAATGACCTCCCAATTTGGACTTGCATAACAATAATAACAATTCCATTTTATAATGATCTATTAAGAATTTTTTTCATTTGTGTCTGGTGACTGAAATACATTCATATATGGTTATTTACACTATAATATATCAATGGTTTATATTTATCCTAGCAACAACCTGTTCAGCTAACAAAAACCTTAACATTGGTACATTCATACTAACGTTTCTAGCTAAACATATTATGTTTTCTTAGAAGAAGAGTTCTTCTAATAAGGGCTTTTTTGAGTGTATGATTTTTAATATTTGATAAAAGATGAAAGATTTTCATAACTTTAGAACTGTGACACTATAAATATCTTGAGGAAACTGCAAATATTTTAATATACATTTATACTTATAAATATGATTTTAGGTTTAGATTTTAAATGTTCATTTCACTCTAGGTGATAATGCTAGTTCAAACTATTGTAATATTTTTAAAGACAAACTTCCAGTTAATTTTCTTTTTTTCTTTTTTTTTTTTTTTGAGATGGAGTCTTTCTTTGTCGCCCAGGCTGGAGTGCAATGGCGCGACCTTGGCTCACTTCAACCTCTGCTTCCCGGGTTCAAGTGATTCTCCTGCCTCAGCCTCCCGAGTAGCTGGGATTATAGGTGCCCACCACCACACCTGGCTAATTTTTGTATTTTTAGTAGAGACGGGGTTTCACCATCTTGGCCAGGCTGGTCTTGAACTCCTGACCTCATTATCCACCCACCTCGGCCTCCCAAAGTGCTGGGATTACAGGCGTGAGCCACCGTGCCCGGCTCCGGTTTAATTTTCTTAAGAAAAGAATTGATTGCTGCTCTCACAGTCATATTTATTGTGCTAATTTTCATCATTTTAGGTGACCTCTCTCTATCCCTTATATAATGACCTAAAAAAATCACAATAATTTTTTTGAGTTTCTATTTTCAAAAAAAAAAATACATAAATAGATGCTCTAGGCCAATATGGAAGCAAAATACTTTTCACCTGAATCAAGCAGCTTTTGTGAGTGTTGTCCAGTACGGAATTTTATTTTATTTTGTCTTGTGTGTCAAAACTGTACCCACTTAACATGTGAAAGGTGTTATAAAAATTTGGAATATTGAGCTCTGTTTCGAATATTGACAGCAGGAAGAATTGGGAATGATGTGTTAGATTATTAACCAGGATAATTTGTCCATTTAAATTACAGATTTGCGGTTAATGAACACATATAAAGCCTCTTGAGTTGCTAAAACCCTGGGTTGTAAAAATAAAATGACACTAGGCTTGAAAGCTCTATGACAAGTCACCTGGCAGTTCTTGATGCTTCCTCTGGAATTCGTCAAAATGTGTTTTCTTTCATGGCACTTCCATTCCAAAGAAAGCACACATACATGCAATGCCTTCGAATGAAAGGAACCACTCGCTCAGAGAGAGGAATACTTCAGAGTTTTGAAAATGGGACTGCTGAGTCTTTATCTTTCATAAGTGGTACCATTTTCCTTACGAGTGGGAACAAAGTCTCAGAATGAGGGGAGACTGTGGTGCTGAATTAAATTCAATTTAATAGATCCTGTTAAAACTATGGTTTCTATTAAACCATAGGATCTATTACAACTATGGTTTCAGTGGAGACCCTCATTTCCCCCTACATTTATCATGTTCCTGTTTCTGAGAGCTGTGACATTGGGGAACTTGACTTTTCTGTCCTTGCCATTACCTACTCTGAATTCCTATCCCTTTCCCTATCTTGGTTATGTGAGCTCAGCAACCAAGAAGAAAATGTGAAGGTTCAATTCAATGTTGTCTTGTGTCAATCTCTGTTTCCTTCCTTTGGAATCCATCCAGCTTTCCTGGGACTAGAGAGGGTCCTCTCAAGTAGAGGGCATTCCGACCAGACGCGGTGGCTCACACCCATAATTCCAGCACTTTGGGAGGCCAAGGCGGGTGGATCACTTGAGAACAGGAGTTCAAGACCAGCCTGGGCAACATGGTGAAACCTCGTCTCTACTAAAAATACAAAAAATTAGCCGGGTGTGGTGGTGTGTGCGTGTATTTCCAGGTAGTCGGGAGGTTGAGACGGGAATCCCTTGAACCCGGGAGGCAGAGGTTGTAGTGAGCCGAGATCACGCCGTTGCACTCCAGCCTGGGCGACAGAGCGAGCCTCTGTCTCAGAAAAAAAAAAAGGGTGGGGTGGGCATTTGTTGCCCCAAATGAGGTAGGCAAGCAACAGCTTTTGGAAAACCAAAACCCACAGAAACTTCTGGGTTATTTTAGGTTCCTACATAGAAAGAAAAGTCACATAAACAAATGACAACGTCAGTATGGCTGAATAACTGAAATACTAATGACATCTCTGATTTATTTGGGGCTATCAGCCTTATATCTTACCCTGCTTCTTTATTTTATTTATTTATTTTTTTGAGATGGAATCTCGCCCTGTTTCCAGGTTGGAGCGCAGTGGCACCATCTCAGCTCACTGCAACCTCCACCTCCTGGATTCAAGTGATTCTTTTGCCTCACTCTTGCGAGTACCTGGGACTACAGGTGCATGCCACCACACCCAGCTAATTTTTGTGTTTTTAGTAGAGACGGGGTTTCACCATGTTGGCCAGGCTAGTCTCGAACTCCTGACCACAGGTGATCCACCCACCTCGGCTTCCCAAAGTCTTGGGATTACAGGTGTGAGCCACTGTGCCCGGCCGGAAGGGCTTATTTTATAAAAGATGAAGATTTGGAGAAGAAGATGTAAAGAACCACTGTGGAAACACAAAACTGTTGATAGTAGTAGAGACAGAATAATACAACTAATACAACTAACAAAATAATAGAAAATAACATAAATAATATGTTCTCAAAACATGAGAAGAAATGTATATGCATTATCTAGTATCTTCCCAACAACTCTATGAAGCAGAATGACTTTGAGATTCTAACTTAAAAAGTTTAGATTTCATAGAGCCAGAAAAAAATGAATTGCTGTAAAAGCTTTTGATGAAAGGCAATAATGGAGAGCATATTTGGGCTAATGGATTTCCCTGGTCTTGGATTTTATCATTTCCTCACTCTTCCTTTCATCGTTTGAGGTGACAGGGGTTGGTAAAGGACAGCAGAGGAAGGAAGCAGATTTACCATTGCCCTCAATAAGTAGCACATACATTGATGACTATGGTCTTTTTCACCCATATTAATACTTCATCAGTGCCTGAGAGCAATACTGAAATGTATGAAGTATTTTTACACAACCCATTGAATGAGGAATTTTAGGATTGGAGATCATCAGAACATCTTGTTCAAAGAGCACTTGTCATTAATCAGGGAAGTTTTAATTCGAATTAGGCAATTCTGATATTCATGTAAGAGACATGAAGGGGACTCTGACTTAAGTCTAAGTATAGATGATGAAAGTAGGAGATCTCACTCAACAGCATATCTGTAGGATAATCACATATAACCTGAAAAAGATTTATTTTGCCAACACACAAGCAGAAAAGCTTAAATAAAAATGTATGAAAAAGAAGATGCTTTTTAGGGAAAGGCATGGTCTAAGATATTAAGACAAGTTTTTACATTTCACTTTTTGAATAAATGTAAAGATAAATAATTTTCATCTTAACTTCACAATTGATAAATTTAACTACTTAGGGGTCACACGTCTACTTATCAAATTAAAAGTAAACAAAACCACTTTGATCTCTAAGGTACAGAATGCTTATGAAAATTTTGATGCTGATATTTGCCAGCAAAAATGAGAGCTGGCAATGAACAGTGACGAAACTCATCATTTATGTGATGTTACTCAACATATTGATTTTGAAGTGAATATGTCTCAAAGATTCATTGTTCTCCTACTCAAAGTTACTAGATGTTAAACCAAAGAAGAAACAGTTAGAAATCCACCTGTTGGTTCTCTCTAGCAATTCTCAAACAGTAATTTTATTTGTATAAATTTGTGAATAAGTGGAATTTTGCACAGGACCCTTTCTGCTGAGTGGTGTGTCTTTGCAAAGATTGGGTGTTTTTAGCTCAGAGTTATTCTGATATCTGGTATTCATGTCATTAGTTACTGAATACCAGATTCAAGTAACACATAATAGGAACCACCACTGACAGAGATGTAACAACACAATAGGAAATTTAAAGAGATGCTTGTTTTCTTTTTCTGTGTCTGACAAGTGCCCATTACAGTAAAGAGATCTTCTTTGTGATAGTTGCCACTGCTCAAAAATGCCAGTGAACCAATATTTACTCAACTCATGCTGAGAAGTTGTAAGCAGAAAGATGTTCTGAATGTTTGCTGCCAATCAGAAAGCCACACTTTATCAATGCCACCAACCCAAGCCTAAGCTTCTGGCCTCTTTACACCTTTTAAAAAAATACCAGAACTGAGAAATTGAGATCCCATTAAATCTCAACCTGTCAGTGCTTTCTCCTAGTCTTTCTTTTTAAAAATCTTCTTTTTCATTTCTAAGTTTTTTTGAATCCTAGTGAATGCTATATTTTTTAAAAAGGAGACTTAAATAAAAACCACGTTTACATTAACTCTACCTACCTTTCACCAGCTGCATATTTACTGACTATTCAAAGAACCATAGTCGGCTATACAAAGTAATGACTGCAGAAATGCAAATGGGGAAGAAAAACAGAGCAACCAAGAGATACAGCAGCCAAAACAAGTACAATGCTTTTCAGCAATCTACCCAAATGGGAGAAAATGGTGGGCTTGCGAGTTACAGTAATTTGCAGGTTACATAACTCACAAGGAAGTAGATGCAAGAAGGGAAAACTACACTAGAAAATGGTTTTCTTGGAAAACAATTCAAATACAGAGGCATAGGCATTATTACTTTGAACATGAGGCATAAACACAAATGCTTATGCTTCATTTGCTTTTTCTGTAAGTTAATGAATTGTGATTAACTTCATAGTTCTATGCCTATTATATAGCAATGATAATGATCTTTGCAGACACATCATGGGGGAGATGGACAGATGTTAGAACACCATCTTTACAGAGACTCAGAGGGGCTAAGTGTCTCCTCTAAGGTAACATGGCCCAAAGCAGGTGATACCAGCAACCGAGACCAGGTTTTCTAATTCATAGATTAGAATTCTTTATATATGTTATTGTGTACGACATTGCACATGACAGCTTGATGATATGTGTCGAAGAAGAGAAATGAGAAACAGGCATATTAAATTTTGCAGTGGCTATTCTCCATTTGCCTACAGCTGCATTCTCTTGCCATTGTTTGTCTTGTTTTGGGCCTCAGAAGGCTGGCACTTATGAAGCACATCACTGGTCTTTCCTGCCTTCTGGCTTCTTGTTATAGTCACCATTGGAAGGCATCTATTTCCACTCCTGCCTTTGGCACAGCTCTGGCAGTGTCTGCATCCCTCTAAGACTTGCTTTCCTCAGTCCCTAACCCACTCACTCCAAGGTTCTAGCTGGAAATAGCCTCCCCTAGAGTTGTAGCCACTTCCTTTGTTGTTAGTTCTGCATGCCTCAGCATCCCTTAACCCTGCCCATACCTGTGTAGATAGTCCCTTCATTACAAGTCTCTTCGAGACACATCACTGTCAAAAATGTACAACTTCAATCTAGTCACAAAGGAATGTTGGACAAATCCATATGGAGGAAACATCAGTTAAATAACTGGCCTTTACATTTTAAAATGTTAATATCATAAAGGAAGAAAATGAACTGAGGAAATAGTTCTGATAAGGATACTGAGGGCCAGGCATGATGGCTCATGCCTGTAATCCTAGGACTTTGGGAGGCCAAGGCAGGTGGATCACAAGGTCAGGAGTTTGAGACTAGCCTGGCCAATATGGTGAAACCCCATCTCTTCTAAAAATACAAAAATTAGTCAGGCGTGGTGGCAGGTGCCTGTAGTCCTAGCTACTCGGGAGGCTGAGGCAGAAGAATCGCTTGAATCTGGGAGTTGGAAGTTGCAGTGAGCCGAGATTGTGCTACTGCACTCCAGCCTGGGCGACAGAGCGAGACTCCATCAAAAAAAAAAAAAAAAAAAAAGACTGAAGAGACATGACAACTGAAGGCGTGCATGATCCTGGATCGGGCTCCAGTTAAGATTTTTAGCTGTTGCTAAAAACAACATTATTGGGAAAGTAGGTGAAATATAAATAAGGTCTGTTCATTAGGTAGTGGCAACATATCATTGTTAATTTCTTGATTTTGATGAGTGTACTGTGATTATATGAGATAATGTTTTTATTTTAAGAAATGCACATTGAAGTATTTGAAGAAGTAAAAGAACATGTTTCCACTTAAAATGATTTTTAGATGGGGGAGAGGGAGAAAGGGAACAAGAATGAAACAGCAACAGTGATAAAGTGTTAATAATTGGGAAATCTGGGTGAGGTATACATGGGAGTATTTTTGCTGTTCTTGCAACTTTTCTGTAAGTTTGACAGCATTTCAAAATAAGAAACATTTAAAAAGAGTTTTCAAAAATCCTAGTTGTGTGCTCTCATTCTTGCTAAGTTCCTCACTGACATGGATTCCAGTGTCCATGTTGACTGATGTTTGTTAAGAAATGATGATCCCACCATTCAACTCCTTTATTGCTTCAGAGATACATGAGCCAACACTGGGTCATGGTGAAGGAGTAGGGAGAAAAAAATGTCAGCTTCCTAGTACATCAGGTCTAAGAAGAGGCAAACTAGCAAGACAGTGATTGGAGTGCCTCCCAAAGCATTCAGAGCTCCACCTCTGGTCTCAGATGAGATTCCCAAACAAATGAAAATGTATAAATTTCTTGATATCCTTGGTATAAAATGCATTGCAGTAATACATATTACAGATACAACAATTTATTCATACATACACACAGAGAAGATTGCAGGAATCACAGTACATTATAAAGTATTTTATTTGAATTCCTACTCCATTGGATCTAACTTTGAGATACCAAGAATAATATTTGAGCATATCCTTATAGGTTAGATACGGAGTTACATCTGACATATAACTGAGTGTACAATAAGAAAGTAGACTGAAATACATACAGCATTTGAGTATAGAAGTTTTCAAGGGTTCAAGGGTAGCAAAGTCAAGATTACTAGTGATTTGCAAGACCCCACCTTAAGCAAATGATCTAATTAAACACCATCAGCAATATGACGTACTGACAACATGCACCATCCTCTGATATAGCACACTGAAAGGGATACAATGTTTTTATGATATTCTGGCCAAAAATGCAGATAAACAATCTACTCATGAAGATATCAGACAAACCCAAATTGAGTGGAGTGACATTCTACATAATACCTGGCCAGTACTCATCAAAAGTGCTAAGGTCATGAGAGACAAGAAAGACTGAGAGATTCTCATAGATTAGAGAAACACATCATCAACTAAATGCACATGGAATTCTGGATTGGATCCTGGAAGAGAAAAATGACATTAGAGCAAAAACTGGTGAAATTTGAAAAATGTTTTTTATTTAATTAGTAGTATTGTACCAATGTTAATTTCCTGGTTTTGATCACAGTATTCTGGTTATGTAAATTTTTAACATTAGGGAAAGTTGGGTAAAGGCTGTGTGTGAACTCTCTGTACTATTTTTGCACCTTCCTATAAGTCTAAAATTATGGTATTTCAAAATAAAAAATAAAATATTACTGAGGACTCATTCATCCCAATAAAACTATCACAATTCTAGTTTGAATGTTTCCAATTTTGTGGATGAACATGGCACATTAAGTCCTAAAATGTTATTTTATACTAGAAATAAAAGATTTGAAATCTTAAACTCATCTTCATTTAGTTGGTACTTAGAGACAGATGTCAAAACATGATTGTATAGGCTTATGTTATTTATAAAAAAATAAGATATTTACTTTAGTACCTTTCAGGGGAATGTATTTCTTTATTAACTATTTCTCCTGATATTTCACTCCTCTTTTTGATTGACATTTAGAACAAGAACCAGAGAAACATAGAATGCAGCGATGATTATTTAATGAGCTGAAATAGTCTATTCCTCACATCTCGGGGAGAGACTCAATGAAGACCTCTCAGGAAGTTGGAGATTTCCACTCCTATAATTTGATTCTAATATTTCTTCTTCTCATTCAATTCACTGGGAGTATGTAGAAGAGTGTGGCTTACTCTCTTAAAGAAGAATGGAAGGGAAGTTGAATCTATTGGCAGCAACATCATCTTTCATTTGACTCAGGAGCTGGGAGGAATAACTGCTTCTTACCCACACTATAGAATGAAAGCTAAGACTACAGTCTCATACTGGATTTCAAGGCTTAATCCTGATAACCAATGTATTTTCAGATAGAATGAAGGCAAACAGTATACATTCCCAGGCTGTAACTGGACTATGTAAGAGAAACAGAAACCCACGTCGTTGTAGGAAAGAACCATTTATGTGTTTTACTTTTGATTTTTAGTGAGGGCAAGTAATTATGAAACTACAAATAAACTGTGATAATCACGTACCATTTATCAATACTGAAATAGGTTTAGGTTTATTATTATATAAATTTATTATTTTATTATATAAATTATTATTAGACAAATTTATCAGAAAAATTTCAAAAGAATGACTAAGATCTTTGGAATCTGCCTTAAAATTTAACCCAACCACTTTTGGTCTCTCTTTGGAAAGATATCAAATGTTTCTACCAAATCTAAAAACTTCTGAGAATATATGTATTTTCTTAGATCTATGAAAAAGCAACCCTGCTCATGCCATTTTCCCTGATGTTTTCAGTTCAATAACCTGGTTTAGAGTTGGAGATGATTGTTCGTAGATGGAGATACAGCGCTCTTTAATACACTTTATGTGGATGTGTTCTTACATTGCTAGAGAATTTAAGGGATGTGGCATATTGAGCCTTCCGCCACCCTACTTCGAATTCTGAGTACTTTCATTAAGCCACACTGACAAGCACACAATAAATTAAAAACATTTTGCATTTCAAGTCGTGACTTGCAACATGAACTCTGTAGACTAAGCTGTATGGTAAACACCCAAAGGATGCTTCTAGAGATGGATTCTTACTCCTAAACGACGTATTGTATGAGAACCTTAAGGTTCTCACATGTCACTGAAGAATAGTGAATAGAAATGGGTAAACCGTAGAGGAAACAAATGCTCCAATTCTCTTGGCATTTTCTGAATAGCTTTGCTTTAGTTTTTTGAGACATGAATTTCAAGCAGGATTCATTCCATATGACTATTCAATATTAATACATTCAAATGACATTTTGCAAATGGTTTGCAATGTGGTCATATGACATTTATGTGGAATTCTTAGATCTTTCCTTACTGTCCTTGCTTGAAATATCCTGAGAGTCCTAACTCAACTACCTTCTATATGACCTTGAACAATGCCTTCAAAAGAAGCAGGCCTTGTTTTTTTCATAAACAAGGGAGGATAACAGTATTACATCTACTGTATGAGAAGGTTATGAATATTTCAATATTGCTATCAAGGTGCATTCATCTCTTTGGTAGGAAAATGTCATAGAAAACCAGAATATTACTATTATTATCCTGTCTAGCCTGAGTGATCTTTAAAGTCCAAAGGTCCTGTCTTTGTGTATAAAAATCCAGTCTGAAATATCTGGATTTGTTTTTAAATTTCATCAGGTTTTTAGCTCTATCAATAATGTGCAAAGTCAAAGGTGAAACCATAGCTATATTAAAAAGAAAAACAGCTTACCAAGACTTAAAAACATGCAAGGAATCATGGTAGCTAAGGTTATATGAAATGGGTTTCATGGGTCTGGGTCGAGGGAGTTGTCATCCAGTAACTCCACGCAATACCAGTCTCATTTTCATATTCTGGCAGGAGCAGCTAGGTCAAACGTGTCTGCCTTCCATTAATTTCTGTACCTTGGAGCTTGGGAGGCAAGGTATAATGATTCACTCTACCTCTTCCGGGGTTTTAGAAGCCTGGCATTCTGGTATATATGGTAAATAAAATGATTTGTTAAAAAGACACAAATCTACAAGGAAATATTGGGAAATATTGTTTACAGAGATCTGGTGCCTTGGATTTTTCGAAACAGTAGTAATTTTATATATTTTGCCTCTTGCCCTGGGCCCATGGTGGTTATCAAATCGTATGCACGGAGTTTGGAAAATATGGCCACCAAATACAACATTTTAAAGTGGACAACCATGCTCCAATCCAAGAGACTAAAGTCTTAATTAAATGGGTCAGTTACACTCTCCCTAGAATTTTCTTTTCATAATTGTTGGTAGCAATGACCACTTACATGTGTCTGCTTTTAATAGACTCTCTTCAAGGGGGATATTTAATATAGCACTCAAGTACTCAGATCCTTTCTACAGCTAAAGTCCCAGGATAACTGGCAAATAACCAGTCTTAAGGCTTATGTAAAATGACATTATACAGATTGCAAAGCTCCTGAACACAAGCGGGGCTTGCAGATTCTCATTGTTTCTCCCTCTATCTCTTCTCAGCACTTTGTCCTTATTCTTCTTACATTGCATTGCTGTGATATTGTTTCTCCCTCTATCTCTTCTCAGCACTTTGTCCTTATTCTTCTTACATTGCATTGCTGTGATATTTTTAAAGTTCTGTCTCTCTAAATACACTGGAAATTCTGAAAGTCAGGTACTGTGATCCACTCAACCCATGCAAGGGTGTTCAATAAATATGAGTTAGATGAACGGGCAAATGAATGGATGCAGTTTATGATAACAAGTGAATCTTCCATTCATTTAAGTTCTGAAGTCAACATATGTGTCTGTTTAATATAGGCTTAAAATGGGAAGGAGAACTAAGTTAAAAAGGTAGTGAAAGAGGGAAAACTGGCAGAAGTAATAGGCCTATCTCAAAGAAGTGCCCACACAAGGACGACAGATTCTGAATGATTAATAATAACAGTCTCCAGCTCTGACAGTCACCCATCCTGCTCGAGCTCAACTGAATATCCTTTCAAACCGTAGGCACACAGGCTGGATGCAGCTATTTGAGGAGCAGCTGCAAAAGGAAGGGTAGCTCTGAGGGCTGTGAGAATTCAAATGGAATATAACATTAATCAAGATGTTCACAGTATGGGAAAAATATAGTAGTTTTAAAAATAGCAATATTTACATAAAGTAAATATTAATGAAAATATATACATAATGAAGCATATGTAAATATCTGCTAATAATTGTTTGCTCCGGAGGGTAGGACTATGACAGGCCATTCTTATTTTCTTGTTGTTTAAATATTTTCTAAATTTTATACAGTAATTGGTTGTCGTATCTTAAGTTGTATAAACTTAAAACTTAGAGAAAAACACAACATGAACCAATAAATGTGCCTCATAAGAGCAACCAGAAAGAAATCAAACATAATGTTTCCTCCTTGTTAGGAAATCAAAAGCAAAACCAAAAAAAAGGAACAAGACAGAACTTTACTCTCTATGCTTCTGCTTGTTGCAATTTGTGTGCTGAGGCCCTAATAAGTTTGTCCTGGTTACTTGAGTTGCGAGGGATATTATAAAGAGTCCTCGGCCGTTACGTAATTAAGGCCAAAGTTGCAGAAAGCCATGTTAACAATGATAGTGGGATCTTCTGTAAAAGCAAAACCATTTCCTTAGTCCAAATCATAAGTATTGGTATATTTGCATACCTGATTATATTAGTGTGCATGAGGTTGGATGTTCCAACCACAAGTCACAGAACTCCTGACTCAAATTGGCTGAAACAATTAAAGAATTTATTAATTCCCTTAAAATATCCAGAGATAGGAAAAGCTCAAGGTTCAATACCATTAAGGTTCAGATTGTTCTCTTGGCACTATTCTCCTCTGTGTGTAAGGCTTGCTCCTCATGCTGGCTTTCTGCATGGTTCCAGATGTTTGCCAGCAGCAACTGGGGTTACCTGCCTCCTCATTCGTGTCTGTGGAGGGGCAGGAGTAGCTCTGTCTCAAGTATAGAATAGTAGTTTTCTCATCTATTTATTTGAGCCAACAACGATGTTAGAGAATGCCATGTGATGACTGGCTTAAGCCTGTTTCCCAGAGCAATCCCAGGCAAAGGGGAAGAGGTCACCTTGATTCATTTAGACTGATTCAATCTGATAATGGGGATGAGAATAGGATCAACTTCACCCGTGTCTTATGAGCTACATGGGGAAAGAGTTTGCTCCTGGAAGAACAGCTGGGAGGGGAGGTACTAGTGGGTAGAAAAAAGGGGGAAATGAATACGAAATAGGCAAGGACATATCTACCATACGATAGTATAGTCAGAGCAGAAAAAAAAATTATCAAGAAATGAGTCAAGACATCCAGAATCTATTGACATTAACACATCATTTGACTGTGAAGAAAGCCACAAAATTTCTGGGTTTCAGCTATTGTAGCAATAGCAGGATGGTGTGAAAATATTTCTATGGCCCCATTCAGCTCCATTATCAGATCATTACTCATTTCCTACCGCCCCCATCCTGGCTGCCTGCTCCCCAGCACACAAAGCACCCACTACAGCATATAGGTAAATACTTTTAAAGGAATGACTTTCCTGGTGAATTTTTTTTGTTGTTGTTGCCATTTATCTCATGGCAGATCAGCCAATTGCTATGACCCAGCAAAGTAAAACAGTGTGTGGTGCAATTATCTGGGAAATATAAGACCATCTATGCCATCAGATAATGCAGGGAAGGGTGGGCTTTGTTTCCTGAACAATCTGCTTGGTCGCTGTGGATGGTCCCCAAATCCTCAGATAAATGGACAGGGCTCCACTTTTCTTTGGCTGCATAACTCCAGCTCTTTGTGAATCAGGATCAAACTCCTTGCTGTAGAGATAAGATCATTTATGCCACATTTTAAAAGCAAGAGTTCCTTTTGAAAGGCTCATTTTACTCTTTTAGTGTCATATGACACTCTTTCACCATCCCAGAGGGTCCTACGACCTACAGCAGAGGCCCTTGTGTTTCTACAATAACGTATCTCAGTAATAAGTATAATATATAAATGAACTGGATTCATATAATGCTTCCGTCTTCCCACAAATAGTTCCAAGGACTTACAGAAGTTATTTCAACCACTAGCCTTCACATTGATGGCTATACATAAATGTTTAAATTTCTAACAATAATTATGTTATATCAGCATCAAAATTACAAAGGCAGAAAGTAACGACGTCAACAATTTGCAATAGAAAACTTGATCTCAGAAAAAGTGAATTTAAACTTTGCAAATACATGCAAATAAAGAACCATCGATATTTTATGACTCAATTAATTTTAAAAAATCACCAAAATATATTTTAAAAATGTGAACACTGCCTAAATTGTGGAATCAGCTGTATGAACTTGAGAAGTGACTTCTCTGAGAAATTTCTGCTGGGCTTACAGATGCTAATACCTTCTTATTTTCCCACGCTGACATCATATGCAAACTACCATGTCAAGAACGCATTTGCAGAATACATAAGCAGTGGAATGAAACATTATTAGTTCTTATTTGCAGCTGCTGCCAACCCCTGAGCCCAAGCTCTAATTGGAATTACAGTGAATTTAAAAGCTGTGGACACTCCAGGATCTGAATAACATACAGGGAGCTGCCATCCAAGACCTACGTTCTTTCAAGATGCATACTTCTGAAAACTCAGAGTTAAATAAACCCTTGAGCTTCATGACTTGATGAATGCAAAGTTTTAAAGATATGTGACTTTGAGTCTTTGCTGAATTATGTATAGATTTGTTTGAGCAATAATAAATTTAAAATGGAAACATACCATATATTTATATGTATTAAGGTTTTATTTCTCTCCCATCAAAAGTAATTTTCAAAGAGCCGTTGGTTTCTGGATTCTTCTCCATCGAAATGAGCAAGCTTCCACTTTAAATGTCTCCTGATTACTGGCTGCTTCTCAGGCTAATAAAAGCTGCTAAATCACTGCTAGGACAAAGGTCCCCACTGTGGTACATGAAAAAGAAGATTTACAGTCATATGCTATGCTGAACAGCCTTGTCGAGGGCAACACAGTGCCCTGCGTCTGTGACAGGCTAAAACAAACCGCATGCCAGATCTGATTTCAGACTTACATAAGAGGCCAGCCAGGCTGTAGCCTCAGTGCTTAGGAGAATGAACTGAATTGAGAGGGGGCTGTGAGGGAGAAAAATGGGGGCCAGGCCATGCAATTAGCATGTGCCTAGTTTTAATGACTGATCTCCTCAGATAGCCAATTCCCAGTGTTGATTTTGCTTCTGCGCCCACGTTTCTCTCTAGGTCTTTTTTTTGCTCTCCTCTTCTGTACACAGACACATTCTGATTGAGAGAAACACCACCCAACCACTGGGGTAACTGTATCGTATTTGGCTATATTTACAACTATAGAAAGGAGATGCTGGCTCATGTTCTAGGATGACAAGATATCTTTTTAGTGGGGACTGAATTCTTAATGCCATCTTACTAGCAGAGAAAGCAGGGGGCACACTGCTGTGGCCTGGCGCTGCCAAATATTCATTGGTCATCTGAATTTTCAGGCTAGTATTTCAACTATCTTTCTACTTTAACTGAGACCTTTGTATTAATTCAGTCCTCAACAAACAAACAAACAGAAAGCTTGTATTGAAGCTATGATCAGATAAATGCTTGTGAAGATAGATAGTGACCTTCTATTCTTTTTTTTTTTTAAGTTATTCAAATTGCATCTGGAAGAGGCTGGACTTTGGGTTGTTCTACACTCCCTTCTAAGGTTTAGCCATGGCTAAACAGGGCTGACTGTGTCTGCTCATTATTTATGCAGCTTTTAAATAACAAACTCCTGCAACTGTCCAAAATGAAATGAAAGAGCCCAGGTGCTTCGGTGAAGCATATCTTTCCCTGATGTAGGATAGGAGGGCACAGACAAAAAGCAATGATGATTGGACCTAACCTGGGCTTCTCAGGTTGCAATTGCAGAGAAGGGAAGGAAGTCCAGTTCAAGATGCAAATACATGGCACTAGGAGTCAGGAGGCCCAGATTCTGGTCCTGATTTTGATGCTAAGCTGGATCACCCCAAGCAAATCACTTTACTTTTCTGGTTCTCATTTATCTCACCTGTGCAATCAAGAGTTTGGAGTAAATCAGTGGTTGTCAAACTTAAGTGTGGACTGAGATCTCCCAACGAAAGGGCTTGTTAAAGCACCAATTGTTGGACTCCATCTCTAAGGTCTGATTCAGCAGGTGGGGCCTGAGAATTCGCGATCTCCAACTGTTAATTGGAAATTAACAATTTCCCAGGTGATGCTGACGCTGTGGGTCAGGGAGTCACTCATTGAGAACTGTTGAATTAGATGATTTCCAAGAGATCTTCAAGTTCTAAAGTGCTACAGATCATTTCATGTCAGTTCTAGATGGTTGCATATTGTTTACGCCTGGGTCAAGAAAACTAAAACTGGCTCCATAGCTCAGCCTACTCTGGTTTTTGTAGGAAATCATAAGATCCCAATTTTCTTTGAAGTCATTTGCTTGATACTTAAAACAGAGGGTGTAAAATAATTGAAAGTGCAAAATAATTTTTTCAAACAGGTACACGGTCTATCAATTAGTGGTTGTACAAATTGGCCTGCAAAGATAGAGTGGGTGATTCATTTAAGTTCATGCTTATAGAACTTGTGCTTTCTCTTTGAATCCATTTACTCCTTGCATTTAAAAATCACATTTTTGACATAAATTTCACCTCACTGTTGAATACTACCCTTAGTGCTTGATACATAAGTGGTAATCTGTTAGTCACTGGTAAGTTATGTGATGCCAATTCTGGTTATAGTTCTGTTACTGATAAAATATGGCCTTTGAGAAGTAATTTTACTACTCCGGGTCTCAAAATTCTTATTGGTAAAAAGAGCATTCTTACAAGGAATTCTTAATATTTATTTATGATTCTGAATTTTCAAATATGTAAGTAGATGAAATGTTTGGTTCCTGAAACAGAACCAAAATGTAAATGAAAAAAGAGGCAAACTATGTAAGTCTCATCTGGTGGCTCCAGATTCAGGAAGAAAAATAATTGTTAAAACCCATCTGCTCCCGCCAGGACTACCGAAAATTGGTCTTCCTGCTTCCACTTCTGCTCCGTGCCCCTCTGTGTAAGATCCTCCAACAGCTTCTCCCTGCTCTCAGAATAAAATCCAAACTCTTTATCAAGGCTCCTTCCCCTCTCCGAACGCATCCACCCTAAGTCAGCTTCCCATGGCTTCCTAAACTCCACAGTGACCTTCTTTCTGATACTTGAACATTCCAAGTTTATTTCTTCCTCATGGTCTTTCCACCAAAAACACCTGTCTGAAATGCTCTCTCACTTAGGTCCCCGCTTTGATTCAGATCTTCAGACAGTTCTTCCATGACTGCCAGTCTTTCTCCATTATATTGCCCTATTTTAACGGCATAGCACTTATTATTATTATTATTATTTTGTGTCTTTATATCTTTATTGCCTGTCTCTCTGTGAGGGCAGAAATCTTCTCTGCATTGACCGCCTTATACTGAGAGCCTAGAAGGGTGCACCGTGCATGATATGTGCTCAATATATTAGTTTATGGAATGAATGAGTGAATAAATAAATGATATTATAAACATGATATCATTTTCTATACTGAGCAAAAGAAGCCCTTTTGCTCAGTATAGAAACATGACCCTACGTTGAACTATTGATAGCTAAACACTTATGTTGTGCATATTACATGCTAGCCATTTTTAAAGTGCTCTATTTATTAATATATTAATATTTAACTCTCATAACACTCTTAAGATGTAGTCCCATCATCATATTCCACATTTCACAAAGGAGGAAATGGAAGTGGAGAGAAGTTATTGACTTGCTCAAAGTCAGAAAGCCAGGAAGTACATGGCCAGGATTCAAACTCAGGTTGTCTGTTTTCAGAGCCTGTGTTCTTAATCATTATGTTATAGATGATAAGATGAAATTCTGAAAATCCTCCCCACAAAACATATCCTTGCCAAATGATTACCCAATAACACTTGATCACTTCCACTGATGAGATTCTCATTACCTTAGAATCAGCCCATTTCTTACAGTGAAAGCTCTGATAAGAAATTCTCCCTTTTCTGACCCCAAATTTCTCCCAGCTACCTCCACCCTTTAGTCGAAGCTTCACTCCTTGAGACCTATAGAAGAACTGTAACCTCTCTTCCACCTGACGGCCCCCCAGCATTTGCAAGCTACTCAGCATTGCCTCCTTGAATCTTTCCTTCTCCACTGACCGTCCTTTGTCCTTTCAATAGCCTCTTGTGTAGTGATACCTCAGCTCTCTTACTATGCTCTTCCCTGAATATGCTCCATCTAGTCTATATCCTCTAAAAATTTGGTCCCAGCACTGGATACCATATTTTTGGTATGATCCAGTCAACAAAAAAGGGTGAAAAAGTACTCCATAATAAACTTTTGAAAATCAAACGAATGGCAACCACTATAATTTTTTTCCCAGGACAAACTTTTGCATTCCTGAGAGATACTCTGAGATATTTCCATGTACACTATGAAAAAACCTAAGATTAAGTTAAACTAAACTATCTACTGTTAAGTCTCTAATTATATTGTATAACTTGGGATCCCTAAATTAATTTCCAATATAGTAGTCTGCCCCAATCTGTGCCTTCTGTGGTTTCAGTTACCAGTCGTCAACCTTGGTCCAAAAACATTAAATAAAAAATTCCATAAATGAACAATTCATAAGGTTTAAGTAGTGTGTTGAAATCTCTTGTCATCCCGCTCTGTCTCGTCTGGGACATGAATCATCTCTTTGTCCACTGTATCCGTGCTGTTGATGCCCTCCCCTTAGTCACTTAGTAGCTGACCTGGTGATCATATCAACTATTGTGATATCACAGTGCTTGTGTTCAAGTCACCCTTCTTTTATTTAAAAATGGCCCCAGTGCATTTGCTGGCGATTTACATATGCCAAAAGAAGCCATAAAGTGCTTTAAGTGAAAAGGGTAAAAGTTTTGACTTACAATAAGGAAAAATCATACTGTATATAGGGTTTACTACTATCCAAAGTTTCAGAAATCCACTGATGGTCTTGGAATATATCCCCCCTCAGACAAATGAGGAATACCATAATGTGAAAACAACAAATTTAATTTGTGTCAGTGCGCATACATTATCTCTAGATCGGCACTGTTCCATGGAATAGAATGCAAATGTTACATGTAATTTAAAACTTTTTAGTAGCTGCATTAAAAAAAGTAAAAAGAAATAGATAAAATTTTAAAATGTATTTTAGTTAATCCAATATATCTAAAATATTATTTTTATGTGCAAGCAATATAGAAATTATTAATAAAATAGTTAATGGTTTTTGGTAGTCTTCAGAATCAATTGTACATTTTACACTTATAGAACATGTCAATTTGGACTGGCCACATTTCAACTGCTCAACAGCTAGTGGTGCCATATTGGACAATGCAGCTCTAAATGCTCATAGAAGAGATAATGCCCAGCAGATATTTATTCTTTGGGCTGCCCTTTAGATTTTGCTGTTTATGATTACCAGCATATAGGATCAACCTGACAATTGCTTTCTTCCAGAGTAGCTGTATAAGAAAAGAGAAAATGGTTTTAAGTGACATCCTTTTCTGTCAAATGTACTGTCAAGTGGTAATTGAAAGGTGGAAGGGACCAAAGTTGGTATTGGCCAATTAAGAGAAACTTGCAGAGAGCTAGAAATAAAAACTACTTCTCTAACATTGGAAACTAATGGAAAAGTATTTCTCAACCCTAGCTAGTCGATAAGACCACTTGTAGAGCTTTCAAAGCTTACAGTTACCCAAGCCCCACCCTGGTCTGCTAAATGAGAATTTCTGGAGATAGAGTTCAGGTTATCCTGATTTGTGGTCAAAGTTAAGAACCACTTATTACAGTCATTTAGGGCTGAAAAAGTGTGTCTTTCCCAAAAGAGTGAGTTTTGCTCTCTAATGTCATCTAGATTGGTATTTGCAAGTGACTTTAAACAATCTATATTTTCAAACATAGATTTTTTTTCTTCTTTAAGTGAAAAAATGCCAGAGATTAAAAACATATTCCACTTTAAAAATATCAAATTATTTAACAGTGGTACAACATAAAATATTTTACAATACTTAAGAAAATATTGATAAGAACATTTTGAATTCACGTTTCTAAATTGATGCAATTGCTTAGTGTGGCCAGAAGAAAGGGAATTAGAAATACACATAATCGGCCGGGCGCAGGGGCTCATGCCTGTAATCCTACTTTGGGAGGCTGAGGCAGGCAGATCACCTGAGGTCAGGAGTTCGCGACCAGCCTGGCCAACATGGTGAAACCCCGTCTCTACTAAAAATGCAAAAGATTAGCCGGGCGTAGTGGCACACACCTGTAATCCCAACTACTCGGGAGGCTAAGACAGGAGAATCGCTTGAACCCGGGAGGCGGAGGGTCGCAGTGAGCCCAGATCGCGCCACTGCACTCCAGCCTGGGTGACAGAGCAAAATTCCGTCTCAAACACACACACATAATCCTACAAGCAGTCAAAAAATACAGTTAATCCTACAAGCAGTCAAAAAATACAGATAATCCTACAAGCAGTCTCTTCTCTCTTTCTTTCTTTCTTTCCTTTCTTCCTTCCTTCCTTCCTTTCTTCCTTCCTTCCTTCCTTCCTTCCTTCCTTCCTTCCTTCCTTCCTTCCTTCCTTCCTTCCCTCCCTCCCTCCCTCCCTCCCTCCCTCCCTTCTTTCCCTTTCTTTCTTTCTCTCTCTCTCTCCCTCCCTACCTCTCTCTCTCTCTCTTTCTTCTTTTTTTTTTTTTGACGGAATTTTGCTCTGTTGCCCAGGCTGGAGTGCGGTGATGCGACCTCGGCTCACTGCAACCTCCGCCTCCTGGGTTCAAGCGATTCCCCTGCCTCAGCCTCCTGAGTAGCTGGGATTACAGGCGCCTGCTCCCATGCCCAGCTAATTTTTGTATTTTTAGTAGAGACGGTTTCACCGTGTTAGCCAGGCTGGTCTCAAACTCCTGACCTCAGGTGATCCGCCCGCCTCAGCCTCCCAAAGTGTTGGGATTACAGGCGTGAGCCACTGCAGCCGGCTGACAAGCAGTCTTAAACAATGTGGCTGAGAATATAAACAGGTACAACTTTCACAGAAAGCAACTGAGCAGTACGCATATTTCAAAAGTTTTTAAACACAGATACCATTTGATGCAATATCGCATTTTCATGTGGTCAAAGATTTAAATAAAGGATTGAAAATTTAAATAAAAGATTGAAATAGCATTATTTTTAATATATTTTATTTAAAAGAACATAAATATCCAATAATGATGCAATTATTAAACACATAAGAGGTATTATCCATATTACGGATCACCATGAAAGTTCATGAAAAATAACTGAAACCATAAAAAAATCCTTAGAATATTTTCAATGAAAAGAGTAGAATACTAAATTTGTTTACGGTATTATGTATAGAAAATAAGGCTGGAAGAGAATTCACTGACATATTTTAACATGTTTATTTTTTCTTTATGTTTCTGCATTTTCCACATTCTCTGCAATGACCAGTTATTACTTTCGAAGTTCACACTGCTCTCAGGGTAGCTGCACCGAGCCACTCTAGGGAGCAAGAAGCCACAACATAAACAAAGTTGTGCAGTGTGCTGTTTGTGCAGCAAACCTAGATTATGCTGTAAATCCACTTATTCTGAAAAAGTAAATTGCAAAATAAGAAACACTAAAAAGAATTAATCTGGACAAGAAGTAGTGAATTCCATGGGATAAAGAAAATATTTTCTAACCAGAAAGCTCATTTCCAGTGTAGGGTTTGTCCCTGCATTATTTTGAAATTATAGTTTTCTCATACTTCTCAACCAGCAGAAACTGCTGCTTCAGAGAAGCTGAAGTTGTGAAGATCTTTCCAAATATAAAAAAATACCTAATTTATAATCTCAATAAAGCCAATGCCACTCAATGAAAAAAAGATAATTTCTAGGATAAGAGAAGGTGATCATAAGAGAAGCTACAATACTAACAGCTAACTCACACTCATTAGCTCCTGATCTGCCCCGCCCTCACCCTCTCCCCACACGGTCATGCCGTTATGGGTAACGTTATGACCTGGCTGCTCTTGCTAAAAAACATGGGGAGTCATTTTTTGAGTGCTTTCTCACACTCCATATTTAATCCATCAGCAACCTATTTGTTCTTTCTTTAAAAACTATATTGAAAACTCAACATTAAAAACAATTTAAACCATTTTCAGAGCTACATTTCTGGTCTAAGTCACTCTAATTTCTAGCCTGGATTATTACAGTAGCCTGGTAGTTGGTCTTCCTGGTTTCTTACTTGCCTCCTTTCAGCCTATTTTCTGCAGCCAGGATTTTTAAAAAACATGTCAGATAATATCACTCTCCATTCTACCCTTGAATGAATTCCTATTTTACTTAACATAAAAATAAATTCTTTACAATGTTGTACAACATCTTATGTAATCATGGGTCATAGGAGTCACTGTCTCTCCTCCCCTTATTAATTCTGTGACCTCATCTTCTCACACACTGCTGTTCTTTTAACATATTGGGTGGTCTCCTACCTCAGGGCCTTTGCACAGGCTATTCCTCTTGCTTGGGGTGCTGTTAAGCAGATATCCACATCCCTTACTCCCTTACCAACTTCAGATCTGGGTACAAATATCATCATTTTAGTGAGGCCTCCCTGACAACTCTATTTAAAATTGCAAGCCTCTTGGGTTTACTATTAGAATTTCCCAAATTGGCTGTGATAAACCTCCAATTTTGGTTCCCCAATCCTAACTCTATCTCCTTCAATATTGGTAGAAGGTCTTCGGTCCTTGCTTAACTGACAGATTTTTAATCATCACCTATTTTCCCTCTTCTCTAGCTCTAAATCTTAGTAGGCTTTACCCATCCTTCTTCCTTTCATCCTTCTTCCCTCCAAGTTCAAACCACCACCTTATTTAAAGCCAGGTTCCTGACACCTCAGATCCCATCTCTTCCATTCTTGCTCTGTGCCATGCTTCATCAATGATCTCTCTCATACATATTTTCTTATAGTTTTAATTCTCTCCAGCAACCTACACACATACTTGGGTCTCTCCTCTGATAACAAAAAAAACCAAAACAATCCAACAATTTATTTTTTTGAGATGGAGTCTCTCTCTGTCACCCAGGCTGGAGTGTGGTGGTGTGACCTCGGCTCACTGCAGCCTCTGCCTCCTGAGTTCAAGAGATTCTCCTGCCTCAGCCTCCCGAGTAGCTGGGACTACAGGCACGCGCCACCATGCCTGGCTAATTTTTTGTATTTTTAGTAGAGACAGGGTCTCATCATGTTGGCCAGGCTGGTCTCAAACTCCCAAATTTTGATCCTGATATTCTTCTGTCTTCACTCTCATTGTCAGTATTCTCAAAACATAGTCCTTTATTTGTATCACCTCTAAACTCACTCACAAGAGATAATTAGGCTCTATCATAAACCTACTGCATCAGAATCTCTAGGTGGGTTTTGATTACATGCATTAAACGACAACAGCAATCAAATCCACAGCTGATTCAAATGCACAACGGTGTCTAGACCTACCTAGCACCACAGTCTCAGTTCCTAGTGGTCTATCTGCCACTTCTCTCTGAGAACATTTCCCTCTGAGCTGTCCATGATTAAGCATCAAAGCCAATGGCTTTTTCTTAGCTTTCTTCTTCCTGAAACTCTCATCAGTTTATGATGCCATTGATTATGCCCTTCTTCTAAAACCTTTTTCACTTGCTTCTGTGACAGTGTTCTACACTAGCTTTTCTCTTTTTTTTTTGCTGCATTCTTTGTTAGCACCTCTTCCTCTTTCTGCCCCTTAAAGCCAGACAATCCTCCAAGGTCTCATGTCAACCCTGATCTCTTTTCTTACTATATAATTTATCAGAGATATCAGCTGCTTCAGCAATTTCAATGATGACTTCTCTGAAGATGATTCCCTAAACCCTGGCATATCTCTCCTTTCAAGTGGTAAACCCAGATTTCTACCATTTTCCCACGGGAACCTCCGAGCTTCTCTATCTAAAATCAAATCATTTTTTGCTTCCCATCATGGCAGTTTGAAATCTTCGTCATTTTTAGATTGCTTTATCTAGATCATCCCCACTGATCAGATGCCAAAGCTCACATATTTTCCTTCTGCCATGTCTTTATATTCATCCTTTTATCTAGAACTATAAAAACTATCATTAGTATCACTCTCCTGGACTAACACAACAACCTGTACATATTTCTCTATTGCCAGTTAGATTCCTTTTATTTTTACGCCTTTGCATTTTGTTAGATGGCTATGTTTGAAACAAAATATTGACTGTGCCATTGCCCTGATTTAAAGGCTCTACGAAAGGTCCATCAATTATTGGCTTATGCCAATGATAATAGATATATGTCCCCTGAAAAAAAAAACTGTCAGGTAAAATAAGAGTTACTCAATTGTGATTTCCATATAGCAGGTTAATATTCTAAGGAGCACTGCAAGTCTCCAAAAAGACTGTTTGAAGTGTTTCTAAATGTAATTGACCTGGGAACTTCTTTCTCTCCTGAGAAATTTCCCCAGCCTAATCAGATTAGTTTTCTACCACCTCTCTCCAACCTTCTCATCTTTCTGTCTTCACCTTTGCTTGTTTTTCTTCTTGAGGGTACTCTGCTTCTTTTTCTGATTTTCAAAGACTTTTCTTAGACATTACCTATTTCACAAACACTGCTGATCACTTACACTGGGAAATTGGATTCATTCATTTCTGAAACAGAGAATGAGTTAGCAATGATAATGTTAGATATATTTACTATAAATGACTTGGGCTATCTCAAGAAAATCCTGTGGGCCAGTTGTTTGTGTAAAATAATGGAGTGATTTGATGGATACAAAAAGGCACCGCAATCTTACTCCAACTAGAACTACCAACGTGCTCCAAATCCCCATGACTGAAATAACCCTGGGTTAAACACTGTACCAGAAGATCTCTTTTGAGGCACAAAATTGGAAGGGAGGGCCTGTGAGTAAATTAAGCCATGAACTCCATGCAACTTAACACTAGTTAACTAGATAGCTATCACTTGGCAAAACAGAAGGAAGACCCCTCAACCCCAATAAGCGCCGCAAAAAAAAAAAAACCTGCTCGCAGTGAACATAGAAGGGAAGAGAAAATTTGCAGTTCTGTAGTACATAGCAATTTTCGTAGAACTTTCAATACATCCCCATATTCAAGCGCTGCAATATCCCATATTGCTAATCCCCATTTTAGGATGAAGTGAATGAGCCTCCAAGAGTTAAATGGCCTCCCCATTTGTGCCTGACCAGTCAGTGGCCATGCTGAATGCAAATTCTAAAGATCTGCTTTCAAAGTTTATGTTTACTCCTCTAGATGTGATGGGAACCTGACTGTGACATTTGTTATCCTTCTGCAGGTGGGGGTTGACTCAGCTGATCGAGCTGGCTGGATAGAGGAAGGTTTTTCCCCTCAGGATTCCTGTGCACACGAAGGAGACAGGAACCTGTGCATTTGTTTCTGCCAGGACAAGCGTGGTAAAAACACAGAGGAGGGCTGGTCGTGATGAGGTTTCCTAGTCAGGGACTTCCATGAGCTACGGCATTGCATGACAGCCCAGTAAGGCTGCGTTTGGAGGGAGAAGAATAGGCAAGAAGGGAGTCAGGTGAAGACATTCAGGCTCTGAAGATGAATGTCAATTTAGCACAGAACTAGACCTCTGTATCAGGCCTGCAGCCTCAGAGCACATTTATTTATTAACTTAGCCCCACTGTATGCAAATGAGAAAATTATAAAGCAATCACTGGAGCACATCCCTTCCCCCTACCTTTGGCTTTAACCATTTACAGTATTGAATTGTGCATAGACATCCTGTGGTCTCTGGAAACCGAAGAACAGTCTTTGCGTGTGTGTGAGTGAGGAAAAGAGGGCTTGCTTTACTTTGCCTTTTCAGCCTCCGTCATGTGACCAGATAGCAATCAACATCAATAGCTGTGTCCTCAAATCAGAAGGATAATGATAGAGAATGGAGCAAACAGAGGCACCAAGGCAAGCGGCAAGCCTGAGAGTGTTTGGAGGAGGCGGCAACAGAGGCTGAGTAATGAAGACAAAATAAGAAAGTGAAAAGGTATTGTGTCTGCTGACAGTACATTTCACTGGCTCTCCTCCACCAAAGAGAGTCACTGGTACAATATCCTGAAAGATTTCATCCAATTTAAACCCTAGGTCAAGGGATTGGAAACAAAACCCTCTAGCAGCTTGAGTCTAGTTTCAAGGTGTTCTATTTACTTGCAAATCCACATCACAGCCTAGTTTACACCTATATATGAAACTAGGTTTCATATTATATGCATTTAGCTGAGACTGTGTTTCACAGTAATTTCCTCCTAGGCTCTGATGAAGTGATATTAATTTCCTTTGCATTACTACAAAGAAAAATATCTCCCAACTCTCTTTTAAAGATCATTGATAAGGGGATTATATTAGTTTTTGATAGAAGTGATTAGGGAGATATTATTTACTGACTCAATTTGTTTTCATTTGGACATATGTGCATTATTTCAAAATAGTTCCAACTCCTTTGGTTCCTCCTCCATCAATTGAAGATTAAAAAAAAAATTAAACTCAAATTCCTTGAACTTCTGGATTCACCTAGAGTGGTCTTTTGAAAACAGCCTCATGATTTCTGGGACTGATGTGGTCCTGAAGTCAGGGCTAGAATAGTGTCTGGCACAAACAAAAAATGGGCTCAACAAATCTTTGTTGAATGAAATAATAAAGAATGAACAAAGAGGATTCTTTGAAATTAAAACAGCAAATGGGCCTCTGTTGTTTTCCCACAATACATGAGTTGGACGAGTGGCATGTGATGATGCAGCTCCTCCTCAAAGGGGTGTTCCACACCGTCCTGTTGCTCATATATCTGCCTGTATCTGAAGCCTGTAGATACTACTGGGGTGAAAACAAGTATTCTCACTTGAGGGTGGGTTGCCGTATGTGGTGGAAAGAAGCATGCTGGCTCCTACCAAGCTCATTGGTGTGATTAATACCAAAACCAGTGAATGATTGAGTGGTGTGAGTGTACCTGACAGAAGGGCTTTGATGGGCCCGTCTGTCTGAAGGCTCTCATGATCTGGGACTGTGAGAATTAATGATGTGCAAATGTAATGAACATGTGCTAAGTACCTAAAATATGCCAGGCAGTATGCTGGGCATTTTATATATGCTACAGCATTTAATTTTCATAACCTGTCTTTTAAGGTAGATTCCATTATTCCCATTTTAAGCATGAGAATGCTGAAGCTCAGAAGGCTTAAGTACGTTGCCTGGCACTACAAAGATAGGCTATGCAAAGACCAGACCTTGATCCAGATTCTTATACTCCCAGAGGCTTTCCACAATACCCCACTACCTTTTAAGTAGACCCTGAGAAACAAGATTGAGAAATGTGTTCTTGGGAGATCCTTGGAAGAATTCTTAGATAATTAATACTGGAATTATGAGCATCTTGAGTAGAGTTAGCCACAATTTTTGGAAAAAGATATTGGATAAGCAGGAAAGGGATGATTTTGCTAAGTCAGAGAAGTAACATCTTTTATCAGTTGTGAAAAACTGCAGAGTATCTTCTTAAATATTGCCTCTCATTTTCTCTCCCTATCTTTCTGTGATTCTAGTTAATTTTATGGTAGACCTTCATCTTCTATTTCTCTTCCTTTGTTTTTTAAATTTTCTAGCTCCTTGCCTTTCTGTGCTGCATTGAGGATAATGTCTTCACTAAGTCTCTCTTCAGTTGTGTCTACTTTGCAATTTAATGTCCACTGAAATTCGATTTCAAACAATACATTTTTCATTTCTGCAAATGTTTTTGCTTTTTTGCAAATACGTTTGGTGTTATTCATTGTCTCCTGCTTATCACTTACATAATATGTATCACTTTTTATTTCTTGAATCACAGGAAGCATACTAATTTCATATTTGGATCCTGTAATTCTAGTATCTGAAGTCTTAAGGAATCTAGATTTTCTGTCTGTGTTTCAGTTAGGGTATTTTGTTTACTTTAGTGTTTTTGTCATTTTTGATTGTTAATTTATATTTTGTAGAACTTTGTGTGAATTCTTTGAAGTCTGGATTGAAGTTTCATTTTTTTTTAAGAGGATTGCATTTGCTTCAAGATAGGTATCTAAGGGTACTACCATTTATTTGAGATAAATTTTTGTATTGGATTGGGCTCCCTCTCGCCCACATAGGTAGTATAAATTTGGGCTGAAAATCCACAAGAGAACAACTTTGTAGTATTAATTCTCAGGAATTTTTGCAGCTATTAAATCTCAAAAATTATCTAATGTCATGGAGGTCTCCTATTAGAATCTCCATTAGGAGAAGGTCCTAAGATTACTATCCTGTCTCCTGTACTCCCCACACCTATTGAAATGAAAGCTCATGAGGGTTGGCAGATAGCTCAGAAATAAAAGCTTAAATGCCCTCCTTCTCCTTTCCGGATTAGGTATGTTTGTAAGTTTATTAAAGGGAAGCTTATTTTTCTACCCAAATATTTGTATTTAAACTTTGCAAATCTCTCACAGTTTAAACACACATCAACATTATAAATAGCCCTGTTCCCAGAACGACATCATATCTAAAACTTCAAAACATAGTTTAGGAAAATAATTAATCACAGGTTAAATAGAGTCAGTTTAAGAAAGTGAAGGGAGGCTGGAGGATAAGACGGCTGTTTACAGGGGAGGGCTGTTCTTTTGTACTATGCACATCACTCTAAGTTTTTATGACAAGAATTATTTTATCATTTAAATCTTTTAAAATATAATTGTTTAATATAGAGCCCACTTCTCTTGATTCTAGCTTTGTCATATGTGTTTTTTGTTTGTTTGATTGGTTGGTTGGTTCTCAAAAGCCTTTACTTTTTTTTTTTTTTTTTTTTTTTTTTTGAGATGGAGTCTCTTTCTGTTGCCCAGGCTGGAGAGCAGTGGCGCGATCTTGGCTCACTGCAACCTCCACCTCCAAGGTTCAAGTGATTTTCGTGCCTCAGCCTCCTGAGTAGCTGAGATTACAGGCATGTACCACCACACCCGGCTACTTTTATATTTTTAGTAGAGACAGGGTTTCACCATGTTGGCCAGGCTGGTCTTGAACTCCTGACCTCAGGTGATCTACCCGCCTTGGCCTCCTAAAGTGCTGGAATTATAGGCGTGCACCACGGTGCCCGGCTCAACAATGTATTTTTAAAAGATGTTTTCTCAGGCACCTTCATAGATGCTGGTGGGGTACAACACGATACAAACACTACAGGGAGCAATTTGGAAACTACAGAGAGCAGTTTGGAAATGTATATAAAATAATTGATGTATTTAACTCTTCAATTCTGCAATCTCACTTTTGAAAATTTGTCCGATAGATTTACCTGCATACCTACAAGATGATATATTTATGTGGTTTTCCAATGAAGCATTGTTTCTAAAAGCAGAAGACTGGAAGCATCCCAAATGATCAACAGAGAAGCATTTAAATTAAATATAGTACATCTATTCAATGTAATACTATGCAGCTTAAAAAAAAAAGAATGAGAAAGATCCCTGTACCAATAATGAGATATTTTAAGTAAAAAAATGCCAAATCACAAACTAGAGGGTATTATATTCTATCTTTTGTACAATTGAGGAGGAAGTTACGAATATATTTTCTTATTTGCTGTATGCGTTGATTTACTTAACTGATAGCTTACACATTTCTTTTGTCAGGAATTCTTTGATGTGTTTTCTGAATATTAAACCAATTAATACTCATTAAGACCCTTCAATGTGGATACTGTTTTATTTATTTTTGCAGATGCAGAAATTGAAGCATAGAGGGGTTAAATAATGTGACTGAGGTTACACAGCTATGACGTGGAAGGATGCAAAAGAAAGTAACACAAGTGATAAGCTAGAGGAGGCAGGTTGGGGCACAGAGTGAGCAGAGGGGGCAGGGGTGGCAGCAAAAGCCCTCAATATATTCTCTGTTATATATATTTTTGTATTCAAACTGTGCAGATCAATGACATAAACAAAATATATTTTTTAAAAAAGTATACAGCTTTTTAACTCGTTTTCAGTGCAAGTTATTTAGTTTGCCATATTGCTAGAAGAGGAAGGTGCAAAGGTGCGAAGGTTGTAAATTCTGTTTATTTCAGTCTTCCCTCTCTATCACACTGAAAAAAATCTTTTCATTCAAATAAAAGTCTTTCCTTTTCCCTTTTAAATTTGACAATGATGATTGCTTTTTTGTCTGGGAGATGACTTAGGGCTGAGGCAAGGAGCAAAATTACTCTGTTTCTTTGGAATTTTTTTTTTTTTTTTTTTTGAGAGGTTAAGGTGGGTAAGTGATTTGGCAATTTAACAACGAAACTTAAGGTTTTCTGGAATTGTGCTTGAAATAATATTTTCCTTCTACCTTCACATGGAATTCATAGTAAAAGCTGGCCCCATCTCACTGGCCCCTGTCTTCCCTGCCATTCTTTATTCCCTTATCCAGCTTTATTTGTCTTCATAGCATTTATCTATAAATGCCATTTGTATCATTTTTTTGTTGCTGTGTTCATGATCTTCTTCACTACAAATGAACAAAACGCTCTATGAGGGCAAGAACGTTTTCTGGCTTCTTAACGCTGTAGCCCAGTACTTTAAAACAGTGTCTCGAATGTGGCCTGCTTTCCATAAATATGTATGAAAGTTATGAATAGAAAGTTCCAGTTTATATTCAAAATGAGCAATTTTGTACATGACATTTTGTTTCTTTTATTTGTTCTCATCCGAACAACAGCCAATCTTGGAAAGCTGTGCGCTCATTTTTACAGCATGATAGAAGTAGTTTCTCTAAAGATATTGCATTTCAAGGGGTGTTATAAAGAGAAACCAGCAACATCTAAATGAAATCTTAATGCAAAACATGCCTATAAATTTAAAACTAAATATATGTCATTATCTCTGATGTTTGCTTACAATTTTCTGCTGTGGTTCTTAATTGATTGCTTACTTCCATAAGATATTGCTCAACATGTGAGGTGTATTCATGAATACCATTCTACAGTGTTTGTTTTAAAATTTAACTTGGTATTTCTAACCTTCATAGAAAATGAACTTGAGTTCAGCTTTTTAAATATATATTTCTATATAATCATAAGTGGGGCAGGGAGTGTAGGTCAGATTTTTGTTTTTGTATTTAATTAGTGTAGAATTCATTAGCAAGAGCATTTCAGGAATGAAAACAATAGCTGCCACTATCTTCTTCAAGGTGGGCATTATTATCTGTGTTTGATTAAGTAATGAGCTGGGGATCAGGGAAGTTGAGTGAATTGTCCAAGGTCACACAGCCAGACAATCTTGGATTAGAAATGCCAAGCTGCCAGTTTTATCTGACTCTAAAGACGATGCTCTTAATTATGACTGGAATATTTCCCTTTTACTATTTAACCCTTCCTTTTAATTCTGTTTTTTTTTTTTTGCATCTTTGTCTTTTGCTGTAAGCTAATAAAAATTACTTTATGAAGTAGATCAGGTATAATCTGTACATACATGCACATATATAAATAAATGTTTCCCAAAGTTTTCTGATTTTATTTGTGCATTGATTAATTAATAATTGCTAATAAATAATAACAATTGAGGTGTACAGTATTTATAATAGTATTGCTGAAGCAAAATACTAACAGAGGAAGCACTTTCACAATAAATTATGCAAAACAAATAATCTCTTGAAATTTTTTCCCTGCTTTTCAAATCCTAAAGTTTTATTTCTTTCATTCAGCTTTAATTTTTTAACTGAGGTGGTGAACAGTGGACAAAACCAAATAAATTTCTTTATTGTTAACATTTCTTTTACTATTTTAAAAATCATCCAAGAGGGCTTCTTGAGAACAAGAATACAATCATGCATCACTTAATTTGGGGGATAAGTTCAGAGACATGCATGTTAGGTGATTTCATTGTTGTGTAAACACCACAGAGTGTACTTACACAAGTCTAAATGGTATAGCCTACTATATAGCTAGGCTATATGGTTTAACTATTGCTCCTAGGCTGCAAACATGTATAGCATGTGACTGAACTAAATACTGTAGGCAATTGTAACGTAACAGTAAATATTTGTGCATCTAAACATATCTAAATATAGAAAAGGTATAGTAAAAATAGAGTATAAAAGATAAAAGTGGTACACCTATATAGGAAACTTACCATTAGTGGAGCTTGCAGGACTGGAAGTTTCTCTGGATGAGTCAGTGAGTGAGAGCTGAGTGAATGAAGGCCTAGGACGTTACTGTATACTACCGTAGACTTCCTAAACACTTTACACTTAGGCTATGCTATATTTTTTAAAAAAGTAATTGTGCTACAATGTTACAACTGCTATGACATAACTAGGAGATAGGTATTTTTCAGGTCCATTATAAATTTATGGTACCCTCATCAGACCAAAATGTTGCTATGTGGCACATGACTGTATTATGTATTTCATTAGTTAACATACATCTTTTTATTATTTCTATGTCTGTACTGCTAAAACTCATCAAATGACATTTAAAACTTCAAATGGCATGCAACTAGTCAGCAACAAAGCTCTTTGAAAATGTTTAATTCTGGACTAATGAATAAAATGCTTATTTTTGAAGCAGAATGAATAAAATTAAATGTTATTTGTGTTTTTAAGAAAACAAACACCTGTTTGATGATTTTTTTTCAACTCTTGTTAAAAAAACAGGAGATGAGGATTTCATGTGGGGGAAACAAATTAGCCTTTTCAAGTTTCAGGAGATGCTGTGGGGACTTTCTTTTGAATAAACAAAAGTGAGTAAGAGAAAAAAATAAAAAGTTTAAGAACTAGAAAGCCATATGCAGAAAAAGTCTTTGCTTTCAGATGCTTAATACGTTATTACTTCGTTCATCTCTGTTTACTACATAAGAGGATACACAGTCTTTATTCTTCAAGTTCCCAAGCAAAAACAGATTTTCATGCCAGGAACCACGGGGAAGAGGTAACGATGAATGATGAAGGAGGCACCATGACATTCTAGAAAACTACATTAAATTCAGAAAATAAAGAGCTGCACTCTGTTTTCAGCTTGGCTCTTAACTGGCTCTATAACTTGAAATAAGTCACTTAACCTCTTGGGCTCAGTTTCCTTATTTGTAAAATGGGTCTTATAACTGCCTTATATATATATTACCAAGTGGTTGTAGGAATCAATTCAAATTCAAATAAGTAAACTGTATGAGCAAAGAATAAAAGTGCGATATTAATATAAGAGAGAATTCTCCCTCGTGTGGGTCATGGGGATAGTTAACACACTATAGAAAAGTTTAAAAAGTCTCTCTCTTTCTCTCTCTCTCTGCAAGTTAAAAGCTTTTTGAATGGCAGATATCAAACTACTGTCTTTATTGCTGTCTCACCAGGTGACTGTGGGCTAGTAAGCTGATGTTTTCTTTTTGTATTTCTTACATTTTCAGAATTTTTTTTCTTGCTATGGAAACAATTTAACAAATGAGTCCAGATACACAGTCCATTTCTGGAACCTTGAAGTTACTGACTTGGTCTTATTGCTACGGGACAGTCAGAGTGAACAATTGGTTTGGAATAATGTAGTCAATTGAGTTTGCTCCAGAAAGTGAGAGCAGGGAGGTTTACAGTTGTTTATAATTAATTTACCAAATATTTGAACTAATGGCTCTGTCATTTCCCCAAAAGAGGTGAAGGATTTCAGTTAATGTATTTCCAAGGACTTACATGAACTCGAAGAACTAGTTAACATAGAAAGGATCCTCTCTGTCTATTATCCTGCAGAAATACATCAGAGTTAGTATAATTTTTCTAATCTCCTCTTCCTCTTCTACTACCTCTTTTCTTCCTCATTCTCCTTCTCCTCTTCCCTCCCCTCCTCCTCTTCTTCAGCATCATCAGAATCCTACTCAGTTTTAATGCAGTATTTTAGCCCCCGCCCTTTTTTAGCACAGTAAGTATAGCAACTGACTCCTCTCTTTTTTAAACCTTTTAAAAACAAGATGTTATATTAATTATCTAAATCATAATAAACCATAAACTGAATAAAGTCTTGTCTTTTCTTGATGGAAGTAACTGAACAGAAGAATACTTCATGTAAGCAGAGAAATACGTTATATTTTATGAGACTTCGTAATAAATTTACTTTTTAGATATGACTCTATTGTTTCCATTTGGGAATATCTGTTGAATCAATGACCTAAGAGTGTCCTAAGACCAGGACCTACTATCCCTTATATCCATAATTTATAGATAATCAACAACAACAACAACCCTAAAATCCTATGCCATTTTATTTTCCAGTCATTTGTACTTACATTTGGCTTCTTATAAATGAGTAATGTTAAAATATATTTAATTTGTATACTACTAACCTATAAATTCCAACATGCATGCATTATTACTAGATTTTTTTTAGCAATTCCCCAATTTTTTTCTGAATTTGGATAGCTCATGGGAAGTATTGTCACCTCATACCCTGAAACATTTCTGAAGCAGCCAGACATCTTCTTTTGTTAATATGCTTACCATAAAATGACAAAGGGAGTTTCTCTAAAATCCTTGCAAATATCAAATATCAAAACCATTTCTCAAAGTTCTTAAATTGAGACATAAAAGTGTGTGTGTGTGGGTGGGGGGGCGGTATTGATTTTACTAGGGTAAACAGAAGCCTCCCGTGATTGCGTTTTACTAGAACTAGGGAGAGGAAGATTGGAAAATTTATTCCAAGATTTTTTCCATTCTGCCATCCTAGGCACAGCCCTGGAATCCCAGAGACACATACACATATTCTCATTAGCCAGGCATTCCCTTGATTTAGCCATTCTGAGTAACCTAGAAGAAGGTGGGAAAAAAGATCTGCTTAGTCTTTATTCAATGGGCAATGTAAATCCCTCTCCTGCAATGCAAAGATTTGTTTTTTCATCTCCTTTTTCTGTGTATTTTAATATAGTGAATAGAACAATCTGTTTCTTTTTGTAAAATGTTGTACACACAGACACACACATACACACACACAACACACACACACCCCTATGGTGCTCTGGGAAAGACTGCAGTTTTCATGTAAAATAACTGCATGTTTCACCTTGTTCTCCAGGGCTCCAAATTGCCAGTCTTGTGATGCGCTGTCACAACTTATGCGTGACTGACTGGTTACAGAGCCCGCTGATCTATATGGAGAGGTGAGAATTTGTCACTGTGCATAAGCAGAAAGATCAGTCAGATACAGTGATAGATCTGTTCTTTGCCTGGATTTGTCTGCTGCTATATTAGGGTAGCTTGGCAGCTGCCAAATCCAATTGTGAGTCTGATTTTGTGGTTGAGAAAACAGAAAAAGACGAAGTAATGTCCTGACATAGCCACTTTGGGGTACAGTAGCTGCAGAATGAAAATATTATTGTGATCATTATGTCAAAATATTCCCTTCCTCTGTATCCACCATAGGGGGTGCAGCAGCAACGTCAGCATCTTTTCTTAGGCATTGCAGAGAGAATTTATATATGGTGGCACTGGGGTTCAAGTTAGCATCTAGGGTGTATGGGTGGACAGGCAGGCTCACCCAGAACTCAGTCTGACTTTTTCCAGACTGCTAATTAGAATTAGCATCTGTCATTAAAAATGAAGCCATCACTCTGGTGCCAGGGGCAAAATATGGTCAAATGACCCTTAAACAAGCTGCAATGATGTTCTATGAAAATATTACAGATTTTGCAAAACTCATTAATGATGCTAAAGACAACGCACTCATTAGATTGGAGGGTATAAAATGCACACAGTGGCTTATCTGCTTTTGTGTTCATTCACTCAGCTGTGTTCATTACTATTCATGTGGATTAAAAAGGGGAAGGGAAATAAGATCAAAGAAATAATATCAGGCCATTATCAATCATAGTTAACTAGTGCCCTTTAACTACCAACCTCCATTCACCATTCCGTATCTGAGAGAAACTTCTTTCTCAGAACCCTCTTAGCTCCTTAAGGGAGTGCTAAAAGGCATTTAGTCTATTTTTATCCGTATATGAACCTCGCCATTTTAACCATAGGAAGAAAATAGCAAACATAGGGAAAAGATAATTATGAAATAGAAGAAGGAACAGCTTCAGAAAAGTTAAATGTGGTCTCAGTCCTGAAGAACACCAAGTAGAGATATAAATAATTTCGTCATAGAACGGCTATCCTGATACCACAGTGGCCATCCACTATTTGGAGAGATTTTCTCCCCAATTCAAGATTAAAGAAACAAGTCAACAGTACAGCGTCCTTCTTTAATGTCCCCTTTACCAACCCCTAATGCACAAGTTTTTTTCAAGAATGTCATTAACTTTTTAACTTTTCAGTAAGAGAACAAGTTCAATATTCTTAAAAGTCTGAAATTTCAGCACGAATATATTTAGTAAAAAGGAATTAGACATTTATCTAGGCTCCTCCTAATTAAGGAATCATAACTACTATAGCTGATGGATATAATGGCAAAGCCAAACGTGTGAGAACTGACAGCATTGTCTCTCTGGACTGATGCTCAGCCCTGCAATCAATTTAAATAAGCTTGACCAGGCCCAACCAGATTAAACTAATTTTTCAAAAAAGTGTGTGTTGGGGAGTAGATTTTTAAAAGACAACAAAATAATACACATTAGACCTGGTTAACTCTTGGAGAACCACATTGTGATGAAAAGCATACATGTCAAAGGGACTCTGCTTCTATTTTATCATCATTAGTACTTCTCCAGGTTGGGGATGTTGCTGTCACTGCCACTGTGAGTAATTTTTCAGGACATTTTACAGAACATTTCAAAAATGTAGATCTCATCATATTCCCAGAATGGGAGCAGCTGAATGAGGCTCCTGTGGAACTATAAAGTCCTGCAAAATTTTGCATAAATATGAGGAAAGCCCCAGGAAAAACATTTTGACACTGACGGGATCCTCTCAGGGGAAACATCTATCATTTTCCTCATGGGGAAGTTACGTTTGTGAGATAATTCTATAAAACGAATTAGAAAGTCTTTGAACAATGTTTGTGTGGAGCAGAGGTAGCAAACACAAGTGCCTACAGAGTCCAAGCAGGTGGTGTAATGAGTAAAGCAAGTTCAGTGGGAAATGGAAATACAGAGAAAATGATGCCTATCTCAAGATGGAAGCCACTTCTCAGCTCCAGATGTGCTGCCTTATGGGAGTGGGGGCCCCAATCTCCTAACTTTTTAAAAGAGAAACTGAAAATCTGAATTTTTGCAAAGTTTCCTGATTTTAAAATGAAGGTCACTTATTCAAAATGAGCCCAACAAAAACTAACATATATATATACACACACACACATATATATGTGTATATATATGTGTATATATATACACATATATATGTGTATATATATACGTATCTATGTATATATATATACACACATACACATACACGTGTGTATATAGAAAAAATGTATATGTATATAAACATATGTAACACACATATATGTATAAACATATATGTATAAGTTATATATAATACGTATATTTAATATATGTATACACACATATATGGAATTCATCACACCAGCTGCCATTTTTAGCTCATGGAATATGCTACCACACTGTCCACACTTACTAAGGGTCTCCTGAACATAAAGCTCAATATTAATGCTCTGAAGGATTTGTTGGATATGTTGAAGACAAGAATTTTACTCCTAAAGAGTATGATGTATAGCTGAACCAATAAGGAAAGCAGCAATGTAGAGTATAGCACTGGATTCTTCACTCTGATTAGTAGTAGTAATAAGACTAAAATAGGCTTTTGAGGAATAAAGATCAGGAGGAGTGAAGGAGAGTGGGAAGGGAAACTTAGAGTGGTGCTTTGGAGCTGGATATCAGAACTGATCACTGAGAAAAAGTGGGGAGAGCTGGAGAATGTGTTAGATTTGAATGATCTTCAAAGATATACACATCTATGTGATGTGACTGTTGAAACAGAATTGTTAGTCACTTCCCTTATGTATAGAATAGCATAGGAAATAATTATATAAATACTATTCGTTTAATTTTTAGAAATTAATATTGACTCTACAGATCATAGCTGATCAAGGATAGGTAAGCTTGAAACAAAATTTCTGATTGCAAATGATTCCACAGCATTATATGTTCTTTTATTTTTATTCACAGTGACAGTGTGTCAGCTTAGATAAAAAGAAACACTGAAGGTTTTTCAAGGGCTTGAGACATCACGTAGCATTAATTCTGATGAAAAATTTTCAAGATGTAACTTTAAATGGCAATGATTTTGACACTGTGCATTTCAAGACTAGGAATTCATCACCCCTCCAGATAAACTGCACCCCATCTGCAAGAAGACAGCAGTCTTTATAAAAAAAAGTCTCATGTAAAGTTTAGTATGTTTACACTCAAAATTTACTAGGGGAGTGTGGAAAGAGAAAAGCTATTCTGAGTTCATTTGTACTTATTTTTCTTTCAAAAGAAGATATCATTAAAAAATGTAGGGCTTATTTTTTTCTCTTGTATATTAAAGGAGCCAAATAACAATAAAACTTGATTGTCATTCTATTTAAAGAAGGCAATTATGCAGTGGTTATACATATCCTAAGTTTAGATGTCTGAACCTAAGATGTCTGAGCTCTCTAAACGGATCTCGTAATAGAACTGCATTTCACAGAGGGATAAAATGGCATAAAACCCCAAGCTTGGTATTTCTGAAATGGGAATGCCATTCATTCAGGAGGGGAAATTCAGCTTCTCAGTATTTCCAGATCTTCAGTTTATCTTGGGCATAATACATAGAAAACTGAAAACTTTGGGGCCACTTTTGATTTGGCTGTGCACATGGACCTAGTCTGAAGGTGGCATCTTGCACCCATTGTTGGTAGGCAGCTTTGGGTTAATGGCTGCGTTTTAAAAAGCAGAAAACTTGACTTTGATCAATCATTGTCGCTTTGATACAATAATCAGTGAAATCCCAGTGTTTAGGCCATCAGTTTACATGTTTACAAAGATGTGAGCTCACTCATGCTGACTGATAACTATTTAAAAGTAAACTGACTCCTTAGCAAAATGTTCTCAGGTATTGAAGGCTTTTTCATGACATAAATAGCATCATTGGGGGAGTACTATATTGCAGGATAGTATCATTAACAATATAATAATCTAGTGCCTTATGAAACAAGGAAAAAGGAAGAGTTATAAATCATTTCTGGGATAAGAATAACGTTTAACAAATGAAAATAATAAAAAGGAAAAAAAATTAAGAACACTTGGACACAGGATGAGGAGCATCACACACCGGGGCCTGTCGTGGGGTAGGGGGTAGGGGGAAGGATAGCATTAGGAGATACACCTAATGTAAATGACGAGTTAATGGGTGCAGCACACCAACGTGGCACATGTGTACATATGTAACAAACCTGCACGTTGTGCACATGTACCCTAGAACTTAAAGTATAATATAATAATAATAAAAAATCTCAATTAGTCATTGGGAAATAAACAATTAGCCTACATTAGAAACAACGCCACCTTGAGGACAGCGTGGAAGGATCAATGTTCTTAATTCATACCTACCAGGAGGAATGATATAAAGGAAAATGAATAATTACAAACCACAAGCCGTAGGTGTTTGCCTGATTTGCAGATCAGTTCCTTTTGGTTATCAGCATAAATGTCAGCGTGACAATTTTTCCTCTACTTGGTCCATCGTCTCTGGATCTACCTGACAAGAAAGACCAAATTTTCTCTCCCGGTGGCCATATGGCCAGTTCTACTTGCAGAAAGCAATGCGAAGTTTTCACAGCAGCATCCATAACATGACCAGTGTCACCTTTACAGATACTGGCTTCACTTTAATCTTGGGGATGTATTTGGCTTCAAATTCAGGGTACACCAACTATGATAGATTTGACTTTGCTAAACCTAAAGGTGGAGAATTTTCAGTCAACGACCAAAAGAAATGAATAGAATCATGTTTTCTTCCTCAACCACCAAAATCTAAGAGGGAATACAATTTTACTTCCACTTGGAAAATATTTTGCTTATGTGACCTTTCATCCCACTTGGAGTGGAATTTAGATTTATCTCAGAGATTTGTAGAAACAGAAAGGGAGGATCAATTTTCAGAAGAAACATGAAGTGCTTATACATTTGGGATGAGAGACAGGTATTTATACCACAGAATCTTGAGTGGGCACACCATCAGTCTGATGCACTTTTTTTTGACATAGCTGTGGAGTGTTGCTAAATTAATATGCAAATTTATTATTTTCAATGTATTTATTTTAATAGGTTTTTTAGGGAACATGTGGTGTTTGGTTACATGAGTAAGTCCTTCAGCGGTGATTTCTGAGATTTTGGTGCACCCATCACCCTAATATACCAATTTAATTTTAAAAATCTATAATTTAGGACAGAAACCAGGGAGCTAGTTTTCATTTCCCTAGGTATCATGCTTTTATACAAAGATATGTAATAATAAAAATGACAATATCCAACATTCATTGTGTGCTTGTTATGTACTAGTCACTGTTTAAAGCACTTTTAAGGTACTTTATATTAGCTCTTTCAAACATACTATTTATATTTTAAAATAAACATAAATTTACTATTTATTAATAGTATATTTTACTATTTTAATTCTCAAAAGTCATTGAGCCAAGTACTATTATTATGCCCATTTTAAAGATGAGAAGTTGAGGCAAAGAAAGCCTCAATTTTCAAAGATTGAAATATTGGAGAAATATGCAGTGATCCTACAAGGAGCAGAAACTATGGAGAGTTCTTTTATGGTTAAGAACTAAATTATTAAATCTGTTCTCAGTGTTACTTTTTTTTTTCTAGCTTTGCATTAACTATTCTTAGATTATAAATTTCTTATTTATCTTCTTCATTCTTCTGTTCAGTCTTGTTTCCATGACAGACTATCCTTCTTTCCTTTCTTCCCTAATTTTTCTATAACAAATCAAACTTTAGAAGTCCTTGGGTTTTAATATCTCTCCCCTGTATCAAGAAAATTAGATATTATCATCTAAAAGTCCATGCTTGGAAATTCTGTAATAGCAGGAGAAATTTTTCTTAATTATGAAATATTTGGTCCTTGCAATAATATTTCCTCTACTCTTTAACCATCTTCATAGATAACGAATAGAGCACTTCTCCTTAAAATGGTTGTCAAATAAAGAGAGTTCAATCAACCATTTTTTGAAAGAAGTTTCAAGAATTTGAATCCTGCTGGTCTGAAATCTTAGCTCCAACACTCACTGAGTGAGTACACAAGCTTAGGAATGTTATTTAACCTACCTTAGTCTCATTTCCTCATGGAAAACATGGCATTAATAGCAATATCCACTTCACGGGATTGCCTATCCAGTGCCTGGGATAGAGTAGGCACACAACAAATGTTGGTCAGTCTTCTTGTCTGTGCAACAAAATCTAAAGCATAGGACATAGAATAGCACCTAGTAGCTCTTCAATAAAAGCTAGTGCAACATTACAAAAGAAGAAGAAAATAATTTCAGTAATATTACAAAAGAAGATGTTACATTCAGAAGAAATAATTTTCAGGTTGTGCCTAAATGGTATTGAAAACCCAATTAGGCTCACAGTTAGAGTGTAAAAACTAGTTTAGGTATATCCACAGTCTGTCTCTGTCTTTCTCTCATTTGTTCACAGCTTACAAGTGGAAAGGGTAACAAGACTTTGGCCTGGCACACTAAATCCTGGATTCAAACATCCAGAGCTGCTGCTTTTCCCACCGCCAGACGGACGGCTGTGCGAGGAGAGATTAGGAGACACTTGAGACGTTGATGCCTGAGGCTTGCAGTACTAACCAGAATAAACATTTTTCTTTTTTCAGTAAAGCAAATATGCAGGGAGCAGCTGCGCTAGGAGAGTAGTATTTTCACAGTTACTTCTAGTAATAACTGCACTTTAAAAGTGTTTCAACACTTGGACTCTAAGAACCCCTCAGTCCCTTTATGTAGCTTACAGTTTCACTCAAGTTGGGTAATTTCTTGCTCCTCTTCCTTCAAGGTCTCTCTGATCCTTGCCCTAGTGAAAAAATGATCTCTGGTTTTATGCCACTGAGGTTTAGGGAAAAGAAAGTGACAGATTTGGAGTTTCTTTTAAAAACACATAGATAGTTTAAAAATAAATTATAGCAAACTATATTTATGGTCATCTGTTGATCGTCTATATAGATCTCTGTCTTGGAAGAGTAGCTCCGAAACCCCATTTGGAATCATGTGAAATTACGTCACCACTCACAGCATGGTGTTAGCAGCCATCTATCTTCAAGTGCATGAAGTCAACCTGCTACCCTATAAACACGCTGCTGGTGAGATACACAGAGAGAAATATTTTGGAAGAGTGAAAACATTCTTAGTCAAAGCCTGGGCTCGTTTGTAGTGACAAAACAGATTTGAAGGGACAACTCCTAAACTCCCAAGACAGGCACAGGATATGGTGCAAAGAGCACTGGCCTTCATGTGATCAGACTTGGAAATCTTTGACAAAACATGAATTGCGGACGGTTGTGTTCTCTCTTCTGTAAAACCAGGGGGTTGAGCTAAATGATACTGAGTCTGTAAAATCTAAAATCATTTTTGGTAATAACAGATGTTGTTTAAATTTTGTCATATAAAAAAAATTCCCTGCAATGCATCCTTTTGACAGTTTCTAAACCTCTTCCTTGCTTTATTATTCTTTGTAGAACTTACCATTGTCACAAATACTTTCAATTTTACTTGTTTTTAAATTACTGACTGTCCTTCCCTTCTGGAATGTAGGTTTCATTAGGGTAGGGGGTTTTGGTCTCTTTTCTGTCTGCTTGATTCCCAGATTTTGGAACAGCGACTGGCACATAATAGGTGTTCAGTAAATACTTAAGAATGAATGATTCATAACTGTCCATAATTTAGCATCTTGTTTTCCATAGTAGAGTATAGTAACTAAACCTACTCCTCACATCCTATCTAAAAAATGCTTGAGACTAAATTTCTAATGTGAAATCTGAATAACAAAGTCCTTTCACACTGAAAAATGTATTACTATTATAGTAACAGATAATGGTTGATTACTCATGCTTACGGTTTCTAAATTCTCATGAGTCTTTTGGCTAGCTTTAATTAATAAGGATGTCTTTCACAAGTTGTCTTTTGAGAGTAGCTGTAAATCTATCAACATATAATATTGGCACTTGATGGAATTTAGCTCTTTAATCCCAACGTTCCATTCAGGAAGGCTTATGTTTGTAAACCTCCCTGAAAGGCAACCCTTCCAAGCTCTCTCTAATCATAAGTCCAGTGATAGAGCCTGATGCAACTCTCTTTGTTGCTTGCTTTTTGTTTCTTAAAGCATCAATTTCTAAAAGGTATATTAGCCCCCTTTTTTTCTTCTGATCAGCCATGAGCATCTCCCATGTTTGCCCTAAGTTTCTCTTTTATATTATTGCAGATGTGGTGCATTCTGAAATTGGTTATAACTACACAATTTTAAAAACCAGATACCACTGCAGCAATATCACAAATCACAGTACATTGGGCATCTAAGAAAATACACCTTCCTCAAGTTTCTGGCACAAATGGGAGTTTTTGGTAGCTGACAGGAAGTTTGTGTTGGATGTCTTACAGATGCATCCTCATTAGCTGGAAGAAGTAATGGAAAATTCTGAGAAGTAGGCATTTGATGAAAATAGACCCATTCTATTGTGGCAGAGCAGCTTCAAAGATGAGAAAGGAGAAAGTGTGATGGAGGAGGCACTGAGCAGGGGAAGGAAGGCGAGCTCCATGCTGGGATCACTACTGCTGACTGCCCAGTTGGGTCTGAATAAGTCTTTTAGGGTTTTCTCGTTGGTTGCTCAAGCCACATAGTTAAATGTAAACCTTTTATTTTCTAAGGGGAAAGTGTGTGAGTTAACTGGAGTAATGAATCTCAAGCTTTAGAGTAAGAATCATTTTGGGGGTTTTTGTGAAAGTGAAAGTGGATGTTTGTTAAATTATTGGGTCCCTCTGTTACAGATTTTGATTCAGTAATCTGCATTTCAAATAAATTCTCTTGTGATTCTGATGCAAGCCAGGAGTGCCTACTACAACTTGAGTGATTCCAAATTAGAAGAGTTTTTGATAGCCCATTTTGGTTTCTTATTGTGAAAGAGACCGTGTGTGAAGAAGCTGTAAATTAGATTCATCGGCACAAACAATTTTTTCTTAAAGTGACTGTAACCCATCCTTGTATTTTCTAACTAGTCATTTTGCAATTTTTTCCCCTATACTTTAAAAAATTTAGTAATTAACTCTAGTAAATTTGCATTTGCTTTCTCAATGTCTCTCAGCGTTGGCTCTACGTGAAAATCACCTGAATCTTTAAAAAAGATTCATTTAGTTGGGAATTTCGGGACGCAAAGGGTTCCTGAATTTCATCGAGGTTCTGTTAGAATGGGGATGGAAAGCAAAAAACAGTAGAATTCTATACTTATTACAAAAACTGAAAATGTATGCTCTTTAATTTATTCATTTTCCCATGGGAACATCTGAACTTAAATCCGGTTTCCCACATACCTGCCTACTTGCTGTTCATAGAGTGAAAATTCTGTGTGGGCATGACATCCTCTTGTCCTTTTAAAAGGGACCAGGAAGAAAATCTGACTGATTTAATAAAATGTGAAATGTAAGATGGGAAATAGAAGATTATTTGATCAGTTATGTATAAAGATAAACCTCTAGCTTCCTCTATGAAAGAGTAACAATACAGTTTTACCACCCTACTGCCTAACTTTATGAACTAGACTATATAACTTTTTGGTTTCCCACTGATTTCTAAAAAAGGATCTTGGGAACATGACTTCTCCCACCTTGATTTTAGAATGCATTTTATATGGCATGCAAACCTTTAGCTAGTAATGAAAAATCAATATAACCTCCAACTCTTTATAACCTCTATATTTTTCTTACAAAGGAATTAATAAGCCACAGTAGTGATTATGGCACATAAAACACACTTCTTTCTCCATTCAGTTGATAAAATGAAGTATTGCTCGCTTTTTGAAAATCAAGAGTCTAATATTGTCATTCTTGATCTAAAGATTATACAGCTTTGGGTTAATCTTTTGTGTTTATTTACCAGCATTAGGAATGTAAATCACTAAGTAGACTTAGTTTTAAGTAAAATTAAATATAATTTGATGAGTAATTATTGGGTACTTTTTATATCCTTAGCTTTGTGTTATGGCAGATTCCAGGTGAAAATAATAATTTCCCTTTCTAAAGATTTTCCTTATTAGATTATTAGAATATTGAAATATTAGGTATTAGGAAATTAGAATCAAAGACATATTTTTCAAAAAATTTTTAACAAATTTAAAGAAAAACCAGGCTTCCAGATGTGATCTTTGCAGGCTATATAATACTTTTATTTTTCTCTTTCATTGTTGAACATAAAAAAAGACAAATATTATAATTTTTTGAATGTGGCTTTTCATATTTGAATTACAATGGTTGATCTAAGCTTTGATTACCCGACAAGGAAAGAATCAATAGTGGTTAAAAAAAAGTATTTACATTATGCAAATAGAGAAGATACCACAGGCATATTTTGAACAAACAATAGGATAGGTATTTAAACATTACATTCTTCTATAAATTAGTGGAATCTTTTATGCATGCATTTAAATCAACAGCTCATCTTGTAGAAAGGAAATGAAAAGGTCAGCAAAAAATAAAGGTAATTAGCTTTTCAGCAGAAGTCAAGACCTTTGAATTTCCTTCAAGATCTCTTAAGATTTAGTATGTAAGAGATTATAATGACTCTGCTGTAGTATCAATCACTCAAGGCAAGTTTTTACCCAATTTCATTATCCATAGCATCTAGTAAAAAATGAATCACTTTTTGGATATTGCTCTTGCTTTGACTGACCTTAACTGTTCCTTCCTCTGGAACCCCACTTTTCTTCAAGCCTTTCCACAGTCTTCTCTTCACTTGCCATCCAGGACAAACTAAGTCTCCTCTCCTGTGACCTCCTAGCACCTCACATAAAACCCCACCCTGGCATATCCCACTATACTGGAATTACTGGTTGGTCATGTCTCCAGCTTTCTGTAGATGATGAGATATTTACCTTATTCCTCTTTATTCCCTCCAAATTAGCACAGGTTTTGGTACATACTATTTGGTAAAAAAAAAAAAAAAAAAAAGGTGTCGTTGATTCAGTGAATAAAGTCATGGCAATAATTTTCATGTTGCAAATTTCAAACTCTGGAGTGGTGTGCCATTGACTCATTCTCAAGAGCATTTCACAGCTCAGGAATTAAAGACTGACTATGAACCCAAACAGCCTTAGGTGCATATATCAGTTGATCAAAAGTCAGGCCATACTTAATATTAATTCAAGAAGGAAGATTCAACAGGAAACAAAAGATTACTTATCCTTATTAAAAGAATCAAGTTTAAAAAGTGTTTGGATTAACCGTCTTCTAGACAAAGAGTTTAGTTAAAGCTAGTTTGGAAAAAGCATCACAGGTGATTTTTTTCCTTTTAATGTTCTGATTATAGGGCACTGGCAATCAGGCCAACGAGTTTATTTTGAAAGCTCTGGCTTGAGTCCTTTAGTTGTGAATTGTTCATATATGTACAATAACACAGATATGGGACAATCATACTTTTAAATCAGATCCATGGCTTGTAAATACAGATTTATACTTTGCATCTCTCCCAGTTAATGAAGGTACAAGAATAAGATTTTGCAATCTTTTTTTCTGAATCCAGTGGCAGTTGTGATAAAGTTTTGCTAAAGGTGGAGCTATTTAAAGGAAAGCATGAAAATGGGCAGATTGAAGAGAGGAAGAGGAAGATGCAGGCCAAGCAAATGCTTTGAAAATAAATGGAAAAAAAATTAGAAGACTACTGAGATAAAATCAATGAAAAAGAGGGAAACAAGACGAAAAGATGAAAGGATAACAAAAGAAGACAGAAAATGCATCAATCTTAAGGGAGAGAACTATGAGATAATGGAAAAACTGAGAAATGACAGAAAACAAACAGACTTGTAAGAAAATGTAAGGGAAAAACATAAGACTATAGCAAATTAAAAGACTGCATTTAAATTTTAATTTTTAAATTAAAAGAGGAGGAATTTGAGAGAATCAACAGATAACAACCAGAGTCAAACCTCAAGAAATATCTACCAAATGTTTACTGCTTGTTATGCACCTAAACTCAAGTGGCACCATCCCTATCCTATAAATCAGTGTGATGTGCTAGGTTAATAAGAATTAGGTAGAACTAGAAGTAAGAAAAGAGGTGCTCACATGCATTTTACATTCTGCTTCTTTTTTTAGACCAGTAGTGATTTGCAGTGATGCCCCTATTCATCAAAACACTTCTTTCCATTCTTTGGTTGATTATCTGGGTACAGTGGAGCACCAAACAATGACTTTGGCTTACAAGTTGTTCCTTGTGAAGAATAACCTACACAGATTCTGATTTACGTTGTCCTCTTTTTGGTAGCCATTTTTAAAAAACTGAATATCAACACCATCCTCTAAGGAAGCAAGTGACAGACAATGCACTACATTGTAAATAATTTATTTTAGCAAAATCAAAGAATTGGGCTTTACCCTTATTGAAGCAAACACCCATCCACTGCTGTATTACCAGTTTGTGATCAGTTATTGGGTTAATAATGTGAACTCAATTTCTCAGCCTTTATTTGACCTACATACAGGTAACTCAGACAATAATGTAATAAAAATCACTGTATAGAATAATTTTGGTTAGTTGTTCCTGGAGAGAAGGTGAATTCTACCTTCTATTTTTCTAATGCTTGTAAGATTTTGATGTCAGTTATTTTGAATCTAAAAATGCTTGATCTCTATTATTATATTAATGATGCATCAAATAATGGGCATTTTCAGCATGTTCAGTGGAAATCAATAAGTTCAACACAATGCAATTCTCCAAAGACAGCCAATTTTTTAGAGGGCTGAAAATGTAAAACAAATTGAAGGCATGCTAAAATACAGTAATTTTACTAAGTTTACTGCTAAAATTCAGTAATTATAAATGTTTTCTAGAGAAAGTTATCTTTCTATCAATCCATCCATCTTCTGCTTTGTTGCAGAAAGGTCTTAAGTGACTGCTCAATACATTTTCATTGAATGTATCAGTGGTGTGACAACAGAAAACAAAAGCCAAATAAGAACAGAACCAAGGCCTGTTGCAGACAAGAGCAGAAATTAGTATAGGATAAAATACACAAGGAGCATATTTATAAAATGTCAAAAACTGCAGCAATGTTGCTTCACTAGTCCTTATAATTTTATAGTGAACCATCTAAAGAGGCTAACCATACTTTCATACTATTACAGATTAGGAAACAAGGTATGGTTCAATTTTCTTGGTGCTTTCATTTAACAGACACTCGTGACAGGTACTGTATTCAGTGATAGGGATAAAACGATGAAAAATTAACCTGTGACAATCCGAGATCAGGAGTAAACTGTAGAAGCCTGGCTCTCTTAGTTTATCCATGTCACTTGCTCAATAAGTTTTCCAGATGATATAATCATGACATTTCAGGAGAGTCCTACGGAAAAGTTCTGAAATATATTATTGAAAGCTGTGCTATTTATCATAGAGATATTGTTCATTGTTCAAACTTTTATTAACTGTGAAGACTTATTTTAAAGTTTCAGAAAAGGCTCACTTTGGGGTGTGTTTGATTTTTTTGTTGTTAGATTTTAAAATCTGAATTTAATTTTGTACAGTGGAGTAAATTATGGCCCCCTGATTTATCCAGCTAAATGTCATGGGCTAATCCTTTTGGATTATGGTGAAGGAAAAGAAACACTTTAGTTAATTATAGAATGAGTTTGCATGATTTATCACCCCCAGATCTGTTATGGAAAACTTTCAAGGGATTCAATATACATGTGGTTATTTTTCTGGATGATACTGTTGTTGTTACAGCTGGACTTCACCATCTGAATCATCTTGGACTTACGATTAGACCCTTAAGTGAAACATTATTTGGAATAAATTATCTTTCCAGAATAAAAACAAAAGTTTCAGCTCAAGCTTGGTGATTAATGCAGTGGTACAATGAAGTTTTAGTTAACAGCAGGATTTAGAGACCAGGAAGATGCTATGTTTATGTATTTTTCTAGCTGATAGGGAATGCCAATTGGCATCTGGTTGCCTAATAAACTAAATACAGGGTTAGCCACATGAAGATGATTGCCTCAATTTAACACCTCGATCTGGTTAATTAATCTGTTAAATCACAGAATTTTACCATTTATTTTCATGTCTAACAGGCCTGCAATAGTGTGGAGCAATAGATAGGAAATAGACTATAGAATATGTAAGACTCTAAGGTTAGTGATAATGGTTAGCTCATTATCAGGCAAGATGCAAGATCAACAGAACCACAGGCAGGTTCACAATGTGCAGAAAAAAAAAGCCAGGCCCAGAAATATAAAAGGCATATTAAATTCTAGGTAGCTGTTTGAAGCCAACTTTTAAAAGTTGAAATATTGTATATTATTGCTATGTATCAAATAATGATACAACCAGTTAAGAACCTGGTAATTTATCTCACTATCATCTGAATTTAATAAACAAAAAAAAATTAAAAAAGAACCTAGTAGATTTGATATTTATTGCCTTATTTAATTCTTACACCTATTCAATGATGTAGCTGTCATTGGTATCATATTGGACAGGTGAGGAAACAGATGAAGAGGAGTAGGTAAACGATCCTAGCCGATGCAGAACATAAGTAGGGCAGAAAGACACTTATTTTCAGAATTCAAGGTTTTCAAAGTTGTTTTTTTCTTTCAGTCAGTCTGCCTTTTACTACTACACTGCTACAGCCATCCATAAATATAATATGGGCTCTTTACATTAACAACTTTATATTTGTGTGGCAAAATTGCTTGCGAATGACTATTTAGATTTTGTGCCTGCATTACATGAGAAAGAATAAGAATGTCTAGGTCTGGTCCTATCCCTCCCACTGATTGTCTGGTTAAGCCGCTGATTTTTTTTTTCTTTCTTTTCTTTTTGTACAGCATTGGAAAAAATGTCTTTCTTCATCGTCTGCGAAATCCTTAAGGGCAGGCTTTATTTTTTTTCCTTCTCTCTCTAAGTCTCTATGTGCTGTGTGTAGCAGTTAGCAAAGTGGGCCTTTCAGTTTTCAAGGATAATATATAGTGCATTATTGTACCTGCCTCTCAGAGGTATTTTAATTGATATGTAGTTAATGAAGGACGTGGTGATGTTCTTAGAAATTGCTGTGAAATGTGAATTAAAGAATGATCAACGGGACTAGTGGGCACAGCTTGTCAGGCATGTTTTTAATTAGCATTTATGTAACTTTCCTATTTCTGGGCATCCTTGGGAAGACACATTTAATTTAAGAAATTAAAAAGGAAAATTTATTTTTCCAAAACGCTTCCTGACCTTCACAGAATAAAAACCAATGAACCCGAGCTTCGGAGACGACAGACTGTCGGGAATTGTAAAGATGATTTGGGCAGCGCATTGTTTGGCGGGAGGAGCTCAGCCTTCCACTAACAGAAAAGTCTACGTCAGCATTTACTTAGAAAATTTATTTTAAAAGAGTTACAGAAGCAGTCCACAAGTATCAATATTCTCTGTACAAACTCATATCTTTGTTCTGTTCTCTTGCTCTTGTGCCGTCTTTCTCTTTTTGAATTTCCTATAAAAGCTAAATTAGGTCTCAAGGGTTCTGCACCACTAAGCAAGGATCTCTTCTAGTCCATTGTGATGGAAGTAAATGTACTCAGGAGAAAGATGTACTTGAAGGAAAGGCTAAAGAATCTCCCTTCATTGAATTCCCCTGTCTCCCACACAACCTACCCACCCTGACTTCTCTAAATACTTCCCGCGTGCATGCGTGTGCACACTCCAACTAGCCCTCAGCAAAATTGTGCAGTAGGTAGGATATTTATCTGAAATCAGCACAACCTTTCTGGCTCCATCTCGACTTTATCAAGAGGGGATGGAACTATCTTTCAAGTTTTCAGGCCTTTGAGCTTTTTCCTCATATTCCTATGAAAATAGGTTCTTAGGAAAGGATTCGGTAAACTCATTTACTGGGGTATAAATAAAATCTAGGCTGAATTTCTCTGTAAAATATACTTTATCATAGCATTCAAGAACAGCCATACTCTTCTTTTGATATACACGACCCTTACCTTACTATAGTTCTAATGAATATTGTATTCTTGGTGTATTGTAAGATTATGAGACTATGTAAAAATTAACTGTAATTCTAACAAGTTGGAGAAAAAGCATATTTTAGGGGACAGGTCTACTAGACTTTAAAATCACAAAGGACACTGTAGTTCAGGATTTTGGAATTACATGGTTCTAAGGTAGCATCCCAGCGGCACATCTTATATCTGTTTGATTTTGGACAGGTTACCTAGTCTATAAAAGCTCCTGTTCCCTCAAAAACTAAAATAACCGAAAACCAATCCTTGTAACAATGTAAGAAAAGTTTTATACTGGAGGGCATGAACTTATGGACTTTGAAAGCTGGAAAGTACTCTTGAGACAACCACAGCCCACATTCTCATTCAGAAATGAGGATCGTGGCGGGGCAAAGAGGTGACTTGCGCAGGCTGCATAGTTAAGGGTAACAACACACCTCTTGATTTAAATTCTAGAAGTCTTTCCACTGAACCCCCAGAAGACAGTCTGTCTTTTGTGAGATAGCAAAGTACCACTATGTTGGATACTCCTTGCACTTAGGTGTGAACCACATGTTCTCAAATTAATTCAGGTTGTCTTAGGGTCAGTTGCAGTGTGTGGTCATTGGTGGCAATTTTTTAAATGCCCATTCGGTAGAAAGACATGCTTTGCAATGTTTTTGAACGATCTTCCTCTCATTTCACATGTTCAATTAACGGTGCCACGGAGGGAAGCTTTCATCTTATGCATGACTTAAAGAAGAAGATAAATTAGTGCATTTCCCTAGACCACTCACTTAGCGTTGGCTTGACTAGAGTAAGGGAGGTGTACCCCAGAAAAGACCTCTGAGACAAATGAGATAGACCCAGAGGAGGAGGTCAGCTTGAAGCATCTTGTAGCCATAGGTCTGTAATGGGGAGGGCAGAGCTGTTAAAAATCTGAATTAAAATCTCAGTTCCTTCAAATACTATCTGGGTAACTTTGGACAAATGACTTAACCTCTCTGTGCTTCATTTTCTTCACCTGTGACATGGGGATAAAAATACTGCTAATCTCAAGGGTTTATTCTGATGATTAACTGAGGTAATTCACATGAAGTATTTAGCACAGTGCCTTTCACATAGTGAGTGTTCAACAAGAATTACCTATGATGAAGAAGATTTAGACTAATGCCAGGGAATGTGAACCTTATAACTTATTTTTATTTATATTACACATTTATAATATTTTTTCCAAGATCATTTCTCTCATAGTGACATTTTAAGTATAATTTTTTCTATTTCTAGAAATTAAACACTAAAAGGTAAAACAATGGTTTTCGGGTAATGCCCAATAGAGTATGGGGCTACCCTTTTTAAAAAAATAAAATTAGATTAAAATGTCTGGTAAGAAAATATTTCTATTTCCAGATTCAAATATAAGTTTGTTTATCAAATGCCTTTCAAACATTACAGCATTAATCTATATAAAACTTTGTATTCAGAAATAGGTTCTGCCTGAGAAAGCAGGTTTTTGACTGCTAACAAGGTGCTAATATCCACACCACCACGCCGTACCTTTCTGCCAACTGACTTGGCTTGTATTTAATTAGACCACAAGATGTTGGACCGAGTATAGTGCAAGTTACATAAGTTTCACAATTTAGATCTCCTGATGTCAGTACCTTTCGTTACAGCAGAAAACAACATTGGAATCATGGGAATAAAGGGAATCTTAAAAATGAAATTATGAAGAAAAACATTGATTCATTTTAAGAAAAAAATGATGAGAGAATTTCAGTTTTTTTAAAAGATGACACATGCATTTTGCAGGTGTGTATTTGAAAGTAGACTCAGATGAAATTTTGAGTTTTTCTAATAGAAAGCATATTTTTTAGTGGGAGGGAGAGGAAAGACTCAGCTATTTTAGATTCTTGGAAGAATCTTGAAAAGTTATGTGTAAAGTATGAGAAAATAAAATATTAATTAGCTCCCATTGAAAAAGGGGTGAGCTCCTTCATAAAACACTCCCCTGAAAGAACAAATCAACCTTCCACAGCTATGTAAAAAACACAATGGGTATAATAATATTCAGTGAGATGGTATGTGAGGAAACATTGCAATTTATATTTGGTAAATGTTGTGTCTATAAATTTTTTCAACCAGATTGTGCTAAACAAATATAAATAAATATAAGGAAAAAACACCAGACTCAAATCAAGTGCACCAGGTATGTTGGGAACTGTTAGGTGGGAGGAAGGACACTTACTATGAGACAGGTTTTAGGGAGGTAACTGATATGTCAGTTAAGTTGACATTGCTGTCACTGAATGCCAAACCAAGTCCCCAGACTGCTTCTCTGCTTCATGCTTGACTCCTCTTTTTATTCAGTGACCCCTAAATCATTAAGAGGCAAGTTTTAAACACAGGAACAGTCACAGATTTCCTTTTTTTCAAAAGTTCAAACGCTAGGCCCCTAACATTTTCAATTTATCTCAGTACAACAAAACTCCTATTTTGACATTTCAGCATCTCTCAATTCTTTCTTCTAATAACCAAATCTCTGCTTCCCAGTGAGAACTCTCTTGGAGGCCTATTGTACTGGGGTAATTATACATATATTATAGATGTTAGTCTAAGACTGTCTGAGCCTCAGCTTTCTCATTTGCAATGTAGAGATAACAATACTTCACTTTTTTGTGTGTGACAATAAAAATTCAAGAACAATGTTAAGCCACTTAATGAGGGCTAAATATCAGGTGCAATGCTAAGCATGTTATGATGTTATCTAATTTGATTTAACTCTTACAATGAGCCTACGATGATGGTATTATCTATCTTCACTTTACAAAAAAATTGAGGCTTAGAGAAATTAAGTAGCACCGTAAGCAGTAGAGGTGGCACTGGTACCTGGACTGCTTTACTTCCATGCCTGGGATTGTAACTAGCCTCCCTAGGAGGTCAAGGACCAAACACAGTCTGACACATAGAGTAGAGTCAATGTTAGTTCTCTCTCTTATGCTTTGTTTCTTTCATTTGCGGTGGTGCACACACATGATTTTTGCTGCCAAGATTTTGTTTCCTCTGTCCTTTCACCTGAAAAGTTTCTCTGTGATTCTTTGGCAATAAAATTCTACACAATTTGAAAGCTTGGCTCAAGTGACTTCTCACAGAGTTCTTCCTAGTCACTGGGATATTGATCTTTTTAACTCATCCAGCTTTTACTGGTTACAGATGTCATTTGGGAATGCCATAGTGTGTTGTACTCTTACTTAACAATTTGCATCTGTTATTTTGAAACATTATAGGTTCACTTTGCAAGAAAAGTGACAGCATTTTGGAATGGTGGGTTTTGAGAATTTTGAGATTTTCTAATAGAAAGCATATTTTTTCATGGGAGGGAAAGGAAAGACTCAGCTATTTTAGATTCTTGGAGGAATCTTCAAAAGTTATGTGTAAAGTTTGAGAAAATAAAATATTAATTAGCTCCCATTGAAAAAGGGGTGAGCTCCTTCATAAAACACTCTCCTGAAAGAACAAATCAACCTTCCACAGCTATGTAAAAAACACAATGGGTATAATAATATTCAGTGAGATGGTATGTGAGGAAACATCGCACAGACTCAGGAGATAGAGTGCCTGGGTCTGAATTCCAGTTTTGCCATTTACTAGATGTGTGACTTTGGACAAGTTACTTAACCTTCCTGTACCTTAGCCTCTTCTTCTATCAAATGGACCTAATAATAAACACTGCTTAATCAGAAATTTGCTGTGAGGATTAACTGAGTTAATATTTGTTAGAAATTAGATGCAAACATGACACGTAAGTGCTATAATGGTGTTAGTTTGTTGAATAAATACATTTTCTTCATTGGATCTTTTTCAACAACTATGTAATGCTTACAGCACACTAGATACACCAGATGTTTGTTGATTTATTAATTGGCCAGGTTTTGATTTACCTTTCCTCATTCATAATTAATTTGAATTTTCAATGACCTACTATGGAGAAGATATAGAGTTGAAGTTGAGGATTCAAAGCTGTCTGACCTCAAGGGGTTCAGAAGTTATACTTGAGGGTTAATTAATTATTCAATATTATGTTGCATAATTATTAGTCAATGGTATATTGAAATAACTGTATTGAATTATATACAAAATTATATTGAAATAATTCAATACTATAGCTTCATTCTAGTAACTGTGGTCAAGCTGCCTAGTACTTCTAGAAATAGGGCTCCTTGGCCAATATCTAAGTTCGATGAGGTTTACAATTGTCTTATTCTCCTCTATCATTCATTTTACGTATATATAATTATATATATTATTAAATATATATTATATAAATATCATTTAGCATATTTTAAGTATACTGTTATCCTCTTAAGGCTTAAATACTTCTACTCACTTATTCAACATTTACTGAGTTTCAGGTTTTGTGCTAGGTGATGGGAATACTAAGTTCAATAAGACATATATCCTGTCTTTAGGGACTTGACGGTCAAGTGTTGGCGGTCAGCAACAGCCTGCCACCTGTTTTTGTAAATAAAGTTTTATTGGAACATTGCCATGATTTTTCATTTACACATTGACTGTGGCTATATTTGTGCTACTCTGACATTTTATGCTACAATGTCAGAACAACAGAGACCACATGGGCCACAAAGTCTAAAATATTTACTATTTGGGGCTTTACATAAAAGTTTGCAGATATGTGGTCTAGTGGAATGTACTGAAGTGTCTCTTTGAGGAGGATACTGTTTGGATTTCAGGGTTGCTGATTCTGAGGTTGGTAGTTATTCACAATTTCTTTAGAAAACTAGCACTTTCAAAAACTTGAGTGAAATAAGCAGTAGCTGTTGTCCAAAGCTTCTCAGATATGATTGTGCGTGGTCATCTAAGAAAAGTTAACGAAGAATGAATTATCATTCTGGGTTCTTCAAAGAGTTTGCAATAGTTGTTGCCCAAGTACTTGACTAATGCAGTTTCTAAGCAATAAGGATACCATGTTAATACGGACCTGAAAAACCATGGCTGAACACTGTGGAATAGAAATTGTGGATCCTACGGCATTCTTTTTCATTTCAGAACTATTGTAAAAGTAGATTACATAGTATATACAATAACACTGCAAAGGATGTAATTTTTGAAGCATTTTAGATTTTATATATTAAAATAGAACTAATGAGTTTCATTTAAATATACCAATGGAATCTAAATCTCAAAATGTTTTAATAGCATATCATACATTTGAAAAGAAAATGTATAAACTCTTTTACAGAAATTTTACAATATCTACTTTCTCCTTGAATTCATACTTTCACTTCCTGCACATGATTTTATTCTAATGTCTAAATTCTCATGTTTGAAAGTCTTTTATTAGTTACTAGGTTATACCACTCTCCAAAAAAAAGTAAGTATATATTTTAGACTTAACCATTTTTTTCTCTGTGAACACAGGTTCTGAGTTAAAATTCCTTCTAGATTGAATTATTATCATTATCACTAGAACACAATTGATAAAAATCACACAAATATGTTACAAATGTTATATTTATTAGGTTGGTGCAAAAGTTATTGCGGTTTTTGCTGACGTAATGGCAAAAACTGCAATAACTTTTCCATCAACCTAATACTAAATATAAGAATAAATATTAAAAGAAAAATTATCTGTTAATGGACCAGAGCGAGGTTTTTTTCTTTCACTTAATTCTGGTACTTTTGCTTGACTATTATTTACTACTAGGATGTAATGGGGTTTCACATCGATTCTATTTATATTTTTGTTTTTAGGAATACAAGTGTTGAAAAACTTATTCACAAAAATATGCAGAGGAAAGTGGAACTAATTTTGCCATAGCAATTGAACTCACTTCTTTAAACTCATTCTGAGATATATGCCTCAAATCACATAGCATTCTATTATCAAAAACTATTTTAATGACCAATAACTGATAATTTGAATACATCTTCCTTCAATTTCATTGAAAGTAAAGGAAACTACCTGACTTGCAAAAGACGATTTTGCTCATTCATTAAAATCGATCATTTTCTCAGCATCAAAATCAATATTTCAAATTGTCTGTTTTTTACTGCAATGGAAGTTTTCCGTGTTGGGAACCATGCACATAATAATATTTGAAATGAGTGAGAGAGTTCAATCTTTCTTTGTGGAGTGGAAATGAGATTATTGTAAAGGGGGAGGCAGAAAAGAGGAAGCAGCTTTCTCAGAGAATACACAAAAAAACTGAGGATCCTAAAGTGATTCTATTCGGAAAACCTTCATATAGTCCTAGGGCAACATTTCTCAATCTCAGCATTATGGGCATTTTGGACAGGATAGTTCTTTGCCTTGTGGGCTGTCCTGTATATTGCAGGATGTTTAACAGCATTCCTGACCTCTACCTGTGGGATGTTTGTAGCATCTTCTCAGTTGTGATAACTCCACATTTTTCTAGATATTGTCATTGATCTCCTGCAGGGCAAAATCACTGCCTGTTTTGAATCACTGTATTAGGGGTGTTAGTACTAATATATGAAGACTACTTTAGCAGTGAACATCATAATGAATTCTTCCCTATTAAATACCAATGAGTTTATAACAGTCTTATGAGCAAATTGAGATTCTTCATTTACCACAGAGTGTAGGAATATTTAAAGCATTCCCACAACTCCACCAATGGGAATCAATTCATCATTCATCTTGTATTTTGAGAACTGGTATGTCTGTGTTGATATTCTTTAACATCCTTAGGAATTGCAGTCTTGCAGCTTTGTCAGGGGATAGACACAAGCTAGTTTAATGGAGACAAATTGAAGACTAGCTGACTAATTTTTCTATATGAGTATCCTGATTTTTCCTCTAACATTTAAAATAAATTTCCCCAATTAGGAGCCTTTAGAGACAAAAAGCACAGTATTAATCCACTGTTAAAGAATTTAATAAGGCAGAATTCTTCTTTTCTCAATGATGGAAAAAGTTTTTTTAAATTCATTTTTCTTCTTATTATTGTTATCACTTTTATTATTGCCATTTCTAGTACCTATTGTGAACTGTAATATACGATTCTCAAAAAGACCAGACTCTAAGGTCTTGTGAGTATGGGATGGAATCCTATTCACCTGTGTATCTTCCAACCTTAAGATAGTGTCTGGTGCATAATAGATCCTTGATAAATGTTGGATGATGAAGGAAAGAGCAGTTGTGCAACATCAAATCAGTTAATTTTATAAATGAGCCATTAAACTTTCAACTTTAACCTTATTATCATACTAGATGACCTCAGGCAAATGGATGAGCTAAAACACAATGAGTGAAAGATAAAGCATAGCCTTATTACTATGCCAGAGTAACTGAACATTCATTCACCTTGACACTTTTTTTTTTCTTTTCTTTTGCTATATAGATGAGGGCTTGCTATGTTGCCCAGGCTGGTCTTGAACTCCTGCCCTAGCCGCCTTATGTGCCAGGACCACAGGCCCGGGTCACTGTGCCTCCCACACTTTGACACTTACAACTAATCTACAGAGACTGTGTGGGAAAAGTTGAAAGGAGAGAAAAAAAAAGAAGAAGAAAATAGTTTCTAAGATGTTAATATCAAGGGGTGATTTCTAACAGTTTTATGTTTTCTTCAATTGCTCTTTTATGGATTTTTATTTAATTTAAATCATATAGTACATACAATTTTGCATTTTACTTATTTTTTGTTAGTCTTTATGTTTAGTGAGGTCAGGACGATGTCTTTTTTGCTTACCATTTTATCCCCAGTACCTAAAATAAATGATTAAGTACATGTAGAGATTTAATGCCAGTGACGTATATTGAATACATCATGAGTATATAATAGTATACACAGTGAATACATATTACATGAAAGTATGTGGTAAAGAGCATTACAACTAAGGTTTCCCTAAACATCACTGTGAGGCTGCAATACGTTTTTAGGCACAGGTCTTTAGGTATAAAGTCTTTTTTGTACTTTAGTTTAGTTCTTTGGAAAGATCCCAGAAGGTGAATTACTGGGCTAAAGAGTATGATATTTTTAAGGGTTTAAGTTAAAAGACTGTATCACTATAAATTCCTGCTACAGAATATGAGGGTGTCATCACAACTGCTATTATTTGACAGGTGAAGATGCTACTCATTCTGTTTGCATTCTTTAATAAGTGAAGTTGAGCTCTTTTTTTCAAATGTTTATTAACCACTTATATTTCCTCCTTTTATAAATCAAATATTTATATTTTTGATCTGGTACAATTTTTTGAAGTGTGGAAACTACATTTTAAAACTGTTTAAAAAGCACTCTTTTATATTTTAGGGTTTTCTTTGATCTGGGTACTCTGGACACATTCCTATTCATACCTGTCCTGCGTAGCTCACAAGATTGTTGGGTGTGTCATTGAGACAGTGGCTACATAAGCTTATTGAGAGCTATAGAGTACGAAACACAGGCAAGAGATTATTATAAATTTTAACTGCTATTACATTTTGTAGAGATGAGACTGCATCTGTCAGCTCCTCTCAGGTTTACATAGTTCCTCTCTTAAATGTTTTCAGAATTTTCCTTAAGAGCAGCTGCAGAACAGACTGACAGGATTAGTGAATATGAAGAAACATACCACTATATCTAAAATGGAGCAAGCAAAGAAGATATTTTACATGCTGTAAAACAAAGAGGATCACCTGAGATAAGTGTACAATCTTTTCCAACCTGATATTGTTAAACACAGTAGTAGATACTAAATATAAGAGGAAGAAACCCATTGTGGCTCATTTTCTTTCTAATAGCATCTGTGGTCAAATTTAGTCAAATTGTGGGTGTCAGGACCATTCTATAATACGATCAATTGGAGTCCTGCAGAATAAATGAAGAGTAGGGTTGGTATTTCAAGCTATGTTTTTTATAGTACAGTTTACATTAAAGAGGCCTGAAAAATCACTAACAGTAGACTAATAACTGTGCTTTTAAAGAATTGCAAATTAACTTCATTTGAAAGCATAAAAATCAACCGCATAAATGATAGCTTGATGTAAGGAATATTATGTTTCAGCCAAAATGCAAAACAAATTAAATTGCAATATTGTTAAGGAGGAGCAGAACTCCGCATTTCTTTAGAATTAATGTCAAATGTAATTTTTTTTTCTTTATAATGCTCAGCATGATTAGACATGGCACCTTCTTAATGTTGTCAAGGTTCCTTCCTTAAGAAAACATCTTATGCTTGTACACAACACAGAAGGATGATAATAGGCCTTTGATTTAAATAGTGTGTTGATGAGAGTTCCAGTCTCAGTCAATCAGACAAAATTAATTAAGATCAGGTGGATAAATGGTGGTATGCTCAGCTATTAACACAGTTTTTTCATTGAAATGCTTATAGCTGAAGATAGAGAACCCGCCTCTTAACAGGCATAAAAACTAGAGGAAAGAATTGACAAGCTGAGGGTCAAATGAGTGCATTCACATCACAAACTAAAAATGCATGTTGGCTATTGAATGAAGAGAAATTTTTTATTGTCTTCATAGCTATTTCTGATAAAATTGCTGCCTTAAAGTGGATACAGATTCTTAGTGAGGAAAAAAATCCATAAATATGCAATTTTTTCAAAATTTTGAAATATATATAAAAGGAGATCTATTTGTTTATAAAATTAAATATTTGGAACTTTCCAGGGAATAATTATGGAAAGATAAAAAATTTACTACTTATACTTTGAATTTGTTATTATTTTGACTAGACAGATCTAGTTCATAATCTATAGATTTTTCCATAATACTTATTTTATTTTAGTTTTTCCTGAGATTGGTAAATGCCATTATCATTATTTTGGGAGTGAAAGCTGTGGAGAGCTATGGTTTACCCAAGGGGATCCTGTGATTAAATAATAGTTTTACTGTATTATTCTCTATTCTTCATGTGGTCAAAACACTGGTGAGAGTTGTGGTAACAAGTTTTATCTTAAGGGCCAATGCTGGCCAAACGGTAGCGGAGGTTGCATTCAGACTTAGCAAGTATTAATGCCATAGTTGATTAGGGATATCTACTACGAATACAGGGGTGGCAAAAAATAGTATGGCCAGAGAGAGAGAGAGAGAGAGAGCATAGATTAATAAAAATAGAACTGGATTCAGGCAGGAACCCTTGTTTCCAGTCAAATGTTGATATTAGTCTCTTTTAACAAATAATTATGACCAAGTCATCGATTTTTCTCATTTAAGAAAATGAGACATAATCAATATTGGACATTTGAGAAATTCAAATGGAACAAATAGTATCTAAGGAATTCCTTAAGACTTTTATAAGAAATGTAGTTTTGCTGTGCTTGAGACTGTTATCTTGGAGGGTATTGCTTCTTAGACATCATAAGTGCTCAATATTTAAGATTCGCTGAGTTACATTTACACCTTCTTCACTATAGAAGGTGTCACCTACAACTCTGTCAGATAGTTCCCTTTACTTTTAAAGCATTATTTTAGTTTCAAAAAGTATGGCTTTTACTCTTAATCAATACACAAATCAACCATGTTAGACAACCTTTCAAAAATCATTAATGAACATAAGGATACAGTACAATTTTGGTGGAAAAAATTCCAAATCAGTTTATTTTATTGCAAAAGAACACTTTCTAAAACCAATCACATAAATTTTAATTTATTCTGACATAAGTGGCAGCCAGAACTTATCTTTGGTTATATTAGTAAGCAAAGCAAAAACACAACTGGAAGGGTATTAATGCTGTCTGACTAGGATTCTCATTATTGATATTTCTGAGTTGTCCTTGGGATAATTTACTCCAAAAGCTCTTTTCCTTTGGTACTTAACTTTTTTTGAAATCACAAGAATGAAAGTATATATGCAAGGATAAAAGTGCTTAGAATTAAGCTTATTAAAAGTAGTCAGCATTTAAGTGGGGAAAAAAACTCAGCATATTGAACTGTTTGTTTTAAATTTAATTTTAGAGCAAACAGATCAATAAGTTGAGATCTGAAAAAATTCTAAATAATTTATTTAAAATATTTTATTTTTGTAAAAAATAAAGTATTGCCAAGAAGGATGTACCTTAACGATATGATGTGTTTTTCCTGAACAAATGTTCCTCTATTCTACCAGACTGTGTGGCATTTGCTCATACTCAACAACTGTGAAAATTTGGAACAAGGTTTCTTCTCCTTTCTTTAAAAGTCTTTAATTCCTTTACATATGCCAGGCACAATTTATATACAAGTTAACAGGAAATGTTTTGTGTAATAATTTTATTATTTGTCCTGGCAATGATAATGAAAGCCAGTTATTCATTAGAAACTCAGTATGTCTAAGTTCTTGAAGCTTGTGTGTTCTTGTTTAGTTCTGGATTCTGGAAGTCAACAGCTGCTGGATGGTTAAATATGATTTGAGTGTTTATTCTGGTTCAAGCTATATGCTAACATTTTTACTTCGGAAACTTAGAATATGAGTTTTCATACTAATGCAGAATTACAAACTCATACGAAGCACTATGTGATCCTTTCCTTGGAGAGGTGAAATGAAACTTTTTAAATGTAGCCTGTCAAATACAACTGGTTTCACTAATTTTCATTACACTAGGCAAATAACAATAGTATGTCTGCATTTCATGTTCTCAGAGCAAATTACCAGCAACAACACATTTTGATCCTATTTAATAAGATTGTCTTTAAATTGCTTTTTAATGGAAAAACCAAAATAGCAGTTTACTGTTTACTAAGTATGATGCATATTTACATAAAAGCTAGAGAAAAACACTAGACTTAAGTTATATGTAACACTTCAAGTAAAACGACTGTTCTCCAATGGTTTAGCCTCCATTCACCAACCAGAATAGTACACTGGCCCAGGCATAACATGAAGTGGTTGTATGTGTCCATTGTCACATAACCTAGGAACACCAGAGACAAATTGCAATAAGGCGTGGGTGAATGATTGTCCAGAAAACTGGTTGTCTTATTAAATAGCTGTTTAATCAGGCTAGTAAAAGTTACAGGAGACTTCCAAGCCTTCATCTTTTTGGAAAAACCTCAAGAAATGAAATCATTCATGCACTTCTCGAATTCTTCTATTTCCAAGAAAAAATCTGGAATTACCATAGCCACTATGTTATCTGGATATTGTTACAACCGAAGGGCACAATTCCTTGGTCTAATATATTGTAGTTAATATTCAGCATTTAAAACAATTATTTGTGTTTCAGGACTTAAAAGGTATGACTCTGTGGTCCTGCCCACTATGTGGAAATTTGAAGATGAGATTCATGCTAATGCAGAGGGTTATGGCCAAGAGTGACAGTTTGGCTGCCTGCAAGTTTCAAATGGAGGCATTTGCTTATGTGAGTTTATCCCAGCTCAGAGTCTGTTTTTCAGCTTTGTGGTCTGAGAAATTTGATCTTACCAGTGTTTCAGAGTAGATCAGACATTAGTATGAGGACCCATGTTAACTAAGTTCACAAGAGCTAATGTGTAAGACCAGAATGACAGACTATCCTTTCAAAATGACTGAGCTTTAACTGAGGACTGTAGTGGACACTTTTTTCAGCCTGATCAGCAACTCACTCACAGTGCTGGGATGGAACCAGCTAATATTTGCCTCTCACACTCAGGTTTTTATTACTAAGAGTCTCCAGAATTTTCCTTCTTTAAATATGCCGAAGAAAGAGAATAGCTCAAAAGTCAGCAAGTGTTGATTTTATAACTTAATCTTCAGAGTACAGTATTATATCCAAGTATGTGGAATGGAAGAATTTGAAGAACATCATTGTGGCCTTCAGATACGGCCTACATACTCTATTACTTCAATGGGTTTTGTTCTACTTGATATCTAGTAATCTAAGGTACTCTCTAGAGCAGATATCACTACTTTCAGATAATAGTATTAAAGAAAATGAAACTCAATATACATCAGTCATTTCCTTTTTTTAAAAAATAAATAAGAATTTTCCTTATAAAAACAAATGTATATGGATATTATAAAGTATTTTTACGTTTTCTTTTTCTTGGTGATACTTTTTTTTTTTTAAAACAAGCTGTACCCTCTTCCTTACACTGATACTCGTCTCACCTTCAATATACTTTCTTTTTGTAATTTTAAAAATTGCCTTAAAGGATTTTGTTTTCAATTGTCACTTGAGAACAATTTTACTACTAAAAGTTTTGAGAGCAATACTATTATTTGTGCTACATCAGGTTATGTTCTTTTTGGAATAGTTCTACTATAAACTCAATTTCACATAACACCAACTATATAAGGCAACTGAGGAGTACAACTAACAGTAATTTAATGGACCTCATTTATGATGAACAAATTAACCCAAAGAGGGAGTTCTACTTATCTTTAGAGGCCCATCTCAAACATCACTTCCCCTTTGAGAGCTAGTCTGACTTTCTGGTAGCGTCCTTGCCATGTTCCATTCTGCTTTCTCTTTGATCCTAGCTTCGACTACTGACTGTGCTTTATTAACCTGAGCATCCCTGGGGTTCAGCCCTGTACCTTACTTTGGGTGGATGTATTCAATAAATCTTTAATAAATAAATATGTGAGTCATGTACATTTCTTTTTATATATATGGCTGTAAAAGATGACATCATCTTTGAGCTTATTCTTTTTAAAATTAAAACTGAAATATTTTGGGGAAGATGGTATCATTCTTGTACTTGAGAGTATATCTTAATTTGGGCTCCTAAAAATGAGTCGATCAATGAGTTTGACAAAGTTTTCAGAACAGATGAGAATCAAGCTTAGCTGGTTTCAGATAAGGAGAGACATTTGTATTTGAAAATATTAAAACAAAACAAAACAAAATAAAGCTGGTCAGAAAATTAAAATTAAATAAATCTGCATTTTTTGCAGCTAATAATACTCATTTATTTCATGCCAAGTTCTGGTTATAAATGCCAAGGCCTTTTTAAAAAGCTCTTGCTGTTTCTTTTTTAAGGATAATTTTGTGCTTAAATTCAGAATACCATTTGTACATCTAATTCAGTCCTAAAATATTGTATATCTCTGGTTGTCACATGATTACAACATAATCTAGTGAAATTTAGTTAATGGTGTAGCAGTCTTTAAAAGAAGAATTCTATATTGGGCAGTTGAGTGAGAATTTTTTAAATACACAATTTAAAATTAATTTATTGCAATTATTTATTGAAAAAAGCTTTACTATAAGGTAAACTATGTAACAGTTTTCTTTAAGCATCCCAAGTTTTTCATATACTCCACAGTGCCAAGATATTTGGTTTATATGAGCACAAAGTAATACGTAGGGTAGTAAGAAAAGCATAATTTAGTAAACAACCAGATTAATTTGATCTTTCTTTACTGATGTCCGTGATTCCTCTAAATTAGCCAGGACCACATGATATCATAACTAATCACACAAAAATGACATTAGTAAATACCCATTTTAGTAATTTTAATGTCAGCATACCCAGCCAGTTAATAAAATATTTACTACCCAGAGGTGAACATGCTTAAGTCAAAGCAAATTACTTTTGTTCTTTTATAAGAGCATATTTTTGAGTAAGATTTTAGCCTTATATTTTGGCGAAGGCAAGATGTTCGTTTTGGCTTTTGTAAAAACATGCCTATTTCAAGAATGTTCTAATGTAAATTTAACACAAAATGTATCATTTAATTATTACTATAAAGTTGTAATCTATTTACAATATTTATAAAATAACTACTAACCAAGCAGCATGCAGGACATATTGAGTATAAAATACTGTACCTTCTAAGTGTTATTTTTTAATGTTTTAAATGCTTATTATGCAAGGTGTACAACAATGGTGGGTAGAATATATATTGAATAATTCTTGCTCCTCAGATATGCACTAATAAATTTGCACTTATTACAGAGCCACCAAATCTGGGACTTGAGATATTAATGGCCACGTAGGTATATTTTAGAGGTTACCTGAGCAAGCCAAAATTCTAAGTGGTTTGAAATATACAATAATTTTGTCACATTATGATCACAATATTTCCTTTCATAAGAATCTACCCCCAGTGCCATTAGTTAACCACATGGTTATTATATGTAGCTTGATTCACTATAAATGCCGTTATAACACCTGTGGTTTCCCTCATTAAGAATTGAATGGATGGGGTCAGGGGTTGAAAGGGCAGCATATGCGCTATGAAAGAACTAGTTAACATAGCCTATTATATTGGTGCACTGGTAAATCTCATTTCTATTCATCAGATGATTAGTTCAATCAATATTTATTCCTCTATGCTTCCTTTGTCTTGCGCTACAAAGGAGACATCCTTCAAATTCATGGCATAAACCTTGTTATCTATGAATTTGTTGCTTAATTTGAGAGGGAATATTTTATTTACTTGGCAGTCCTGAATTCTTTGATTCCCTTTCCCTCTAATTATCATTAGGTAGTATAATGGAGTTTTGTGTAGATTATTTATAAATAGATGTTATTAACAGTTTCTTTTTTATGCGACTCTAGTACCACGTGTATTCATATCTTCCCTTTGAATGCTCTGGAAAGTTGCTCTGTTTCTCTAAATATGTTTGAGTTTGGAAGTCTGGATTGTGAAAGCAAAGATAAGAATGATTTTCTCTCTCAAATATTCATTCTTCTTGTCTGAGTGGGTGGTTATAGGCACATACATATACATATTGCGTATCAGTGTGTATCAACAGACGCCTCCAAAGACTGCTATTATCTGCTGGGGATTCTGTTAAGTCAGAGATTCTATTCAAAGTAAGATAAATATTTGCAAAAAGCTGTAATTGGAAGATGATTACAAAATTACAGGAATAATACTTTTTGTTTAGAGTGCTTATTTCATCAAAGGTCATCATTCATTATATCACAAAAGACTTATTTCATTAGTCAGCTTGATTTCTATCCTTTAGATAAGAATAGATAGAATAACAGAACTACATCTAGAATAAAAAACATACATTAATTATTAAGCATAATTTCCATTTCTAATATTTACTTTTCTATATATTTTAACATCACAATAAATGTTTTGTTAATGTTAATTAAATGAATGCCAGTATAAATAAAGCCTTTACTTTTTTTTGTCTTTGTAGAATAAATACAGAAGTAGTTTAGTCTTAAGAAATTATCCTCATATTATTAAAATGTCACCTCAATCACTAATAACTTTTGCACTCACAATGTATGTGCTTATGAACCTTTGATGTGTTTCAATTTGGCCAGAATTTGACAGTCTTCACTTTGGAATTAATTCTTATTTCCTAATATGTTTAGTCGTAAGGCTTAAATTTCACCAATGCACACTGGCACTGATATTATTGTTCACAATTTTAAGCCTCACTTTATATACAAATTTGCAGAATCCCAGCAGACCCATGCATATATAATTTTTAACTAATAATTTTTAAAGTTATAATATTAAACTATTAATTGAATGCTATAATATGCACTTTAAATTAGAGGTGTATTATTCATTGCAATGGAATAATCTAGTAATACGCTGTGATTTATACTTTTATATCTTAGAACTATTGTAATGAGAGGTCTAAAAACCATATAGGCCATCTTGTATTTCTAAAAGGTGAATACAGGTTTATAAAAGGTGATGTCATAGCTGAAAAAGCAATTTACTTATCTTTTTATGTAGAAAAGCTTTTTGTATCAAATCGTATTAAATCCCTGTTGACAACTGTGTATACGCTACTTTTGGGGGAAAAAAGTAGGTATTATTATGAGATTTAAATGTCATTTTCATGAAGACCAACCCAAAAACTTTGTAATTTGGTGTAGTAAAATTATTGTTCCTGTAAAATTAGGTTTCATGGCTTGGAAACACTTAAATTTAAAATATAATCTATGCAAATACACTCCTGAATAGTTGTTTTTATGGCTGATCATAGTTTAGTATTATCAAATTGCTGCCAAAATAAGTAAATGTTAACATTCATATTTGGTTAAGAGTATAAAATAATGTTTTTATTTATATTAAATGATCACATAAACCACTTTAATAATGATGCAAAAACTCATCTCTTAGGGATTCTCTAATGAGCAAAAGCTATATTGTGGTTGATGGAAAATCCAAAGATTAGTAAGTTTTAAGTAAATGCCAAGAAAGGAGTTTTAATCTTGTGTCCCTCAGGTTTATAAAGTTTGCTGTTCAAAATTTCTTCATCTACATTTTCCTCCTGGTTTCCCAATTCGTGATTGTTAGAAAATATAGAAAAGTAAAAGCCTTGGTGGTACTAATACCTATCCCAGAAGTCCAGTATGTCAAGCACTTCTGTGTCATAATACTTGTTACAAACTCACCCATGATGCTGGGGGAGGAAGGAGGAGAGAGTCGCTAGATGTAACCATTTAAGAAAATATTTTTATTCTTATGGCTATATATTATTTCAACAATAGTTGAAATACAGCTTTAGGATTTCTTTTTAAACTGTTTGAATAATTACATTTCTTGGAATGAAGACAGCTTACTGATGATTACTTAATGAGCAATTATTAATGGACTACTAACAGAGATGTCCTTCCAGCAATGTTTTTTTTAATTGCGGGAGGTGGAATGTTGGTTAGAAATATTTAATTGGAACTTGTGGAGGAAATTAAGAGAGAGAACTTGTTTAGGTAATCTAAAGGCCCTGCCAGCAGGACATTCAGAGCTCCATACTTCTGAAGGGCTGCCATACCTCTGAGAGCAAGAAGCCTCTTTTCTAAAGTTTAGCACTTGGCAAAAATTAACTACCTGCAAATAATAGAGGAAAACTAGACTTTAAAAAAGCCAAACCCAATCCTTGTTTATAGCAAGTATAAAACCAGATTTCTAATCCGCCCCAGCGACAATCACCTATTGATTGCGACGACATCTGTGCCCCTGTTTTTGGAAGCAGGGTTTTCCGTGGAGGCAGGACTGAAAAATCCGACCATTTCCGCGCCCCTGTGTAATAAACAGCCCACAGATCTTTCAAGAAGGAACCCTGAAACCCACACCTCGGCTCACTTCTTTCTCACCTAGTGATGGGCCCAATTAAAGGTCCTCCCTTTCGCCTTCAGAAGTTATTCCTTTCAGTAATGAAATCTACGGAGAAGCCTCTCTAGAACTTCTGTGGTACCCTCTCACAGACAAAGGATGAAAGGCTTTGTGCGCCACCAAATACAACCTCCTCCGCCCCAGGCTAGAGTAAGCAACTGCGCTGTGTCCGGGACTCAGTTCAGCCGTGGGGCAGGACAAGGACGTCAAAGATCAGGGACTCTTAACCCCTTTCTTTCCCCGTAGCTTCCCTGGGGATAGTCTCTTAAATGCCCTAGGCGGGGGAGGAGTAGGGGGTGGGAATAGGTTTGCCGGATTGGCCCCGAGGGAGACCACTGAATCCCAGATCACCTTTCCGTCGCTCAAAGCGCCCTGATTCAGGACAGTTGTCAGCTGCAAACTGTGGAGCCCAGGCGCTAACTAGGACCACCTGGGAATGGAAAGCGCGCGCGTGTGGATGAGGGAAATGCAGTGGGCCCACCGTAAAGCCCAGGTCAAAAATGGCCCCTCTCCCAACATAGGGTGCTTAGTAGCCCTGCACGAGCGAAAGCTGATTCTTTTCCCGCTTTCACTTCTCAAGTTCACTCTCAAGTTCAACTCCCAACTCCACAAGACGTCAGAGTAGCCTGGATCTTTTCTCAATCCCATTCTTACGGAACAGCCTCTCATACTGTGGTAGGGCACTGTCCGGGGAAAATATGAAGAGGTAGTAAGGAAAGACACTAGGGGTCAGGAAAGGGCAACCAGGAATGGCGATAGAGTGACCTGGTCATCTTTTAAGCTTACATTTTCTCCAGCGCATTCCCCTAAGGCCGCCTGAGAGCTGCCTCAAGTTAGAAGTTGTAAGGGGTCCTAGGGCGCCTGGCGAGGCTGGCGCCCTCTTTGATAGGTCTGTGGGCTTAAACTGGTTTTCTCAAGGTGAGCATGAGGACCAGCGCCTGGCTTTCAATCCTTCCAGCTTCTGGAGTCCTCAAAGCGACCGCCGTGGCGAACCAGGACAGTCATCTGCAAACTGCTCCTTCAGGAGATGCTAGATCAAGCTACAACCCATCCCCACCCCGCGCCGCACTCCTTCTACGATGTAAGGAGTGAGCGGATTTTATGCCCTAGGTCCTAGTGCTGGGTCCGAGCTGAGGTGGCGCATAGTTTACGACGTTCAGAAAGTATGAACCCAGCCACAGGGGGAAAGTTAGAAGGGAAGAAGGGGAGGGACGAACTGGCAGCTCTGGACTGGGACGGGGGAAACCGAAAGAATGGATGGGATGGTGAGATGGGCTAGAAAAAGAAAAACAAAAGACCGGGCGTCTCTTACTAAGCCAAGGTTCTCTACTCTCCAATTGCCCAAGTATAGTTTCTTGAAAGAATTTAGACAGTGGAGCGTGTAACCAACCCCCAACCGGGACAATCAGCTGGAGCCAGCGCGCACACACACGGGTGCCCCACTCCCAGCGAGCCGGCCAATCAAGACCATCCCATCAGGACGTCCTTGTTTCTTATCTACAGTCAACCCCCTCCCCCATGGACAGTCTCTCTCCGTTCCTTCTTCTCCTTCCCTTTCCTGACACATCCCAGCGTCCAGCCAGCAAACCCTTGAGTCCAGGCTCGGGGCTCACCGGGTGCGGGAGGGAGTGGGAGTGAGACCCGCTGCCTCCTGGGGTGCTCCTCTAGGGGCGTAGGGGGACTGGGTGGGAGAGGATCACTTTCAGTGGAAGGAGGAGACCAGTGATTGCATCCCAACTCTCCCAAGTGCTCCCTGCCTAGACCACCTCTCTCCGGGTCTGGGATGCAAGAAGGTCTGGAGCTGGCCGTTACTAACTTTCTGTTGTCAAGACCCAGGGGTACGTGCGAAGGATAGAGAAGAGCCCCCGATTAACCGCTGTGTGGCCAGGAAGAGGGACTGGGAGTGGGGGTGGGTGCCCAGAGCTTGCACAGATCCCCATGTCAAGCGGACACCCGCCTGGCTCTTCAGTAAAAGAGTGAAGAAAGGCCGAGCACAGCGCGAAGGAAACCTGAGGTCTCCGGCAAGGCAGGAGAGGAGACCAAGTGACTCCCCGAAACCCACCCTCCAGCCCTTCGAGAGGCCCAGAGTCCAGCCGGAGCAAGCGTAACGCTACAGTCCCTGGCGCGCATCCCTGCAGACCCCAGCTCGCCCCGGGGTCCCGCCGCCGCCGCCGCCACCGCCTGCGACTGCGAGGGTCCTGGCCCGAGGGTGCACCAGCACCTCCTTCCACTACCGGCCCTTTATCTGACAAAAGAGCCGGAGCCCATGACTCTCCGACTGTGAGCAGTGTGGCCTTTCCAAGCCTCCAGAACTTTCTCATTACAACTTTTCCGGGGTCGCACTACTCCCTGGGCCGCGCGGGCTCGGGCACGAGGACCTGGCCAGGGCGCAGCGCCGGCACGAAGGCGCGCGCCGCAGAACTGTTTCCTCAGCCGCGTGCCGGGGAACTAACTGTTTCCTCAGCCGCGTCCAGCCTCGCAGCACTGCTCTTCTGCTTGCTACTCCAGCGAAGGGACATGCCTGCTGGCCAGGACGCTTAGTGGGCCTCGTAACCTGGCGAGTGTGTGCCCGCGCGTGTCCACCCTGCCCCCGGCCGGTGCGCCCCGCGCGCCCAAACCCGGCCGGCGACCACTGCGCGCCGGGCGCTTCCAAACTGCTCCTGTCCAGAGGCATCCCTCTTTCGGCTTTCTCCATCCCGCGTCCGCTTCCGCACCCGAGAGCGACAAGCAAAAAAGATTCAGTGCAACTCAAGGACTGGTAAGAACCAACTAGCCTGTCTCCCCTCTCCAAAAAAGCGCCCTCCCGCGTCCCTCCAGAACTCCCGAAAGACATCAACACCTTCCCGCAACTTTCTACGCCCAGGCCATTTGCAGCCCCACCTGCGAGAGCGAATTCGGGGAACTGCGCCTGGGCAACCTCTTTCCCTTTCTGCTGGGTGCCCTCCCCTCCCCCATCTCCCCGTCTGGCTGGAGTTGGCCGGACTCGGGGAGCCTCGGTGCCCGCAGACTCGCTTACCTCGCATGGTGTGGCCGCTCTCCCGCTCCGCGTAGTCATGAAGCTGCTCCCAGCCCGAACCCCGGAGAGCCCAAAAATCCCGCTCAGCACGAGTGAAGAAGGTGGTCGGCGAAGAGCTGCTCTGCCGAGAAAACCATCCCTTTAGGCGGACGCCGTGGCTGCAGGGTGACGTTTGCCGCCGCCGCCGCTATGTTAACAGTTTTGATGTTGGTGGTGACTGTTTTGATGATTGTTTGTTTGTTTGTTTGTTTTCAGGAAGGGTGAAAAAAAAATGTTCTGGCTGTCTGGTGCCTGGGTTTTGTTTTGGTTTTGTTTTTCTTTTTCTTTCTCTCCAATGTGCTTGCTTTTTAAAAAATGCCACCGCCTCCGGCTCAGAAGATTTCTTTTGTGATCACTTGGACTGAGGAGGAGGAGGAAGGGCAGCAGCAGGAGGAGGAGTTGGTGGTGGTTTTGTTAGTTACAAAGAAGAGGGAGAAGGAACAAGGGGGAAAAAAGGAAACAGAAAGAAAAGAAAGAAAGGCGGTGTGGATGGCAGAGCATGTGCGTTTTCACATGACATCTGTGCCTGTTAGCGGATCCACAATGTGAATTTTCACTGTTCAGTTACAGGGAGGAAGGGAGCAGCGAGAGAGAAAGAGAGGGGAGAGATGGAGAGAGAGCGCTGAGAGGGGCTTATACGCGAGGGCGGGCTTGGCCGCGACTTCCAGGCCCCGCCTGCTGTCAGCGCAGCCGCCAATCAGAGCCCAGCAGCGCCTGGAGAGGCTGGGACCGCGGGGAGGGGACGTGGTGGAGGCGGGGGGTGGGGCGGGGGCTGGGGACCAGGGAGTCCGAGGTGGCCGGGGCTGCGACGGGGAATTCGAGACTGTCCGAACTGGGCAGAGAAGAAGGGCCGACCGGGAGAGTCGGGCAGATCCGCAGGTGACAGGCACTTCCGACTCCAGCAGAGAAGGGGACACTGATCACGGAAAACCTTCGGAGGCAAGAGACGCGGGGCTCCCCGGGTTTCACGTTCGGTCCCTGTCTCGCAACCCCCGCGGGCCCGGCAGAGTTAGTTTTGAATTTATGGCAGCGCTTTGCCGAGCGCTATTTGGGTAAACTTCGGTCTCCGGCGGGGGTTTCCGTGGGCAGGTGGTTTGGGTGTTGGTGGTAGAATAATGCAAACCCACTTTCATCACTTTTAGCACAACTAAAATGCAGTCCCATGGAAGTAGCTGTCCCCTTCCTTTAAAAACGTCCGTCAGATGCTCCCTGACCCTCTTCTAAAAAAAAAAAAAAAAGAAAGAAAGAAAGAAAAAAACGTGTATATGTTCTTTTGTCTGGGAAATTGATTTTTATTAGCATTTGGAGACTCCCCTGGCGATGGACTACAGGACTGAAGGAGAACAGCTCAAATTGGCGGTGTAGCCACCTTACTAATTCAAGAGAAATGGCTGTTGCTAGAAGGTGTGATTGCAGGGTGCTCTTTAGAAAGGTTTTAGAAGGAAGACATTGTTAACTTTAGTTAGAGGCGATTGGTAACTGAACATAGATAAACTTACTTGTATTCCTTAGGTGAAAATTGTCATCTATGACCATTTATTTGTATTTTGATAAAAATCTAATACATATATCCAAACTGTTCCTTTGCAAGTTTTTCCAACTCAGTTGACAAAATAAGCATATAGATGATTACATCTACTTCCTTCCCAATAGTAGGGAACTTCTTAAATACTTGAGTTAATTGAACACCCTAAAAGATTGGGAGGTGAAAATATTTGCCTCATTCACTCAGTCTTGAGGCTGGGAGATGTCTACTCATTAGCATACCTGTTGGCACAGCAGGCCTCATCATCATTTAAGTATCCAAATAATTTGATTTTTGACTGGTATTTATTCATGATATGTCATGTAACACAAAGTACAATGTAGAATTGGCAGTTATTTAGTTAATTAGGTCGCTCTACACTGCCAAGTAGTTTTTTCCTTCCTGATTAAATGAAAAATGAATTATCTGCTGAATTTTCACCAGTATTAAATTGACGTAGCCCTGCTATATGCCATCCCATTTGCAAACCAATGTGTAATTTAGGAAAATTTTAGTATTAAGAGTGAAAGTTGATTGAGTCATTAATTAAATGAAATGAACAAAAGGAAGTTACTGTTTAGAATAGTTATTCCTTTATAAATATCTTTCTCCTAGATTTGTAATTGACACAGTAGTTAATCTTTTAAGATAATATTTAAGGCTCCCTGGTTTTATCATTTTTAATCAAGTAAAATATATTCATCATAACTATGTTAAAGCTGTACAAAGTTATGCCTAATTTAGTTGCTTCATTAAAAATTACTGAATATAAAATAGTCAAGAAACAAATTGTGACTATATCATTTTAATTTTGTTGCTTCAAGCAGAGACACAAGAATATTGAAAATTCCAAAGGCTTTGTAAACATTGTCTAATTATTATTGTTGTTGTTATCATTTTAGATTTCTATTTCTCTTTAGAGTGAACAGGAATTTCAAAATCCAAAAATTTAAACATTTATGTAATTTTAACTTTCTAAACATTTATTGAATTCTGAATTTTTTTTTAATGCTGCAATATCTGTAATCCTTGAAAAAGGTAGTCAACACGTGTATAAAAAGTATTTACCCCCCCATACATTTTTATATTCTCTTTATTTTGTGGTTTCAGCAAGGCATAATTTTGCTTAGAACATATTTCTTAATTCCTTCTGAGTATTTTTGGAGAAATTATTAATTAGAAGACTATATTATTTCATTTTTCAAAACTATGTATATAATCTCTATATATGGTGATACAAAAGTATGTATTTTCTCTTTAAATGCTAATCATTGGTTATAATGTGGCGGCCTGGGACATTTTGGATCTTTCTAAAAATTTAAAAACTGGTTTGTTGAATATTTCTAATAATTTTCACATTTATTTCACTGAATGGAGCCCATTTATTTAAAATAAATATTAAGAATTTGAATGAAAGAAGTCAGTATTTTCTAAGAACTCACAAAGCACATATATATAATCTGATGGTTTTGTAACCTATCTGCCAGCAAATAATCATATTTCAAGTGGCATAATAATAATACATTACTGTAATGTCCTAGCTCATATGAAGTACGGTATCAGTAATTTTATTTGAATGATTATGTCTGGTTTCCTATAAGCTTGAAACTCTGCTTTTCACTCTGGGCCTGAAGGATTTTCTAAGTTGACAGTTGCATGTTGATTAATTTAAATGACAATCAGTCACATAGCACTGTCCTCAATCTCAAGAATTGACATCAGATTCCACTTAGGCTTGCCTGCTTACCTGTTTTTCTGACACATTAGCACCCCTCAGGTTGAGCTGTACCACAGAATAGGAATGACAACAAATATCCTGAAAGAGGCAAAGTTTTAATATAAGCCAACCAGGTAGGGTGACCATGGCATTTAGGATTATTTCAATCCTAAAAGGCTTAAACAGGAAGTCATAGTTCATGTTATTCTGAGCTGATAAGTCAGAATATTCACTGGTCAGGGAATATTTTAAATAATTAAGACTCTTGAATGGACATTAGCAATACTGATAACAATGTTACTTTTAGGAATGACTGAAAGATTGGTTATGTTTAACTCTATTTAGGGAGCTGTGTGGCTGTGAAAATTGGGAAAGAGATATAAAGCTGCTATTAAATATTAGAAAAGCCAGAAAAATGTAAGAACTTTTAACATTCAAACCTTTTACAAGTGGGAAGGGAAGTACTGAGTTCCCTGTTGCTGAAGGCATCCAAAAAAGGGTTGAATGAAAGGTTCTGTTAGAGATGCTCTAGTATACAGATTTCTATACTAGGGTAGAAATTGTCTAGATTACCTCCAAGATCCTCTGTAGCTCTAAGTGTACAGTTGGCCTTTATGTCCATGGGTTCCACAACTGTGGATTCAACCAAGAGCAGAGCAAAAATAAATTGTGTCTGTACTGAACATGTACAGATATTTTTCTTGTCATTGTTCCCTAAACAATACAGTATAATAATTATTTATATAGTGTTGACATTGGCATTATAAGTAATCTAGAGATGATGCAAAGTATATAGGAAGATGTGCATAGGTTACATGCAAATACTACACACCATTTTATAGCAGAAACTTGAATATCTGTGGGTTTTGGTATCGGTGGGAGGTCCTGGAACCAATCCCCCGTGCATACCAAGGGATGCCTGCATTCACATGGACTAAAGGTTGCTACCACTGCCCCAGCAGGCATCAGAGCCACATTTCCTACCTGAGAATGCAAAATTCATGACAACAGGAGCCAGGATTTCCCTAGAGTTTGTAAGAGCTCCTGGTACTTTATGGGTGCTTGATCATTATTGGTGGAGTGAATGCTTTCTAACCTTTCAGCCACTGAATATGAATCACAAATGGAGTGAAGACCTGAATAAGATCCTTCTTTCTCAGTTTCTATTGAATGGGAAGAGGAGAGTGGGGAGAATCTGCATTTTAAACTCTCCTAATTTGGGGAAGCAAAAAATAATGGTTGAGATTGGTTATATAGTCATAAAAGGAAGCTAAAATTTAGTTATTTTCATATTTATTACTATTCTTAATTAATTTATTTATTCTTTGAAAGGAAGTCTCGCTGGAGGCTGGAGTGCAGTGGCACAGTCTCAGCTCACTGCAGCCTCTACCTCTTGGGTTCAAGTGATTCTCCTGCCTCAGCCTCCTGAGTAGCTGGGATTACAGGTGACCACCACCATGCTTGGCTAATTTTTGTATTTTAGTAGAGACGGGGTTTCACCATGTTGGCCACACTGTTCTCAAACTCCTGACCTCAAGTGATCTGCCTGCCTCAGCCTCCGAAAGTGCTGAGATGACAGACGTGAGCCACCACACCCAGCCCTATTCTCAATTTTATTCCCAGGTACTGAGTCTTCTTCATAATCTTTGAGTTCTTTAAGTTCTGCTTCATTTTAAAGTGTAGATGCAAGTTCAATAAGTTTTCAAAATAAAAAAAAGAAAGCAAATATTAAAATAGAGCATGTAATTTTGAAATAAATTGGAAAAGGTGATAAGGGCCAAAGCATGAATTAACCCCAGTATGTGGGAGAGGTAAGGCTAGCTTTGGAACAAAGACAAAACATACAGGTCAGAAAAAACAAGAGCCAACATTTATTGGATGAATCACATGATTTCTCAACCTATCTAATTTCTATTTCTTACAAGAGTCTACATGTTATACATTATATCTCTTCCTCCTCCCCATCTTTTAAAAAATTATTTTATGGCTAAAAGAACAGAGGCTTAAAAAAGTTAACTCACCTAAGATCACAAATCGTAAAATGCTGGATCCAAGATTCAAACCCAGGTGTAGCCACTAAAACGTGTTTCGTGAGTGCAGGAACTTTCTTCATTTTATTTTATTTTTTCAGTGCTCAATCCACAGAATCTAGAGTCTCTTGCCTGATAAATAGTAGATGTTTAAAATACACTTGTGAATAAATAAATGGACATTTAAACCCTCGTCCACCACACAGTATTACATATGTACATTCTCATCACTAAATGACATTAAATAAAGAAGAGTGAATTTTGACTTTAAAAATAAAAGGACATTGTGAAAAATTTATGAAACAGTAATGGCCTAATTTGGTCCACCATGGAGTTTAGGAAAATACTTCTGCAATAAATATTTCAGGTTGTAAATAATGTAAGGCTGAATTAAATTGGCACCAGGAAAAAGGGGGAAAAATGAAAAGGTTGGTTGCACGACACATTTTGCAGGCAGAAGCTATGACATCTAATGCATGATTAGACCAGTGGTGCTGATGGGCAGAGTGTTGGGTAATGGGAGGGAGAAGTCAAACCAAAGCTTCACCAGTAGGAGGCTTATAGAATGCCTATCCCAATAATCTAATAAGTATATAAGGAAGGAAGAGCAGATTCTTGTTTAAATAGGGGAAAATGTTGACATTAATTTTCAATTTTGCATATCAGTGACAATGTACAGCAGCTAGTTGGCTATAGATAGAACTGGAGATTTGGGAATTGGTTAGAGGTGAAAGTAAAGATTTATGACATTCAGGCCAGGAGTGTTGGTTTTCGCCTGTAATCCAGCACATTGGGAGGCCGAGGCGGGTGGATCACTTGAGGCCGGGAGTTCAAGACCAGCCTGGCCAATGTGGTGAAACCCCGTCTCTACCAAAAATACAAAAATTAGCCAGGTGTGGTGGGGGGCATCTGCAATCCTGGCTACTTGGGAGGCTGAAGTGGAGGTTGCAGTGAGCTGAGGTTGCACTACTGCACTCCAGGTGACAGAGCGAGACTCTGTCTCAAAAAATTTATGACATTCAGAAACACCAAGGAGAATAGAGCCAATATTAGATTTAAATGTGAACAAATAAGTACATAAAATAATAGAATTACATTTTTGTGTATATTTATATGATATTTTAAATAGGGACAAACTTGTCTGCATCAGGAAACCCAGACACCATAAGGTTAGGTATATTTTCCTATACACAAAGTAAGTATTTTAAATGGCAAAGACCCCAAAACAAAATCAATAGGCTGGAGAAAATATTTGCTGCCCATGTGACAGATGAAAGATTAGTAGCCTTCATAACAAATGTATGCAAACTTACAAATTGATAAACATTAGATTTTAAAAAACCCTAAAAGTGAAGTTGGTAGAGAAGAAAGGGAAGATAATTTAGTGGCTAATTTCTTTTTTTTTTTACTTTATGGTTTTTGATACAGGTGAATAATTTCTTCTTCATGTTTACAGCTCTGTAAATAAGGTTGAGAAGTTCCTTTCCAGATCAACTGACAAGGCTTTAGGATAATTTCTTGTATATTTCTTAAAATATGAATTAAAATGCAAAAGTAATATTTTATATAACTTCACTATTCTTGCTGATAGTCTTTAAAATTTATCTTGAATTGGCTACTTTTCTATACCTTCACTGCCTTATCAATCTAAGCTACTGTTCCTCTCCTGCCTAGATGGGTATAATATTCTTAGAATATTTTCTCTATCTCTATTCTTGCCTCTCACCCCATTAATTTCCCAACTGGCATTAGAACTTTTAAAATCAGATAATAAACATTGCCCTGCTAAAACACATTAGTGTCTTCCTATTGCATTTAGAAAATAACCCATACTCCTTACCGTGGCTTAGAAGTAGGGTGCATACATATTATAGTTTGCCCTGAAACCCTGCATAATTATTAAAAGTGTCCCTTTCATTTTTGAATGTGTTCCTGTTCGGGCAGTGCATAATAGAATTATCCTGTTGATTATAAAGCTCTGCTGGCTTAAATGTTACGGTCTCAGAGAAATCGTCTCTCATAATACCACCTAAGAGTTTATAATTCTTTATCAAAAAATCTCTGTTTTCTTTATAGTGTATATCAGAATTTATGATTATTTGTTTGTTTTCTTTTATTATCTAATGAAGGAACTCAATTAATTTATAATTAATATTATTAATAGCTGCAGGAGGCAGTAACCACTTCTTGTATTTTGAATTATATTATCAGTGCCTCGAATGATGTCTGACAGGTAGCACATGCTTAGTAAGTTTGTTCAGTGAATTGATAACTTTGACTAATTGCCACAAATAAATTGATATAAGTAATAATTCTTTCTTTTTGAAAACTTGGTTCACATATTTGCTAAGATATCTCCAGATCTCATTATGGCCACACTAAAAAAATGCATGAAATATTGTTTTTCCTTTCAAGGCAACTGACATATAGTGATGATTAAATGTATTGGTTTGGGAGTAAATAAAACAGGACAACAACAAAAACAAACAAAAACTGATTTTGTCCCCAGATCTGCTATTTGCAACGTAACTTCTAGCTGGTTGTGAACCTACTGGTTATGGACTGCATGTTTGTGTCCTCTCTAAATTCATATGTTGAAGCTCCAATCCCCATTGGATGGTCTAGAGAGGTAGGGCCTTTGGGAGGTAAGTAGGTTTAGATGGGCCATGAGGGTGGAACCCCTATGATGGGATTAGCGCTCTTATAAGGAGAGGAAGAAACACCAGAATTTCCTCTCTCTGCCATGTGAGAGTACAGCAAGAAGGTGAGCTGTCTGCAAGCTATGAAGAGGCCTCTCGTCAGATACCAAATCTGGCAGCACCTTGATTTTGAACTTCTCAGCCTCCAGAACTGTGAAAAATAAATGTTGTTTAAGCCACCGAGTCTATGGTATTTTGTTATAGCAAACTATTTATGTAGTTTTGTGTGCATGTATATATACACACACACACACACACACAAAATACACACACAATGTTTTTTTACAGTATGTACTGTGTATATATGTATATATATGTAAAATAAGGCTAATACACTTAAAAGGATAAAATGAGATATACTAGCATAATGGTCAGAACATCACAATCAAGCAAAAATCATTAACTATTGAAACATTTTATTATTTTATTGGGAAAATCTGTCTCACGTATAGGTAATAGCAAAATTTTCAATTCAGGTCAGTTAGACTTTGCTTGTTCATCATACTCTACAGCTACTGTTAAGTGCTCAAAGAATGCACAAAACTAATTTAATATTTACCCTATTATCAGTTATTTTCAATTTGATTTTTCCCAACTGCTTTATGACTGCCCCTTTTTTTCCTTCCTTATTATATTGTGGATTAATCAGTTTTGGATTACTTCATTTATTTTCCTTCTGTTTGCATGCTGGTTATACAGTCTTTCACTATTCTACTAGTAATTTCTCTAGAGATTAACATGTGTCTTTGGATTATTATAATTAATATAAACTATTACTACATTCCAGTCAGTGCTGAGACCCTCTACATGTAACTCCGATAATCTTTCCTCACCTCCTGAATGCTGTGTTACTGTTATCATGCATTGTTAACTCTACATATATTTTAACCGTCTTAAGATAACATTATTCCTTAAGATAACATTAATTGCTATTGCTATTACTGTTATTGTTTTGTGTGGTCAGAATTTCTTCAGATATTCCCCAGGCTCAGCCTATCTAGTTTTCTTGAATTTTTTGTGTTTCCCTTTGAGATTATTTTCCTTAAGTATCTTTAGCAGTTTAGTGGCCCTTTTAAATGTATGGCCCTTATTCATGTAATTCCATTGTCTTCTGTCTTAAATCTTCTCTGTTGTAGAGTCAGCTCTCAGTCTTATGGTTGCTTCTTTGAAAATCAAGGGTCTTATTTTTTGGATCCTTTTACAATGTCTTTGTCTTTGGTTTTCAGCTGTTTTATTGTGATGTGCTTAGGTGTGGGTTTTCTTTTTAATTGCTCTCTCTAGATTTTGAAGCAATTCTTGGATCTGTGGCTGGGTATCTTTTAGCATTTGGAATGTTCTTGATATTTACTCATAAATGTAGTTCTCACCTCATTCTCACTGTTTTCCCTTCTGGAGAGAGATGGTGTTGCATGCATGCTAGAACCTTTCACCATGTCACCATGTCCCACATGTCCCTTTCAGTTTTATACGTAGTTTCCATCTTTTGTATTCTTTAGATTTCCATCACTATATTTTATACTTACCTGATTTCTAGTTTATTAATCCTTTCCTCAGCTATGTCCCATCTTCAAGTCTGTTGTTAGACCTATCTACTGAGGCATTTATTTCAGTTACTGTTTTTAGTCTTAGAATTTCCATTTTGTTCTTGTTTATAGATTTATCAGTTATCTGATAAAATCCTTCATCTTGTCCTTTATTTTCTTGAACATGTGAGTACATAGTTACTTTAAAGCCAATGTCAGATAATTCCAATATCTAGGTCATCTGTTCATTTGCTATATTGTTAATTTATTCTCTAGAGTTTTTAAATTGAAATTCTGGACATAGTTTATAAAAATTAAAGAATCTCTGGGTGATCAAAATTCTGCTTTTTATGGTAGTGTTTTCTTTCTCTGTTCCAGAGAAGATTGGAATGAACAGAGAAAACACAAGTCAGGACAATTTTGAAGATTTGAATTTGAAAAAAATTTTGTTGAAAAGCATATACATAGGCCAAACTTGACTCAGGGTATTTTCCATGAAGATTAAAGAACTTACTGTGTGTTTCCTTTTCCCAAGCATCAAAATTATTACTGGTATATAGCTGCATGTTTATAATGTCACTAAAATTACTACATTCTTTTCAACACACTCACCAAAATCAGATCATTTCTTAGTACAAAACGTTTTTATCTTTTCTATTGCTTAAAGGAGTAGATGGGAATCTGTGTTTTCCCTTGAGATTCTACAATTTGGTGAGAGCTCATCCTTGGAGTTTATCGCCACATTTCTTTCCTTGAAATAAAAACTATACAGCTAACTGCAGCTACTTTAGGGACTAAGATTATAGTCACCATGTCCCTCCCTTAGAATGCATCCACATACAGGCCATAGGTTGCTCAGTTTGAATGCTTGGCATTCCTGGGACCTGATGGCATTTTGATAAATGATGCACATACATAATTTGAAAATTTTAAATGCATTGGCAGAGATCAGGAAATGTTCATGTTAATAAAAGCATAATTTTCTGGATCAAAGCAGACAAGGGAGGCCAATTTTCTCAGATGAGGAGAGCTTGAGAATCTGTTTAGTAAATGAGAAGAGAGGTTGAGGGAAGATGAGCCCTTTAAATCAGGGAAAAATACTTTATCAATATAAACCAATTTCAGAGTAGTCCATCTTCCTCTTTGAAGGGACACTGGGAGTAAAGGAATGAAAGCAGCATGCTTTAAAAAAAAATTCTAAGCAAGTCTACCTGAACTCCCTAGTGGGATGGCTACAACCTCAGTCAGTTTATATCAAAATGTGGAAAAAATGTTTTATTCGAATGTAAATTCTGTTAACTCGACAGCCAGGACTTAGAAGAAGGAAAGAAAAAAGAAAAAAACATGAGCGTGAGATGAAAGGTAGGAATAAAGAATAAGGAAAGGAATGAGAATTAAGGGATTAAAAAGGCCTTGAGAGAGACAGGGAAGGCATACATATGTCTTTAACAGAATGGTAGCTAAAGTGCGCTGTATATTTCATGGACATATTTCAGATGAGTCATTCTATAATAAGTGAGAAAAAGCAGGGGTGTTGCCTAGGATGGTGAGCAGAAAAGGAAGAAGAAGGTTACAAAGGAAAAAGAGAAGAGGACAAAGGGCAGGGGCAGCTTTTACTTTGTTTATTGGCTTATGTGAAGGGGAGCTGATCACTTAGGACCGAATTGATTTTTTCCTGAGGAGTAGTACTGGCGTTTTTGTTGTTTGTTTGTATTTTTGGCAATTAAGTCTCAAGGGTCTTCTCTTAATGGCCTCTGTAAACTACCAGTCCCTATCTTTGACAACCATGGTCTACCCTGGGAAAAGGGAATGATGGGCTTTTCTGCTTGGGTTTAGTTTATGTCCAACATGCAAACATGAAACCAATAATACAAGGCAATGTTCACAGTCCCCCAGTAAAAGTTTAAGAAAGGATTGTTTTTCTTTACTGCAAAGCAAGCACATATCCATTAACTAAATTGCTTTATGAAGTTGTAAAAAAAATTTTGGTAAAGCTGGTATTGTTCATTTGGGGATTATGTAAAATTAATGAAATTAGTGCTATGAGACAACTATATGTTAGAAAGGGAAAGAGTTTCTTCCAAATATCAGTGAATCTACAATGCAGTGAAAGTACAATACATTCAAGTAAGTCTTTTTTTTTTCTTTTTTTCTTCAACAGGTTTGTTATACTCAAAATGTACCAGGAACAGGAACAAAAGTATTTTATAAAATAATTAATTTTTATGGGCTATGAGTCCCAAATGGTTATGTAATCAAAGTGGAAGCAGAAAAGCATGGCTTAGAAAATAATTGGTCATGTCATGTCACGCTTAACACATGTGCAGGTATGTGCAGATGTGTCCCCACAGAAGGCTAGTGAAGTTATTTTATGTATTTAAATGGGGATAAGTTGATAAAGAGTTGTAGAGATTTGCTTAGATCACTTGTATCCACTATCTTTGCTTCTGGAGATATGGGCAGGATATAAATGAAATGGGTAAATGGAAGCGTTCGGGGCAGCAAATAAGCTTGTGTTCTCTGCTACATCCAAGGGGTCCCTTGCATAAATTTCCTGCCCCAAGAGATTTGAAAATGGAAGAACAGTGATCAGCAGAGGGAGTAGTGCTAGTGCCAGGACCTGATTTAGCAAACACCTTAACTTTATTGGTTTAGAAGGAGCCGGAGAACTTGAACACAGCAGTGGTGGCAAATAGAAGGGACCAGCATCTTCCCATTCATGGGAAGCTAACGGCAGCCTACAAAATCACTATTTTCTTTTGAGATGGAGTCTTGCTCTGTCGCCCAGGTTGGAGTGCAATGGCGCAATCTCGGCTCACTGCAATCTCTGCCTCCCGGGTTCAAGCAATTCTCTTGCCTCAGCCTCCTGAGTAGCTGGGATTACAGGCACGTGCCACCATGCCCGGCTAATTTTTGTATTTAGTAGAGACGGGATTTCACCATGTTGTTCAGGCTGGTCTTGAACTCCTGACCTTGTGATCTGCCCGCCTCAGCCTCCCAAAGTGCTGGGATTACAGGCGTGAGCCACCGTACCTGGCCAAGAATTGTTTTTTCTAAAGGACTAATGAACTTGACAGTGACAAAAGAACAGAAAATGGAAACATTAAAACGCCTAAGGAAAAGGAAACAGGTTTTGATCCCTGTGGACTGTGATGAGTGGGGACCAACTCGATGTCTGTGCAAGCATCCTGGACTTAAGAAAAATGTGGAGGATGTAGTTACACATGATTAAGATGAATTCAGCTCTAGGGAGGAAAAGGAGAATTATTTTTGAAAAGCACAGTTTAAAAAGCAGACTTTATAAAGCCATCACTATACTTACAGGTGGATTAGTCATTCATTTAAAGATTCAATAAATATAGATTTAAGTAAAATCTGCCATTTCAATTTCCTATACGTTTCAACAAATGGCAAACCTTGAGTAAATTCTGTTGCAAAGACAGTAAAAATCGTTAAAAATCATGGGCCATTTGAAATTTATTTAAACAGAAGTCCCTCTATAAAATATTCTAAGATATAGATAAGCCTAAAAAATTATTGTCCTTTATAATTTTGCTTTATAATTTATGTAGGAAATTTGTAGGCATTTTACAAATGAAAAGAAATACCCTAAAACCAAAATATTAAGCAAACTAAGTAAAAAGCTAATCTCAAATGTATACTAAAATGATCTTGTAAATCACATCAAAATGACTGATAATTTTTAATAGACTTATTTTTTTAGAGCAGTTTTAGGTTTATAGAAAAATTGAGCAGAAAGTACAGAGAGTTCCCATATGCACCCTCCCACTTCCACAACAGTTTTCTCTATTAATAATATCTTGCATTCATGTGGTAAGTTTTTTTTACAGTTAATGAACTAATGTTGATGTATTATTATTAACTATTGTTCATAGTTTACTTTAAAGTTCATACTTTGTGTTGTGTATTCTATGGGTTTTGACAAGTCTATAATGACATGTATACACCACTGTAGTAGCATACAGAGTAGTTCCACTGCCCTAAAAATCCTCTGTGCTCCACCTAGTTATCCCTTCCCCGCCACAATCCCTGGTAACCACTGATATTTTTACTGTCTCCATAGTTTTGCCTTTTCCAGAATGTCATATATTTACAATCATACAGTATAGAGCCCTTTCAGATTAGTTTCTTATACTCAGTAGTATGCATTGACTTTTCCTTCATATCTTTTCATGGGCTGATAACTCATTTTTTTTTTTTGGCACCAAATGATAGTATTCCAATGTCTGGATGTCCACAGTTTGTTTATCCACCTACTGAAGGACATCTTGGTTGCTTTCAAGTTTTGGCACTTATGAATAAAGCTGCCATAAATATTCGTGTGCAGATTTTGAATGGACATACATTTTCAATTTATTTATGTAAATACCAAGGAATGTGTGATTACTGGATCACATAGTAAGAGCATGCCTAGTTTTAACAAGAAACCACCAAACAATCTTTCATCAAAGTGGCTACAGCATTTTGCATTCCCAGCAGCAGTAAATCAGAGTTTCTGTTGCTCAACATCCTTGCCAGCATTTGGTGGTTTCAGTGTTCTGGCTTTTCACCATTTACATAGGTGTGTAGTAGTATCTCATTGCTATTTTAATTTGTAATTTTCTAATATCATGTTGAGCATCTTTTCATACGCTTGTTTGCATTTGTATGCCTTCATTGGTGAGGTGTTTGTTCAGCTCTTTTGTTTAAAAATGATCATTTTAAATTTATAAAACATATACAGTTATATATGTATATATAGTCATACAGAGAAATAGTCAACAGAGAAAGCTTGGAAAAACAAAAATGTTATTTAAAATCACATTTAACCACACTATTGTTGTTTTTATATTATCTTTTCCCATTATTTTGTTCAAATGCAAAAAGATTTTATGTAATTGTCATTATGTACATACAATTTTATATGGTCCTTTAGAAATATTATAACATATCTTGTAATTATTAATATAATTTATTATAAATGAGTAGGTATAATTAACTTAATCATTTCCTTATATTGGATATTTAGGTTACTTCCATTTGTCATGCAATGTTTTTAAAAGCTTTCTTTTTTTAACAAAGCAAATTTATAAATCTTTCTTTTTTTTGAGACTCTGCCCTCCAGGTTGCAGTGCGATGGTGTGATCAATGCTCATAGTAGCTTCAAACTCCCAGGATCAAGTGATCCTCCTAAATAAACCTCCTGAGTAGCTGGGACTACAGGTATGTGCCACCACGCCCAGCTAATAATAATAATAATTATTATTATTATTACTATTGTAGAGATAGAGTCTTACTATGTTTCCCTGGCTGATCTCGATCGAACTCTTGGGCTCAAGCAATCCTCCTGCCTTGGCCAACCAAAGTGCTGGGATTACAGGTGTGAGCCACTGAACCTGAACCCTGTAGATTTCTTTTTGAGTTGAAAACTGCAAATTCTGCTAAATCTTTTTTTTTTTGGTAGATTAAAGTGACCTGTGTTTGAAATGAAGAATTATTTTGTAGGTATGCTTAACAGAAAACATGTTCTAATGGACCCGTGGCCTACAAAACCAGAGACTTAAAATATCTTAATATAAACAGGAGATTACAGATAGATATGGATCATTTTTTCATGTAATAAAATGCTGACAAGCTTTTGCCCTCGTGGAGCCCCTAACATATGATAGTTAACTTGGTGACTGTGAAAACCTAGAAGGTAGAAAAGTGTCCTCTAGGGACATAACCCTATCATAAAAGCTCCATGCCTGGTCAATTCTTTGAAGAACTTCTCAAAGGTGGCACAGTTTTGAGCTTTGGAAGTTTTAACATGTTCTCTGTGATCCTAGCATTTCTAATTAGAACCTTAACGTTTCTTGTGACTTCTCAGAATCCTGCATTGGCAGGGAGCTCTGTAACCACTTTACCGTGCTAGAAGAATGAGGTTAGGATGGAGGTCTCTGAGCTAGAAGAAGGATTAGGCCAGGAAAAGAGTAAGGATTCAGAGTCAGAGACTGGTCATTTACTCCATCTCTTCCTTGTTTCTCACTTGTCATACCAATCCAACATGAATTTTTTGAGAATTAAAGGAAGTGCCATATACAAAAGCACCCAGCATCTAATTATTATTACATAAATGTTAGTCTGCTCCTCGGAACAACTCCTTTTGTTCATGGTTTCTTGAAATTCTAATTGTCAAGGAAAGGCAATTCTGTAGCATATCTGCATAGTCAGGATTCTATGGGTTACAAGTGACAGGGAAAACACTCAAGCACTTAAAAAATAACACTAGCTTGAGAAAAACAGGAAATTATTTGCTTATGGCCAGAAGGAGCACAGTGGGATGTGGGATGTAGGACTTCACACAATATCATCAGTCTTGTCGCTTTCCGTCTTCTGACTGTGTCTTACTTTGTGTTCTCTTCCTTCTCATGTCCCTAGGAGATGGTGAAGCTAGTTACCAGATGTTCTAGCTTATATTCTACCATCTGAGTAAACTCTGTGCAAATGGCATATCTCTTCTAACAGTTCAGCAAAAGCCCCAGATCTGATATCAATTGGCTTGGTCTGGATCATATTCACATCCTTGACCCAGTAGTTATGGGTCTGATTGGCAGGTCTGGAAGGGGTCCTTGGTGACCTCTAGAGGGGTAACCCCTACTGGAATTATGTGAAAGGAAAATATCCCCAAAAGAAAATGAGTTGGCAGGCAATATTGCATGTGTGCTTTCTTTTCTTTTCTTTTTTCTTTTCTTTTCTTTTTCTTGAGACGGAGTCTCGCTTTGTTGCCCAAGCTGGAGTGCAGTGGTGTGATCTTGGCTCACTGCAACCTCTGCCTCCCGGGTTCAAGCAATTCTCCTGCCTCAGCCTCCTGAGTAGCTGGGATTATAGGCACGTGCCACCATGCCCAGCTAATTTTTGTATTTTTAGTGGGGACAGGGTTTCACCATGTTGGTCAGGCTGGTCTCAAACTCCTAACCTTGTGATCCGCCCACCTTGGCCTCCCAAAGTGCTGGGATTACAGGCATGAGCCACCGCGCCTGGCCCACATATGTGCATTTTACACATTTGTATAGGGATTTCTTTTGTGACCCTTTTTAAGGAACATTGCAGGAGGGAAAGACAGTGAAAAAAATCACATCTATTCTCATTTGTTATCCCCCATGGGAAGAAAGAACTCCTGAATCAACTGCTCCTGCCACAGAAGTTACAGGACAGTCAGCCTTGTGGAACATGAGCAGCTGCCACTGTCTTCTCTTTACACCTTACTACCTGGTCCAAATCCACCTTGTTTCCCTGAATTGTCACTGAGTATTCTATACAAGTGAGGAGAGTGTTTGTAAATCACAGAAAAACAAGTTTATCTGTGGAGGAAACACATAGAGAGTTATTATTGTTATTTTACACTATGTGAAGGCCAGAGGTAAGCAGGCTAGTATAGTATCTTCATGATTCTGTCAGGGACCCAGGGTCTTCTGTGTGTTCCTTAGATACTCGTAGGATATGGATTTTGTCCTCTTGCATTTTCCCTGAAGATCTCAAGATATTTCTCCACTTCCTGCATTACCTCAGGAAGAAGCAGAAGACAGAGGGCAGAAGGTGCATGCCAGCTGACTGTCCTCCCTGAGAAGAGGGGGAGAGAGAGAGAGAAAGGGAGAAAGGGAGAGAGAGAGAGAGGATAGAGAGAGAGAGAGAGAGAGAGAGAGAGAGAGAGAGAGAGAGAGAGAGAGAGAGAGAGAAAAGGGGCCCCTGGCAGCCAGGAACTGGCCTGGCGCTATCAATGGGCCTTGTTGCTAGGAGCTGACCTGGCACTCATGGCTAGGCCTTAGCAACTAAAGAGACAGTGCTAGAGATACCAGAAATATAGTGAGGGTTTTGGAGAAAAGGGGTGGAGAAAACCTTTGACTATTCACAAGCTGGACCAGATTTGACTTTACTCAACAGTACATGGCCTAAGTGGACCACTGTAAATACATTTCAAAAAGTTACATTAATTCTCTGTCTGGATTTATGCAAATAGTCTCAGAGAAGGCAAACTGAGACAGCAAATGGCAAAACTGTGAAATACGTTTTATTTGCACACAGGAGAACTTAGTTTTGACATTTTGTTAAACAACCAAGATTTATTCTTCAAAAAATTAAATAACACAAGTCATGCATAAACACTTATATATTATGAAACATTTAAGTATTAAATAATATGAGCATATAGAGTGAACATTACAATTTCCTTTCCCTTCCTCCACAATCTTCCCTTACTAGCAGGAACTACTGCTAAAATATTAGTGCATTTATTAGAGAACTGTTCACTTTACATTCATACTTGTAATTTTAGTTTCTTGTGTGTGTGTGTGTGTGTGTGTGTGTGTGTGTGTGTGTATCATTGTCTTTCCTTATACATACAAGTTAATCTCTTACCATAACAAGTAGAACTGCTGAGTCTAAGGTTTAACTTTAACCTTTTGGTGGATATGACCAGACTCCAAAATGTGCTTTTCCAATTTCCATGGCCACAAATGGTGTATGAAAGTAGTCATTTCCTCTTACCCTTGCCAACCCAGAGTCGCTCACTCTTCAGTTAAGCACTTGCTACCCAACTGTTGGTTTATTTTACATTTCCCTGATTACTACTGATGTTGAGGACCCTTCCATTTGTTTATGGGCTGTTAGGAATTCTTGTTCTATGAATTGTTTATCTTTATTCTTCCCTTGCTGATTTGTTTGGAGTGTTTATATAGTATGGATATTAATTCTTTGTTGCAATCATATGAGTTAAAAACATTTTCTCTCACTCTGCAGTTTGCCTTTTAGCTTACTATAATGTCTTTTTCTTGTAAAATCTTTTATTATAGAATCACTTGAAAACATTTTTTCCTTTTAGATTCTGGGTTTTGTGTTTTACAATGAAACTTTTCCTTAATCCAATCTTATAAGAATTTTCTCCCATATTTTGTTCAAATACTTTATAGTTTGGCTTTAGTTTTAGCCAGGAATCTGAGCTTTCTTATTTAGTATAATGTAGGTAGGAATCAAACGTGTCTTTTCCTACATGATATAATGGAATCAAAATTCTTGGGTCCATTTTCCAACTCTACCGTTTGCTGGTAGTTCAGAGTAACTAGCCTCTTCTGTGCCTCAGTTTTATTATCAAAAACATGAATAACATTTTTATCTACCTCATAGGATTGTGGGACTGATAAAATGAATTATTACATGAAAAACACTTAGAATAGTGTCTGGCATATTGTAAACTCTTCTTAATGTATGCTAACCACAACAAAAGTCCCCCAAACTCCCCAAACAAAACAACAACAGCAACAAATCTAAACTCTCCTCTAGTGAATTGATACATCATATTTACCATAATATATATACACAGATGGGTCTGTTTTTGGATTCTACTGAGTTTTATTGATCTCATTGTGCCACTTTTCTTTATTTACTATAACTTTAAGATATATTTGTTGTCTGGAAGGGCATATGCCTCTCATTGTTTGATATGGTTTGGCTGTGTCCCCACCCAAAATCTCATCTGAATTATAATCCCCATAATCCACATAAGGCCCACACGCATCCCCATAATCCCCGGGGAAGGACCAGGTGGAGGTAATTGGATCATGGAGGCTGTTTCCCCCATGCTGTTCTTGTGGTAATGAGTGAGTCTCAGGAGATCCGGTGGTTTTATAAGCATCTGGCATTTCCCCTCCTTGCACTCACTCTGTCCTGCCGCCCTGTGGAGAAGGTGCCTGCTTCTCCTTTGCCTTCTACCGTGATCGTAAGTTTCCTGAGGCCACCCCAGCAATGAAAAACTGTGAATCAACAAAACTCTTTCCTTTATAAATTACCCAGTCTTGGGTATTTCTTCATAGCAGTGCGAGAACAGACTAATACATTGTTCTTTTTTTTAAAAAAATTATCCTCCAGCATGTTTTTTCTACAGATGAATTTTAGAATTATCGTTTTAAGTTCTATAAAAAAACAGCTTGTTGACTTCAATAAAAAGTGTTAGGTTCCACAGAAATTTATTTAGGATTGTAATTACATGTATGAATTACTTTAGGGTGAATTAATATTTTTATAATATTGAATTTTCCTGGAAGATGGGTTCACATGTGACACATTGCCCCAAAAAGTTGTCTTGTTTTATGTTCTTCAGCAAAATGTTAGCATTTTCATCATATCTTGCTTCTGATTGTAAAGTGGCTGAAGAACTCCCGATGTTGTTACTGTTAGTCAGACACAGGGACAATGGGAGAGTCTTGTCATATCTTAGCAATTTTGACTTGGTCAAGCTCCTATCTCTGAATTAATTCCCATAACTAGAAGAATGTATGTATCCACAACTGCTTTAAACTTAATTCATGGGTCCCACCTGGAACTCCTGGGCAATAGGGAAATTACCTAAGAAGGCAGAATAAATGGAAATGTCAATTATTCCAATTTTGGGGTATACTTTTCTCCTATATTGACATTTGGCCTGATTTTATTTTTATTAATTTATTTTTTACTAGATTTTTAAGATTTTCCTTGGGAAGGATTTCTGCATTGTATACTTTCTGAGTCCTTGTATGTCTGAGAGTGTCTCTTGTTTCCTTATTCACAAAATAATAAAATGTTTGAAATAGTCCACTGTCTTCTTTTATTTTTGTGTAGTAAATGAGAAATTTGATGCCTACCTGATTTTCTTTCATATCTTTTTCTTTGGATCTCTCTTGCCCTTTCAGCTTCCACCATGGGATGATACAGCATGAAGGCCCTCACCAGATATGCACCCCTTGATTTTGGACTTCCCAGACTCCAGAACTGTAAGAAATAAATCTCTGTTCTTTATAAATTACCTAGTCTCAGGTATTCTGTTGTGGCAGCACAAAATGGACTAAGACAGTCTGCTTCCTTGAAATAACCAAGCCTCCTAAGTAATTTGTGTTTTATTTTTCTATATCAGTCTATGTAAGTTGAGGTTATTATACTCAGCATCTTGGGCAGTGCTATATTGGCAAGCAGTGGGAACAAAGAAAGCAGTTAATTTTCTAAATAGCCAGAATTGTTTCAGTAGTCTCTTTCTAGGACTGAGGAAAAAGAGGGCTGGGATAGTTTCTTCTATGAACTGAGTGGATCCTGTTACCAATCTTTTGAAACCCTTAAATAGCCTCAAAATTGAAATACTCTGCCCCATGCTTTTCCAGAGGAGGCTCACAGTCTGGTTCACATTGTGTTGTGGAGCCTCCTATAAGTCTTATGTCATTGTGATTGGGAGCAGCTCCTTAGATTTTTGCAGGGTTTCCTTCAGGCTTAAAAAGTATCCTGCACTTCCTCCCACCTCCTCCCCAGTTGCCCTACAGACCTCCCACTGCTTAAGTCACCTCAGCTGTACATTGGCTAAGGAAAGAAGCAAAGTATTTAGGCCACTGTCTTCTGAGAATTACCTCTGACTTATCTTTAATTTTTTATTTGTTTCTGTATTAGTACATTTTCATGCTGCTGATAAAGATGTACCCAAGACTGAACAATTTACAAAAGAAAGGTTTAATTGGACTTACAGCTCCATGTGACTGGAGAAGCCTCACAATCATGGTGGAAGACAAGGAGGAACAAGTAACATCTTACATGGATGGCAGTAGGGAAAAAGAGAGAGAGCGAGCTTGTGCAGGGGAATGCCTCTTTTTAGAACCATCAGATCTTGTGAGACTTATTCACTATCACAAGAACAGCATGGGAAAGACCCACCCCCATGTTTCAATTACCCACCCACCAGGTCCCTCCTACAATACATGGGAATTCAAGATGAGATTTGGGTGGGGACACAGCCAAACCATATCATTGTGCCCCTGGCCCCTCCCAAATCTCATGTCCTCACATTTCAAAACCAATCATGCCTTCCCAACAGTCCCCCAAAGTCTTAACTCATTTCAGCATTAACTCAAAAGTCCACAGTCCAAAGTCTCATCTGAGACAAAGCAAGTCCCTTCCGCCTATGAGTCTGTAAATCAAAAGTAAGTTAGTTACTTATTAGACACATTGGGGGTACAGGCATTTGGTAAATGCAGCCATTCCAAATGGAAGAAATTGGCTAAAACAAAGGGACTATCGGCCCCAAGCAAGTCCAAAATTCAGTGGGGCAGTCACATCTTAAAGTTCCAGAATGATCTCCTTTGACTCCATGTCTCATATCCAGGTCACGCTGATGTAGGAGGTAGGTTTCCATGGTCGTGGAAAGCTCCACCGCTGTGGCTTTGCAGAGTAAAGCCTTCTTTCTGGCTGCCTTCACGGGCTGGTGTTGTGTGTCTATGGTTTTTCTGGGCACATGATGCAAGCTGTCAGAAGATCTACCATTCTGGGGTCTGGAGGATGGTAGCCCTCTTTTTACAGATCCACGGAGTGGCACCCCAGTAGGAACTCTGTGGGGGGGGGGATTCCAACCCCACATTTCCCTTCTGCACTGCCCTAGAAGAAGTTCTCCATGAGGGCCCCTCCCCTGCAGCAAACTTCTGCTTGGGCATCCAGGCATTTCCATACATATTCCAAAATCTAGGTAGAGGTTTCTAAACCCCAGTTCTTGATTTCTGTGCACTCACAGGCTCAACACCACATGAAAGCTGCCAAGGCTTTGGGCTTGCACCCTCTGAAGCCATGACCCGAGCTCTACATTGGCCCCTTTCAGCCATGGCTGGAGCAGGCTGAGACACAGGGCACCAAGTGCCTAGGCTGCACACAGGATGGGGACTCTGAGCCCAGCCCGTGAAACCACTTTTTCCTCCTATGCCCCTGGGCCTGTGATAGGAGGGGCTGCTGTAAAGACCTGTGACATGCCCTGGAGACATTTTCCCCATTGTCTTGGTGATTAACATTTGGCTCCTCCTTACTTATGCAAGTTTCTGCAGCCGGCTTGAATTTCTTCTCAGAAAATGGGATTTTCTTTCTCTCACATTGTCAGGTTGCAAATTTTCCAAACTTTTATGCTGTGCTTCTCTTATAAAACTGAATGCCTTTAACAGCACCCAAGTCAAGTCTTGAGTGCTTTGCTGCTTAGAAATTTCTTCCACTAGGTACTGTAAATCATCCCTCTCAAGTTCAAAGTTCCACAGATCTCTACGGTAGGGGCAAAATGCTGCCAGTCTCTTTGCTAAAACATAACAAGAGTCATCTTTGCTCCAGTTCCCAACAAGTTCCTCATCTCCATCTGAGACCACCTCAGCCTGGATTTCATTGTCCATATCATTATCAGCATTTTGCTCAAAGCCATTAAACAAGTCTCTAGGGAGTTCCAAACTTTCCCACATTTTCCTGTCTTCTGAGCCTTCCAAACTTCCAATCTCTGCCTGTTAGCTAGTTCCAAAATTGCTTTCACATTTTTGGGTATCTTTTCAGCAATGCACCACTCTATTTGTACCAATTTAGTGTATTAGTCTGTTTTCACACTGCTGATAAAGACATACCCCAGACTGAGCAATTTACAAAAGAAAGAGGTTTAATTGGACTTACAGTTCCATGTATCTGGGGAAGCCTCACAGTCATGTCAGAAGGCAAGGAGGAGAAAGTCATATCTTACATGGATGGCGGCAGGAGAAAAGAGTGAGAGCTGTGCAGAAGCATGTATCTTTCTAAAACCATCATATCTTGTGAGACTTATTCACTATCATGAGAACAGCGTGGGAAAGAACCGCCCCCATGATTCAATTACCCCTAACCAGGTCCCTTCCCCAACACATGGGAATTCAAGATGAAATCTGGGTGGAGACACAGGCGAACTACACCAATTTCTATTTCTATTTTATTTATTTATTTTTGAGACAGGGTCTTGCTCTGTTGTCTAGGCTGGAGTGCAGTGGCGTGGTCATAGCTCAGTGAAGCTTTGCAATCCTCTCACCTCAGCCTTTTGAGTAGGGACTACAGGTGCACATCAGCATGCCTGGCTAATTTTTTAAAGAAATTTTTTGTAGAGATGGAGACTCATTATGTTGCCCAGGCTGGTCGCAAACTCCTGGGCTCAATCAATCCTCTTGCCTTGGCCTTCCAAAATGCTGGGATTGCAGGTGTAGCCACTGTGCTCAGCCTGATTTATCTTTTGATGGGCTTGTACTCAAGAGGGTCTGAGGCTACTGTAATTCCATTTCTCTTTAGCAAATGCAAGATGCTCTATTCATTTTGGTACAGTAAATCTTCACTCAATGTCAAAATAGGACTTTAGAAACCAAGACTATAAGTGAAATAAGCTACTGCTGCCCTCAATTAACATTATTTTGTGATAACATTGATGAGAAAAGTATTGATTTTGTTACACATCATTCTGCTTAAAGTCACAGTTTCAAGATCCTATCTATGATGTTAAGTGAGGACTTATTATGTATCATTTGCCTTTTGAAAAACTATATTTCTAAACTCTTGTAACTTAGAAAAATTAATATATTTTGTTTAAGTTAATGATAGGCATCTGGAGGATGTGATAGTTTTTCAGAATATGCTAGGAGTTAACCATTTTTTAGTTGCCACGAAAATTCATTTTATCAAATCATTTATTTATTTGACAAATAGGTTTGAATGCCTTCTTTTTGCCAGATACTGTCCTGAAATGTCTTTCAGAATCTTCACTGTTTATTGTATAGCATAGACACTCCTGGGGAGAGGGCTGTCATGTGAACTTGCATGTCCTATTGTTTGTTTCAATCAGTTTTTATTTAACAGCTTAAAAAACGTCCTCTAGTCCCAGGTCCAAAAGCTTTAAAATATGACATTGTATCTCCTTCCATAAAAAGGTGGAGTCTGCCTCCCTATCCTTTGAATTCGGACTGGCATCGTCACTTGCGTTGGACAAGGTATATGGTAGTAGTGTTGATGTGCGAGTTTTGAGCTTAGATCATTGGAGGTCTTCCCCTTTCTTTTTCAGATCTCTGTGGTTACTCTGTGAATTGGTCTGTACAGGCCCACTTGAGTACAGATGAGCCATTTCAGCTAAGCCTACAAGACACTTCCAGCTAAACCTAGCCCAAATTGCCAACTTGCAGAATTGTAAGCTAAATAAATGACTGTAAGCCGTTAAGTTCTGAGGTGTTTTTTATGCAGGAAAAAGTAACTATTACAACGTTGAAGCTAAATCGATACTTTTATTGTGTATATAGGATCTTACATTAAGATATAGGTAATTGGTATCAAAATAAAAATGATTATTGATATGTAACTATCTCTAGATCTATATCTGTATCATCTATATCTATATTATCATTTTTATGTAACTATGTTTGTTTATATCTCTCTCCATATTAAGATGACTAGCTTGGTCTGAACTGGAAATCACGGTCTAATGAATCTAATAAATAGCTGAAATGTGCGTTATCATAGGCACGCATTTAAATGATTTAATTTGCATTAGAATAAAGAGAGACTTTATGGAGGGCATTTTGAAATGGACACCTTAGGAGAGAGATGGGGAAAACATTATCTATTCTCCAGCCCTGTTTGATAGACAGTGTGGGAGCTGCATAGGCATTCTCACTATTTCTGTGGAATATAATTTGATTTTGGTGCATGCATGATCGAAAGGAACATACCATTTGTGATGGCTAATTTTTTAGTGTCAATTTAACTGGATTATGGAATACCTAGACAGCTGGTAAACCATTATTTCTGGGTGTGTCTGTGAGGGTATTTTTGAAGGAGACTGGCATGTGATTTGGTGGGTGGAGTGGGTAAGATCACCCTCAATGTGAGTGAGCATCATTCAATTGCTGGAGCCAGATAGAACAAAAAGGCAGATGAAAGGTGAATTTTCTCTCTCTCTCCTGGAGCTGGGACATCCTTCTCCTGCCCTTGGGCATCAGAACTCTAGGTTCTCTAGCCTTTGGATTCTAGGACTTTCACCACTACCCACCTCCCACACCTCTGGATTCTCATCCTTTGGCCTGGGGCAAAGAGTTACACCATCAGCTTCACTGGTTCTGAGGCCTTTGGGCTTGAACTGAGCCACACTCCAGAGTCACTGGTTCTCCAACTTGCAGACATCTTATTGAGGGATTTCTCAGTCTCCATAATTGTGTGAGCCAATTTTCCTAATTAATCCTCTCTTATCTACTTATATATATATTCTATTGGTTTTGTCTTTGTGGAGAGCCCTACTACATTTCTGTTTTTGATAACTTAAAGTTCATGCACCAGAAAGCCTTGCTTTAATTGAAGGCATCAACACAGGGCAGTAGAAGCGTGTGACTCAAAAGCAGAGTTATAGGCAATGGAGGAGAGTAGAAGGAAAGAACAAGAGAGCCCAAGTGTGTCACAAAAAGTGACAAAAAATCACTGTGAGGGACTTGGTTGGGAGAGGTAAATAGAAAAATCTTTTAATATTCATATAAGCCTATTGGTTCTCATTTGCTCATGGATTTTGAAGATTTCAGGTCACTGTAATAACCAATCAATTACTACCAATGGTCCTTTTTAAGTTTTTAAAAATGTATGTTAGAAATTAAGCATGAAAAAATAGACTGTTAAGGGAAAAATATTAATAAAAATGATTCCCCTAATGCCAAATGATAATAGAGTTTTAGAAGTGAAGAAAATCTGAAGGCAACATGTACAAACAGAAGCAAAATAGTCAGATTGCAAGGAAAGTGTACTTATCTGTCCCAAATGATATAGAAAATGAATTAGTGGAGAAACAATAGTATCATATTACACAGAAGTGCTGCATTTTTCAAAAGTTACACTAAATATACTGTGATTTAATTTAGTTTCTTTTGAAAAATTTTAATTCATAATTGGAGTAATATTTATGACTATCGAGACTGAAGCATACTTTATGGAGTCAAATTCCTTCTGTTGAATTTTCCAGATTTAAGCTACCTCAGGATATAATTCTTATGTTTAGAAAAAAATTTAAATGGCATTATCTTGGGGGAAGTGTTTACTCCAATTACATAAAGCTCTAATTTTAAAAAAATTGCAAAAGATGAAGGAAAACTGCATCATTTGAATGGAACTCTATGATTTTGGGGTTGCACCAAATTTCCTTGATTTTATTCCTGCTTCATCAATTACTCCTTTTTGGTGCTCTTCTTCCTCTCAGTCCTAAATATAATGCTTTTCAAAGGCCGATCCTTACCTCTTTTATCTTCTCCCTTATTTTCTGTCTGATAAAGCTCATCTAATTTGACAGCTCAGCAATGAAGGTGACTCCCAATTCTTTACCTCCACTTCTGTTCCTCATCTGAGTGCTTTCATTTCCAACTTCGTTGGCACCTTAGCTCTTGTAGCCCATCACCGTCACAAATGCCAACCATCCTATTGTGAATTGATCAACTTACCTTCATCACTCCTCTTCTTCCTTAGCTTCCCGTCTCTTGATGAAATTGAATATCTATTATTAGCTACAATTAAAACCATAGACTTTGATTTCTCTCCTCTTTTTTTTACACCAAAACCAAAAGGTTGCCAGATTCTGAAGCATCTGTAGACCATGACTATCTTGCAGCTGTTCTTTCCTTTCTATTCTTTCCGCAAATACACTAATTCAGATATCAATACCTTTTACTAGGGCCACTGGACTAATCATTTCACTGGTAATTATTTGTATTCACATTTTAATTAATTTGTCCTCCAATTAATTTGACTGCAATATGTACTCATTTAAAACTTCAAAATGCTTCCCATGGCTCCTGAATAAATCCCAAATTCATTATCTCTGTTTAAGCTTTTTTATGAAGACCTACCATTCTAAGCCTATGTCTGACTGATTTTCTTTGAGTGCTATAGATCTAGTCAAACTCTTCTACATACTCTTTCTTGTGCATGTACAATGATTTCCTGTCTCTGTTCCTTTTCTCTTTGTATATTTTTGTAGTACTGGATATTTTTTCTTCCCATATCAAAATATTCAAATTATACTTTTCCATAAAAATTCAGCTCTGATATAATCTCTGTCATAGTACCTAA